>NC_000019.10:33490874-34115874 GCF_000001405.40 Homo sapiens | reverse complement strand
TTTTTATTTTTAGCCTTTCGCAATCACTTCCATTCATGTGCGAATCATGTATACAGCATATAGCTGAGTTTTGCTTTGTGAGTGAAGCTGGAAATCTTTGATCTTTGTCTTTTTTTTTTTTTCTTTTCTTTTTTGAGATGGAGTCTTGCTCTGTCGCCCAGGCTGGAGTGCAGTGGCGTAATCTCGGCTCACTGCAACCTCTGCCTCCCGAGTTCAAGTGATTTTCTTGTCTCAGCCTCCCAAATAGCTGGGACTACAGGCACACACCACCATGCCTGGCTAATTTTTGTATTTTTTGTAGAGATGGGGCTTTGCCATTTTGGCCAGGCTAGTCTCAAACTTCTGACCTCAAGTGATCTGCCCACTTTGACCTCCAAAAGTGCTTTACAGGCATGAGCCACCATGCCTGGCCGAATCTTTGTCTTTTAATAAACTAGTCAATCCTCTCAGTGGACTTAAGCCCACAGATATGTATTAACAGTCTCAATTGTGTCATATTATTTTATAATATAATTGTTATGTGTGTTATATATATGTTATATGTGTTTCTGTATTTCCTTCTCTATTTGATATTTTCTTTGTTCTTTTATTTTCTAAATGTATTTGGATATTTAGGATATTTAAAAGATGGATTTTTTGTTTGTTTGTTTGCTTTTTTGGAGACAGGCTCTCACTGTGTCACCCAGGCTGGGGTGCAGTGGTATGATCATACCTCATGGTAGCCTCGAACTCTTGGGCTCAAGTGATCCTCC
This sequence comes from Homo sapiens, assembly GCF_000001405.40. Classification (NCBI taxonomy): domain Eukaryota; kingdom Metazoa; phylum Chordata; class Mammalia; order Primates; family Hominidae; genus Homo; species Homo sapiens. The sequence goes on along the minus strand of NC_000019.10, from coordinate 34,115,122 downwards.
CACCTCAGCCTCCTGAGTAGTTGGGACTACAGGCATGTACCACCACTCCTAGTTAATTTTGAAATTTTTTGTAGAGATGGGGTCTTGCTATGTTGCCCAGGCTGGTCTCAAACTCCATTCCTCAAACAATCCAACTGCCCTTGCCTCTTGAAGTGCTAGAATTACAAGTGTGAGTCACTGCAGCCAGCCTGAAGGTAGATGTTTTTGTTCTAGTAATTACCTTTGTACTTAAAAAAAAAAGGTTAAGATACTGTTTTCTTATTTAATCTTTTATTTATTATTACTATTTATTATTATTTTTTATTTTGTAGAGATGGGGGCCTCACTATGTTGCCCAAGCTGGTCTCGAACTTCTGGCTTCAGCTGATCCTTTCACCTTCGCCTCCCAAAGTGTTGGGATTACAGGTGTGAGCCACTGTGCCTGGCCTTATTTAACCTTTTAATATCAAGTTCGTTAGATTAAAAAAAAGCAACCCATCTTTATTGAGATATAGTTCACATATCATACGATTCAGTCATTTAAAGTATACAGTTCAGTGGTTTTTAGTATATTGACAAATATGTGCAACCATCACCACAGTCAGTTTTTTTTTTTTTTTTGTGAGACAGGGTCTCACTCTGTTGCCCAGGCTGGAGTGCTGTGGCATGATCTTGGCTCACTGCAATCTCTGCCTCCCAGGTTCAAGCAATTCTCATGCCTCAGCCTCCTGTGTAGCTGGGATTACAGTTGCCTGCCACCAAGCCCGGCTAATTTTTGTATTTTTGGCAGAGATGGGGTTTCACCATGTTGGCTAGGCTGGTCTCGAACTCCTGACCTCAGATGATCCATCTGCCTCGGCCTCCCAAAGTGCTGGGATTACAGGTGTGAGCCACTGCACCTGGCCAGGGGTAGGACTTTCATCATGCTGAGTTGGGGGTTAGGGAAGGAGTGAGTTGTGACTCAAATGCTACAGACTCTGAGTGTTCTTATTGAGATTTAATAGATTTTCTTGAATAAATGCATCTTTATTTGCTTCATGCCATGAGGACAATTTCCAGAGACTTTAAATCATCATTTGTTTTTTTTGAGACAGAGTTTTGCTCTTATTGCCCAGGCTGGAGTGCAATGGCACGATCTTGGCTTACTGCAACCTCCGCCTCCCAGGTTCAAGCGATTCTCTTGCCTCAGGCTCCCAAGTAGCTGGGATTACAGGTGTGTACCACCATGCTTGGCTAATTTTGTATTTTCAGCTAATTTTGTATTTTTAGTAGATTCGGAGTTTTACCATGTTGATCAGGCTGGTCTTGAACTCCTGACCTCAGGTGATCTGCTCGCCTCGGCCTCCCAAAGTGCTGGGATTACAGGCATGAGCCACCGCGCCTGGCTTTTTTTTTTTTTTTTAAATAAATCTCATCAGTTTTGGTCATTTCTCTAAAGTGAGTCCATGGAGGTCCTCACTCTGTCGTTCCAGAAGTCATTCTAATGGTATTGTTTTAAAAATGTACTATCAAGTTCAGAGGAAGGACAATTTCTGGGGCTTCTTTTTAGCCTATTCTACCATGAATTATCTTACTCCATGGATTAGGTGGCCCTAAAGCAACTACTAAAATGACACAACAAAGACTTATGGCTGGTAAGTCAACAAAGGAGATACGCGAATTCATAAAAAATGCTCAATCCAAAATCAGGCAACAAAAGAAGAACAAAAGAACAAAGAACACATGGGACAGATAGAACAAATAGCAACATGATAACTTCTAAACCCAACCATATCAGTAATCAGATTAAATGGAAATGCTGCGTACACCCCAATTAACAGGGAGAGATTGTCAAATTAGGTCAAAAGTAAGACCCAACCTTATGTACTGCCTGCAAGAAACACTTTAAATATAAGGGCATCAGCCAGGCGTTGTGGCTATTGCTTGCTTGTAATCCAGCACTTTGAGAGGCTGAGGCAGGCGGGTCACTTGAGGCCAGGAGTTTGAGACCAGCTTGGCCAACGTGGCAAAACCCCATTTCTACTAAAAATACAAAACAACAACAACAACAACAAACAAAAAACCCAAAAACAAAAACAAAATTAGCTGGGCGTGGTGGCACATACCCGTAATCCCAGCTACTCGGGAGGCTGAGACTCGAGAATTGCTTGAACCTGGGAGGCGGAGGTTGTGGTGAGCCAAGACTGCACCACTGTACTCCAGCCTGGGTGACAGAGTGAGACTCTGTCTCAAAAAAAAAAAAAAAAATATATATATATATATATACACACACACACACACACACACACACATATACATACACACACACACACACACATATATATATACACACACACACATATACATATATATGTGGGCATCAATAGGTTAAATTTAAAGCGATGGGAAAAGATGTATCATGCAACACCAATCAAAAGGATGCTAAAATGGCTATATTAAATGCTGCCATAGAGGCCACCTGACTTTCACACCATGCTGTGAGTTGATAATTGGCTGTCCTGAACCTGTCATGGTCTTTCTTCGGTGCTTCAATAGCACTGAACAACAAGTGATTAGATTTCTGAGTCTGTGTAGCTACTTCCCCACGTCTATCAAATGCTAGAAATATAGCTCGTGAACCAGTGCTTCCTTTTCCTTTGTATCTCAGCCAATTCATCACAGATGAAAGTACTAGTGATTATTAGTTAAGCAATTGCACAGCTTGCCATTAATCCACTCATCACTGACAATGGGGACTCTATTGCCATTTGGCTGGGGAATGATCCAGCTCTAAAATCCCATCTTAGAATCTGTTCCCTAGCGGCCGGGTGCGGTGGCTCACGCCTGTAATCCCAGCACTTTGGGAGGCCGAGGCGGGCGGATCACGAGGTCAGGAGATCGAGACCATCCTGGCTGACACGATGAAACCGTGTCTCGACTAAAAATACAAAAAATTAGCTGGGCGTGGTGGTGGGTGCGTGTAGTCCCAGCTACTTGGGAGGCTGAGGCAGGAGAATGGCATGAACCCGGGAGGTGGAGCTTGTGGAGAGCAGAGATCACACCACTGCACTCCAGCCTGGGCGACAGAGAGAGACTCCATCTCAAAAAAAAAAAAAAAAAGAAAAAAGAATCTGTTCCTTAGCACCCCCATTCCTGTTTCCAAATGAGTTTCCTGGAAGTAGATCCTGAGACAATAATTTTTGAGCAAATATGATGTTATTAAGGAACTAGTCCCAGCAAAGACTAGTAAGAGATTGTCGTGGGCTGGGTGTGGTGGCTCATGCCTGTAATCCCAGCACTTTGGGAGGCTGAGGCAGGAGGATCACTTGAGGCCAGGAGTTCAAGACTAGCCCGGGCAACATAGTGAGACATCTGTCTCTACTGAAAAACTATGAATTAATTTTAAACAAGACATTGTGGTAAGCAGATACGGAAGGGGAGGAAGCCAAGCAGAATGTACTATCAGGCCAGAGTCCCACAGTGGATAGGCTTCAGTTTGATCTGACAGGGGCATTTGTGCATGTAGATGGTGCTGCAGAGGCGTGTTAACCTTGGGCTAAGGCTAGTGCCTCCCAGGCACTTCTAGCTCCTGTGCCTGTGGACGGTGTGACTCTGGCAACCCAAAGGCAGTCCTCTAAAGAAGAGGTTGGCCAGGCGCAGTGGCTCACACTGTAATCCCAGCACTTTGGAAAGCCAAGGCGGATCACCCAAGGTTCTGAGTTCGAGACCAGCCTGGCCAACATGGTGAAATCACATCTCTACTAAAAATACAAAAATTAGCCAGGCGTGGTGGTGGGTACCTGTAATCCCAGCTAGTTGAGAGGTTGAGGCAGGAGAATCGCTTGAACCTGGGAGGTGGAGGTTGCAGTGAGCCAAGATCATGCCACTGCACTCCACCCTAGGCAACAGAGCGAGACTCCATCTCAAAAAAAAAAAAAAAGGAAGCGGCCCAGGAGCTGCCATTAGGACCAAAATCACATTACAGCTAAAGGTGTGTAAAGCCATAGTATACAGGAACCTGGGCAATCTGGGCAGAGTACCTGCATTGTTTTCTGCAAGAGAGAGTGTGGACTGAGGACCAAGCCAGCCTTTGGAGTGGGCCTTAGAAATCTGCAGAGGAGACCAAGAGAAGAGGCCAGTGGGGACAGAGGAAAAACCCAGGGAGCACTTCAGGAGAGGTGTGCTGCCCTGGGCAGTGTCTAGTGCAGCATCCAGAGTGGACTCCAGGGCTTCTGACCTGGGGACTCTGGATGGTGCTCCATGGGCTTCCACTGAGATGGGACGGTGGGGAGCTCAGGAAGGGTTGTGGTTTGGCTTGGGAGGTGGAGACTTTGATTTCGTTTTTTGAGACAGGGTCTTACTTTGTGACTCAGGCTGGAGTGCAGTGGCATGATCACAGCTCACTGCAGCCTTGACCTCCTGGGTTCAGATGATCTTCGCACCTCAGCTTCCCAAGTAGCTGGGACTTTAGGCACGTGCCACCATGCCTGGCAAATTTTTACAATTTTTTTTGCAGAGATGGGGTTTTGCCATGTTGCCTAGGCTGATCCTGAATTCCTGGACTCACGTGATCCTGTCACCTCAGCCTCCCAAAGTGCTAGGATTACAGGTGAGAGCCACTGTGCCCAGCCTGATTTCATTTTTATCTATTGTATAAGAAAGAAAATATAGGCAAGGCATGGCGGCTGTCACCCATAATCTCAGTGCTTTAGGGGGCTGAGGTGGGAGGATTGCCTGAGGTCAGGAGTTTGAGATGAGCCTGGGCAATAGAGCAAGCCCCCGTCTCTACCAAAAAAAATTAGCTGATTGTAGTGGTGTGCACCTGTAGTCCCACTACTTGGGAGGCAGAAGTGGAAGGATCTCTTGAGGCCAGGAGTTCAAGGCTATGATGAGTTATGATCATGCCACTGCACTGCAGCCTGGGCAACAGAGTGAAACCCCCATCTCTACAAAAAAAATTAAGAAAATAATAAAATAAAAATTAAAAAAGATAGGCAAAATATTTTATATGCCACTCCTAAAGTTTCTTAAATTGTAATGAAATAACCACAAGGGAAAAATTTCTGACAACATTCAGAGATGCTACTGCTATTAAAAAACTGGATGATCGTTTCACTTTTCTCTGTGGGTTTCATTTAAAGGTACAGCAATAAACCCATATGCCTTGATTCCTTATGGTTTAATTTTACGTTAGGTCTCAGTGTGACTTAGTAAGTCATTATAGGAACTCTACTCTGTGTTAATGAAGGCAATGAAGGCATCCTCCCTTCTCTAAGGGGCTGGCCGTGTGACAGGGAAGTTAGCTGTGCTTGTAAAGCCACATCACATGGAGAAAGAGGACGAGGAGCCACTCTACTGTGGCCTTTACAGATGGCTTCACAGAGGTCTTGGCTCTGAGCCTTGGTTAATGAGCTGGGGTTTGCTGATCCACAAGTGAAGGAGAGGCTGTTGGGTATGACAGTGGTGCCAGAGAGCAAGATGCTCTGTATGTGTGTGTGTGTGTGTATGTTTTTTTTTTCTTTTTTGAGACAGAGTTTTGCTCTGCTACTCAGGCTGGGGTGCAGTGGCACAATCTTGGCTCACTGCAACCTCTGCCTCCTGGGTTCAAGCGATTCTCCTGCCTCAGCGTCCGCAGTGGCTGGGATTACAGGTGCACGCCAGCACATAGGCTAATTTTTTTTTTTGAGACGGAGTCTTGTTCTGTCACCCAGGCTGGAGGGCAGTGGCATGATCTCAGCTCACTGCAACCTCTGCCTCTTGTGCTCAAGTGATTTTCCTGCGTCAGCCTCCCGAGTAGCTGGGATTACAGGCACGTGCCGCCATGCCCAGCTAATTTTTGTATTTTTAGTAGGGTTTCACCATGTTGGCCATGATGGTCTCAAACTCCTGACCTCAGGTGATCCACCCTCCTTGGCCTCCCAAAGTGCTGGGATTACAGGTGTGAGCCACTGTGCCCAGCCCGAGATGCTGTGTTTCAGAGGCAGGGGGGCAAGAGGAAAGGAGTCTAGACAGGTTTGCGAAAGCCAGGAGGAGAACCGCACAGGTGGTGCCACCATGAAGGCCCAGCTCAGCATCTTGCACGCAGCAGGCTCTCTGTAGGACTCGCTGATTAATTAGCCCCTAGGTAAGTTTCTTGCTCCAACTCTCCACTGACTGAAGCTAGGCTCTGATATTGAGTGGAGGGAATGTGGGAGAGGATCTGAGCATCACGTAAATGCCTGAAAACAACATATTTTTAGGATGAGTTCAGCATAATACTGGCCCTAATTATTTATTTATTTATTCTTTATATTTTTTGAGAAAAGGTCTCACTCTGTTGCCCGTGCTGGAGTACAGTGGCCTGATCTTAGCTCACTGCAGCCTCGAATTCCTGGGCTCAAGCCATCCTCCTGCCTCAGCCTCTTGAGTAGCTGGGACTAGAGGCATGTCCACCATGCCTGGCTAATTTTTTGTATTTTTAATGAAGACGGGGTTTTGCTGTGTTACTGGTCTCAAACTCCTGAGCTCAAGCAATGCCCCCACCTTAGTTTCCCAAATGCTGAGATTACAGGCATGAGCCACTGCACTTGGCCTTAGTTATTTTTCCATCCACTGGTGGTTTTTTTTTTTTTTCCTGAGTCGCTCTGGAATGCAGTGGCGTGATCCCGGCTCATGGCAGCCTCTGCCTCCTGGATGCCAGCAATTCTCATGCCTCCGCCTCCCAAAGTGCTGGAATTACAGGTGTGAGCCCACCATGCCTGGCCTCCACTATTTTTGATGTCACAATCTTATGGCTCTGGGGATGGTTTTTAGAAGCTTTGTAACTGTAATTTTTTTTTCTCAAATAACTTAAGAGTTCCTAAAAAGAGCACCTGCTTTATTTAAGAGGAATTATGCTTTATCTCATATTATTTGCAATCTAAGTATCTGAAATTCTTAGAGTCACCTACCCCACCACACGTGTGGACACACCTAGGGCAGTTAGAAGAACAGGTTGGGGCAGAGCAGGTTGGAGCCTTGGCACCCTTCAGTGTGCTAAGGTCACAGGTCAGGGACACGTTCAGATGCACCGTTTGGTATCATGTTGACGTTTGGTTTTATTCTAAATGGTTCATTCGTTTCTAGTATCTAATGAAGATAAACATCAGAACTCTGTAACTCTGCAATTCGTTCATTGGGAAAAGAAGTTCCTTCTGTAGGGTCTGTTCCCAGGGAGGGGGAGAGGGAAATACACCTGTGGCTGGTAAAGGTGACACTGGAGGAGTTGGGGTGTGGCCCCACCTTTACACACCTGGAGGGTGGAAAATGGTCTTTGTGAAGCCTTTCTGTGGTTCCAAGTGTGAATCTTCTGGAGGGGCAAATCAGTTTTTCCTCTTTGTGACTTCCTTGTTTTAAAAAGATTGTCCCTGGAGCCAGGCGTGGTGGCTCACGCCTGTAATCCCAGCACTTTGGAAGGCTAAGGTGGGCGGATCACCTGAGGTCAGGAGTTCACGACCAGCCTGGCCAACATGGTGAAACCCCATCTCTACTAAAAATACAAAAGTTATGCGAGTGTGGTGGTGCACAGCCTGTAATCCCAGCTGCTTGGGAGGCTGAGGCAGGAGAATCACGAACCTGGGAGGCGGAGGTTGCAGTGAGCAGAGATGGCGCCACTGCACTCCAGCCTGGGCGACAGAGCGAGACCCCATCTCAAAAAAAAAAAAAGATTGTCCCTTTTTTATTCTCAGGGAACACAGGTGAGAGAAGTTTAGGAGAACTCTTTGGTTCACAACACCTCTTTTTTTGTCCATCTTGTTTGGGCTTCATAAACAGCTCTTGTTAATTCAAGGGCCATGTTTTCCTTTCGCAGAGCCATTTTATGGGGATTGACTCTCAGTCGTGATGTATGATTTTATTCTGAAAGTATGACTCAGGATCAAGTGGTAAAAGTACCGAGTTTAAATGTGTTCACAAATATTTGGGCCGAGTGCGGTGGCTCACCCTGTAATCCCAGCACTTGGGAGGCTGAGGGCGGGCGGATCGCTTGAGTCCAGGCATTCGAGACCAGTCTGAGCAACATGGTGAGATCTTGTCTCTACAAAAAATAAAAAAAATTAGCAGGCATAGTGTTGTGCGCCTGTAGTCTCAGCTACTTGCAGGGCTGAGGCAGGAGGATCACTTGAGTCCAGGAGGTCAAGGCTGTAGTGAGCTGAAATTGTACCACTGCACTGGGCAGCAGAGCAAGACCGCGTCTTAAATTAAAAAAAAAAAAAATTGAAGCTAAATATATGTGTGGGTGTGGTATTAGACATTTTTTTTTGTCTTTATGTATAACTAACTGAATTCATGGCAGTTATTTGGTAGTCTTGGTTTATAGACTTTTTTTTTTTTTGAGATGGAGTCTTGCTCTGTCACCCAGCCTGGAGTGCGGTGGCACAATCTCTGCTCACTGAAACCTCTGCCTACCAGGTTCAAGCTATTCTCCTGCCTCAGCCTCCTGAGTAGATGGGATTACAGGTGCCCGCCACAACAAAAATTAGCCTGGCTAATTTTTTTTTTTGAGACAGAGTCTTGTTCTGTTGCCCAGGCTGCAGTGCAGTGGCGCGATCTTGGCTCACTGCAAGCTCAGCCTCCCGGGTTCAAGCCATTCTCCTGCCTCAGCCTCCTGAGTAGCTGAGACTATAGGCGCCGCCACCATGCCTGGCTAATTTTTGTATTTTTAGTAGAGATGGGGTTTCACCTTGTTAGCCGGGATGGTCTCCATCTCCTGACCTCATGATCCGCCCGCCTCGGCCTCCCAAAGTGCTAGGATTACAGGCGTGAGCCACCGTGCCCATCCTAGCCTGGCTAATTTTTGTATTTTTAGTAGAGACGGGATTTCACCATGTTGGCCAGGCTGGTCTTGAACTCCTGACCTCAATTGATCCGCCCACCTTGGCCTCTCAAAGTGTTAGAATTACAGGCATGAGCCACCACACTCAGCCAGTTCATAGACCTTTGAAATTAAGGCTTTTAAACATTTGTTCTTCAAACATTTACTGGGTGGGTGTTATATGCTGGGCAATATAGGCGTTGGTGTAGGAAGATGTGAATTCAAGTCCTAATTCTGTCATTTGCCAGCTGTTATGTCTTTGGGAAAATCACTTAGCTTCTTTGAGTTGCAGTATATAAACTAGTTTTCATAATGCATAACTTGTGTGGTGGTTATGAGGGTTAAGTACAAAGTATGGCACTACGTATAAAACAGTGCTTGATTTTTAGTAGGCACTTAATAAATGCTAGTTTTTTCTTACCATGAAGGATTCCAAGCTTTAAAAATTACTCTTTTTTCTTTTCTTTTTTTTATACAGGGTCTTGCTCTGTCACTTAGGCTGGAGTGCAGTGGTAGGATCATAGCTCACTGCAGCCTCGACCTCCTGGGCTCAAGCTATCCTCCCACCTCAGCCTCCTGAGTAGTGGGGACCACAAGTCCGCACCACCATGCCCATCTAATTCTTTTTAATTTTTTGTAGAGACAGGGTCTTGCCATGTTGCCTAGCCTGTTTTCAAACTCCTGGGCTCAAGTGTTCCTCCTACCTTGGCCTCCCAAAGTGTTGGGATTATAGGTGTGAGCCACTGAGCCCGGCCATTTTAAAGCTTTTAGAAACTGGCTCACGCCTGTAATCCTAGCACTTTGGGAGGCCAAGGTGGACAGATCACTTGAGCTCAGGAGTTTGAGACCAGCCCAGGTTACATGGCAAGAACCCATCTCTACAAAAAATAGAAAAATTAGTTGGGTGTGGTGGCGAGCACCTGTAGTACTAGCTACTCCGGAGGCTGAGGTGGGAGGATCGCCTGAGCCAGGAAGGTGGAGGCTGCGGTGAGCCATGATTATGCCACTGCACCCCAGCCTGGGTAACAGAATGAGACCCTGTCTCAAAAAAATAACAGAAATGAAAAAATAAAATTAAAGCTTTTAGAAACATACCTGTACACATGTGGTGCATTACATGACTGAGTCATTCTAATTGATTCTGACTTACAAAATCCCTTTGACATAACAAAATATAGTTGTGAATACTCATTTTCCCAAAAATATGTTGTATTTGTGGTGATTACTTAAGTAATATGTAAAATATAATAAGTAATATGCAAATATGTATATGTGTAAGTATATACATGTGTGTATACATATATGTATAAGTATATACATGCGTGTATACACATATGTATAAGTAATATGTAAAATAAGTAATAATATGTAAAATCACTAATATGTAAAATAAGTAATAAGTAATATGTAAAATAAATAATATGTAAAATGCACATTAGTCCAGCCAACATTTGGTTAGCCTGTGAAAGATAAAACCGTGTTCATTTGACATTAGAAATGACTGCAACCAGGAATTGCAAGGTCAGGGTTTAACATTCTAGAAAACTCCCGCAGGCCTAAGGAGGAATTTCATTGTCATGTGCAATTGGTAGCACGGGCGGATCTTGAAGTGCTGTCATTGACAGCTTCATGTTTTTGACACTCCTTTGCTGCCTGGGGAAGCAGGGAATTCACCTCTGCACCCACAGCAGCTTTTACTACCTTCATCACCATTTCATACCTTCTAATTAACCAAACTTGCTCTACCTTGATAAATCCATGTATGTGTAACGTGGCATATTCCTGATAAACTCTGCAAACATATTTGTTTACGCCTGAGTCCCTTTTTCTTTTTGTAGTCTCTTAAAAAAAAGCCCCGCCTTTTTTTGTTTTTTAAAAAAGCCCCCTCTTTCTTGCAGGTGATCCCTCCCGATGCCGTGTGGACACTCACCGGGGGCTGGATCCCTGCTGGACTTGAAGTCGCCAGAGGTTTTTTTTTTTTTTGTGAACCCCTAAGCACTATGTGGTGTGCAGCTCCTGATAAAGAGGAAGTCTAATTCAGCCTTTGAGTCTGGAGTAGGAGGAAGTTGTAAGCAAGTGAACCATTGAGTTAGGAGCTTTTACTTCAGGCTAATGTTAAATGACAAACTCAAGAGTTCAAGTCTAAACATAGAGTATCCTTGATAATTCTCCATGTGAATTGCCTTTAAGATATACACACACATATATATTTTGCCCAGAGGAGTGACTATGATTTCATAATTTTACTTAAAGTTATGTAAAGTAAAATTTGGAATATTTTCCAGAATGTCATGGTTCAGGTTAGGACAGAAAGCAGGTAAATAATGGGAAAATGAGGACATCAAGAGCTTCATTTGGAAGCCTACTTCAGAATGAAAGCTGTTGGGAAAAAGAGAATATCTGAGTTATATATTTTGAGGCTCTACGATAGATGCTTATAAGGTGATATTTTTCTGGTGAATAGTTAAGTAATGGCTTTTTTTTTTTTTCCTGTGACAGCGTCTCTGTTGCCCAGGCTAGAGTGCAGTGGTGTGATCTCAGCTTACTGCAACCTGTGCCTCCCAGGTTAAGCAATTCTCCTGCCTCAGCCTCCCAAATAGCTGGGACTACAGGTGTGCACCACCAGGCCCGGTTAATTTTTGTGTTTTTGGTAGAGATGGGGTTTCACCATATTGGTTAGGCTGGTCTCGAACTCCTGACCTCAAGTGATCTGCCCGCCTCGATCTCCCAAAGTGCTGGGATTACAGGCATGAGCCACTGCGCCTGGGTAATGGCTATCTTTCTGCCTGAAGTCCTATTTTATCTTACGTTATACTAGCTTTATGTGGGCGAGTATTTGCCTGGCATGTCTTTTCCCATCTCTTTACTTTCATTCTCATTTTATGTCCTTAGATGTCTCTCTCTCTCTTTTTTTTTTTTTGAGACAGAGTCTCACTCTGTCGCCCAGGCTGGAGTGCAGTGGCGCAATCTAGGCTCATTGCAAGCTCCACCTCCCGGGTTCACGCCATTCTCCTGCCTCAGCCTCCTGAGTAGCTGGGACTACAGGCACCCGCCACCACGCCCGGCTAATTTTTTCTATTTTTAGTAGAGACGGGGTTTCACCGTGTTAGCCAGGATGGTCTCGATCTCCTGACCTTGTGATCCGCCCGCCTCGGCCTCCGAAAGTGCTGGGAGTACAGGTGTGAGCCACCGCGCCCGGCCAAATAAAGTTAACTTTTAATTGTTATTTTTATTTTAGAGATAAGGTCTTGCTCGGTCACCCAGGCTGGAGCTCATGGCACAATTATCGCTCACTGCAGCCCCGAACTGCTGGGCTCAAGCGATCCTCCTGCATCAGCCTTCTGAGTAGCTGGGACTACAGGCATGGCCACCACACCTGAGTAATACTGTCCCTGTTTTTGATGACTTTGTCATTTGAGGAGTCCTGGTCAGACATTTTTGCAAAATGTCCCTCCACTGGAATTTGTCTGATGTTTTTCTCATGATTAGACTGGGATTGTGGGTTTTTGGGAGGAAGACCACAAAAGTAAAGTGCCATTTTTGTCACATTATATCGCAGATATATTGTCATACATCCTTTAATGAGGGGGATGCGTTCTGAGAAATGTGTCTTTAGGCGATTTCATCATTGTGGGAGCATCACAGAGTGTGCTTACACAAACCTAGATGGCACAGCCTATTCCACACCTAGGCTATATGTATGGCCTGCTGCTCCTAAGCTACAAACCGGCACAGCATTTTACTATGGGCAACTGTAACACAGTGGTAGGTATTTGTGTATCCAAACATATCTAAACATAGAAAAGGCACAGCAAAAATATGGTATAGAATTTTTTTCTTTTTTTGAGATGGAGTCTTGCTGTGTCGCCCAGGCTGGACTGCAGTGGCATGATTTCAGTTCACTGCAGCCTCTGCCTCCCAGGTTCTAGTGATTCTCCTGCCTCAGCCTCCGGGGTAGCTGAGATTATAGGCATGCAGCACATGCCTGGCTAATTTTTGTATTTTTAGTAGAGATGGGGTTTCACCATATTGGCCAGGCTGGTCTCTAACTCCTGACCTCAGGTGATCCACCTGTCTCGGCCTCCCAAAGTGCTAGGATTACAGGTGTGAGCCACCGTGCCCAGCCTAGAATATTTTTTAAAATGGTATATAGGATACTTCCCATGAATGGAGCTTGGAGTTGCTGTCATTTGCAGTGGCTCACGCCTGTAATCCCAGCGCTTTGGGAGACCGAACTCCCAAAGGAGTGGAGGACCGGAAGTTGCTCTGGGTGAGTGAGTGAGTGAGTGGTGAGTGAATGTGAAGGCCTAGGACATTACTGTACACTACTATAGACTTTATAAACACTGCAGTTATGCTACAGTAAATTTATAAAAATTGTTTTCTTCAATAACAAATTAACCTTAGCTTCCAATAACTTTTTACTTTATCAACTTTTTATTTTTTTAACTTTTTGACTCTTCTGTAATTACACTTAAAACACATTGTACAGCTGTACAAAAATATTGTCTTTTTTTTTTTTTGCAAGACAGAGTCTCGCTCTGTCACCCAGGCTGCAGTGCAGTGGTGTGAATCTTGGCTCACTGCAACCTTCACCTCCTGAGTTCAAGCAATTCTCCTGTCTTAGACTCCTGGGTAGCTGCGATTACAGGTGCCTGGCACCACACCTGGCTAACTTTTGTATTTTTAGTACAGACGGGGTTTCGCCATGATGGCCAGGCTGGTCTCGAACTCCTGACCTCAGGTGATCCACCCGCTTTGACCTCCCAAAGTGCTAGGATTATAGGTGTGAAATACCATGCCCGGCCTATCGTCTTTCTTTGTATCCTTATCCTATAAGCTCTTTTCTTTCTTTCTTTCTTTTTTTTTTTTTGAGACGTTGTTTTGCTCTTGTAGCCCAGGCTGGAGTGCAATGGCACAATCTCGGCTCACCACAACCTCTGTCTCCTGGGTTCAAGCGATTCTCCAGCCTCAGCCTCCTGAGTAGCTACGATTACAGGCATGCTCTACCATACCCGGCTAATGTTTTTCATATTTTTAGTAGAGACAGGGTTTCTCCATGTTGGTCAGGCTGGTCTTAAACTGCCAACCTCAGGTGATCTGCCTGCCTCGGCCTCCCAAAGTGCTGGGATTAAAGGCATGAGCCACCATACCTGGCCTTTTATTTTTAATTTAAAAAAATTTAAAAAATTCTTTCAGCTTTTTTATTAGGAATGAAGACACAAACACACACATCAGCCTAGGCCTACACAGGGTCAGGATCATCAATGTCACTGTCCTCCACCTCCACATTTTGTCTCATTGGAAGGTCTTCAGGGGCAGTAACACACGCATTATCCCCTGTGATAACAATGTCTTCTTCTGGGTACCTCCTGAAGGACCCTCCTGAGATCTTCTTGAGGTGGGGTCACTCTTTTCAGAAATATGTCCATGGTGGTTTGCTTGGTTTGTTTCTTTTCTTTAACATAGATTTCCCTATAAACAGATAATGCACCATGAACATTTCTGTCTGTTAATAAAAACCTTTTGGTGTTGGGTGTCCATGTTTTCAAACTTCTTAAAGAGTTTGCTGAAATCTGCGGAAGCTTCTGCTAAACTCTTCACTGTGAGTTTTCTTGGGAGTTCTTTTCCTTCTTTCAAACTTCTTAAGGAGTTTGCTGAAGTCTGCAGAAGCTTCTGCTAACCCCTTCACTGTGAGTTTTCTTGGGAGTTCTTTTCCTTCTTTCAAACTTCTTAAGGAGTTTGCTGAAGTCTGCAGAAGCTTCTGTCAACCTTTTCACTGTGAGTTTTCCTGAGAGTTCTTTTCCTTCTCCAGCAGCTCCCTTTGCTCTTGCCCCTTCTTCAGCTAGGTGTTCCTGTCCCAGTTCCAATAACTCCTCATTCCTTTAGGAGCTCCTCAATGCCATCCTCAGCCAAACCCAGATTAGAGTTGTTTGCCATCTGAACCACAGCCTTGTTGACTTTTGCAACCTCCTCATCCTTGGCAAATCCTTTGAAATCATGGAAAAACCTCTTGAGTGTCTTCCTCCAGATGCCATTCATACATTCCTCGGTGGCATCACCCCAAGCCCAAGCTCAAAGTGCTTGACACAGTAATAGATGTTGTAATCCTTCCAAAATTACATCCATGTCTTCTCAGGGTCTTCCTCAGTTTCAGCAACAGCCTGGGCAAAAGTCCTCCTTAGGTAATAGTCTTAAAAGCTGTTATAATTCCTTGATGCATTGGTTGGATCAAAGAGGTGGTATTTGGAGGGAGAAACACCACTTTGATATTGAGATGAAAATGACAAAAAAAAAAAAAAAAGAAGAAGAAGAGCATTATCAATAAGCCAATCTTGAAAGATATATTATTCTCCAAACAGTACTTCTCCATCTCACTGGCAGAGTAATTCAGGAGGGCCTCTTGGAAGAGGAGCTGGGTCATCTGTGGCTTCTTATTGCTCCTGCAGTGCACTGGCTGTGTGTGCTAATTGACAGGCTTGAAGGCCCTGGGGTCCTCATAAAGGGTTTCAGTTTGTAATCTGCAACATTGTTGCCAGGCAAGACTTGCTCTGTCCTTAAAAGTCTTCAAACCTGACATTGACTTGGCTTCCTTATGAATGAAAGTTCTTTCAGGCATTCGTTTCCAGAATGGGGAGGTTTCATTCATATTGAAGATTTGCTGTGACAAGTAATTTTCCTCCACAATCAGCTCATCCAGAGTTTCCAAAAATTCTTCTGCTGCCTTCACAACAGCACCCACAGACTCACCACTAACTTGCACTTTATGTAAGGAGTAAGGATTCTTGAATCATTTGAAATACCCAGAGCAGTAAATTCAACACCACAGTCAGGTCCAGCCTTTGCTTTCAACCTTGCAAACCGACATTGCTTTGGTGGTGATTGTCACGGTGCTGAGAGGGATATGTGTCTGTGTTTGGTCTTCAATCCAGGTCATTAGAAGTTTCTCTGCATCTGATAGAGAACTTCCATGAATTTTTGTTAGTTTCATCGCTTTCAATGAAGCAGATCCCTTAACACAGAAGTCCCCAACCTTTTTGGTACCAGGGACCGGTTTCATTGAAGATGATTTTTCTTTCTTTCTATTTTTTTTTGAGACAGAGTGTCACTCTGTCACCCGGGCTGGAGTGCAGTGGCAGATCTTGGCTCACTGTAACCTCTGCCTCCCAGGTTCAAGTAATTCTTGTGCCTCAGACTCCCGAGCAGCTGGGATAACAGGTGTGCGCCACTATGTCCAGCTAATTTTTGTATTTTTAATAGAGGAGGGGTTTCGCCATATTGGCCAGGCTGGTCTTGAACTCCTGGCCTCAAGTGATCCACCCACCTTGGCCTCCCAAAGTACTGGGATAACAGGTGTGAGCCACGCTGGACCAGAAGACAATTTTTCTATGGACTAGGGTGGGGGTTGAGGGATGGTTTGGGGATGATTCAAGCACTTTATATTTATTGTGCTGTTTATTTCTATTATGATTACATTGTAATATATGATGAAGTAATTATACAACTCACCATGATTATAATGATATAACTCATGTCATGATGTAGTGCATGACCGTACTATCAATATGACTTATCACTGTTGGCATTGACCTTAATCACCTGCCAGAGATAGTGTTGGTCAGGTTTCTCTACTGTAAAGTTACTCTTCTCCCATTTTTGGAAGGAAGTCACTACATGCAGGCCACACTTCAGGAGTGAGGAGTTATGCTCCACCTCTGTGGGGGTGGAGTATCTGTGAGAATTCATTGAACTTCTTCCGCATGGAAGACGTGTCTCTTCTCCCCCTTCTACACTCAGCCCTCTGTATTCTCTGATCCCACATCGTGGATTCAGCCAACCACAGATAAAAAATATTAGGGAAAGAAACCCAGTAAAAATTCATACAAACTGGCCGGGGACACTGGCTCACGCCTGTAATCCCAGCACTTTGGAAGGTCGAGGCGGGTGGATCACCTGGGGTCAGGAGTTTGAGACCAGCCTGGCCAACATGGTGAAACCCCATCTCTACTAAAAATATAAAATTAGCCAGGCGTGGTGGTGGGTGCCTGAAATCCCAACTACTCAGGAGGCTGAGGCTGGAGAATCGCTTAAACCCAGGAGGCAGAGGTTGCAGTGAGCCAAGACGGCACCACTGTACTCCAGCCTGGGTGACAAGAGCGAAACTCCATCTCAAAAACAAAAAACAAAAAACAAAAAAACAAAAAAACCAAAACCAAACCAAACCAAAACAAAAACCAAATAAAACAAGCAACACAGAACAGCTATTTACCTAGCATTTCTATTGTATTAGGTATTATAAGTAATCTAAATATAATTAGAGTGTACAGAGGGATGTGTCCTGGTTATGTGCAAATACGATACCATTTTATATAAAGGACTTGAGCATCCATGGATTTTGGTATCTATGGGGGTCCCGGAACCAATTTGCAGTGGATGCGGAAGGAGAACTGCATTTATTTATTCAATCATTAATATCAGTGTGGACTCATGGGTGTTTATTCCATGCTTTGGGTTATGATCCAATCTATTTTATTTTGTTACTCAAGTTGTTCCAGTTTTGACTATTGGGATCTCTTTCAGTTGGATCCTGTGACCCTTTGACGTCTCCCCACTGATGTGGGCTTTTTTTTGGTTTGTTTGTTTTGAGCACTTTCCTACTTTCTGGTACTAGTAGGTGCTCCTGGCTTATCCTGTGTATTTCCTGCCCCAGTCTTAGAATCGGTCATTTCTCCATGGAACTTTGGTTTCTTTTATTGGCAACACGGTGAGGCTCCATCTCTACAAAAGATCATGGGCTGGGCATGGTGGCTTCACGCCTGTAATCCCAACACTTTGGGAGGCCAAGGCGGGCAGATCACTTGAGCTCAGGAGTTCGAGACTAGTCTGGGCAACATGGTGAAACCCCATCTCTACCAAAAATACAAAAAACAATTAGCTAGGAATGGTGGTGGGCACCTGTAGTCCCAGCTACTAGGGAGACTGAAGTGGGAGAATCGCTTGAGCCCAGGAGGTGGAGGTTTCAGTGAGCCAAGATTGCGCCACTGCGTTCCAGCCTGGGAAACGGAATGAGATCCCATCTGAAAAAAAAAAAAAAAAAAAAAGGCTGGGCATGGTGGCTTTGGCTTGAAAGCGCTGAGATTACAAGTGTGAACCACCATGCCCAGCCAAGACTGCTGAATTTGTGCATGCAATTCTTGTGTGTGTAACCATCAGAACGGCACGCCCCACCCTTTTAAAGTTTTATTTTCTTATAGCGGAGAGCTACGACAGAACCTCCTTTCTATCTTATTCTTGAAGTACCTTTAAGCAGGAATAAGATGATCAATATAAAGCCAATGATTGCCAGCTTCTTTATTAATGTGGCTATTTTGTTTTTCATAAAAATTGTCTCACATTTTTAAAGACTTCTATAATATATAAAATATCGTAATATTGCTCTTCTTTCTATTCTTCCTACCAGGATTAGTAGAAAATTTTCTGTGAAAATAATCTTTAGTTTATTTTCCAGAAACTTCTCCCCCACAGAAGCTCTTGAAAATACTTTTTGGTTTTGTTTTGTTCAAGAGACAGCTGAATATAGCTCTTGGAGAGGAGATCCTCTGACATGAATTGACTGAGACAGCTTGTAATAACATTAGTAGGTATTTTCCGGGCACAGTGGGGAAGGTGTCCACAATATATACCCGTAAAATCCTTTGGGATTTTGTGTTCAGATTTTTTGCAAGTCAAAAACATAAGTCCCTGAAGGTAGTGGTTTTTGTATTTAAGAAAGGCTTTTCTTTTTTTCCTTTTTGTTGTGTTAATCAGTGTGGAATGACCTTAACACCAGAGGGCAGTATTTTCTAGTAGTTGCCAAAATGTCCTTGTAGTCGGTGTAATTATCTGATGGATTAAAAAAGACAGCTTATGTTTTCCCGGGTGTTGCCGGTATAATGCACATAGCCTGGGACTCATACCGAAGGTCATAATGCATCTAGTATTTTCTAAACCACGGGAATTTTTTTTCTTTTCTTTTTAAACCCTTCTGTTCGGTGGAGTTTAAGCTCCCTGAATTAATTTTCACAATAAGCCGTGCTGTTTACAGGGGTTGTGTGATTGGCAGGAATGGGTGGCTTTCACACAGCACCATTTGATCCCAGCCCAAGCCCAAAGGAAGTCCTGTCTTATTAAGGAGTAACAGGCAGATTCGTGTGAGGCCAGCGGGCTTGAGTTTGGCTTCAAGGATGGTCAGAATTCGTGAATTTCTTTCCAGAAGGATATCCGGGTCTTCCTGAGAAGAGAATGGGCTTTTTAAATCCAGAAACTTTCATACAATTTATTTCATACACACTTTTACTTTTTGCAGTTTAAAAACTACAGACAATAGAGAGGACATTTAAATAGCCTACATTTGGTTACCCATTTCTCTTTGCTTGCTGGTTTCCATTTAATGTAACTGCAGAGTGAATCTTCTAAAATATGTTCTTACTCTTCCGATATCCTTGTTAAAACAGGAAAGCCTATGCGTATTAACCGGGTAGTTTCTATTTTCTCCTTTTAAAAAATGTTTCCCTTGCTTGCTATACATCTAACACATATTCATTGTAGAAAATAAATGTGGCAGGGCAGATGCAGTGGCTCACACCTGTAAACCCGGCACTTTGGGAAGCTGAGGTGGGAGGATTGCTTGAGCCCAGGAGTTTGGGACCAGCCTGGGCAACATAGCAAGACCCTGTCTCTACAAAAAATAAAAAAAAATTAGCTGGGCACAGTGGCGCACACCTGTAGTTCCAGCTCCTCAGGAGGCTGAGGCAGGAGGATTGCTTGAGCCCAGGAATTCGAGGCTGTAGTGAGCTAGGATGGTGCCACTGTATTCTGGCCTGAGCGACAGAGCGAGCCTCTGTCTTACAACAGCAACAAAAACAACAACTTGTAATCTCACCTCATAGATAAGATTTTGTTGTACACACTTTTTCCTTGGAAACAGATTGTACATGCTATTTTATAATTTGTATTATTCCCATGATAATGTGATGGGAACTTTACTAAAAAGTTCTAAATTCAAGACCAGCCTGGGCAACCTAGTGAGGCCCCATCTCTACAAAATGAAAAAAAAAAAAAGAAATTAACAATGCATGGTGGCTTGCTCCTGTAGTCCCAGCTATTCAGGAGGCTGATGTGGGAGGATCACTTGAGCCCAGGAGGTCCAGACGGTGGGGGGCAGTGATTGCGCCACTGCACTCCAGCCTGGGGAACAGAGTGTAATTGTATTTTGCCACACTGCACAATATCACTTTCAATGGTTGTTTAGTATGTTCGAGTATGAATGTATATAGTTCATTTAATCAGTTTACTCTCTTGTTAACAGTACATGAGTCTGACTATTCACACTCTTGCCTACCGTGGGTATTATTATTTTGTCAATCTGCTGCATTCATTCAACACATAGATATTGATTACTAACCATGTACTAGGCATATTCTCAGTGCTTGGGATAGATTATTGAAAAAAACAACCTCTGATCTCATGAAACTTATATTTGAGTGGAGGACATGTACATACATGATAAATGTTATAAATAAGTAAATCCTTTAGCATTTTAGAAAGCAAAAAGTGCTATAGTTAAAAAAAAAACAGAGCAAGTTAAAGGAGTAGGGAGTGGAGAAGATTGTAGTTTTTTAATTTTAAATTTATTGTAGAGGTGACATCTCCCTGTGTTGCCCAGGCTGGTCTCTAACTCCTAGGCTCAAGCAGTCTTCCTGCCTCAGCCACCCAAAATGCTGGGGTTAACGGTGTGAGACACTACACCTGGCCAAGGATTGCAGTTTTCATTTTTATTTTTATTTTTTGAGAAAGGGTCTTGCTCTGTCACCTAGGCTGGAGTGCAGTGGCATGATCTCAGCTCACTGCAACCTTCATCTCCCAGGCTCAAGTGATCCTCCTGCCTCAGCCTCCTAAGTAGCTGGGACTACAGGCCCATGACACCAAGCCCAGACGTATTTTTTTTGTAGAGACAGGGTTTCACCATGTTGCCCAGGCTGGTCTCGAACTCCTGGGTTCAAGTGATCCTCCTGCCTTGGCCTACCCAAGTGCTGGGGTTACAGGTGTGAGCCCCTGTGCCTGGCCAAGGGTTGCAGTTTTAATTAGAGAAACCAAGGTAAGCCTAATTGAGAAGGGGGCATTGCAAGACTTGAATCAAGTTATTTGAATTTGCAATTTTATTATTACTATAGCTGATATGGTTTGGATCTGTGTCACCACCCAAATCTCATGTTGAATTGTAATCACGAGTGTTCGAGGTGGGGCCTTGGTAGGAGGTGATTGGCTCATGTGGATGGGTTTCCTCTTGGTACTGTCCTCATGATAGTGAGTTCTGGAGAGATTTTGTTGTTTAAAGTGTGTGGCACCTCCCCCACCTCCCTCTTGCTCCTGTTGCCACGATGTGAGATGCCTCCATCCCCCTTTGCCTTCTGCCATGACTGGAAGCTTCCTGAGGCCTCCCCAGAAGCAGAGGCTGCTATGCTTCCTGTACAGCCTGCAGAACTGTGAGCCAATTAAACCTCTTTTCTTTATAAATTACCCAGTCTCAGGTATTTCTTTATAACAGTATGAGAATAGACTAATACAATAGCTAAACTTTCTTTCATATGTTTATTCTTTTTTTTTTTTTTTTTGTGATGGAGTCTCTCTCTGTTGCCCAGGCTGGAAGGCAGTGGTGTGATTTTGGCTCACTGCAACCTCCGCCTCCCAGATTCAAGCAATTTTCCACCCTCAGCCTCCCGGGTAGCTGGGACTACAGGCGTGCACCACCATGCCCGGCTAATTTTTGTATTTTTAGTAGAGATGGGGTTTCGCCTTGTTGGCCAGGCTGGTTTCAAACTCCTGGCCTCAAGTAATCCACCCGTCTTGGCCTCCCAAAGTGCTGGGGTTACAGGCGTGAGGCACCACACCTGGCCTACATACCTTAATGTAAAAATACTTTATTGGTTCCCAGTTTCTATGTGCATAGAAGATGGGAGGTCCTCTTTCTGTGCCTATTACAGCTGTGGCTTCCGGTCCCAAGCAGCATCTGAAGCGGGTAGCAGCTCCACAACGTTGGATGCTGGATAAATTGACTGGTGTGTTTGCTGCTCGTCCATCCACTGGTCCCCAAAAGCTGAGAGAGTGTCTCCCTCATATTTTCCTGAGGAACAGACTTAAATATGCCCTGACAGGAGATGAAGTGAAGAAGATTTGCATGCAGTGGTTCATTAAGGTAGATGGCAAGGTTCGAACTGATATAACCTACCCTACTGGATTTATGGATGTCATCAGCATTGACAAGACGGGAGAGGGTTTCCGTCTGATCTATGGCATCAATTGTCGCTTTGCTGTACATCGTGTTACACCTGAGGAAGTCAAGTACAAGTTATGCAAAATGAGAAAAATCTTTGTGTGCACAAAAGGAACCCCTCACCTGGTGATTCACGATGCTCACACTATCCGCCACCCTGATTCCCTCATTAAAGTGAACGACACCATTCAGATTGATTTGGAGACTGGCAACATCACTGCTTTGAAGTTCGACACTGGTAACCTGTGTTTGGTGACTGGAGGTGCTAACTGGGGAAGAATTGGTGTGATCACCAATAGAGAGAGGCACCCTGGATCTTTTGACACGATTCACGTGAAAGATGCCAACAGCAACAGCTTTTCCATCATTTTTGTTATTGACAAGGGCAACAAACCATGTATTTCTCTTCCCCGAGGAAAGGGTATCCGCTTCACCATTGCTGAAGGGAGAGACAAGAGACTGCAGCCAAACAGAGCAGTGGATGAAATGGTCTGTGGGTGACATGTTAGATCTTCGTATGTAATTTAAAATAATATGGCATGATTAAAAAAATAAGTAAAAATACTTTATTGCTAGAAAATGCTAACCATCTCTCTGAGCCTTCTGCGAGTCATAATCTTTTTGCTGGTGGAGGGTCGTGCCTTGATATTGATGGTTGCTGACTGATCAGGGCAGTTGTTGCAAGGCTGGGGTGACAATTTCTTAAAATAAGACAATAAAATTTGCCACACCGATGGGCTTCTTCACAAAATATTTCTCTGTAGCATGCAGTGCTGTGTGATATCATTGCATATAGTGCTTCTTTCAAAGTTAGAGTTGATCCTCTCAAACACTACCACCTTTTTATCAACTATGTTTATGGAATATTTGAAATCCTTTGCCGTCATTTCAACAATGTTCATAGCATCTTCACCAGGAGCAGATTCCATCTCAAGAAACCACTTTCTGGTTGGGCGTGGTGGCTCATGCCTGTAATCCCACCACCACATCCAGCTAATTTTTGTATTTTTAGTACAGATGGGTTGGGGGTGGGGGTTTCACCATGTTGACCAGGCTGGTCTTGAACTCTTGCCCTTAAGTGATCCTCGGCCTCCCAAATTGGTGGGATTACAGGCGTGAGCCACCATGCCCGGCTGGTGATTCATTTTTGTGTGTCATATGACATAGCAAACATTATTTTTCCTGAATATTTGTATTATTGTATCAGGTTGTATTGACAGCATTTGTTAAGCATTTTATGCCATTACTGCTTATTGGCGGGGTCTCACTCTGTCGCCCACGGTGGAATGCAGTGGCATAATCACGGCTCACTGCAGCCTCCACCTTCTGGGCTCAAGCAATCCTCCTGCCTCAGCTTCCCAAAGTGTTGGGATTACAGGCATGACCCACTGTGCCGGGCCAGATTTTTATTTTTTATTTTTTTTGAGACAGTCTCACGCTGTCTCTCAGGCTGGAGTGCAGTGGTGTGATCTCAGCTCACTGCAACCTCCACCTTCTGGGTCCAAGTGATTCTCCTGCCTCAGCTTCCCGTGTAGCTGGGATTACAGGCATGTGCCACCATGCCCAGCTAATTTTTGTATTTTTAGTAGAGACGGGGTTTCACCATGTTGGCCAGGCTGGTCTCGAACTCCTGACCTCAACTGATCCACCCACCTCGGCCTCCCAAAGTGCTGGGATTACAGGCGTGAGCCACTGCACCCGGCGTTTTTTAGTTTTTAAATTCTGTTCCATTGATCTGTCTGTTTTGTCTTGTGCCATTGCCACATTGCATTACAATTTCTACCTTTATGATTTTTTAATATCTGCCAGGTAAGATCGATATTGTCTCGTTTTGCAAGGAGCCATTCACCATACTTGTTGAGTGCTTGCTCTGCACCAGGCTTTGTCCTGGGCACTGAAAGTGCGATGTTGACCTACATGGTCTTTCTCTCTCATAGGTCTTGGAGACACAGGCAGACACACAGGGTGGTAATTACAACCTGCCTGATCAGCAGTGCAGCAGGGAGGGCCGGAGCATGGTGGGACACATCTATCCATGTTCCTGCCTTTGTGCCCAGGCACGCTGCTCCTGTTACTGTAGATGGACTTTCTGGCTCTTGTCTGAGGCCCGCCCCTGACCAGGCGCCAGATCCTTTCCCCTCTTGCCTTCTCAAGGACCCACTGAAGCAATTCCCTCTTTTCTTTCCTGCACCATCAACGGATATTTCCTTCTCTACTGGAATATTCCCATTAGCTTATGTGGATCATGAGTGAATTCCTTTCATTGCACCATGTTCTCCAATTACCATCCATTTCTCTGCTTTGTTTATGGCCCAAATCCTTGAGTTATCCATCTTCACTGTCTCCAGTTCTCCTCCCATTCCAGTGGGGCGTCACCTCCACCACTCCTCCAATACCTCTCATATCAAGGTCACCAGTGACCTCCCTGCACCTGTTCAGTTCACTTGCTCATGGTACTTGACACCCCAACAGCATCGGACACAGCTCGTCACTCCCTTCTGGAGAACATTTCTCCACTTGGCTTTACACATGCCACTCTCTTGGGTTTCCTTCGACTTTACTGGTCACTGCTCAGAGTCCTTTGCTGTTTTCTCTTTATTCTCCCCAACTATATTTTACTTACTTATTTTTTTGAGATGGAGTCTCGCTCTGTTGCCCAGGCTGGAGGGCAGTGGCATGATATGGGCTCACTGTGACCTCCGCCTCCCGGGTTCAAGTGATCCTCCTGCCTCAACCTCCCAAGTAGCTGGGATTACAGGCACGTGTCACCATGCTCAGCTAACTTTTTTGTATTTTTTAGCAGAGGCTGGGTTTCACCATGTTGGCCAGGCTGGTCTCGAACTCCTGACCTCAAGTGCTCTGCCCACCCTGACCTCCCAAAGTGTTGGGATTACAGGTGTGAGCCACTGTGACCGGCCATATTTCTCCCAATTCTAAATGCTGGAGTGCCCCAGGGCTTAGATCTTAGGTCTTTTCTCTGTCTGCACTTACTCCTAGCCTCAAGACTTTAACTATCATTTCTAATGATGGAAATATCTTCTCAAATCATGGAAACTTCAACTTTATATCCCCTGTTCAGACTTCTCCCCTGAGCTCCAGACTTGTCTATCACTTGTCTCCTTACATCCCACTTGGATGTCCCACGGTTATCTTATCTCAAACTCAGTATGTCCCACACTGTACTCCTGAGGCAACCACATTGCTCTTTCCATACCTCTTTATATCTCTGTACATGGCAACTGCATTCTTTAAGCTGCTCAGGTCAAAAACTTCAAAGCAGCCGGGTGTGGCAGCTCACATCTGCAACTCCAGCACTTTGGGAGGCCAAGGTCAGAGGATCGCTTGAGCCCAGGAGTTCGATATCAGCCTGGGCAGCACAGTGAAGCTCTGTCTCCACAAAAAATACAAAAAATAAAAATTAGCCAGGCGTGGTGGCACATGCCTGTAGTCTCAGCTACCTGGGAGGTTAAGGTGGGAGGACTGCTTGAGCCAGGGAGGTCGAGGCTGCAGTGAACCGTGATTATGCCATTGCACTACAGCCTAGAAGAAAGAGCAAGACTGTCTCAAAAAACAAACAAGCAAACAAAAAATTCAAAGCTATTCGCGACTCTTCTCTTTACCACACAGCTCACATAGACTTCATTAACAGACTCTGGACTCTCCCACTCAAATCCAGAACCTGACCAAGGTTCACAACTTCTGTCTTGCCATCCTTTTCAAGCTGCCATGATTCCTCACTTGGATTTTCATAGTGGCCTCCTGATGGCTCTCTCTGCCTCTGTCCTCACTCCCCTTAGTTGTCTAAGAGTAATGCTTTTAGAACGTAAATCACATTATGTCACATTTCTGCTCAAAACCCAATGGTGCCTCTTTTGCCAATGGTGCCTCTTTGTTGTAAGGACCCAGTCCAAGTCCTTACAACAGCCTACAAGACTGCGCTTGATTCTGCATCCCCCAATCTACTTCTCTAACTTTCTCTGCCACCATTTCTACCCTAGCCTTATTGGACTCCAGACACATTGGCCTACTTGCTCTTCTCTGAAGGCCAAGCACTTGACCCTTTCAGGACATATCCTCATGGCTCATCTTGTCACCTCCTTTTGGATTTTGTGCAAATGACAGTGAAACTTTTTTTGATCATCTATTGATAATTTTAACATCATCCCATCCACTTTCCATCTTTAATTAATTACTTAATTAGTTTATTTATTTATTTGTAGAGACAGGATTTCGCCATATTGCCCAGGCTGGTCTCCAGCTCCTGAGCTCAAGCAATCTACCTGCCTTGGCCTCTCAAAGTGCTGGGATTACAGGAGTGAGCAGCCTGCCTGGCCTTTATTTATTTTTTATCTAACTCATTACCAGCTTCTAACTCAATACCAGCTAACATACTCTATTTTTTATTTTTTTAAAACCTATTTGTTTATTTCCCACTAGCCTGCAAATTTCTAAGGGCAGAGATTTCATCTGTTAAATTCCAGGTTGTTTATACAGCTCCTAGAGCCATGCCTGATGTATAACACATGCCCAGTAAATATTTGTTGAATGAGTGATGTCCTTGAATATTGAAATTGATATGTCTGAAGTTTCTACAATTTCTTAAATGAGTTTATTTCTAAGGAAATAATCCCCTTTATCTTAAGTCATTGAATTTTTTACTCTGACAATTTTTGGGTTTGCCTTTCTAGAGGAGTTATGTGGGTGTCTGTTTCAAAGATTTTAGGTCAAGGTGAGAGAAAAAGAGACTAGTTTGAATTTGTTGGAGGTTTATTTTTTCAGACAGTTACGGTTGCCCTTGTAAAGCGGAAAGAGAGCTCACCCAGAAGTGGCCAAGGACAGGAAACTTCCCTGTGATGCGGAAGGGTTCCCCTTACCCTTTTGTTATTATTATGGAAGTGGTAGTGGCAGGAGTGGCCACAGTGAGGTAGATAATAATTGCAAGCATTTACAGAATGCTTCACTGAGTGCCAAGCCCTGTGAGTGGGCTTGACTGCACTTTCTTATTTATTTATTTATTTATTTATTTATTTATTTATTTATTTTTTGTGACAGAGTCTTGCTCTGTCACCCAGGCTGGAGTGCAGTGGCGCGATCTCAGCTCACTGCAAGCTCCACCTCTCGGGTTCATGCCATTCTCCTGCCTCAGCCTCCCGAGTAGCTGGGACTACAGGCACCCGCCACCACGCCCGGCTAATTTTTTGTATTTTTAGTAGAGACGGGGTTTCACCGTGTTAACCAGGATGGTCTTGATCTCCTGACCTCATGATCTGCCTGCCTTGGCCTCCCAAAGTGCTGGGATTACAGGTGTGAGCCACCACGCCCGGCCAGCACTTTCTCATTTAAACCTTATAAACCAGGTACTATTATCATTATCATTCTAACTTCATAAATGGTAGACCTAAAGCTTTTTTTCTTTTTCTGGGCAGGGTCTCACTATGTTGCCAGGCTGGTCCAAACTCCTGGGCTTAAGCAATCTGCCTGCCTTGACCTCCCAAAGTGCTGGGATTACAGACATGAGCCACTGCACCCAGCCTGACCTGAAGCTTAAATAAAGGTAATGCACAGCCAGCCCCCCACAATGATCCCCACCTCCTGGTATTCACATACTCATGTAGTCCCCTCCCATCTTGTACCAGGGTTAACCTGTGGGACCAATTACATACAGCAGAAGTGAGGCTGTCCTTCTTATGAGATTAGGCATAAAAGACTGGCTTCCTTCTTGAGCACTGTCTTGTCTTGCGTGCTCTCTCTCTCTCTCCCTCAGATCACTTGTCCTATGGAATGTCAGCTGCCATATTGAGAGCATACTCAAGCAGCCCATGGAGTGACCCATGGGATAAGAAACAGAGACCTCTGCCTAACAGCCAGTGAGGCATTGAGACCTGCTGTATTAGTCTGTTCTCATGCTGCTAATAAAGACATACGCAAGACTGGGTAATTTATGAAGGAAAGAAGTTTAATTGACTCACAGTTTCACATGGCTGGGGAGGCCTCACAATCATGGCAGAGGGCAAAGGGGAAGCAAGGCATGTCTTACATGGCGGCAGGCAAGAGAGAGCTTGTGCAGGGGAACTCCTGTTTATAAAACCATCAGATCTCATGTGACTTATTCACCACCATGAGAACAGCAAGGGAAAGACCCACCTCTATGATTCAATTACCTCCCACTGTGTCCCTCCCACAACACGTGGGGATTATGGGAGCTACAATTCAAGATGAGATTTGGGTGGGGACACAGCCAAACCCTATCACCTGCTAACTACCCATGCATGAACTTGGAAGTGGATTCTTTAACCCCATTTGAGCCTTCAGATGGTTGGTGGTAGCCCTGGCTGGCACCTTGACTACAACCTTCTGAGAGACTCTGAGCCCAAGCCACCCAGCTAAGCTGCCCCAGGATTCCTGATCCTTAGACATTGCAGGAGATGTTAAATGACAATTATTTAAGCTACTAGGTTTTGGCATAGTGTGTTATGCATCAGCAGATAACCAATATAGGTAACTTGCTCAAGATCATGCTGTTGATAAGTGGTAGAACTAACATTTGAACATGGGCTTGTCTGACTTCGGACCACTGGGCTCCATTGCCATGGTGACATCCACAGTATAGACTCTGCTCACCCCTGGCCTGTTGGGAACTGCCACTGAGTTGTGGGGCTTGCCATGACCTGCAGGACTGAGACTGGGGCTGAGAACCGACCCCGTGACTTCTAGGACATGTTTCATTCATTCTCAATGTGGGAAAATTTAACCTATTTTATATTCCCTGAGTTATCTCCATAAACATTTGTGGTGAGTTATCACCATAAACATTTGTGGAAAGCACATTTAAGATGTGGGTTGTGACTTCCAACTGGAACCAGATATCTAGACTTCGTTTATGGACCATGGGTCAGCAAACAGTAAACAATTTTGGCTTCGCGGGTGAAATATGTTTTTAAAAAAATGCTGCCTTGACACAGTTTTGAGACCTTGGCTAGAGGCTGGTCACATCCCCTTCTTAGGCAGCTGGTTAAGTCATACTTCTTGGCTGGGCACCGTGGCTCACGCCTGTAATCCTGGCACTTTGGGAGACTGAGGCAGGCAGATTGCTTGAGCCTAGGAGGTCAACACCAGCCCGGGCAACATAGCGAAACCCTGTCTCTACAAAAAATACAAGGAAATTAGCTGGGTGTGATGGTGCATGCCTGTAGTCCCAACTACTTGGGAGGCTGAGGTGGGAGGACCACCTGACTCTGGAAGGTTGAGGTTACAGGGAGCCAAGATTGTGTCACTGCGTTCCAGCCTCGGTGATAGAGGGAGATCCTGTCACACATAAACAAACAAACAAAGTCTACACCCCAAACTGCCTCACCTCTCATGCTTTAGGCCACTATGCACCTGCCCTAATTGCCCAGAGCCAGATATCTGATATCTGATAGGGATAGCTCCTAAGCCCCAGAGCTTGCTGAAATCATGAAAATTGGCCAATCCTAAACCTGCTTGTCCTGCCTAACCCTTTCCTTCCCTGCTGCCGTCTCTGGTGCTTGCTTCCTTGGGGTGGCCCTGCAGGGCGTTGCTGTGTTCTCACCCCAGGGAACTGTCAGCAACAAAATGGTAAGAGTCAATCCTTTCAAAAGTTTCTCCTGAGGTCTGCATAAAGCCTCCTGTCCCTCACCATCCCTCACCACTCACTGTGGGGAGAACAGTGGGCCATATGGCTTCGGTCACAGCTACTCAACTCTGTCATTGTAGGACCCAAACAGCCATAAACAATATAGGAATGTGTTCTGAAGGAAACCAGAATATTTCACCCCAAAAATAGACTTCTTTGGCATATTTTGAGATAATTATTCAGAGAAACTGCAGACAAGAATAGCCCTGAAAAGCTGTCTTTGGTGGAGGAGATTTGCATCTGTAGAGAAAATCTACATTAGTGAAATAAGCAGCCAGGCTTTCTCTGAGCACCCTCTTCTCCAGATCTAGGAAAGATGAGCTCACAGGAAAAAGAGACTAAGAGCCTAACACGTTTAAAGGTTTGTCAGAGAAACTTTGCCACAGTCCACTTCTATTCTTTCTGAGAGCTGCTACCTGTGATGCTTCATTTGCATGACAAGACCACTTTGACAAATTTTCCTTCTTTCCTTTTCCCATAACCTGTGTGCTACCTCTTCTGGAAGCCCCAAGCCCCTTATTCTTTCTGTAGCCTCAGGATAGCATAAAAATTCCACTCAACTGTGGCTCACTCCTGTAATCCCAGCACTTTGGGAGGTCAAGGCAGGTGGATCACTTGAGCTCAGGAGTTCAAGACCAGCCTTGGCAACATGGCAAAACTCCATCTCTGCAACAACAACAAAAATTATCCAGGCGTGGTGGCACATGCCTGTAGTCCCAGCTACTCTGGAGGCTGAGGTGGGAGGAGGATTGCTGGAGTCCAGGAGAGCGAGGCTGCAGTGAGCCTAGATGGCACCACTACACTCCAGCCTGGGCAATAGAGTGAGATCCTGTCTAAAAATAAAAATAATAATAATAATAATCACTCACTGGGCTCTTTGAGTTTTCATATTTTCTGTGACATCCCTGCATAAGTGTGCATGTAAAAAATTTGTTATACTTTTCTATTGTTAACCTGCCTTTTGTTACAGGGGATTACCCCCTTTCTGCCCCTACACTTTCAATAATATTTTATTTACAAAAATAGGTGGTAGAACAGATTTGACACCCAGGCTATAGTTTACTCATATTTGCTTTAGAATCTTCTGATAGATTTAGATTTTCTGATTAGTGGGTAATATTAAAGAAAGCTTAATCCATATATTAGTTAATAAGTACATCTTTTCAAGCTGTCACTTAGTTGACACTGAAGGAGCCTTGCAAAAGCGTTAAGGGCGCTTTGTCATACTCTGTGAACTGTTTCAGCCCTGGAGCCTGTCTGTGTGGCCTTCCATAGTGTTATACTTCATATGATTTTAGAGTGACAGTAATGGGAATGGAACTGCCAGATGGAAGGCTGACTGCATGTCAGAGGCTAGGCCAGATGCATTCTATTCATCCTCACTACTCATTTTCCTAAGGACAAGTGTATCTCCTCATTTTATAGATGGTGAAACTGAGGCTTAAAGAAGCCCAAGATAACACATCTCGTAAGTGGTGGAGGCTACAGTCAATCCTGGTAATTTAACATAAAAGATCATGTTCCTATCCACGTTATGAAATCACATTTCTGTGATGCCCGTATCTCCTTTAGAGCTTGTTAAAGTCATCCTTTAAAAATGTCTATTGGCATCAAGGGTGATTTTTTTTTCTTGAGATGGAGTCTCGCTTTGTTGCCCAGACTGGAGTGCAGTGGCACAACTTCAGCTCACTGCAACCTCTGCCTCCTGGGTTTAAGTGGTTCTCCTGCCTTAGCCACCTGAGTAGCTGGGATTATAGGCACCCGCCACCATGCCCAGCTAATTATTGTATTTTTAGTAGAGACATGGTTTTGCCTGGCTGGCCTGACTGGTCTCGAACTCTTGACCTCAGGTGATCCATCGCCTCAGCCTCCCCAAGTGCTGGGATTACAGGCGTGAGCCACTGCGCCCGGCCCAGTGACAATTACTTAATACAGTATTTCTTTTGTTAAATAATTTTTAATTTTAAGGATTTTAAGGATTCCCCAAACAGAGAGATACACTTTTTTTTTGTTTGTTTGGTAATTGGAGGTTGTGCACAGGGAGAGGATAGATTCTTGCATTCATTTTAGTTCACAATAGAATCCATCAGTTGGCGGGAATTGTTAATTCTCCCTTGGGGGAAATCAAGTGCCTGAGGCAGTGATTGATAAATCAATAAATCTTTAGTGGGTCTGGTAAATCAAGTGTCACACGTATGTCAACCTTTTCTCCAGATTATAGATTTTACCCAGGACAAGTGTGTTTCTTCCTTTCCATCATTTTCTCCTTCAAAATTGCAACATACTAAGGTATTTAAACAAATCCTTAAGATTGTAAGCTTTTTTTCTTCTTTTTCCATTTTTAAAAGATAGCATAAGGGATCATGCTTTTCTCAGCTATTTTAGGGCAAGAACTCAGTTGTTTGCATATTTGCATTTCAACCCCTAACCTCTCCTGAGGACAAATGGCTGTCTGACGATGAAGCCCACAGGCACAGCGCCGGGACTGTGGATTAAGCCTCTGAATGCTGACTAGTTTTCAGCAGCATTCCCAGCGTGTGTGAAGAATGTGTTTGTAGCTGGGAGGCAAACAGAACATCCAAAGCCGAGCAAGAATTTTGAAAAATAGTTGTCTTATGTATAAATGTATTTTTGCTCTTAGTGTTTTCTTCTTGCCGATTTCATTATTCCAGATTTCTGCTTTCTTTTAAAATAGCTCCATTGTGTTTGATATTCTCATAATATTCTCTCAAGTTTTGGTCACTTGATTTTTTCAAAATGTTCTTCTTTTTTTTTTTTCTTTATCATTTAAACACCCAGCCATGGATGGCTGGCTTAGATATTTCTCCCCGCTGGTAGGGAAGACCTGGTGACTTCCACACAAGACGCCTGTAAGGCCTTTGCTCTTCACAAATCAGGGCCCAGTTGGAAGCTTTGGCAGGTACTGAGGGCGACAGCTTAGGTTTTTAGCTCTTATAATAGGAACAGCAAGGCTTAGGGCTGTGGATTTATTTCTCTTAACAGTTTAAGTTATCATTGTGCCTGCTTTTAGGGCCAAAGAAATGAATTCTCTTAACCGGCTCTTTATTCTTTAGTGAAGAAACATATATTGTAGAAGTGTGAGTTCTGCTTGGGTAGAAAAACCAAACTAATTTGATGAATTGGCACATTGGCTTAAAGGGTCCCCAATAGTAATCTGTTGAGAATCTGCTTTTTCCAAACTGTCAGTGTTGGGAAGGCATGGCACGACCCAATGTGAAGTAAAATCTGGTTCCTGTTCTCAGGAGCTCAAGGAACAAATGTAGAATAAAGAGAATGCCAGAAAACTTATCAGTGAAAGCATCTAGTTTGAGAAATTGTGGACCAGGGAGCATTGAAGGTGGAGCCTTAAAAGATTGGTATCATTGGCCAGGTGCAGTGGCTCACCCCTGTAATCCCGGCACTTTGGGAGGCTGAGGCGGGCCAATCACCTGAGGTCAGGAGTTCGAGACCAGCCTGGCCAACGTGGTGAAACCCTGTCTCTACTAAAAATGCAAAAATTAGCTGGGTGTGATGGTGGGCGCCTGTAATCCCAGGTACTTGGGAGGTTGAGGTAGGAGAATTACTTGCACCCAAGAGACAGAGGTTGCAGTGAGCCAAGATCATGCCACTGCACTCCAGCCTGGGTGACAGAGTGAGACTCTGTCTCAAAAAAAAAAAAAAAAATTGGTGACATTTTAACAATGCAGCTATATTTGTCATGGCTGTAAAGGAGTGTCTGTGTGAGTTTATGCGTGTCTGTCTGTCTGTCTTTGTCTGTCCATGTCCTTTGGGGAATAATTTGCTATTCACTTCATCTGGCACAAGTGTATGGGAGCAATGAGACATGATTTTCTAAAACAAATTTAAATTTAAGACTCATAACTCATCAGGTCTTTAGGAGAATGGCAATGTATATTTTCCCTTTACATGCAGTAAAATTAGATCCTTGTCTGTAGGGATGATGATTAAATTTATTATAAAGTTAATGTCAAATCCATTGTTAGCTATTTTGTAAGTTGAAATGTGACTGACACATAATGAGCTCTGTGTTGTAATTCTTAAAAATAGTTACAATAATACTGCCCTTGAGGTCAGTGTCTTGCTGTAGTTAAATTCATTACACAGCCTGTAGTTTTTAAATTTCTTTATTAATTATTTGCCTGTACTTTTAAATTGGGAATTGATCACCTATTCTAGGCCAAACATCAGGATTAGCAGCAAGTGATCTCAACTGTTTTGTGGTTTTTTAAGGGGTAACTTCAATTTGCTGTTTCAATGAGCTAAAAGATTTCACTTAAAGTGTAAGGAATGGCCGGGTGCAGTGGCTCATGCCTGTAATCCCAGCACTTTAGGAGCCTGAGGCCGATGGATTGCTTGAGCCCAGGAGTTTGAGACCAGCCTGAGCAACATGATGAAACCCTGTCTTTATTAAAAAAATACAAAAATTAGCCAGGCATGGTGGCACACACCTGTAGTCCCAGCTACTCGACAGGCTGAGGCGGGAGGATCACTTGAGCCTAGGAGGTCAAGGCTGCAGTGAGCTGTGATTGTGCCACTGCACTGCAGTCTGGGTGACAGAGTGGGACCCTGTCTCAAAAGAAAAAAAAAAAGTGTAAGGAATGGGTAACATTAAATTGCCATTAGATTACCCATTTATTGGGTAACATTAAATTCTGCTAGTTGGGCTTTTTTTTTGTTGTTATGTTGCATATTATTAGAAGACACAGTCCCTCTCCCTCTCCCTCTCCGTCTCCCTCTCCCTCTCCCTCTCCCTCTCCCTCTCCCTCTCGCTCTCCCCACCGTCTCCCTCTCATGCGGAGCCGAAGCTGGACTGTACTGCTGCCATCTCGGCTCACTGCAACCTCCCTGCCTGATTCTCCTGCCTCAGCCTGCCGAGTGCCTGCGATTGCAGGCACGCGCCGCCACGCCTGACTGGTTTTGGTGGAGACGGGGTTTCGCTGTGTTGGCCGGGCCAGTCTCCAGCCCCTAACCGCGAGTGATCCGCCAACCTCGGCCTCCTGAGGTGCCGGGTTTGCAGACAGAGTCTCGTTCACTCAGTGCTCAATGGTGCCCAGGCTGGAGTGCAGTGGCGTGATCTCGGCTCACTACAACCTACACCTCCCAGCCGCCTGCCTTGGCCTCCCAAAGTGCCGAGATTGCAGCCTCTGCCCGGCCGCCACCCCGTCTGGGAAGTGAGGAGTGTCTCTGCCTGGCCGCCCATCGTCTGGGATGTGAGGAGCCCCTCTGCCTGGCTGCCCAGTCTGGAAAGTGAGGAGCGTCTCCGCCCGGCCGCCATCCCATCTAGGAAGTGAGGAGCGCCTCTTCCCAGCCGCCATCACATCTAGGAAGTGAGGAGCGTCTCTGCCCGGCCGCCCATCGTCTGAGATGTGGGGAGCGCCTCTGCCCCGCCGCCCCATCTGGGATGTGAGGAGCGCCTCTGCCCGGCCGAGACCCCGTCTGGGAGGTGAGGAGCGTCTCTGCCCAGCTGCCCCATCTGAGAAGTGAGGAGACCCTCTGCCTGGCAACCACCCCGTCTGAGAAGTGAGGAGCCCCTCCGCCCGGCAGCTGCCCCGTCTGAGAAGTGAGGAGCCTCTCCGCCCAGCAGCCACCCCATCTGGGAAGTGAGGAGCGTCTCCGCCCGGCAGCCACCCCGTCCGGGAGGGAGGTGGGGGGGGTCAGCCCCCCACCCGGCCAGCCGCCCCATCCGGGAGGGAGGTGGGGGGGTCAGCCCCCCGCCTGGCCAGCCGTGCCATCCGGGAGGGAGGTGGGGGGGTCAGCCCCCCGCCTGGCCAGCCGTGCCATCCGGGAGGGAGGTGGGGGGGTCAGCCCCCCGCCTGGCCAGCCGTGCCGTCCGGGAGGGAGGTGGGGGGGGTCAGCCCCCCACCCGGCCAGCCGTGCCATCCGGGAGGGAGGTGGGGGGGTCAGCCCCCCGCCTGGCCAGCCGTGCCGTCCGGGAGGGAGGTGGGGGGGTCAGCCCCCCGCCTGGCCAGCCGCCCCGTCCGGGAGGTGAGGGGCGCCTCTGCCCGGCCGCCCCTACTGGGAAGTGAGGAGCCCCTCAGCCCGGCCAGCCGCCCCGTCCGGGAGGGAGGTGGGGGGGTCAGCCCCCCGCCCGGCCAGCCGCCCCGTCCGGGAGGGAGGTGGGGGGGTCGGCCCCCCGCCCGGCCAGCCGCCCCGTCCGGGAGGGAGGTGGGGGTGTCGGCCCCCCGCCCGGCCAGCCGCCCCGTCCGGGAGGGAGGTGGGGGGGGGTCAGCCCCCCTGCCCGGCCAGCCGCCTCGTCCGGGAGGTGAGGGGCGCCTCTGCCCGGCCGCCCCTACTGGGAAGTGAGGAGCCCCTCTGCCCGGCCACCACCCCGTCTGGGAGGTGTGCCCAACAGCTCATTGAGAACGGGCCAGGATGACAATGGCGGCTTTGTGGAATAGAAAGGTGGGAAAGGTGGGGAAAAGATTGAGAAATCGGATGGTTGCCGTGTCTGTGTAGAAAGAAGTAGACATGGGAGACTTTTCATTTTGTTCTGCACTAAGAAAAATTCCTCTGCCTTGGGATCCTGTTGATCTGTGACCTTACCCCCAACCCTGTGCTCTCTGAAACATGTGCTGTGTCCACTCAGGGTTAAATGGATTAAGGGCGGTGCAAGATGTGCTTTGTTAAACAGATGCTTGAAGGCAGCATGCTCGTTAAGAGTCATCACCAATCCCTAATCTCAAGTAATCAGGGACACAAACACTGCGGAAGGCCGCAGGGTCCTCTGCCTAGGAAAACCAGAGACCTTTGTTCACTTGTTTATCTGCTGACCTTCCCTCCACTAATGTCCCATGACCCTGCCAAATCCCCCTCTGTGAGAAACACCCAAGAATTATCAATAAAAAAATAAATTAAAAAAAAAAAAAAAAAAGAAGACACAACAAATCACACTGCAAACTTTTTATTTTTTGTATGTTTTTGGGTGAGAAATGAAGTATTACTTTGAATCTATGCTTTGTGGACATTCTGCTGTGTTTATATCAGAGAGGCCAGGGAAATTAATTGAATAAGAGGGAGATTTCAAAAACAGATAGATTAAAATATGCTGTTTATGAATGAGATGGATTTGGATTTGAAGGCAGGAACTTCTTCTATTGGCTTGAAATGGACTGATACGATTTAGTAACATTTCTGAGAAATTATTTAAACCATCTGTATTAGTCTGTTCTCACACTGCTATGAAGAGCTACCCGAGACTGGGTAATTTATGAAGAAAAGAGGTTTAATTGGCTCACAGTTCTGCTGGCTTACCAGGAAGCATGGCTGGGAGGCCTCAGGAAACTTACAATCATGGCAGGAGGCAAAGGGGAAGCGAGAACCTTCTTCACATGGAGGCAGGAGAGAGAGAGAGAGCTTGATGGGGGAGTTGCCACGCCCTTTTAAATAACCAGATCTCGTGAGAGTGCTATCACAAGACAGCACTAGGAGATGGTGCTAAACCATTAGAAACCACCCCCATGATCCAGTCACCTCCCACCAGGTCCCACCTTCAACACATGGGGATTACAATTAGCCATGAGATTTGGGTGGGGACACAGAGCCAAACCATATCACCATCCTCACAGGGGTGGCAAGAATTGCATGTCTGGTTATGGACAGAAGTATAGTTATAATTAAGCATCAATCAGGCTGCACTTTGGCCCACTTCCTTGTAGCTGAAAGTCATGTGGTGCTAGATCCTGATCATTGGCACCCCATTGCTCCTATAGACAGGATCTCTGACATTAGACTCATAAGGCTTTTGTTAAGGATGGCTTAAGATGTTTTTCAGACCCGAAATTCTAGCAACCAATTTGAAGACCTCACAAAGGATTGGGATAAGCATGAGAACACAGCTTCTTCCTCTCCCTGCAGTAGGAGTTCACCCTGCACTCTTCCATCCACCAACAATTTGCACACTTTAGCCTGCTCCAAAACCCTAACCCCAAATTCCTCAGGGAGATGGATTTGAGGTTTCCTCCCATCTCCTCATTTTGTGACCTTACCATTAAACCTTTTTCTCTGCTGCAACCTGATGTCTCTGTGTATTGACTTGCTGGGTGCATTGGACAATGGACCTATTACAGCTACAGCTACTATTAGCATTACAGTTACGGGTATTACTAGTAACAACAGAATTGTAGCACATTTCTTGAATTCATCACGATGGGTTGGTATATGAATGAATCACCTGGGAAGTTGTAGAGTGAAGATTCCTATGTCTCATTTTCCTTCTTCTCTTCTTTTGGATTTTTTTTATTTTCTCTTGACTTCTTTTGAATGGATTTTTTAAAAATGATTTTTATCACCCTCCTCTGCTCCCCTGTAGTGGTTACCCTAGAAGTCTAAATTATTTGAAAATTTATGAAAATATAATGTTAGTCAAATCCTTTACTATCCACCTGAACAATATATTTACCTTCCAGCACATTAACTACATTTATTTCCCATTATGACTTACATGCTATTATTATTGTCTGTCTTACTTTATATATATTTAAATCCCCCAGAGGCATTTTTATAATTATGGTAATTCCCTACTTAAAGTCTTCAATAGATTCTTGGAAACTTCTATCTTAAGTGAAATGATGTATAATGAAACTAATTTTACCATAGGCTAATTGATCTAAGCAAGAGTTAAGTTCCTATGGCATATTTCTGGTCACAAAAATATAACAGAACTTCTAAATAAAGACCAAAATACTCTTAATATTAAACATGGAAATAAATGTGAGCTATACATACATTTGAGAAAGATTAATAAAAACAAGTAAGATAACATTTACCCAGTTATTCCAGTTCAGGGTTTCAGTGGCTGGGGCCTATCCCAGCAGCTCAGGACATAAGATAGGAACCAGCCCCGGACAAGATGCCCTCCTGCTGGGGGGCACGCTCACACACACACCCATACTTGTGATCGCCCTGTGCGTTTTTCCTGCCCCCTGCAAAGAAAAAACCAGTTCACTGAGACCATGGTATTGCAGTAAAGAAAGAATTTAATTAACCTAAGACCAGCCAAAAGGAGAATGGGAGTTATCACTCAGATCAGTCTCCCCAAAGGCTCAGAGATTAGGGTTTTTCATGTATAGTTTGGTGGGCAGGGGTCTAAGGAATGGGGAATGTTGATTGGTTGGGGATGAAATCATAGGGGTGTGGAAAACTGTCCTCGTGTGCTGAGTCCACCTCTGAATGGGGACCACAGGACCAGTTGAGTCATGAGTCCCCATCTGGGTGGAGTCAGCCAGTCGTCAGAAATGTGAAAGTCCAAAAAATCATCTGGAAAGGCCAACCTTAGGTTCTACAATAGTGATCTTATCTATAGGAGTAATTGAGGAAGTCACTCAAATCTTATGAAATCTTGCACAAATCTTGTGACCTCCAAAACAATGGCTGGCTATTGTTTAAGTATGCCTACATCTTAGCAGAATTTGGGCTCCTCCCGGAATCCTAACATTGTGGTCTTTCATTAGTTTTATAGGGCAGTTTAGTTTTGGGAAGGGCTATTTTCATCCTTGCTTTAAAGTTAAACTACAAATAAATTCCTCCCGTGGTTAGCCTGGCTTCTGCCCAGGAATGAGCAAGGACAGCCAGCCTGTGAGGCTGGAGGCAAGATGGAGTCAGCTATGTTAGGCTTCTCTCACTGCCATCATCTTTGCAAAGGTGGTTTCACACTCACTCAGACTGGGACGTTGTACACATGCCAATCAACCTAACATGCACATCTTTGGAATGCAGGAGGAAACCAGAGGACCCGGAGAAAACCCACACAGGTAAGGGGAGGATGTGTAGACTGGAAAGTGATTTTTTTTCTCATCATTATAATGAAACAACATGATTTGAGGACTTGCTGTACTTTATGAAGTTGGTGTTCATTTACACTGATGACCTGCTCAACACTTTCTTTCCTCTTCACCCCTTCTTGTATCTCTGACATTCCATGTGGAATCATTTTCTTTCTGCTTAAAATATGTACTTTAACATGTTCATTGGTTCAAGTCTGCTGATCCTGAAATCTCGCCATCTTTGTTTATCTAAAATGTCTTTATTTGAAGTTTATCTTTTATTTTGAGCTTTTCATTTTGGCATAATTTCAGACTTACAGAAAAGTTGTAAGATTAATACAAAAAAATCTCCAATATGCTTTACTGCTCAGCCACTCAAGTAGCTGGGACCACCGGTGTATGCCATCAAACCCAACTAATTTTTTTTTAAATACATTTTTGGCTGGGCATGGTGGCTGTTGCCTGTAATCCCAGCACTTTGGGAGGCTGAGGTGGGAGGATCACTTGAGGTCAGGACTTCAAGACCAATCCAGGCAACATGGTGAAATCCCATCTCTACTAAAAATACCAAAATTAGCCGGGCATGGTGGTGCACACCTGTAATCCCAGCTACTTGGGAGGCTGAGGCAGGAGAATCACTGGAACCCAGGAGGTGGAGGTTGCAGTGAGCTGAGATCGCACCACTGCACTCCAGCCTGGGAGACAGAGCGAGACTCTGTCTCAAAATAATATTAATAATAATAATAATAATGGCTGGGCATGGTGGCTTATGCCTGTAATCCCAGCACTTTGGGAGGCTGAGGTGGGAGGATCACTTGAGGTCAGGAATTCGAGACCAACCTGGACAATACAGTGAAATCCCATCTCTACTAAAAATACAAAAATTAGCTGAGCATGGTGGCACACATCTGTAATCCCAGCTACTCAGGAGGCTGAGGCGGGAGAATCACTTGAAACCGGGAAGTAGAGGCTGCAGTGAGCTGAGATTGTGCCACTGCCCTCCAGACTGGGGCGACAGAGTGAGACTCTGTCTCAAAATATACATACATACATACATAAATACATACATACATACATACATACATACAATCTTCCTGCCTCAGCCTCCCAAAGTGCTGGGATTACAGGTGTGAGCCACTGTGCCTGCCTAATACATTTGTCTTATCTTTTCTCTTTCTCTGTCTTGATGGATATATAGTCATGTGTTGCTTAAATTAATTAATGCGAGGTTGGCCACGTGGGAGACTGAAGCTATCACTCAAATCAGTCTCCCCGAAGGCTCGGGGGTTAGGGTTTTGCAGGGATAGTTTGGTGGGTAGGTGGCTAGGGATATCTTCTCTTAATGAAAGGGATGCCTTCTGAGGAATCTGTCATTAGAAGATTTTGTCTTTGTGAGAACATCAGAGAGTGGGCTTACACAAACATAGGTGGTAGAGACTACTCCACACCTAGGCTCTGTGGTATAACCTACGGCTCCAAGGCTCTAAACCTGTACAGCATGGCACTGTACTGAATGCTCAGGCAACTGTAACATAATGGTAAGTATTTATGTATCTAAGCATATCTAAACATAGCAAAGTTATGGTAAAAATGTGGTCTATCATTGACTGAAACATTGCATGTGGTGCATGACTGTGTACACACATGTGCCTGCATGCACCCGCACACATGCACATACACACCCCACTGTAACTTCATTCTTTCTAATTATTAAGTATCTTCTGGGGAGTGCATAGAGGCTCTGTAAATATTATGTTACTCAAACTTTTCCTTACTCATTTTAGGCTGCTGATCACTCTTGCCTGAATCAATTGTTACTGTTAAGCCCCTCACATGGTGACTTTCTAATTCCATCATTCTTTCTATGTGTATTAGATACATTTCTGCTGTTTATTTATTTATATTAGTGTATTAGTCCCTTCTCACATTGCTATAGGGAAATACCTGAGACTGGGCAATTTATAAAGGAAAGAGGTTTACTTGGCTCATGGTTCTACAGGCTGTACAGGGGGCATGATGCTGGCATCTTCCGCTTCTGGGGAGGCCTCAAGAAACTTACAATCATGGTAGAAGGTGAAGGGGG
Source organism: Homo sapiens (assembly GCF_000001405.40). Classification (NCBI taxonomy): domain Eukaryota; kingdom Metazoa; phylum Chordata; class Mammalia; order Primates; family Hominidae; genus Homo; species Homo sapiens. Next base: position 34,073,503 of record NC_000019.10, on the reverse strand, counting down.
AGCAGGCATGTCTTCCAAGGCAGGAGCAAGAGAGCGAGAGTGAGAGAAGAGGTGCTATATTTGTAAACATCCAGATCTAACAAGAGCTCACTCACTATTACAAGAACAGCACCAAGGGGCTGGCACTAAACCATTCATAAGAAATGCACCTCCTTGATCCAATCACCTCCCACCAGGCCCTACCTCTGACATTGGAGATTATAATTCGACATGAGATTTGGGCAGGGACACAGATCTAAACCATATCATTCAGTATATATTCATCGAATCTTACTTTATGTAAAAGCTTCTCATTCTTTATTATAAATGTTATTTATTTTGATGCTCAAATTCTCCCAGATCTGGCCAGTGGCAACTCCACCAAACTGGTTCCTGTGTCCTTTTGACATGTCCATATCGTCTTTGAGGACTTCCTTATGCTCTTCTTTCCTTTTTTGCAATAATACACACATACACACATTTATATATTATATATAACATTATATAAGCCTCCTGTACATATATATGTATCTAAGTATATATACATATATGTACATATATAAAATGTTTTATATATATACACACATATATGTATATATAATATATAACATTATATATGCCTCCTGTACATATGTATCTAAGTATGTATATATATGTACATATATAAAATGTTATATATGCCTCCTGTACAGCCTAAAGAACCATTATATATATATATTGTGTGTGTGTATGTGTATATATACATATAGCTGCAAAAAAGGAAAGAAGAAAATAAGGAAGTCTTCAAAGATGATATAGCCACGTCCAAAGGATGCAGGAACCAGTTTGGCAGAGTTGCCACTGGCCAGATCTGGGAGAATTTGAGCATCAAGATAAATAATATTAAGAATAAAGAATGATAAGCTTTTACATAAAGATTCTATGAATATATATACATACATATATGATATATATATATATAAACATAAAATTTATTGCTGTAACAATTTTTTTTTTGGAGACACTCTCGCTTTGTCTCCCAGGCTGGAGTGCAGTGGTGCAACCTTGGTTCACTGCAACCTTTGCCTCCTGGGTTCAAGCAATTCTCATGCCTCAGCCGCCCGAGTAGCTGGAATTACAGGCACCTGCCACCACACTTGGCTAATTTTTGTATTTTTTTAGTAGAGACAGGGTTTCACCATGTTGCTCAGGCTGGTCTCAAACTCCTGACCTCAGGTGATCCACCCAGCTCGGCCTCCCAAAGTGCTGGGATTACAGGTGTGAGCCATTGCGCCTGGCTACTTTAACAATTTTTAAGTGTACAATTCAGTGGCATAAATTACATTCGCAATGTGTGCAACCATCACCACTATTTCCAAACATCTTTTTCACCTTCAATAGAATCTCTGTACCTATTAAGCAATACTGCCCCATTCTCCCATCACCACAGCCCCTGTTTTTCTGTCTCTATGAATTTGCCTATTCTAGATATTCCAAATAAGTGGAATTATACAGTATGTGTCCTTGTATGTCTGCCCTGTTTCATTCAGCATGTTTTTAAGGTTCATCTATGTTGAAAATACGTATCAGAACTTGATTCTTCTTTATGCCCAAATAATATTCCATTGCATGTATAGACCACATGTTGTTTGTCCTTTCATCTATGGATGGACATGTGGGTTGCTTCTTCCTTTTGGTCCCTGTTTTTTTCTAAGGGTTTTATAGTTGTAGCTCACACATAGAGGTCTTTGATCCATTTGGAGTTAATTTTTGTATGTGGTGTAAGGTAAGGGTCTAATTTCATTCTCTGCATGTGAATATCCAGTTTTCTCAGCACCATTTGTTAAAAAGATTGTCTTTTCCCCATTGAATGGTCTTGGCACCCTTGTTGGAAATCAGTTGATCATATACGGTTTATTTCTCGGCTCTCTATTCTGTTATATTGGTCTGTACGTCTGTCCTGATGCCAGTACCACACTTTTTTGGTTCCAGTAGTTTTGAAATCAGAAAGTGTGAGCTATCTAAATAGCCAAAATAATATTGAAAAAGAAAAACTGGCCAGGTGCGGTGGCTCATGCCTGTTATCCTAGCATTTTGGGAGGCCGAGGTGGGAGGATCGCCTGAGCTCAAGAGTTTTGAGGACAGCTTGGGTGACATAGTGAGACCCTATCTCTACAAATAATACAAAAATTAGCTGGGCGTGGTGGTGCATGCTTGTAGTCCCAGCTACTTGGGAGGCTGAGGTGGGAGGTTGGCTTGAGCCCAGGAGGCAGGCGTTGCAGTGAGCTGAGATTACTCTACTGCACTCCAGCTTGGGCAATAGAAACAAGTCTCAAAAAAAAAAAAAAAAATTGAAATGGGAAACCAGCAGTGCAAATAAGGAGGGATTTAAAATAGTGTGTCAGTGGTGTAATCAATAAAAAAGCCCTGACTGGTAGTGTTCACTGGTTCCGTGGGGGAAATACTCCCACCATGGCCAATTTCAAACCATTTTAGGTGGCTACAAAAGTCATTGTAGTCTTTGCTATTACTTTCAATAGCAGAAACTGCAATGACTTTCGCATCAACCTATGGTTGAACTCACAAACTTCCTGATATTTAACAATGAGTTGTTGCACATTGATGCTAGCCAGCTCTAGCTCACCAATGGGCTAAAAGCTTGAGTTCTGATGTTAGAAAGTTTCCTCTGAAAATCTGAGGACTGCCCATGAGGCATATAACAATAAACAGTACAGTAAATAGTACAGCTTAAAAGCCTATAAAGAGAGTGGACATGAAATTGATTAGCATAAGTAAAAGTCAGCTGTCAGTTTGACCTGAATCCTTCAGAATTCAGCATTTGCTATGTTCACACACAGCTGTCTGTTAATATGACAGTTTCCCAAGAGAACACTTTCTTGTTTTATCTTGGAAATTGAGGCATACTAATTTGTTAGCAATGACAGAGTAATCTTTGAGCACAGATAATTCATAGACACTTTTGTTTTAATTAAGAAAAAATACACCGAGTCAAGCTTTTGGCATGGGATATTTTTGTTTTATTAAAATTAATTTTGCCTGACTCAAAATTAATTTTGAGTGTGTATTTTAAGTGCCTGCCCTTGTCATATTGGAAACTGGAAATGCATGCTTGTTTTAAAACAGTAAAATAAATTTACCTTAGACAATGAAAAAAATTGATTTGACTTGTTTCTTTAAAATTTTTTAAAATTTTGCTACCAGAAAACTTAAAGTTACACATGAGCTCATGTTGTATTTCCATTGAACAGCAATGATCTAAGAATGAATTTTAGATAAAAGTAAAATGATCCCAGCTGTAAGTCTGAAGTATAAGAAGAAAGGAAGAATAAGGAAAATAATAAATATGTGGGTAAACCCAGACAAACATGCCTGTGTACAACAACAGTAAGGGCTTTGGGGTTAATGTAATTTCAACACTTCGGGAGGCTGAGGTGGGCGGATCACCTGAGGTCAGGAGTTTGAGATCAGCCTGGCCAACATGGTGAAACCCTGTCTCTACTAAAAATACAAAATTACCTGGGTGTGGTAGCACGTGCCTGTAATCCCAGCTACTTGGGAGGCTGAGGCAGGAGAATCGCTTGAACCTGGGAGGTAGAAGTTGCAGTGAGCTGAGATTGCACCACTGCACTCCAGCCTGGGCAACAGAGTGAGACTCTGTCTCAAAAAAATATAAATAAATAAAATAAAAATGTATAACAGCAATAGCTTATACATCTGACACAGGAGTAATTAAGGTTAAAGTGGTCTGAAGTCCTGTGTTGTTTGGGAGGAGGGTAAATATATAGTCGAAGTTAACATTGGATAAGTTAGTTGTGGATGCTGAAATTCCTTGTGTTACTGCTTAAAGAACATAGTCTAAAATTGCCTAACTAGTAGAGGAAAAGAATGGAATGAGAAGATAGGAAATAGATCCCCCCAAAAGGCAAAAATGAAGAGAAAAAGCATCGATAGGATAATAGTGAGAATAAATGTATCTATATACAAAATTATAGTTAAGGGTGAATAAATATTCCAGTTGAAAAACAAAAATCAGTCAGGCATGGTGGCTCATGCCTGTAATCCCAGCACCTTGGGAGGCTGAGGCGGGCAATCGCTTGAGGTCAGGAGTTCGAGACCAGCCTGGCCAACATGGTGAAACCCCGTCTCTACTAAAAATACAAAAATTAGCTGGGTGTGGTTGTGGGTTCCTGTAATGCCAGCTACTCAGGTGGCTGAGGCATGAGAATCACTTGAACCCGGGAGGCAGAGGTTGCAGTGAGCCAAGATCTTGCCACTGCACTCCAGCCTGGGTGACAGAGTGACACCCTGTCTCAAAAAAAAAAACAAAAAAAAAACCCAAAAAACAAAAAACAAAAACAAACAAACAAAATCATCTGATTGGGTTCTAAACATCATTTAAAAAATTAGCCAATTACAGGCCGGGCGCGGTGGCTCACGCCTGTAATCCCAGCACTTTGGAAGGCCGAGGCGGGCGGATCACGAGGTCAGATCGAGACCATCCTGGCTAACACAGTGGAACCCCGTCTCTACTAAAAATACAAAAAATTAGCCGAGCAAGGTGGTGGGCGCCTGTAGTCCCAGCTACTCGGGAGGCTGAGGCAGGAGAATGGCGTGAACCCCGGGGGCGGAGCCTGCAGTGAGCCGAGATCGCGCTACTGCACTCCAGCCTGGGCGACAGCCAGACTCCGTCTCAAAAAAAAAAAAAAAAAGCCAATTACAAGGTGCACATCTAAAGTCTCAGTATACACAAAGGTTGAATATACAATGATGATGAAGGTTATATAAAACAAATTCTCACTGAAGGAAAGATTAATGGCAGACAAAATAGACTTTAAAGCAAAACAGAACCCCTAGAACTAGAACAGATTATTACACAAACGATACCATACGATATCCTGTCACAACTTTTTTTCCAATCAACATTATGTTTTTGAGGCTTATCTAACTCTCATATTTTTTTTTTCGAGGTAGGATCTTGCTCTGTTGCCCAGGTTGGAGTGCAGTGGCATGATCAAGGCTCACAGCAGCCTTGAACTCCTGGGCTCAAGCCATCCTCCTACCTCAACCTCCTGAACAGCTGGGACTATAGGTGCATGCCACCATGCCTGGCTAATTTTTTAAAATTTCTGTAGAGATGGGGTCGTGATCTGTTGCCCTGGCTGGTCTTGAACTTTTGGCATCAAGCATTCTCCCTGGCTCAGCCTCCCAAAATGCTGGGATTACAGGTGTGAGCCACCTCACCTGGCCTGGTATACGTATTATTTAGGAATTTAGCATTCCTTGCTGGACGCTAGGCAATCCCCCTGCCTCCACCTCCTGGAATTTATGGATGTCAGGGTGCCTACGCTGACACACAATTACCAATGGATATGGAATGCAATTTATTGCGTGACTATGCTCACATAGTCAACATCACAAATATTTCTTGAAGGCTTCGATTTGGTTTGGAGTGAAAAAGTGAGGGTGGGAGGTGGAGGCGCTCTGCTTTTTAGTGTGGTTAGAAGTGGGGTGGGGAGGGCTCCATGCAGGGGTGTGCATGGTTTAGACTTCCCTGCCCATGCAAAGGGATAAAGAACACAAACTTTCTTATAGGCTTGCCTGGGTGTGGGCAAAAGGGAAAGGGCCAGTGATGTGGCTTGGAAGCTGTCAGCGGCCAAACATCAGGAATCATTAACTCTAGCACACTATGCTTAGATCTAATTTATTTCTTTTGACTAGTGCCAGCATTTTACCATGTGGAACAAACTTAATTTTTGTATCAATGTCTCTACTGAGGAACAATCAGTGTTTTATACCTTTTCACTCTGATAAGTGGTTTTGCAGTGACATCTCTGTACAGAATCTGTGCAAGCGTTTTTCTCAGGGAGATACCGGGATAAAGAATAGCGAGGCCAGAAGGTGTTCTAATCTTCAGGTTTACTCGGCATTGCCGGATCATCCTCTGATGTAATTATGAGAATTTATGCTACCATGTCTTGAAGTAGTGGGGTTTGTTCCAAGGGTGGTGGGAGGCCATTGCAGGGCTTCTGTGGGAGAATGATGATGTGATCTGATTATAAAAAGGATGCCGGGCGCAGTGACTCATGCCTGTAATCCGAGCACTTTAGGCTCTGAGGCGGGTGCATCACCTGAGGTTAGCAGTTTGAGACCAGCCTGGCCAACACGGTGAAACCCCGTCTCTACTAAAAATACAAAAATTAGCCGGGCGTGGTGGTGCACACCTGTAATCCCAGCTACCCAGGAGGCTGAGGCAGGATAATTGCTTGAACCCTGGAGACAGAGGTTCCAGTGAGCCAGATCGCGCCACTGTACTCCAACCTGGATGACAGAGTGAGACTCCATCTCAAAAACAAAACAAAACAAAACAAAACAAAAAAACACAGAAAAAGAAAAAACTCTGGCTGCTTTCTCGGAACCCCGGGGTGGTAAGTAGGGAGCAGGTGACGGTCATGAAGCTATTGTAGAGATCCAGGTGAGAGACAGTCGTGCCTGGAAGGGGATGATCTTTGTGGAGATGGTGATACATGGTGGGATTCAGGATTCGCTTTGAAGGTAGAGGTCATAGAGCTTGTTGATGAATTGGAGATGGGCTGTGATGGATGGCTCCCAGTGTTAAGTCTCATCAGTGAACGGGGAAGACTGGAGAAGTGGATTGGGAGCATCGAGCATTGTTTTAATCATATGGAATTTGAAATACCTATTAGGCATTATATTAGTCCATTTTGTGTTGCTATAAAGGAACATCTGAGACTAGGTAATTGATAAAGTGGTTTCTTGGGCTCACAGTTCTGCAGGCTGTACAAGCATGGCACAGCGTCTGCTTGGCTTCTGGTGGGGCCTCAGGAAGCTTCATGGTGGAAGAGAAGGGGAAGCATATGTGTCACATGGCAAGAGAGGGAGCAAGAGAGAGGGGAGGAGGCGCCAGGCTCCTTTAAACAATCAGCTCAATCCATTGGCACCTGCGTGTCTGCACATCAATGTGAACTAATAGAGTGAGAACTCACTCATTACAGCAAGGATAGGACCAAGCCATTTATGAGGGATCCACCCCCGCGACCCAAGCACCTCCCACCCAGCCCCACCTCCAACATGAGGGATCACATTTCAATATGAGGTTTGGAGGAGACACACATCCAAACCATATCACACATGCAAATGAAAATGCAGCATCCGTGGCTTGCTAAGCATGTGTGGAGCTCAGGGTGCCAGGAGGGGCTGGACAGATACATGCGCGGTACTCAGAGTAGAGGTGGCATGTAAAGCCACAGGTCCGGATGAAATCCGCCAGGTATTGGGGGATGACAAGAGGTCTTCAGACTGAGCCCTGGGGGAGCTCCAACAGTTAGAAGCCGCGAAGGGGAAGAGGATTCAGCAAGGAAAACAGAGAGGTAGAGGTCCTTGAAAACGGAAATAAAACCAGGTGAGTATGGTGAGCCAGCAGCCGCAGGGAGACAGTATTTTAAGAAGAAAGGAAAAATCACTGCATCAAATGTTCTGATAGACGGGATTGAGCTCTGAGGATAGACCCAAATCATCTAAACTCTTTGGTTACTTTTTATTTTTGATTTTCCTTATGTTGACACCTTAATTGTCGTCTCCTGCATCTGCTAATATTCTTGAGGTGGGGGAGGGAGTCAAAACCCATCCCTCCACTGCCATCCATTCTAAGTGTATCATTAGACCTAGAATGAAAAAGGTTAAGGAATTAAAAAGTGCTGGGGGCTTTGTATCTGTTGGTAGCCATTTAACCTACCCCATCGTGGCATCCTGGTGTCAAGCAGCTGTGTATATTTTTAAAAAAGCCCATCTGAATGCTCCAGAGGGCCTTTTATATCATGAGTGAGAACTGCCTGCAAGATCCTGATTGGCCCAGTTCCACAAAGAGGGCTCCAATAGGTTTTAAAACCTTCTGTCTCATTTCTTTGTGCATTTGTTATTAGCTCAATAAATAATAAATAGAGGAATTACCCAGTCACTAATTTGCTTTTTTATCAAGTAGAATTCATGTTTTAATAAATTGTCATTTTGTCTTATTGCACATGTGCCATAATATGCCTGTAATTCAAACATAAAACTATTTTTACTATAGTATTTGTTTCTTTACCCATACATATGTTCTTCAGCTATGGTTTCTGCGAGGATGTTTGTTCATTTATTGCTTTTCTTGTTCCATTCTAGTGATATGTTTGCTTTCTTCTGGAATTATTGCACTTAAAAAATTAATATTTATGTATTTTTCTCTGATCACAAGAGTAATAAACGATGCCCTTTTAAGATTCCTAAATTTACTTCCTTTTTTTTTTTTTTTATGAGTAATGTTCTTTTTGCCACTGTCATGTTTTTGGATAATGTTGTCTTTTGAATGACTACCTACATTTTGAAGAAGTGTTGAGTTGAGCCATATGAAATTGCTGATACTTGGCAATTTTTGACTACAGAAATGGTGATTTCAAATAGTTCAACCTCTTGTTTCCTTTAGTAATAATTCTACAACTTACTTATTTGCCCCCATCCCCCCTTTTCTTTTCTTTCTTTTTTTTTTTTTTTTGAGACAGGGTCTCACTGCATCACCCAGGCTAGAGTGCAGTGGTACGATCTTGGCTCACTGTAACCTCTGTCTCCTGGGCTCAAGCGATACTCTCACCTCAGCCTCCTGGGTAGCTGTGACTACAGGTTCTCGCCACCATAGCCAGCTAATTTTGTTTAATTTTTGTGGAGATGGAGTCTCACTATGTTGCTCAGGCTGGTCTTGAACTCCTATGCTCAAGCAATCCTCTTACCTCAGCTCCCAAAGTGCTGGGATTACAAGCATGAGCCACTGCGCCTGGCCCAGCTACATAATTTTTAGGGCCTACTATAAAATGAAAATGCGGGTCCTCTTGTTTAAAAGTTGTTAAGAATTTTAAGACGGACAACAGAGCCCTTTGAAGTGCCAGGCTGTGTGTGACCGTGCAGGTCACGCGTCCATGAAGCTGTTTCCAAGGTCAGGAATTGCAGACCTCGGAAGCCCTCACACTAAGGATGTGATGGACCTGCGTTCAATTCAGGGCTGCAGACCCCCAGGGCCGACTTGTCTAGCCACTCTGCAGCACTGTTGTAATCTCCTGACTGATCTCTCTGGTCTTGCTCTTCTCCATCCAATCAAGAGTGATATTTTTGTTTTTATTGTTTATTTATTTATTATATTTTTTTTCTTTGAGATGGAGTCTCTCTGTCTGTAACCTAGGCTGGAGTGTGGTGGCACAATCTTGGCTCACTGCAACCTCCACCTCCTGGATTCAAGTGATTCTCCTGCCTCAGCCTCTTGAGTAGCTGGGACTACTGGAGCATGCCAACACGCCTGGCTAATTTTTTTATATATTTAGTAAAGATGGGGTTTCACCATATTGGCCAGGCTGGTCTCAAACTCCCGACCTCAGGTAATCCACTTGCCTCGGCCTCCCAAAGTGCTGGGAATACAGACGTGAGCCACCTCGCCTGGCAGAGCGATCATTTTAAAACTGAAATCTGGAGGGAACCTCTTCCCTGCTGCTGCCTTTGAATGAAGTCTAAGCTCAGTAGCACAGAACCCAAGTCTCGTGGTCAGGGCCTACTCTCTCAGATCCTTCCCATGTGCACCATTCACAAGCTTTGTTTGTCCTGACCAGCTTGACAATCTCCACATGCTTTTTCTTTCCTTTACTGTTTTTTTGAAACAGAGTCTCACTCCGTCGCCCAGGCTGGAGTGCAGTGGCGTGATCTCAGTTCACTGCAGCCTGCTCCTCCCAGGTTCAAGCAATTCTCTTGCTTCAGTCTCCTGAGTAGCTGGAACTCCAGGGGTGCACCATCATGCCCGGCTAATTTTTGTATTTTGGGTAGTGATGGGGTTTTGCCATGTTGGCCAGGCTGGCCTCGAACTCCTGACTTCAGGTGATCTGCCCGCCTCGGCCTCCCAAAGTGCTGCGTTTATAGGTGTAAGCACTGAGTCTGGCCTCGACATGCCCTTTCATGCCTTCTTGGTTTTTCCTATGCTAGTCTTTTCCCCTGCCACCCCACCCCAACTGCCTAGCAAACTTATAATCACTCTTGAATAACCCGGCTAATACCATTTCTATCGGTCTGAAGCTTGTTTGAATCACTCTAGCAGAGTTGGCCCTTTCCTCCTCTGTGCCATCAATATCTTTAAGTCATGTCTGTTTAGGTGGTTACTGCAGTATGTGATAGTCATTTGCTTTTATTTATTTATTTTTGAGACAGGGTCTCACTTTGTCACCCAGGCTGGATTGCAGTGGTGCAATCTCGGCTCACTGCAGCCTGGAACTCCCAGGCTCAAGTGATCCTGCCACTTCAGCCTCCCAAGTAGCTGGGACTACAAGGTGCATGCCACCACACCTGGCTAATTTTTGTGTTTTTTGTAGAGATGGGGTTTCACTGTGTTGCCCAGGCTGGACTTGAACTCCTGAGCTCATGATCTGTCTGCCTCGGCCTCCAAAAGTGCTGGGATTACAGGTGTGAGCTACCACACCCGGCCCATTTGTTTTTCATGTCTGTCTTTCTTCCTGAGCTAGTCATAGGCAGGAGAAATGTCTTTTAAATTTTATTTTATTTTTTATTTTTAGAGACAAGGTACTGCCCTGCTGTCTAGGCTGGAGCACAGTGGTGTGATCACAGCTCACTGCAGCCTTGACCTTCAGGACCCAAATGATCCTCCTGCCTGGACTTCTAAGTAGCTGGGATTGCAGGCGCATGTCACAATTGCAGGACATTGTGACAAAAAATTTTTTGTCACCCCTAGTTTTTAATTTTTTTGTAGAGATGGGTCTTGCTATGTTGCCCAGGCTGGTTTTGAACTCCTGGGCTCCGGTGATCCTGTCATCTTGACCTCCCAAAATGTGTGGATTACAGATGTGAGCCACTGCACTCAGCTAACATTGTCTTGCTTAGTTTTGTATCCTCTGTATTTACTCCAGGGCTTGGCAAAGGGCATGTGTTAGATCAATGCTAATTGTGTTGACTTAAAATCAGGACTGGTGTAAGGAGGATGTGATGATAGTTTAATGGGACTAGGGAAGGAGTTGAGGGCAATGGCTGTTGGTGATAGACTCAGAGTTCCACTGGATTACCTGACTGAAAAGATGAGGTTAGATGGGTACTTTTTTTTTTTTTTGAGACAGAGTTTCGCTCTTGTTGCCTGAACTGGAGTGCAATGGCACAATCTTGGCTCACTGCAACCTCTGCCTCGCAAGTTCAAGCGATTCTCCTGCCTCAGCCTCCTGAATAGCTGGGATTACAGACATGCCACCATGCCCGGCTAATTTATTTTTGTGTTTTTAGTAGAAACGGGGTTTCACCATGTTGGCCAGGCTGATCTTGAACTCCTGACCTCAGGTGATCCACCCACCTCAGCCTCCCAAAGTGCTGGGATTACAGGAGTGAGCCACCATAGATGGGTACTTCTAAGTGACGGGCCGTGTGTGACTGTGCAAGTTGCATGACCGTGAAGCTGGTCTCGAGGTCAGGAATCTGAGACAGAGTGAAGGCCAGTGAAGGCCTCACACTTAGGACATGTTGGACTCCCATCCAGGGCCCCAGACTCCCAAAGCTGATTTATCTAGCCATCCTGTAGCACTGATGTAATCTCCTGATGGGTCTTTCGCTGATCTTGTCCTGTTTGTATTTATCTGGAATATCTAGGACAAAAGACAGGTGTGAACGGGAAGGGCCAAGCCTTTTGCTTCTGTGATGTCCCACTGGATCACAGCACATGAGCCTGTCAGTGCCTGGAATGGCCACTTGCAGAGATTATTGGAAACTTCTGTCCCTCAAGGTCACCAGACGGGAAGAGAAGATACTAGTTGCTTAAATGTGGGAGGAAACTATTTTCCTTTTTTCCTCTCTTAGATAATTAATTCTTCAAAAAGATTTCCAGCTGTGTGTAAATGGTTGATGTTAGTACCTAAATAGAAAATATAAAGAGCAATGGGTTTGCTAAATAGACTTAAATAATTAGCAGTGTAACCAGTATTTTTAGGAATATTATTTTTTGGTTTCATAGATAAATAATTTGCAACTTCCTTGTCTGCCAAGACTACTGTGAACATATACTCTGGTGACCCGGACATTGTTACAAGCCTCAGAGCATGGATCCTTCTGGCAGAGAAAAGGTAACGTCATTTTTCTTTAAGAATTTTTTATATGGGTCCTTTGTGATCCTATCCTGGGAGGATTTCCGCCCTTTCTATCAGCTTCTTTGTCTGGAAAGCATTCTCTTGAAAAGGTGTTTGTTCCTAAAATAGATCATAGCTGTGTAGAAAACTCTTACCAAACTTTCACGACGTTTTGATTTTGAAGATGAGTCTTTCTCTAGTTCCTGAAAAGAGACGTGGACTTTTGTCATTTTCCCATTGCCATGTGTCACATGGGCTATTTCCCAGGGCACCTGGCTTTGGTGGTGTGTCTGGCACACTTGGGGTGGTGCTTTGGAAGAACATGAGCAGTGATTTTTGTTGTCCTGTCTCGCTTGAGACAGGTGGTGGCCTGAGTGCAGTGACCCTTTTCTTTGTATTCAGAAGGTCCTTGGCGTACATTGGATCAACTTAAATTTTTTGACTTTACGATGATGCAAAAGTGATCTTCGTTCAGTAGAAGCCATACTTTGAGTACTTGTACAACCAATCTATTTTTTCACCTGCAGTACAATGTTCAATAACTTCTATGAGATATTCAGCACTTACTTTATTATAAAACAGCCTTTTTAGATGATTTTGCCCAATTGTAGGCTAATGGAAGTGTCTGACCGTGTTTAAGGTCAGCTAGGCTGTTATGTTGTTCAGTAGGTTAGATGCGTTAAATGCATTTCTGGCTTACGACAGTTTCAACTTACAATGAATGGGCTTATCAGGATGTAACCCCATCCTAAGAGGAGCAACATCTGCACTTAGTTTCTCTGTAGTGTCTTTGTTTTGGTTTTCTCTCTCTTGCTCTCTCTTTCTTTCTCTGTCTTTGTCTCTCTTGATATTCCCTTTGGTGTTTAGAAAGGCTTGGAGTTTTGTCTCCTAATGGTTATCTTTATAGTAATACCTTTACATAATAACCTAAATACCACCTCCCTACCTATTTTGGTACTGTGTTGGCTTCCCTATCATGAGCAATGTTTTAAATAGCTTGTAATTCTTCCTCTCTCTTTTTTTTCCCTTTTATCCAGCATCTAACTTAAAATAAAATTAGTTTACTCTCAGTTAACAGCAATAAGACAATCAACAAGTTAATTACTGTTACTACTGTTATTATTAGAGTTAGGGTCTTACTCTGTTGCCCAGGCTGGAGTGCAGTGGCACCATTACGGCTCACTGCAGCCTCCACCTCCTGGGCTCAAGTGGTCCTCCCACCTCAGCCTCTCAAGTAGCTGGGACTACAGGCGTGTGCCACCACGCCCAGCTTGAGTTTATTCTATACATTCTCCCCCACTATTTTTGATGGTTGCATTTTGTCTACACTATCAAACACATCACCGTTATATATTGTCCTGGCACCCCTACCCCATCATTTTGTCCTAGTTCTAAATATACTCAGTATTTACCATTATCCCTTTGCCAAAACTGGAACCTGCCTAATCATTTCTTAGTATTCTGAAGTTTGTTCTCCAGTAGATGCCTTCATTAAAGGCTCATGGCAACAATAGTTCCTGAATCTTTTTTGTTTACTTTAACATCTGTCTTTTTAATCTTCAATAAAAAATCTGTGGAAAAGTTGGAGGACCCAAAGAAATTTTTTCGACCAGGCATGGTGGCTCATGCGCATAATCCCAGCACTTTGGGAGACTGAGGTGGGTGGATCACCTGAGGTCAGGAGTTCGAGACCAGCCTGGCCAACATGGTGAAACCCCATCTCTACTAAAAATACAAAAATTAGCCGGGCGTGGTGGTGGGCGCCTGTAGTCCTAGCTATTCAGGAGGCTGAGGCAGGAGAATCACTTGAACCTGGGAGGCGGAGGTTGCAGTGAGCCAAGATTGTGCCATTGCACTCCAGCCTGGGTGATAGAGCAGGACTCTGTCCCGACCACCCCCGCAAAAAAAAAAAAAAAAAAAAAAGGAAAAGAAAAGAAATAGGAAAGAAATTTTTTCTCTCCAACTCATTTGAGGATAAGTTGCCGGATGCTTTGTCACCCCAAATACTTTAGTGTGTATTTCCTACGAAAACAATCACCAACATAACCTCATTATTATTAGAAAAACTTAGGAAGATTACAGGGATCCATTACTAACATGTGTCTTAGTCAGATTAGGCTGCCGTAATGAAATACCATTGACTGGATGGCTTAAACAGCAGATATTTATTTCTCACCGTTCTGAAGGCAGAAAGTACAAGATCAAAGTGCCAAGTGATCCAGTTCCTGGTGAGGGCTGTCTTCCTGGCTTGCAGATAGTTGTCTTGCTGTATCCTCACACGGCTCTGGTGGGAAGGGTTGGGTGTGAAGAGGGCACAAAAACTCCTGCTGTCTTCTATACTCTTCTATAAGGGTACTGGTCCCATCATAAGGACCCCATCCTGATGACCTCATCTAAACCTAATCACCTCCCAAGACTCCAACTCCTAATAATACCATTACATTAGGGGTTGGGGCTTCAATATATGCATTTTGGGAGCACATCAGCATTCAGTCCATAGCAACATTTAATCCTCAGCCTCAACTCAAGGTTCACCTATTGTTTTCATAATGTCTGTTATAGCAAAAGGATTCAGCCAGGATCATGCATTGCTAAGAGACATTAGTGGTCATGTCCCTTTAGCTCTTCCAGTTTGGAAGATACCTCCCCCAGACTGACTCCTCCTCCTCCAGACCGGAGGAGCCAAAGGGACAGGATGATTCCTTCACTTTGATGACTTCGACACTTTTGAAGATTAGGGACCAGTTAATTTGTAGAATGTCCTTCAAGTTGGGTTCATCTGATGACATCTTATGATTAGACTCAGGTTGTGCATTTTGGGGAGGGATATTGCAAAGGTGGATGTTGCATTCTCCATGTATCTGTCACACAATTTTAATTTGTCCTGTTCGCTGTGATCACTTAATAAAGTGGCATTTGCCAGACTTTTCTGCTGTAAAGTTACTCTTTGCCTCTTAATTAGCATCCCCTATCTATCCATCCATCCACCCATCCATCCATCCGTGCATCCTTCCATCATCCATCCAACCATGTGGAGGTACTTTAAACAGTGTAAAGGGCTGGGCGCGGTGGCTCACACCCAGCACTTTGGGAGGGCAAGGCGGGTGGATCACCTGAGGTCAGACTTCGAGACCAGACCAACATGGAGAAACCCCATCTCTATTAAAAATACAAAATTAGTTGGGCATGGTGGCGCATGCCTGTAATCCCAGCTACATGGGAGGCTGAGGCAGGAGAATCACTTGAACCTGGGAGGCAGAGGTTGCGGTGAGCTGAGATCATGGCACTGTGCTCCAGCCTGGGTGACAGAGTGAGAATTCGTCTCAAAAACAAACACACAAACAAACAAACATACAAAAACTTTGTAAATACCCTGTTGCTGATCAAACTCAATTTATTCATTCATGTATTTATATCGGACTTAAGGATTTTATTTTATTGGATCAATTATACTCCATTATTATTATTTATTTATTTTGATATTCGAACTGTCTCAGATTTAGGCCAGTGGGATCCTCTTTGAGCTCATTCTTGTGTCATTTTGACATGTTCCCATCATTCATTGAGAATTTCCTTACTTTCTGAACAACAAGATATTCTAGGCATATCTTGCACCTGTCCTAGGCCTGGACTGAATCATTTTCCTGGACTCAGTCAAGGAGCCCTGATTTCTTCTCATGTGAAATGATACTTAGAAACTAAGATCTAAGGATTCTAGGTGTGCTCATCAATACTGTCAGGTAGTTGTTCCCAGGCACACTCTGTAAACAGGCTAAGGGATATATATGTATGTCATATACCACACATTTACACATTTGCGTTTTTTATCATCTATCCATCCTTCCATCCATCCATCCTTCCATCCATCATCCATTTATCCATATACCTACCCATCCATCCATCCATCCTTTCATCCATCATCCATCCATCTACCCATCCATCCACCCATCCATCCTTCTATCCATCCATCCATCCTTCTATCCATCCATCCATCATTCATCCATCCATCCATCTACCCACCCATCCACTCATCCATCCATCATCCATCCATCCATCAATTCATCCATCCATCATTCCATCTCCCATCTATCCATCCATCTACCCATCCATCCATCCATGCAACCTTTCATCATCCGTCCATCCACCCATCCTTTCATTCATCATCCATCCATCTATTCATCTACCCATTTACCCATGCATCCATGCATCCATCCATCCATTTTTTCATTCATCATCCACCCATTCATCCACCACCCATCCATCCATCCATCCATCCATCTATCACCCATCCATCTACCCTTTCTTCTTTCCTTTCTTCCTTCCTTCTTCTTATCCATCCACCCATCCATTTATCCATCCATCACTCGATTGATTGATTCATTGATTCCATTGATTGCTTGATCCATCCATCCATCCATTATCTCCCCTCCATCTATCCATCTATCAATCTAGTCAATCCAATTCAATCTAATCCAATCCAATCTACTCTACTCTTTTTTCTCTCTATGAGTCACACTATACCTCCAATTCCAGTTCAATACCACAGAGTTCACTGTAGTTTTCTCCTTTTCCATGTTTGTATCCCTTTTCTCTGACAGTGAGAAACCCAGTCCCTATTATCTTTAATGTATTTACTTACTTGCACAACCTCCCTGTATGTAACAAATCTCCCATCTTTACTGCCACCTTCATGCCTTGCATAGATGCCCCTCTCACTCTGCGTGGAATATCACTCTCGGTGCCAGGATGCACCCTTCGTGGCTGCCCTTCTCACCCCAGTTGGGCGTCTACTCCCTGGGCCAGGTTGTCTGCTGCACACTCTCAGCCTACTTGGCCTCTGATGCCCTACTCTTCCCTTCACACACACTGATGCCTCCTTCTTTTGTGTGGGTTTTCACATCCCAACCAGACTGTCTTTCTATTTCTATTCAAGCTCTGACTTCCTGGGTCAGGCTGCCCTGGGTGTGGACACTTTTTTCACTCCTTTTTGCTCGCACCCATGCCAGGTTGCCACCTTTTGTAGATGCCTTTCTCTTCCTGCTAAGCCTCTGCTAGGCTGCCCTCCTCTGCAAACGTCTTCCTCACCCTACTTGAGCTATCCCACCTCATTTTTGGCCCTCACCGCTGCTCCTGCCCTCCCCCTGTGCAGGCAACTACCTTGCTCTCCCATACCTGATGGCTGAGTTAGGACTGAATTCTCTCAGGAAGGCATGGGGAAAGAGGAAGAAGGAAGAGCTTATCTGGTGTCTTGTGTGCTCATAGAGTTAGTCCATGAATTTATATGAGAGTTATTCAGGATAAGATCTTCAGTGGACATTTTCTTTCCTTGAGGATCTTAAATAGGCTACTCCCGTGTCTTCTGGCTTTGAGGGTTGCTGTTGAAAAGTTTGATGCCAAGCGGATTTCCTTCTTCTTAAAAAGTCACTTTGTCTTTTTGCCCGAATGTCCAAAGGATTTTTTCTTTAAAGTTCCATCATTTTACTAAAATATGTCTCAAAGTTGGCCATGCTGAACTGATTTTCCCAGGAATGTAGTGTGCCCTGTAAGTATGAAGATTCAAGTCTTTTTTTTCTTATTTTTAATTTCAGGGGAGATTTTTGAATTACGGTTTTTTTTTTAAAGTATTTTCAGGCCAGGAGTGGTGGCTTACGCCTGTAATCCCAGCAATTTGGGAAGCTACGGTGGACAGATTACTTGAGCCCAGGAATTCGAGACCAGACTGGGTAACATGGTGAAATCCCATTTCTATGAAAAACACAAAAATTAGCTGGGCCTGATGGCATGTGCCTATGGTCCCAGCTACCTGGGAGGCTGAGATGAGATGATTGTTTGAGCCCAGGAGTTTGAGGCTACAATGAGCCTTGATTGCACTGCACTCCAGTTTGAGCAACAGAGCAAAATCCTGTCTCAAAAAAACAAAAAGATTTTTTCTGTTCCTTTTCTTGCCTTTTTTTTCTTTTTAAAACCGCACTTGATTATATTTCAATACATAATTTCTGTACAACCAAAAAATTAACCACCACGGTAAAATAAACAGGAAAAAACAAGGTATCTCATTTGCAATGTTTGACAAAATGTTAACATCATTAAACATGAATGAACTCTTAGAAATCAGTAACAAAGAGACTAATATTACAAGGAAAGTGAAAATAAAAGGAACAGAGGAAAATGAAATAACGCAAATGACTAATAAATCTACACCAGGATGATGTAGCTTAACATTAATAGAAGAAAAATAAATTTCTTTGTAATATTACATTATCAGTGATTACAAATACTGATATCTGATGTTTGTACAGTTTTAGGAAATGGAGAATTCTCACTCGAGTTATGTTATAGGAAATTTTTTTTTTTTTTTGAGACAGAGTCTCCCTCTGTCACCCAGGCTGGAGTGCAGTGGTGTGATATCGGCTCACTGCAACCTCCGCCTCCAGGGTTCCATTGATTTTCCTGCCTCAGCCTCCCGAGTAGCTGGGACCACAGGCACCTGCCACTATGCCTGGATAATTTTTGTATTTTTAGTAGAGACGGGGGTTTCATCATGTTGGCCAGGCTGGTCTTGAACTCCTGACCTCAGGTGATCTGCCCGCCTCACCTCAGGTGATCTGCCCGCCTCAGACTCCCAAAGTGCTGGGATTGCAGGCATGAGCCACTGCGCCCAGCCTCAAAATGCAGATTTTGCATTTACTTTGCCCTAGCAGGTTCAATCCACAGAAATTATTCCAACACAGTAGTTGGATGAATTGACATTTATATGTAGGCAGGTTCACTACATAGAAAGTCTGTAGATAATATATCATCCTCCCTGAAACTATTTATGTATCAATGACCTTATAAAAAAATAGACTTGGGGGGTAGAATTAGAAAGAAAAAAAGACAAGTAATTAAAAAATATTGCATGTTACAAAATTCTATGTCCTTTGAATTCTTGAAAAAGATCATCTTTTAATGAATCAATTTTAAATTTACCCTGTGATAAGTGAAAATTATAAATATATGTACTTCCTACTTATGAAGAACTGAGATGAACCCCTTTTAATGCCACCATCCTGGCCTCTCTGTTCAATCACGTCTCACTCATTCCAGCTCCTAAAATTTAGTCCAAGGGTAACCATGAAAACAATCATCGTGCCTAGTTAAAATTCACTTCGATGACTTTTTTTTTTTGAGGCGGAGTCTCACTCTGTTACCCAGGCTGGAGTGCACAGTCTCAGCTCACTGCAGCCTCTGCCTCCTGGGTCCAAGCAATTCTCCTGCCTCAGCCTCCTGAGTAGCTGGGACTGTAGGTATGCGCCACTACGCCCTGCTAAATTTTGTATTTTTAGTAGAGATGGGGTTTCACATGTTGGCCAGGCTGGTCTCAAACTCCTGACCTCAGGTGATCCACCCTCCTTGGCCTCCCAAAGTGCTGGAATTACAGGTGTGAGCCACCACTCCTGGCCTCGATGACATTCTCAAGGGCAGTTTCCAAAAATGAGCTATGTCAGTCTAGTTTTTCTGATCTGCAAGGAGTGTTCCCTGCAACATACGCAAGTGAGGAGTCTCTGTAGATTATGAAGACCATGACTTACTTTTTTTTCATTTTTGAGACAGAGTCTGACTCTGTCACCCAGACTGGAGTGCACTGGCACAATCTCGGCTCACTGCAAGCTCCACCCCCTGGATTCAGGCGATTCTTGTGCCTCAGCCTCCTGAGTAGCTGGGATTACAGGTGTGAGCCACTGCCCCTGGTCCATGTCTTGGTTTTGATAAAGCTGGTGGTAGAAACAATAGCAGAGGCTTCCTTTCGGTCATCACAATCGCACTGCTGAGGGAGTGATTACTGGAATGAGGATACCGCAGCAGGTCATCACTGATGGTAGGCACCATCTTGGGATTAAAAACACAGATGACAAACCTTTGCCTTCTTGAAATGATCATCTCCTACAATTTGCAGTTAAGACATAGACTAAGGCACTCCATAGGAAAGGGATGATTTCAGCTGTACTCAGGTTAGTTGCAGATATGTCTTTCTCTCATGCTGATTACCTCAAATTCCATCTTCTGCCTTCTTTCCTTTGGTAACCCTATACTCTGTTTCATTGTAAGACTCTACTGCACTAGTGTCCAAATCATATACTCTGTGTGAGATCATTCAAAAACCATTCAGGGCCGGTGCGGTGGCTCACACCTATAATCCCAGCACTTTGGGAGGCCGAGGTGGGTGGATCACCTGAGGTCAGGAGTTGGAGAGCAGCCTGGCCAGCATGGCAAAACCCTGTCTCTACCAAAAATATAAAAATTAGCCAGGCATGGTGGCACACACCTGTAATCCCAGGTACTCGGGAGGCTGAGGCAGGAGAATCACTTGAACCCAGGAGGCGGAGGTTGCAGTGAGCTGAGATCATGCCATTGCACTCCAGCCTGGGTGACAGAGCAAGACTCTGTCTCCAACAAACAAAAACCAAAAACCAAAAACCAAAAAACCATTCAGAATGGCTGTTGGGAATAAAAAGTTGGAAACAACAAACCAATGTGCCAGGATGTTGATTGGCAAAGATGAAGGCTCTAATTTTTTCTGTACATACATTGGCTGTCTTTTGTTTACATTTTTTTATTTTTCTCTTGAGACAGGATCTTTCTCTGGGACCCAGGCTGGAATGCAGTGGTGTGAACACGGCTCACTGCAGCCTTGAATTCCCTGGCTCAAGTGATTCTCCTGCCTCAGCCTCCCCGAGTAGCTGAGACCGCAGGCATGAGCCACCACACCTGGCTAATTTTGTTTAAGTTTTGTAGAGACGGGGTATTGCTACGTGTCTCAGGCTGTTCTGGAACTCCTGGGCTCAAGCAATCCTCCTGCCTCGGCCTCCCGAAGTGCTGGGACTATGGGTGGGAGCCCCTATGCCTGGCCTCTTATTTTTTACTTTTATCATTTTTATTTTAATGCTTTCTATCCTTTTCTTCATTTCTGTTTTATTTTCTTCCTTTTTTTCTTGTTTCTGCCAATTGTTTCTGAGCTCTGTAAACTGTTCTCACATCTGCCTATTGTCTGGCCATCTCATTTCTGAGTTTTCTAGTTTGTGTTTATGCCTTTCTTTCATAGCTTCTCCTATTTTCTTAATTTTCTGTAATTCATTTTGAAATATTAGCTTAATGTTTTCATATACCCCGTAGTTTTATTTTTTTCTGGTGAATATTATCCTCTAAATATATGTTATTTGGATTATTTTTCTTTCTTTATTCTATTTTTGAGTGAGGATTGACCATAATCTTTTTCTGTTGTTGAAGTTGTATTTTTAGAAGGAAATTTCTATATTGAGGATGGGCCAGAGTGTCTTTCTCTCATTTCCCATTTTATCAGAAAGTCTTAGAAAATATGTGCAGTCATCTCTTCAGTGCTTTCTGCTATTTGCTTTCTCTGGTCCCCTCTCTGACTAGCATCTAAATTTTTTTTTTTATGCCCAGGTGCCCAGCCCTGATCAAGTTGGGGTCTCCTTGCAACGATTTCTCCTCAGTGTGAGCTCTCCAACTCCAGAAGGGGAGGGAGGCCACTGGGTGCTTCTGAGAGTCTTTTTTTTTTGAGACAGGGTCTCACTCTGTTGCCCAGGCTGGAGTGCAGTGGTGCCGTCAAGCTTGCTGAAACCTCGAACTCCTGGGCTCAAGTGATCCTCCTGCCTCAGCCTTCTGAGTAGCTGGGACTACAGGCCAGAATAAGCTGATTTTTTGAAATTTTTTTGCAGATAGGTGTTTCACTATGTTGCCCAGGCTGGTCTCGAACACCTGGCCTCAAGCAATCCTCCTACCGCAGCTTCCCAAAGTGCTGGGATTACAGGTGTGGGCCACTGCACCTGCTTCCTGAGCATCTTGATGGTCAACTGCCTTTTTGCAGCAAAGCCCTGCCCAGTTTTGCCTGCTGTGCCTAGATCTGCGTCTGGGTGGGAGCCCCTCCTGTGGGGCTGACCACCTGTTGGCAGTCTTAGCTCCCCAGCACTTAAGACCCTCATTTCCCTCTGCCCCTGGCCTGATGTCATTCCCTGTGGGTCTGACTGCTGTCTGTGGTTTGTGTGTGTGTGTGTGTGTGTGTGTGTGATTATAGTTTTATATATGTGTGTTTTTTAAAACTTCTAAGTTCAGGGGTACATGTGCAGGTGTGTTATATAGGTAAACTTGTGTCATGGGGGTTTGTTGTACAGATTATTTTGTGACCCAGATACTAGCACCCAACAGTTATTTTTTCTGGTCCTCTCCCTCCTTCCACCCTCCACCCTCAAGCAGGCCCCCCAGTGTGTGTTGTTCCCCTCTATCTGTCCATGTGTTCTCATTCCACTTATTAGTGAGAACATACATTATTTGATTTTCTGTTCCTGCATTAGTTTGCCAAGGCTAATGGCCTCCAGTTCCAGCCATTTTCCCACAAAGGACCTGATCTCATTTTTGTTGTTGTTTTTTGAGTCAGGATCTCACTCTGTCACCAAGGCTGGAGTGCAGTGGTGCGATATTGGCTCACTGCAACTTCCGCCTCCTGGTTTCAAGCCAGTCTCCTGCCTCAGCCTCCCAAGTAGCTGGGACTACAGGCATGTGCCACCACGTTCAGCTAATTTTTGTATTTTCAGTAAAGATGGGGTTTTGCCATGTTGGGCAGGCTAGTCTCAAATTCCTGACCTGAAGTAATCTGCCCACCTTGGACTCCCAAAATGCTGGGATTACAGGCATGAGCCACCACACCTGGCCCTCGTTCTTTTTGATGGCTGCATAGTATTCCATGGTGTATATGTACCACATTTTCTTTATCCAGTCTGTTGTTGATGGTCACCTACATTGATTCCATGCCTGTGCTATTGTAACTAGTGCTTCAGTGAATGTACACATGCATGTGTCTTTAAGGTAGAATGATTTATATTCATTTGGGTGTATACCCAGCAATGGGATTGCTGGGTTGAATGGTAGTTCTGTTTTTACGTCTTTGAGGAATTGTCCCACTGCTTTCTACAATGGTTGAACTAATTTACACTCCCACCAACAGCGTATAAGTGTTCCCTTTTCGCTACAACCTCACCAGCACCTGTTATTTTTTGACCTTTTGGTAACAGCCATTCTGACTGGTGTGAGATGGTATCTCATTGTGATTTTGATTTGCATTTCTCTAGTGATCAGTGATGTTGAGCTTCTTTTCATATGCTGGTTGACTGCATGCATTTGGTTGATGGCATTCTCTGTGGGTTTTATCTTTTGCTATCCTAATTGATCTCCCTGTTTTATGAGGGGATTGGAGGAGATTACAAAACTGTGCCGTCATCACTTTCATTTTACTTGTTTCTTATTTTTGCCTATTCCCCAGCCTAGACTCTTTCCATCTTTGTGTACTTTTTGGTTAGGGCTTCAAAGAGCCCTTTCAAGACCCATGTTCTATAGGAACGAGACTCCTCTTATTCGAAAGGAATAGATTCTTGGCTCTTGTTCATGCCTTAGGTGTGCGCAGAGCAGAAAGTCACATCAGTGAGCAGTGAGTTCTCAGCTTTCTTATGAGGAAAATGGTAAGCAAATAGGACTTTCAGAATCTGATAAGGCACATTAATTTTCATGTGTGTTTTGTTTCGGGGTGATCATGTTGCAGTGTTTTACTACTAAAAATCCTGATTTGGTGCTGCATATTCATATTTAAAACAAGCAACCTGCTTCTTTCTTCATGTTTCCACCCTTTTCCCTCTTACACATTTATAACTTTATTTTATTTTAGTTTTGTTTTATTAATTAACAGTGATACTTTTAGTAGCATCATGATCTAGAATCACCTGGTACACAGATTTTGTTCTGGGCTTGAGTTCAGAAGTAGCTCCTTCCTCTCTTCCCCTTCCCTTCCCTTTCTTTCCCCTTTCCGTTCCCCTCCCTTCTTCCCCTCCCTTCCCTTCTCCTCCCTCCGTCTCCTTCCTTCCATCCTCTTTCTTTCTTTCTTTTTTCTTTCTTTCTTTTCTTTTCTTGCTTTGTTGCTTTATTTCTTTCTTTCCCTCCTTCCCCCCTTCCCTCCCTCCCTCCCTCCCTTCCTTCTTTCCTTCCTTCCTGGAGTCACCCAGGCTGGAGTGCAGTGGCATGATCTCAGCTCACTGCAACCTCTGCCTCCTGGATTCAAGCTATTCTCCTCCCTCAGCCTCCCAAATAGCTGAGATTACAGGCGCACGCCACCATGCCTGGCTAATTTTTGTATTTTTAGTGGAGACGGGTTTCACCATGTTGGCCAGGCTGGTCTTGAACTTCTGACCTCAAATGATCCACCCACCTTGGCCTCCCAAAGTGCTGGGATTATAGGGGTGAGCCACCACGTCTGGCCCAGAAATAGCTTTAGAGTGAATGTGGGTCATAGTTTTGTATTTTGTGGGGTGCTGTAGTCAGAGTCTGCTTCAAATATCTCAGTTTACTTGACAAGTGCCACTTATTTGGCTGTGGCAGTAAAGGGTGTAGTTCTCAAATATCTTTAAGAAATCATCAGTATCTTATAAAGTATGATAACATATAATCCTTGTATTATTTACCTAAATTATTTCTTTTTGTAAAAGCATAAGTTTAATCCCCAAAATACTTTATCATGTTTACTGTACTTTGCATAACTCACTTAATTTTGACGTGTCCCAATTATGTGGGTGGAAAAAGCGAATCAGAAATAGAAGAAATGAGGCTTAATGGAGTACAAGAAGCACGAGGGAAAAAACAGCCTTTAGTCCAATGCATCTGATCAAGTAGAATTTACGCCAGGAGTACGAAGTTAGTTTACCATTCGAAAACCAATCAGTGTACTTCATCATATAGACACACTAAAGGAGCAAAACCATTTGATCATCTCAATAGATAGCAAAGGCATTTGATCCCTATCTAAACCAGTTCAAGATGCAAATTCTGGCCAGGCATGGTGGCTCATGCCTGTAATTCCAGCACTTTGGGAAGCTGAGGCAGGAGAATCACTTGAGCCTGGGAGTTCGAGACCAGCCTGGTGACATAGCAAGAGGACTATTTGCCCTGGGATCTGAGTCAAGTCAAATAAAGATAGCCTATGACTGGAGTCTTTTAAGGAGCCAGAGATAGGTCAAATAATGAAAATTCTCTGAGAAGGGGACTTTGAAGGAGCTCCAATTCCATTTGCCCCCTCCAGTGACTGCCAGTGTGCTGGTTTTCACCATGATAGCAATCTGCTGGTTTTCAAGGTTACCATGGAGTGAGGGCAGGGGGATGAGAATAGGGCAAATTAAATCACCACAAAACTCACTGTTCTCTCTGAGATTCAGCCATTTTTCTAAAATAAATGCTCAGCAAGTCTCCACAGTCCTGAAAAAGTAGATTCTAAAAAATTTCACCCATGGGCCGGGCGCGGTGGCTCATGCCTGTGATCACAGCACTTTGGGAGGCCGAGGCGGGCGGATCACAAGGTCAGGAGATCGAGACCACGGTGAAACCCCGTGTCTACTAAAAATCCAAAAAAAAAAAAAAAGCCGGGCGTGGTGGCGGGCGCCTGTAGTCCCAGCTACTCGTGAGGCAGAGGCAGGAGAATGGCGTGAACCCGGGAGGCGGAGCTTGCAGTGAGCCGAGATCGCGCCACTGCATTCCAGCCTGGGTGACAGACCGAGACTCCGTCTAAAAAAAAAATTTCACCCATGTTCTCACTGCTTCTATAGAGGAGAGGCTCTTTGGATGTTCTCACTCTGCCGTTTTCACTGATAACACCTTCTACCAATTCAGTGTGGAGGACAGAGAAACCTTATTCCCAGATAGGACCCCTTGCCCTCATTTATGTTGTAGTTGCCGTGTGCATTGTATCTACATACAATTTTAAAACCCCACCAGATTATGTTATAATTTTTGCTTCTAGCCACCACACATATTTTTTTGAAACTTAAAGGGAGAAAAATAACCTACTATATTTATCCAGATATTTTCCATTTATGTTGCTCTTCCTCATTCCTCAAGCTCCAAGTTACACACTGGTTTGATTTCCCTTCTGCCAGAATTTATTTCAGCATTTCTTTGGAGCAGGTTTGCTGGTGACAAATTCTCTTCATTTTCCTTCATCTGAGAATTTTTTTTTTTTTTTTTTGAGACGGAGTCTCGCTCTTTTGCCCAGGCCTGAGTGCAGTGGCGCTATCTCGGCTCACTGCAAGCTCCGCCTCCCGGGTTCACACCATTCTCCTGCCTCAGCCTTACGAGTAGCTGGGACTACAGGCGCCCGCCACCGCGCCCGGCTAATTTTTTGTATTTTTAGTAGAGACGGGGTTTCACCGTGTTAGCCAGGATGGTCTCGATCTCCTGACCTCGTGATCCACCCGCCTCGGCCTCCCAAAGTGCTGGGATTACAGGCTTTGAGTCACCGCGCCCGGCCGAGAATGTTTTTATTGTACCTTCATTAGTGAAGGGCATTTTATTTGGATATGAAATTCTATGTTAACAGTTCTTTTCTTTCAGCACTTTTTTTTTTTGAGACAGAGTCTCACTCTGTTGCCCAGGCTGGAGTGCAATGGCACGATCTCAGCTCACTGCAACCTCTACCTCCTGAGTTCAAGCAATTCTTGTGCCTCAGCCTCCTGAGTAGCTGGGATTACAGGCATGCACCACCATGCCCGGCTAATTTATGTATTTTTAGTAGAGATGGGGTTTTGCCATGTTGCCCAGGCCAGTCTCAAACTACTGGCCTCAAGTGATCCGCCCACCTCGGCCTCCCAAAGTGCTGGGATTACAGGCGTGAGCCACTATCCCTGGCCTTTTTCAGCAGTTTAGAAATGTTTTTCCACTGCCCTCTGGCCTCTATGGTACCTGATGGGAAATTCACAATCATTCAATTCATTGTTCCCTTACTCTACTACTCAGGTTCTCCAGAGAAACAGAATCAATAGGATGCGTGTGTGTGTGTATGTGTATATATATGTGTGTGTGTACATGTGTGTGTATGTATATGTATATATTTGTATATGTGTGTGTGTGTGTGTGTATATATATATATATATATATATATATATATATATATATATATAGAAAGAGAGAGAGAGAGAGAGAGAAATTTATTTTAAGGAATTAGCTCACATGATTACAGAGGCTGACAAGTCCAAAAATTGCAGGGTGGGCCAGTAGCATGGAGACCCAGAGAAGAGTTAGTGCTGTAGTTCAGATCCAAAGATCATCAGGACAGTGACCCTAGAGCAAGCTTGTCCAATCCACAGCCCATGGGGCATGTGACCCAGGATGGCTTCGAATGAGGCCCAACACAAATTCATAAACTTTCTTAAAACATTATGAGTTTTTTTGTGATATTTATTTTTGTCTCATCAGTTGTCATTAGCATCCGTGTATTTTATATGTGGCCCAAGACAATTGTTCTTTCAATGTGTCCCAGGGAAACCAAAAGATTGGACACCCCTGCCCTAGAGGGAGCTAACACTGCAATTCAAGTCAAGGCATCTGCTGCAGAATTCCTTCTTGCTTGGGGGAGGTCAGTATTTTTGTTCTATTTAGGCCTTCTACTGATTGGATGAGGCCCACTCACATTATGGAGGGCAATCTGCTTTGCTCAAAGTCCACTGATTTAAATGTTAATCTCACACAAAACACCTTCATAGAAACAACCAGAACAAAGTTTGACTAAACATCTGGACACTGTGAGGCATCCTCAGCCAGTAGAAGACACCTGCAGTTTCTTGAAACTTAACGATTCTCTAACATAGTCCTCATGGCTAGCAAGGGAGAGAGTTCCAAGGGTGAGTCTGCTAGCAAGATGGAATCTTATTTAACGTAACATGGTACCATAGCATAATGTAACATGCTACTGGGAATGATGTCACATCACCTTTGTCCTGTTCTATTGGTTAAGGCGAGTTATGGATCCTGCCCATACTCAAGGGAAGGGGATTCTAAAAGTGCATTAATACTAGAATTTGAGGATTATAAAGGATGATCTTACAGTCTGTCCACCACAGTCTAATCCCCAGTGATTCACGTCTCTTCCTGTGGAGACAAACATTACTCCATCTTGGATGCTAATCCACCATGTTGATGTCTGATTGGCCCCAGTCCCATGAATGTCTCCTGATTTCTACCTTATTTACTGTCCCTGTTCCTTCCTTCTTCTCTCTCTCTCTTCCTTCCTTCTTTCCTTCCCTTCCTTTCCTTTTTCTTTCTTCCTTCCTTCCTCCCTCCTTCCCTCTCTCCCTCTCTTCCTCTTTCTTTCTTTCTTTCTTTCTTTCTTTCTTTCTTTCTTTTTCTTTCTTTCTCTCTTTTTCTTTTCTTTCTCCTTCTTTCTTTCTTTTTCTTTCTTCTGTCTTTTTCTTTCCTGACAGAGTTTCACTCCATCACTCAGGCTGGAGTGCAGTGGCATGATTTTGGCTCACTGCAACCTCCACCTCCCAGGTTCATATGATTCTTTTGGCTCAGCCTCCTGAGTAGCTGGGATTATAGATGCCCGCCACCATGCCTAGCTAATTTTTGTATTTTTTCTTTCCTCTTCTTCTTCTTCTTCTTCTTCCTCTTCCTCTTCCTCTTCCTCCTCCTCCTCCTCCTCCTCCTCCTCCTCTCCTTCTCCTTCTCCTTCTCCTTCTCCTTCTCCTTCTCCTTCTTCTTCTTCTTCTTCTTCTTCTTCTTCTTCTTCTTCTTCTTCTTGGTAGAGATGGGGTTTCATCATTTTGCCCAGGCTGGTCTCGAACTTCTGACCTCAAGTGATCCACTCACCTTGGCCTCCCAAAGTACTGGGATTACAGTCATGAGCCACTGCACCCAGCCTTTCCTTCCTTCATTTTCTAATAACATGGTCCTCACTTCCTTCTGAGCTATCACCGGTACCATTCTCCAAGTCCAGATTTCTATTAATGGCTTGTTTAAAGCAATTTATACTTTTTCTATGATGCTCATCACAATTCTTCCAGCCTCCACCCATTACCTTATTCCAAAGCCACTTCTACAGCAGCACCCTACTTCTAGGTACCAGAATCTTTATTAGTTATCTATTTCTGCTGTGCTATAAAGGATTCAGCAGGTTTAGGTAGTCTGATTCTTCCACATTCCAAAGAAAGGTTTGGTCCTTTCCTGGCTACTGGGAGACAACCTCTAATCTCCTGGAATCTCCTGTCTGTTAACAATGTCTTTGTTTATCTGAGGCCTTGGGCCATGTAAGATAGTTCATGTTAACAATGTGATTGATGGCGGGGGCCTTGTACTACCCAGTATGATCTCAATCTCTGGAGGTGCTGGAGACTCGAGTCAGCCATGCAGGCAGTCAGCCATGCCTAGGTAACCAACCTTCAATAAAAGCCCTGGACAGAAAGGCTTCAGTGAGTTTCCCTGTTTGGTAATACTCTGTGGGAGCTGTCATTCATCATTGCTGGGAGAATTAAGTGCTGTCTACATGACTCCATGGTGAGAGAACAACTGGAAACTGATGCCTGGTCTCTCCTGATTCTTCCCTATGCATCTTTTTTCATTGATGATTTTAATCTGTATCTGCTCACTGTGATAAACTGTAACTGTGAGTGTAATGGCTCTGCTGAATTCTGCGAGTCCTTCTAGTGATCATTGAAGCTGAGAGTGGTGTTGGGAAATCCTTGAACACAGCTGCATAAAAAATTACCACAAACTTAGTGACTTAAAAGAAAACATGCATTTATTATCTCACAAGAGTCTGGGCACAGATTAACTGGGTCCTCTTCTTAGGGTCTCACAGGGCTGCCATCAAGGGATTAGCTTGACTGTGTTCTAATCTGGAGGCTCAACTGGGGAAGAAGGTGCTTTCAAGCTCACTCAGGTTGGTGATAGAACTCATTTCCTTGTGGTTGTGGGACTTAGAGTCCTGGCTTCTTGGTGGCTTTCAGCTCTTAGAGGTTGTCTTTAGCTTCTTGATAGATTGGCCTCCTATCCTGGCTGCTTATTTCTTCAGAACTATCTTGAGAGAGAGTGTTAGAGTGAGTTTGATAGCAAGATGGAGTCTTAATAGTATGTAATCTTGGGAGTGACATCCTATTGATTTTGCTGTATACAGTTGGTTAGAAGCAAGTCACAGCTTTGCTCACACTCAAGCAAACTATGTCCTCCTTCAAGGGGAGGAGTTTATTCAAGGATGTGAATACTCATCGTAGAGTGTGTTTACCACACAACTTCCCTATAAAGGGAAAGAGAGAAATGGGGGCAGTAATGAGAAGGGAAAGAAAGGCCAAAACTTTTTTTTTTTTTTTTTCTTTTTTTGGAGACAGGGAGTGGAGTGGAGTGGAGTGATGTGGTGCAATCACCACTCATTGCAGCCTCAAACTCCTGGGCTCAAGGGGTCCTCCCCCTTTAGCCTCCCGAGTAGCTGGGACTACAGGTGCATGCCACCATGTCCAGCTAATTTTTAATTTTTTTTTTTTTTTTGGTAGAGACAGCAGTCTCATTATGTTGCTCAGATAAGTCTTCAAGTCTTGGCCTCAGGTGATCCTCCTACCTTGGCCTCCCAAACTGCTGGGATTACAGGCATGAGCCACTGCACCTAGCCAAAACTTATTTTTTTTTTAACATGGGAAAAATTTGTGCTGATAGGAATGATTCACTAGAGAGGAAATCATGGATAAAATCCTGTTTTATGGGTCAGCCATTACAGTCTTTTAAATATTAAATGCAATTAAAACTCTTATTTTGTCTCTCATATATCACAAAATACATAATTTATGGGCCCCACTTTCCCCAAATATAAAATGTAGATGTTGACCAGGAGCGGTGACTCATACCTGTAATCCCAGCACTTTGGGAGGCCGAGGTGGGAGGATTGCTTGAGGCCAGGAGTTCCAGACCAGCATAGGCAACAAAGTGAGAACCTGTCTCTACAAAAAATAAAAAAAAATTCAGCTGAGCATGGTGGTGCATGCCATAGTCCTAGCTACTGAGGAGGCTGAGGTGGGAGGACCACTTGAGTCCCGGGAATTCAAGTCTGCAGTGAGTTATCATTGTGTCACTGCACTCCCGGCTGAGTGACCGAGAGAGACCCTATCTCAAAATATAAAATAAAATAAAAATCATGCTCACTGAAAGGGTTTCAGATAGACTTGGTATTTTTGGCTTCACTACTATTTTATTTGTAATTCTGGGATAGGCTCTGGGCCTCAGAACACCCTACAGTGGATATTGTTATGAAGACACACATGAAGATGTCCTGTCGATGGTGTGGCAATGAGTTTGTCTGAGATGGTGACACTGACGCACATTTTTCTGTCTCCCGGAATACATGTTTCTCAATCCTTAGCTTTTGAGTGGTTTTGCCTACAGAAAGGCCCCGGCGCAGTGCCCCCTGCTGGTGAGTGGCAGCCAGGCGCGTGCGTCATGTCAGTGATGGACACAGTGGGTCCCTTTGCTGACACGGACCTTGGGGGTGATGCTGAGCCTGCCAGGTTATTTCAGATCAGGTCATTAAAGCAACAGAAGGTCGACTCGATGTAAAACGAGCAGCTCCCAGTATTCTCTACATTTTTTAGACATGTGATGATTTGCTATAGCTCATTTTGGCTGATAAAATATGAACACTTCACAAAATATTTGTATTTCAGCCTCTGTCTTCATTCATTTAACAAGCCATTTTGCCCTAATTCCCAGGAGCTGTATTCTTCTTCCATTGGGAAACCTAACTTGAGCCTCGGCAGAGAAGATTTTAAACATGAAATAGGTTAGCAGTGTTAATTTAAAAAAAAATCAGAAAAGCATTTAAAACAAAAAAGCCCCTTTCTCTTTCACTTCAGTGAAATGAATTAGCATTCATTTGTGCAGGTTTCTCAATGGTGATGAGCATCTTAAAGAAAATTAATTAAAACTAAGAACAAGATTAGTGTTTAGATTATTATTTTAACCTTGGCCTCTGGTGAAGGTAGTAGTTTTGTAATGAATAATTATCCCCTTAATTTTGTTCCCGTCTAACTGCTTTGTATATATCTGGGGTGGGTATGTCATGACAGTGACATTTTTGGTAGCCTTTAATTCAGGAATGCAGTCCACACACTTCAGGATTTTAGTGTCTTAGGTTCACGGGCAGGTGGCTTCTCTACTTTGGCATTTCCACGAGGCAGGAAGGAAACCAGGAGAATGTGTATCCTCAAACCCAAGTGAACCAGGCATACCCAGAAGGAGGAAGAGCTCTGTTGAGTGAGCTGTGAGAATCAACCATTGTGGAGGTCATGGTTAACTTGTTGGGAGCAGTTTCTGTGGAAGGATGGGACAAAAGTCTGATTAGAATGGGTTTACAAGAGAATGGGCTTTTCCAGGTGCCCATCAGTGGTGGGCTGGATAAAGAAAATGAGGTGGCTCACGCCTGTAATCCCAGCACTTTGGGAGGCCGAGTCGGGTGGATCACGAGGTCAGGAGATCGAGACCATCCTGGCTAACACGGTGAAACCCTGTCTCTACTAAAAATACAAAAAAAAAAAAAAAAAAAAAATTAGCCGGGCTTAGTGATGGGCGCCTGTAGCCCCAGCTACTTGGGAGGCTGAGGCGGGAGAATGGTGTGAACCCGGGAGGCGGAGCTTGCAGTGAGCTGGGATCATGCCACCGCACTCCAGCCTGCACGACAGAGGGAGACTCCGTCTCAAAACAAAAAACAAAAAACAAACAAACAAAAAGAAAATGTGGTACATATACACCATGGAATACCATGCAGCATAAAAAAAATGATGATATCATGCCCTTTGCAGCAACATGGAGGCAGCTGGAGGACATTATCCTAAGCCAACTGACAAAGAAAGAGAAAACCAAATACTGCCTGTTCTCACTTATAAGTGGGAGCTAAGCATTTGGTACACATGGACATAAAGATGGGAAAAATAGACAATGCAAACTAATAGAGAGGGGAGAGAGGTGGTGAGGCAAGGGCTGAGAAACTACCTATTGGGTACCCTACTTACTACATGGATGACGGGACCATTCATACCTCAAACTGTAGCATCATGGAAGACTTGTAACAAACCTGCACGTGCACCCCTTGATTCTAAAATAAAAGCCTTGCTTATTTCTTTCTCTTTCCCACTTCTTCCGTTTCTTTCTCTTCCTGAACAAATCCTTTTAAAAGTCATTAGGTGGGACCAAGCAAGGTGGACATCCATACAGAGCAGCAGGGAAGCCCTACCATCCTGAAGCAGGTGAGGAGGGTATCCACATGGGAGGGGTGGGGATGGCCTAGCCTGGGCTGTCAGAGATAGCCAGGGTGAGGTTTGGTGGCTGATGCAGAGCATTGGAACCTGAGTCGGATAAGAAGGCCTCCCTGCTGAAGGCCGGCCCAGCTTGGAGCATCGGAGCATTGGAGTGTGGAAAGCATTTGTGTAGGATGACAGCCCAGTGTGGGGTGTCTGATCATGAGTGGGGTAAAGAAGTGCTCCGCATAAGAGGGCAGCCCTATGTGAGGCATCAGACATCTCCCAGGTGAGAGCATCCATGCAGCGGGTATCAGAATTCAAGCAAGAGGTCAGGCTCTGTGGCTCACGCCTGTAATCCCAGCACTTTGGGAGGCTGAGGCGGGTGGATCACTTGAGGTCAGGAGTTCGTGACCAGCCTGGCCAACATGGTGAAACCCTGTCTGTACTAAAAATACAAAAATTAGCTGGGAGTGGTGGCGGGCACCTGGAGTCCTAGCTACTCGGGAGGCTGAAGTGGGAGAATCACTTGAGCCTGGGAGGCAGAGGTTGCAGTGAGCCAAGATTGTGCCACTGCATTCCAGCCTGGGTGACAGAGTGAGAATCTACCTCAAAAAAAAAAAAAAATTCAAGCAAGGTGAGGCAGGCATCCACCTAGGAGCGCTGCCTGGCATGGGGTGTTGGAGTTCTACCATGGTGGGTGGCCTGGTATGCGGGGTGGGGGTGTTAGATCCTGGACAGAGTGAATATGGGGGTGGAAGTGCTACCTGGCATGGTGTGTCAAAATATGAGTGGCAGAAGGATGGCTGGGGGCTGGGCATGGGCATGGTGGCTTCCACCTGTAATCCCCACATTTTGGGAGGCCAAGGGGAAAGGATTGCTTGAGGCCAGGAGTTCAAGAGCAGCCTGTGCAACATAGCTACATATTTTTTTTAAAAAATTAGCCAGGTAGTGGTGCATGCCTGTAGTCCTGGCTACTCGGGAGGCTGAGGTGGGAGGATCGCTTGAGTCCAGGAGTGCGAGGCTGCCGTGAGCTGTGATTGTGCCACTGCACTTCAACCTGGGCAACAGAGCAGACCCCTGTCTCTTCAAAAACATCTTGTTTAAAAAGAAGTATGACTGGGCTAGGAGAGTACAAGAGGAACCTGAGGAACCTAGAACATCATATTCCAGAAGGTAAGTGTGGGATCCAAGAAGGATGGAGACAAATAAAAAGACACAGAAGCCATCTTGAAATGGTTTCCATCGGCCCAAACTGGGACAATTGAAGCATCAGATTAATGAGAATAATGGACTGAAAAAGATAGAAATCCATGGATCACGTTGGTTAAATGAATAAGTGAATGAATGAATGAATTTATTCACTTATGAATTATTCATTCATTCACAAATGAATGAATGAATTATGAAAATACTCAATAATTATAAAGAGAAAAAGTCTCTTTACAGTACAGAAGTCCAGAAGACCTCCCCCCACCCCATCCCTTAATCAAGTGACCAAACTGAACATCATCAACAAACGGGCAAACCGAAATTATGTATTACTTAATAAGATGCAATGAAAACTGAAATTATGTATTACTTAATAAGATGCAATGAAATAACTGTATGCCAAGGATGCATTACCTGAATCTAAAAAGCCAAACCCAAATTGATGGACAGCCTACAGTTTAACTTGCCTGTAATCTTTTTTTTTTTTTTGAGATGGGGTCTTGCTCTGTTGTCTAGGCTGGAGTGCAGGGGTGCAATCTCAGCTCACTGCAGCCTCAACTGCCTGGGCTCCAGTGATTCTCCCATCTCAGCCTCCTGAGTAACTGGGACCGAAGGTGCATGCCACCACACCCAGCTAATTTTTTTTTTTTTTTTTTGAGACAGAGTCTTGCTCTGTCACCCAGGCTGGAGTGCAATGGCACAATCTCAGCTCACTGCAACCTCCGCCTCCCGGGTTAAAGAGATCTTCCTGCCTCAGCCTCCTGAGTAGCTGGGATTACGGGCGTGCACCAACATGCCCAGCTAATTTTTTGTATTTTTAGTAGAGACTGGGTTTCACCATGTTGGCCAGGCTGGTCCCGAACTCCTGACCTCAGGTGATCCACCCACCTCGGCCTCCCAAAGTGTTGGGATTATAGGCGTGAGCCACGGTACCCAACCTAATTTTTTGTTATTACTGGTAGAGACGAGGTCTTGCTATGTTGCCCAGGCCGATTTTGAATTCCTGGGCTCAAGGGATCCTCCCTCCTTGGCTTTGCCTGTAATCTTCATGGATGTCAAAGGAAGACTAAGGAACCAATCCAAGTTGCAGGAGGCTAAGGAGACATGACAACCTGGTACAACAGGTAATTCTGAAGTTATTTGTTACAAGGGATATTATTGGACAAAGCTTGAATGAGGTCTAAGGATTTAATGGGAATAATATATCAGTGTTAATTTTCTGTCTTTGATATTTGTCCTGTGGTTTTATATGAGAATAAGCTTTTTTTTAGGAACCGTACAGTAAAGTATTCAAGTGTGATGAAACATTATACTGACTCTTTTTTTTCCTTCTTTCTTTCTTTTTTTTTTTTTTTAAAGACAGAGTCTTGCTCTGTCACTCAGGCTGGAGTGCAGTGGTGCAATCATGGCTCACTGTAGCCTTGACCTCCTGGGCTCAAGCAATCCTCCCTCCTCAGCCTTCCGAGTAGCTGGGACTACAGGTGCGTGCCACCATGCCTGGCTCATTTTTGTGTTTTTTTGTGGAGATAGGGTTTCACCATGTTGCCCAGCCTGGTCTTGAACTCCTGGGCTCAAGTTATCCACCTGCCTTGGCCTCCCAAAGTGCTGGGATTACAGGCATACCCCACCGCACCTGGCCATAATCAGATGTGTGTGTGTGTGTGTGTGTGTGTGTGTGTGTGTGTGAAGATCACTGTGACTGCTTTGTGGGGACTGCATTTCGTAGAAGCAGAGAGACCAAGTAAAGAGGCTGTTTCATGAATCCAGGTGAGAGAGAAGAGGAGCTTATGTCAGGGTATTAACAATGGCACCGAAGAGAAGTCCATGGACTTGACCTATATTTGTTGACAATAGAATTGATAGAACGTGTTGATGGATTAAACATTTGGTCCTGGGGGAGGCTGGAGGTAAAATCAAGACAATACGAGAAAAATCAAGGTTATGCTCAGGTGTGGTTAAAGTAGTAGCAGGGAATGCAGGAGACTGTGCTATCATGGAATGAGAGTGAGAAGTCAGCCAAGACGAAGAGAAGAGCTACTGCTGGATTTAGCAACATGGTGCCCATAGGTGATCTTAGCGGAACAATGTGGATGGGTTGTGGGAACAGAATCCTTCTGACCATGTATTGAGTAGTGAATGAAGGCTGAGAGGTGAAGACATGGAGACCTGGTGATGAGAATCTTTGGAGAAGCGTATCAGTGAAGGAAGAGAGAGTGAGGACTCTTGCTAGAGAAGGACAGGAGGGCTAGAGTTCACTAAGGCAAGAAGGTATTCTGACGGGAAAAACCACAGACCTCTTGGTCAAGGACCCCGTGTGGGCAGCCTCAGTAGGAACATTGTGGCTAGATGATGAGTAAGGATAGATTTGTACCATGGCTCCATGGAGCCCCCAGTTGAAGACATGGTTTGAGGGCAAAGGTGGACCCTGCCTCTGAATTAAACTATTTCTGACACCCAAAGGAATGGGGGATCCTAATAGACATTAAGGTCTCAAAGAAAAGAGGAAATGGTACGTCTTGCTACCTGAGTGTAGGCACTGAAATTTGGATCTGTTACACTACTGTGGTATTCCCAATGGTATTCTTCTGTGATTTCTGCTGCCCGGACTCCTCCCTCACCCTCATCCCCTCCTACTTCCTGTCATTCAAGACTCAGCTCACTGGCCCAACCTCTGGGGCAAGAACACCCCTCTATCTTCTGATGGCTCCTGGGTGACCACCTCTGCCCTACTGAAGGTTGGGTTGTAATACTGCTCACCCATCTCTCCTTCTCTCTACGCCTCTTAACAAATGTGATACCTGGAAACAGAGCACCTGATAACAAATGTGATACCTGGAAACAGAGCACCTGAGAGGCAGTTGATCCTAGCAGTTAGGAGGGAGCCCAGGTTCTGGAGCTGTCTTTGAGCACCACCATTTACTAGCTGTGTGTTTGAAACTGCCTTTGCAAAAATGATAACAGTGAGAAAATTATGACAGTGAAAGAGATCTGATCTAACCAACCCCTATCTTGCCTTCAGCCTCCAAACTGCCCTTAGGCAATTCCTGGGCTTGGGTCAAGCGAACTTTGGGAGAAATTTAGTTTATAGTTTAATAGCAATAGCCCTTCCCCAAAACTAAACTACCTCTGTAAAGCCCACCAGGTTAGGAGGATGAGAGGAATCCGAGATCAGCTGAGGTGTAGGCATAAACGATGACCAGCCATTATTCCAGAGGTCACAAGATAGCAACTTTCCCAATTACTCCTGCAGATAACATCCCTGTTGTAGAACCTAAGACTGGCTTTTTGAGATTTTTGCCCTTCTGACCTGGACCAGCCAACCAGTCCTGTGGCCCCACCCAGAAGCAGACTCAGTACACATTTTCCACACCCCTCTAATTACATCCCCAGCCAATCAGCAGTGCCCTTTCCCTTGCCTGCCAAAGTTGAAAAACCCTACCCTCTGAATTTTCAGGTAGGCTGGTTTGAGTAATAATAAAACTCGGGACTCCCATTCAGCCAGCGCTGCATGAATTAAATTGTTTCTCTATAGCAATTCCCCTGTTTGATAAATCAGCTCTATCTGGGCAGCAGGCAAGATGAACCCGCTGGGTGGTTACACATCCTTAGCATACTGCCTAACATCTCTGTGCTTTCTTCTTCAACTGTAAAGTGGGGATATTAAAAGTACCTACCTCATAATACTGTTGCGAGTGTCAGGGGCATTTGAACCAGAGCAACTCCATCTTGAATAGCGGCTGAGTAAAATGAGGCTGAGACCTACCAGGGTGCATTCCCAGACAGTTAAGGCATTCTAAGTCACAGGATGAGATAGGAGGTTGGCACAAAATACAGGTCTTAAAGACCTTGCTGATAAAACAGGTTACAGTAAAGAAGCCAGCCAAAACCAAGATGGTGATGAGAGTGACGTCTGGTCGTCTTCACTGCTGCACTACCTCCAGCGCCATGTCAGTTTAGAAATGCCATGGCAACGTCAGGAAGTTACCCTATATGGTCTAAAAAGGGAAGGCATGAATAATCCACCCTTTATTTAGCATATAATCAAGAAATAACCATAAAAATGGGCAACCAGAAGCCCTCGGGGCTGCTCTGTCTCTAGAGTAGCTATTCTTTATTCCTTTACTTTCTTAATAAACTTGCTTTCACTTTACTCTATGGACTCGCCCTGAATTCTTTCTTAGGCAAGATCTGAGAACCCTCTCTTGAGGTCTGGATTGGGACCCCTTTCTGGTAATATGAGGATTAAATGAGATAACCCCTGTAAAGTGGTAACTGTGCCAGGCAGACTGTAAGCACTCAATAAATATTGCTATCATTAGGACATAGAAGATCCTGACACATTGCTGTTGAAAGAATAAATAAACAAATGAAAGAATAAAGCAGGTTGTAAAAATACCCAGAACATGTGTCAGCCTGGCTTTCAGTGTCTCTTCTGCCAGGCCTACCTGGTGCATTGCACAAATTCTCAGAGCCAGTGTTCTGCCCCTGTACATGGAGGGATATTATGAGGACAGAGGAGGCGTGGTTTCTTGGGGGTGCCTGGTACCTGGCAGAGCCATCTAGGCAGTTTCATAAATGTGTACATGCCTGGGCCCTGTCCTTGGTGTGTCGGTCCCCAAGATCTGGGCATGGCCCCAACACACATATTTCTATAAAGCCTTGGGTGGCATGTTTTCCTGGTTAGAGCTGGCTGTTTGACCATGTAGCTAAGGCTCTTTCTACCTCTGAAGCCCTTCAATTCTGTGATTGCCTGTCTTAATTCACTCCTGGTTTCTGAATATAATGGTGAAACATCTGAAACTACTCTTTGCAATCAAAGCTTTAGGAAGGAGTAACTAGATGGCATTGTATTTAATCATGAAGAAATTATATTTTCTTACGAAACGATTTTCTTAAATCATGTATCTGGGTTCCATATGTGTACATTACAGTGAAGGGATGTTTTAAAACTTTTGATTTACATGGATGAGGATTCCACCCTGCCCCAAGGCTCATAGAACAGTTTGGTGAGTTTCTTCCCAGTGGGGTGGTAACTGTCATTGAGAGACACAGTCCCATGGGTGGTGGCGGTCTGGCTGGGAGGATGTGCTTGGCTCAGGGGAAAGTGCCTGTGTGACTGAACACCTCTTAGCCAACTCCATCAGGCTGCCCTGAGGCAGGAGGCTGGGGTACCTTGTTCACACATCAAAGGGAGCACATATTTTTGTGGGTGAAAATGAATATAGTATTATTGGTTGTGTGTGTGTGTGTGTGTATGTGTGTGAGACAGGGTCTTGCTCTGTTGCCCAGGCTGGAGTACAATGGCACAATCACAGCTCACTGCAGCCTCAACCTCTCCGAGCTCAAGTGATCCTCTTAGCCCCCTAAGTACCTAGGACTACAGGAGCATGCTATCATGTCCGGCTAATTTTTTGGTATTTTGTGGAGATAATGTTTCACCCTGTTGCTCAAGCTCAAACTCCTGGTTGCAAGCAATCTGCCCATTTTGGCTTCCCAAAGTGCTTGGGATTATAGGCGTGAGCCTCGTGCCCAGCCTGAATACAGCACTATTGTTTTTTACAGTCATAAAAGTAGCTCAGGGGTAAAGATGGTAGATTCAACATGTGTTTACTTTTGGTCCTTCCTGAAACCCAACCAAAGCAAGAGTAAAAGGATCTTTTAAAAAGAAAAATCCATTAGAACAAAAAGGACAAGAAAGAAGAAAAATAGTGACAACATTTTGGAAGCTAGAAAGCACTTGAGTGAGAGGTAGCTGACTTGGCAGACACAAGAAAGCTGTATTCCAAGCTGCTGGGAGAAAAGCCATAAAGCATCCCAATTTATTTGACAAAATCCCCAAAAGACTTAGGAATAGGCAGACTGAAGTTGAAGGTGGGTCTAAAAATAGGAAAATTATGTGAAAGGCTGTCTAAGGGCCAGTTAGAGCCCCAGACCCTCAGCCTGCCTCTGCACTCCTGGAGGCCTGCCCCCGTTCTGTATCAGCAGAGGGCAGCAATTTTGTTATCAGGGAGATGACCACTGAGAGCCTTGTTCACCCAGGACTTGGTTCATGATCTCTCTGCACATCTAGCCTTGCAACCACCTTGGAGGACTTTGGGACCCACATGTACAATCTGTCTAGCACCTTGACCTTGAAGTTCCATTGACCTTGTCCCTTATTTACATTAGCCAATGGACCTGTCCCATACCTACTTCAGCCAATGCATCTTAGCTCGGTCATCACTGGCACCTGCTGACTTATTCGGACGTTGCATCCTGCATGCATCCTCACGCCCTTCTGGTGAAGTTGCCCCTCCCAGTATCATTCCTTGATTGCATCCTCCAGGCCATTGACTGCCCTGCTTTCTCCTCATCTTTCAGTCCCCTCCTTTCCTTCCCATACCCTCACCCTCAAATTCCTTGGAACTAGAAGGGGCTAATGTTTGACTTTCTACTTTGTATTCTGAATTGTATCTTCCTAACTTGCAGCCTCGTGGCCAAGCCTTCGTGATGGAGCAGATGTAAGGGAGAGGGAGTGAGAGAGGAAGAGAAAGAGAGTAGGGACTGAGGCCAGGTGCTGTGGCTTGCACCTGTAATCCTAGCACTTTGGGAGGCCAAGACAGGTGGATCACTTGAGGTCGGGAGTTCGAGAGCAGCCTAGCCATCATGGCAAAACCCTGTCTCTACTATAATTACAAAAATTAGCCGGGTGCATTCCACTGCATTCCAGC
The DNA here is from genome assembly GCF_000001405.40 of Homo sapiens. NCBI lineage: Eukaryota > Metazoa > Chordata > Mammalia > Primates > Hominidae > Homo > Homo sapiens. The sequence continues at coordinate 34,032,373 of NC_000019.10, read as the reverse complement.
ATTCCAGCCTGGGTGACAGAGAGAGAATCTGTCCCCACTCCCAAAAAAAAAAAAAAAAAAAAAAGGAGGGACTCATTGCTTATCAGAATGCGCCATCCTGGCCAGCGGTGGCATGCCTATAGTCTCAGCTACGTGGAAGGATTGCTTGAGCAGCATTCAGCCTGGTCAACATAGCAAGACCCCATAAGAATACCCTATCCTCTCCTCCTTTGTTCCTGTTGCTCTCTCTGACTCTCTTTCACCCATACCCCAGCCCTGCCTCCTGTATCCTCTCCAGCCTCTCCTTTATGTCTGTGACTTCCTCACTTTTTTTTTTTTTTTTGAGACAGAGTCTCGGTCTGTCGCCCAGGTTGGAGTGCAGTGGTGCGATCTCGGCTCTCTGCAAGCTCGGCCTCCCGGGTTCAGACCATTCTCCTGCCTCAGCCTCCCGCGTGGCTGGGACTACAGGCACCAGCCACCACCCCTGGCTAATTTTTTGTATTTTTTAGTAGAGACGGAGTTTCACTGTGTTAGCCAGGATGGTCTGGATCTCCTGACCTCGTGATCCGCCCGCCTCGGCCTCCCAAAGTGCTGGGATTACAGGCGTGAGCCACCACGCCCGGCGACTTCCCCACTTTTTGATGCACTTCATCATTCAATTTCCTAGTGAAATTGAGACCCTCTTTTCCTATTGCATTCCAGGTCACACACACTTATCTTTCATGTTTCTGGAAGCAATACTTATTATTTGGATGTTCTCTTACATCTTCTATTGTGTTCTGTGGTATTCTATTTCCTATTTATTCCATTTAATTTTTTTTTTTTTGAGACAGAGTCTCACTCTGTCGCTCTGTCGCCCAGGCTGGACTGCAGTGGCAGTGATCTCGGCTCACTGCAAGCTCCGCCTCCCAGGTTCTTGCCATTCTCCTGCCTCAGCCTCCCGAGTAGCTGGGACTACAGGCGCCCGCCACCACGCCCGGCTAATTTTTTGTATCTTTGGTAGAGACGGGGTTTCACCGTGTTAGCCAGGATGGTCGCGATCTTCTGACCTCGTGATCCACCCACCTCGGCCTCCCAAAGTGCTGGGATTACAGGCGTGAGCCACCGCACCCGGCTATATGTACTTTTAATTATATGCAAATTGAGGGGTGGATTATGCAGAAATTCCTAGAAATAGGGTGGTAACTTCTGAGTCAGTGGGCTGTTGCCATGGACAGGGGCAGTAACTCCCGAGTGTTGCCCTGACAATGATAAACCGACATGGTGCGCTGGTGGGTGTGTCTTACGGAAAGGTGCTTCTGCACACAGCCCTGTTTTAGCTAGTCTTCCATTTGGTTAGATGTCTGAGCCCCGTCTCCTGAGTCCAGTCCTGCCTCCTATGTCACTCCCAGGCCTGGCGTTTGTTCTCCCGGTGATCTTTGGCAGCCTCTCCTCCCTCAAGGCAGCCAGGCCCCACCCTTCACCTTCTCTCTGGGTGATCTCCCGCACCCGCTCCTATGCGTTCGGCTGCCTATCCACATCTCCGAGCCTGATCGCTCTCTCCGACGGCCCCTGGAAGGGTCTGATTCCCGGCCCTGCTTTGTGGCCACGTAGGAACATACTCCCAGCTTTCTGGCTGAACACCCATGGGGTCCATCGCCTTCCTCGCACACTCACCAGCCCCGGGTGTTTTTGTTCCTGTTACTCCCCAGGATCTGTGCCCCCAGAATGTTTTCCTCTGTCAGGAGAAAGTCAGGAAACAGTCTTCCCTCTCCACTCCCCACCCCCATTTTATGATCTTTGCTCTTTTGGCAACATTGAGCTGTTCTTGAACATGTTTCCTGTTCTTTTCTTATGTGTCTGATGCCATTTCCCAAATCTCATTCTAATTCTCCCTGGAGGGCGGCCTTCATTACTGCTGTTGATGAGCGCTGGAAGGGGGTGTTGATGTGTGCGGTCCCCTCATTTCTGTGCCACACTCTTAAAGTGAGCACCGTTAGTGGGTGATCACACAGCTGCTCAAGGCCACAGGCTGTTTCTTAACCGCGTTACTCTTCTCAGGGGATTTCTGTGTTTATTCCTTGCTTGTTCTCTACAGTTTTCTTTCTGATCTGAGACGTCCAACACATTAAGGTTCTTAGAAGCCTAGATAGTATTAGGTCTTACATGAAGTAATCATATTCTTTCAAGTATACAAAGTCTATTTAAATACTGTAAACACAAGATATCAGAAAGCTGAGAAAGGATTCTATTTGTTTACATTCATTAAATTAATCAATTTTCCCTTGCTCAAAAACAGACTCTTACGTTCTGTTAATTTTTATGAATCTCAAAATGGAAAAAGCCCCTAGAGATAATCTAGCAGGATTCCTTCATTGAAGCAGGGGAGTCCCAGGGTGGCTAAGTGTCTTGTGTTTGGACACACGACTCATTCCCAGCAGAGTTATGACTAAGGCTGTGTCTTTCTTTTTCTTTCTTTCTTTCTTTCCTTTTTTTTTTTTTTTTTTTGAGGTGGAGTCTCTATCTGTTGCCCAGGCTGGAGTGCAGTAGTGTGATCTCAGCTCACTACAGTCTCTACAGTTCAAGCAATTCTCCTGCCTCAGCCTCCTGAGTAGCTGGGATTGCAGGCTCACGCCACCACGCCCAGCTAATTTTTGTATTTTAAGAAGAGATGGGATTTCACCATGTTGGCCAGGTTAGTCTCAAACTCCTGACCCAGGTGATCTGCCTGTCTCGGCCTCCCCAAATGCTGGGATTACAGGTATGAGTCACTGAGCCCGGCCAAGGCCTGTGTCTTTCAATGCTGGGCTTTTCCTACCATGCCTCTGATCTGTGTGTCCACCATGTCTTTCCCCCATTCCTATAAATATCTAAGCATACATGGACATCCACATTCTCCTTTAATTATCATTTTGGGAGATGGGGAATCATCTTGCTCAGTGATACTTTTGGTAAAATGATCTTGGAATTAATGCATTTTAACTTGGTGATCTTTATCCTTGTAAAACCAATTCTTTAACTGAATTTTTGTTTCAAGTTATTTCACATTAATGGATTGTGTATATTTTCTTTTATTTAACATATTCTTAACAAATACAATACAGATGATCTTTGAACATTTTTGTGTTTATTGCTATGAATGAAGGAGAGAATTTGCTTATTAAAATCCCAACTCCTTTGGGAGTCTCAGTCCCTATCTATAGAATCTGTCCAGATTAGAGTGTGCTCCAGAATCTTTTGAAACATGGAAAGCAGTTACATTTGAATCTGTAGTATCAGGTTTTTTTTACAGTTTACCTTCTTTGATACCTTTTTTTGAGAATGCAATTAGCTTGGGTATCTTGAATTTCATGTAAACTTAGGATAAATGGGTGTGAGTATTTTACACCCATAGTGCCAACTGGTTGGCTTTGGCAGCTTTTCTTTCGGAAGGTTGATATTCTAGACCAGGAGCCAGCAAGCCTTTTCTGTAAGGCTAGGTAGACTTTGGGGGCCATATGGTCTCTCACTCAGCTCTCCTGTAGTAATGGGAAAGCAGTGTCAATAAAAAACTTTATTAAATTGATTTTAATGATCTAATTGGCTTTTACTATCAATTCACGAATTGGGCAGCATCCCATTTAAAAATAGAAAGGTGCTGCATTAGGTGTGGCAGGACAATTTATTTTTGTAAAGTAGCTTGAGCAGGAACAAGGGAACAGCTTAATACAAAAAATAAGACAGGGGCCAGGCATAGTGGCTCACACCTGTAATCCCAGCACTTTGGGAGGCCGAGCTGGGTGGATCACTTGAGGTCAGTAGTTTGAGACCAATCTGGCTAACATGGTGAAACCCTGTCTCTACTAAAAACAAAAAAATTAGCTGGATGTGATGGCGTGAGCCTCTAGTCCCAGTTACTCGGGAGGCTGAAGCAGGAGAATCGCTTGAACCCAGGAGGCGGAGGTTGCAGTGAGTGGAGATCGCACCATTGCACTCCAGCCTGGGTGACAGAGCGAGATTCTGTTTCAAAAAAAAAAAAAGACAGGGTTACTTTTTTTTTTTTTTTTTTTTGAGGCGGAATCTCGCTCTGTCACCCAGGCTGGAGTGCAGTGGTGCGATCTCAGCTCACTGCAAGCTCTGCCTCCCGGGTTCATGCCATTCTCCTGCCTCAGCCTCCTGAGTAGCTGGGAATACAGGCGCCCGCCACCACGCCCAGCTAATATTTTGTATTTTTAATAGAGACGAGGTTTCACTGTGTTAGCCAGGATGGTCTCAATCTCCTGACCTCGTTCTGCCTGTCTTGGCCTCCCAAAGTGCTGGGATTATAGGCGTGAGCCACCGCACCCGGCCAAGACAGTGTTACTTTAAGTTTACTTTCCTTGTAAGGATTAAAGCAGAGTTAAAGGGCAGAGTTAACTGCCCTTTCTGATTGGTTGCTGCAAATCTCCCGTTCTTCAGGGAAAACTGGTCTGTTTGGGAATTATCCTGCTTCCTTAAAGTTTCAGTTTGATGATGTGGCACTTAGCACAAGTGACTCCATTTTGGTTTGGTCTGGTTGGGGCCTCTGTTGGGGTTCAGTCCAAAACAATGCCTCTCTTAGGTCTTATTTAATGGCAGTCACAGAAGACTGAAAATGAATAGACATGGTAGTTAAAGAAAAAACTATATTCAAGAAAAAAGCAACATGAAGGCCACACTTTGCTGATTGATGGCGTACACTGTTGCGTATTTTTCCTAGCACTAGTGGCAGTCTCTGCCAGCATTTTTTTTTTCCCACCAAGCCTAGAATCAGAATAGCAATTGCAGTTGCATTCCCACTTCTGTGCCTCTTCTGAAGTTGGTCTCCCTGCTGGAAATGCCGTCTCCTCTCTTTCCCATCTGTGCAAATGTTATCTAGAAAGCCCTCCCATTCAGTTCAGTGCTTTCTCCCTTCCTGAACTCTGCTGGCATGCTCATTTGTGGGCTGGTATTATCTGTGTGTTCATGTGTTTATGGTTTCTTCCCAAGCTCCCAGAGCACCTGGTGCAGAGCACCATGCTTTGCATTCGGTGAGAGCTCAGGAGTGGCCGTGAGCACCCAATACCAGCCCAGCACCTCCACGGACCTGGAAGGTACCACGCTTTGCATGAGGCAATGGGACACATCCTTGGCCAAATTAGCAAGAACAGTAGTTATTTTTGTTTAATGGCTGTAATTTCTCAGATAGGAGTCAGGGTCTGTTGTGGAAAGGGGAATGTTAGAAACCATGGGAAGTTTAGGGAGGAAAGAAGACAGCATTAAAGAGAAGCACAAAGTGTTATGGCAGACATGTCATTCAGCCTTAAGAGCAAGAATGGCCAAGAAACATTTTAAGTGCTGGAAATAAAGACACCACTTTAGCTGTGGGACCTGAGTAAGCTGCTTAATGTTGTTTAACTTACCCAATTTCCTCATCTGGACAATGGAGATAGTAATTGTACCTACCTCATAGGGTTGATAGGGGCATTAAATGAGTTAAACACATCAAGGACATAGAGCTCTGTCCAGTACCCAGTAAGTACTTGACATTTAGAGCCTGGCATGAGCCTCCTGACCCCAAGCCCAGTGATGACTTGGAGCAATGATCAACCAAGCCGAAGACCCCAGACTGTCAATTGAAGGATGAAATTAACACCTTAAATGTGCAGTTACCAAAAGATAACTGTATTAGTCCTTTTTCACGCTGCTGTTAAAGGCATACCTGAGACTGGATAATTTATAAAGGAAATTTATAAAGTCTATAGGACTTTATGTGTTCTTTGTTGCATGTGTAATGAATGAAAATCTAGTGTCAGACTCTGTACATACCTTCACTTCTTGCAGAAAGTGATTAATCACTGTATTAGTCAGGGTTCTCTAGAGGGACAGAACTAATAGGATAGATGTGTATATAATGGGGAGTTTATTAAAGAGTATTGACTCACATGATCACAAAATGAGGTCCCACAATAGGCCATCTGCCAACTGAGGAGTAAGGAAGCCAGTCCAAGTCCCAAAACCTCGAAAGTAGGGAAGCCGACAGTGCAGCCTTCAATCTGTGGTCGATGGTCCAAGAGACTAGAAGCTGAAGGACTTGGAGTCTGATGCTTGAGGGCAGGAAGCATCCAGCATGGGAGAAAGATGGAGGCCAGAAGACTCAGCCAGTTTAGTCTTTCCATGTTCTTCCACCTGCTTTTTATTCTGGCCATGCTGGCAGCTGATTAGATTGTGCCCACCCAGATAGGGGGTGTGTCTGCCTTTCCCAGTCCACTGACAAAAATGTTCATCTCCTTTGGCAACACCCTCATAGACACACCCAGGAACAATACTTTGCATCTTTCAATCCAATCAAGTTGACTCTCAATATTGACCGTCACAATCACATTGTAATGAAAGGTAGAACATCTGATTAAAATATTTGCTTTCTCTATTATAAGAACTTCACTGGGTCCTATATTGGGCACTGCCTGTGTACTCAACTCTTCTTTTAGACATTGCTGCAGCAGTGACCAGTACTGCACAGGTGAAACCTGTCAGTACCTCCCTGCAGCCTCCTGATTCCTGCCTTGGAACCTCTGATGCTGGGACATGGGATTCCCATGTGTCCCCATTCAGCACTCACACATGTGCAACCTGGAAATGTAGGGGAGGTAATACCCCTAGGGAAACCCTTAACTCATGGAGGCTGATGGGTAAACGCCACCCCTTTCTTCCCTGTGGTGGTGGTGATGTGGTTCCACATATCATCAAGCTCCTTGGGTGGTCCCATAGGATTGAGCCACATGCATCTGAGCTGGTGGCCAACCTGCCTGCACATCTGCCAGCTGTGATCATAGATGAACACCTGCCACAGGCCGTGCATTCATGTGAACCTGGATCAAGATGGGTCCCTTCTGAATTTCTCTTATATCCCTAGTGCCAAGAATTCTTTCTTTCTTATCCAGTGGAAATGTCCCTTGTGTCACAGGTTGAGTCTTCTCTGTCGCAAGAAGTAGTCTTCTCTAGGGTAAGTCCTCCCAGCTTGGATTATAAATATTTATAGAGGAACTTTGGGTTTGGAGATGGGAGGGGCCTTTCTTTTTCAAGAAAACTCAGCCTTCAGGGCATTGGTCTTGTCGTGGCCTCCCAAAAAGCCAGTTTTGAGATGGAAAGCTGAATAGGGATCCATCTGTTCTTGGCTGTGACTGATTCCTTGCCTGGTACTCTGAATCACAGCTTTACCTATTTGGTGGAATATGACTACAAGGGAATAAAAATTGTATCTTTCTAATATTAAAAATATTATCCTCATTACACAGGCAATGGAGTTAAGGCATAAAGGAAAGATAAATGTGAGCCTCTCACAGGGACACTGAAGCAAATCTAGAAATTAAATGCATGAAAAAACACACATTGAGTTTTTTATAAGATTGTCAGAACAGTTTTTAGATACCTATTATAATACCTGGGGATTTTAGGTTCACTCCAACTTCTTGTGTTGACACCATAAATGCATAAATTTATGGTACCATAAATTTTGTCATTGGGTGAACATCATAGAGCATACTTACACTAACCTAGGTGGTACAGCCTACTACATACCTAGGCTATATGGTTTAGTCTATTCTCCTAGGCTACAAATCTGTACAGGCTGTTACTGCACTGAATACTGTAAGCAATTGTAACACAATGCTAAGTGTCCATCCTGTTATCTGGTGTTCTTATTAGCGTTTGCATGATCATATTAAATTAAAAATAAAAATAAGGAATTCTGGGAAGATGGTGGCAGAGCTTTCTACCTTTTACAAATTTGTAAACAAAATAGAGCACTAGTGGCCAACCAAAAACACATGGATGACATTTACAACAAAACTAATTACAAGGTATTCCCAGAAACCTCAAAACAAAAATGGCAAAGACAAACCAACAACAGCCACAAGACCTTTAGAGTATCAGTGTCTATGTGGAAGAATGCAGAGGGAACTAATGGGGTATTTGACAGACTAGAGAATAGGAGCATCCTCAAAGAGCAAACAGGTGTTAACTGGAAAGTGCAGCAGACCAATCTGGGAACAGTCACTGAAATCGGGAGGGGTTTTGTCCTCTCTTATCATGGACGAGCACAGGCTGCCTGGGGTAAGGTCTCAAGGGCCTGGAGGAGACTCCCATGGATGCTCTGAAATTGTACCTTTCAGGATAGGCTCCCACACTGAGAAGCAACTGCTGGGAATAGAAATTGAATTGAGCAGAGCAGGGCCAATAAAGATGAAGGAAGGAGAAGGTCCAGATGAAAAAGCTGGAGGGGCACAGAGCCAGCACATCTCAAAAAGCAAACCTCCAAATTTTGGAGGAGACAGCATAAGTGAAGCGGGGGTTCTGTGAAATAAGAAAAGCTACCTGGAGGCACTCCTTCTTCTAAAATTTCAGGAAAATTAATTTTACATAAAAATGAGCAAGCAATTGAGGTCAAATCCTATACCAAGTTATTATTTTTAAAAAGAGATTAAAGAGCAGAATAACACTTTTTCAGACAGAGAAAATATGTAGAAAGACAAGCTCACAAACCAAATCAACACTGTAATCTTCTCATTCAAAAGAAGGTAAAAGACACTGAGAAAATTATATAAGACATGCAAGAACAACATAAGTCAGAATTAGACCAGCAGGAAAGGTTATGGAACTGAGAAAAACCCCTAAAAATAGAAGAAAAAAAATTCAGAAATAAAGACTAAACTAGGAGGAATATACATGCAAATAGAACAACAGATAATGTCTTTAAAATAGTTGAAAGGAGAAAAATGTGAAAAATAAAGGAGGAAAGAGATGAAATTCTGGAAGAAGTTGCAAATGTTTTGCAGATAGGCAAAGAAGATCCAACACCTACGTAATAAGAGTCCCTGAAGAAGAAAACCAAGGCAAGGATAGAAAACAAACACTGAAAACTATACTTTCAGAAAAGTTTCCTGAAGTGAAAAATATTTGGAATTGCATGTTGAAAGAGCTCACCATGCTCTTTCCGTGCCTAATACAGTCGTGGCTCGTGGTCTTAGGAAGCATCTGAAGCGGGTAGCAGCTCCACAGCATTGGATGCTGGATGAATTGACTAGTGTGTTTGCTCCTTGTCCAACCACCAGTCCCCACAAGCTGAGAGAGTGTCTCTCCTAATATTTTCCTAAGGAACAGACTTAAGTATGCCCTCATAGGAGACAAAGTAAAGATTTGCATGCAGCCGTTCATTAAGATGGATGGCAAGGTCCAAATTGATATAACCTACCCTGCTGGATTCACGGATGTCATCAGCATTCACAAGACGGGAGAGAATTTCTGTCTCATCTGTGGCATCAATGGTCGCTTTGCTGTACATTGTATTACACTGGAGGAGGCCAAGTACAAGTTGTGCAAAGTAAGAAAAATCTTTGTGGGCACAAAAGGAATCCCTCACCTGGTTCCACGATGCTCACACCATCCACTACCTTGACTCCTTCGTCAAGGTGAATGACACTGTTTAGACTGGCAAGATCACTGATTTCATCAAGTTTGACACTGGTAACCTGTGTATGGTGATTGGAGATACTAACCTGGGAAGAATTGGTGTGATCACCAACAGAAAGAAGCACCGTGGATCTTTTGATGTGGTTCATGTGAAAGATGCCAATGGCAACAGATTTGCCCCTTGGCTTTCCAACATTTTTGTTACTGGCAAGTGCAACAAACCATGGATTTCTCTTCCCCGAGGAAAGGGTATCCGCCTCACCATTGCTGAAGGGAGAGACAAGAGACTGGTGGTGGGTGAAATGGTGGGTGAAACAGTGGGTAAAACAGAGCAATGGTGAAGTGGTCTCTGGGTAACATGCTAGATCTTTGCATGTAATTAAAAATAACATGGAATGATTAATGAAAAAAAAAAGAAAGAGCTCACCATGTACTTGAGAATATCGATCCTGGAATGGATAACTCAAAATGATCAACACTTAGACATATTCTAGTCAAATAATTGAACTAGAAAGAAAAAAAAATCATTTGCTTATTGCAGCAAGATGAGCAAGTGACTTAGAAGAGAAAGTCAATTAAATTATTTTCAGATTTTTTTCACAGCAATATTTTATGCCAGAAAAAAATGGAGAAATATGTTTAAGATACTCAAGGAAATAAAATGAGAGGCAAAGATGTCATATCCAGGAAAACTGATTTTTAAGTATAAAGATTACTATTATCAATCTGCAGGAACTCAGAAAATAGTGCTTCCATGAACCTTTCTTGAGGAATCTACAAGAAAAAAAATCTTCAGACAACCCAAAAGACTAGATAGACAACAGAATAAGTTACTTATAGACCTTGGACTAAATGAGAGGAAAAAAGAAAGAGTATGGCTTGTAATGGCTGTATGTTGGCTATATGTTCTGACACTGTAAATTTAGCACAGCTTTAAAAAAATAGGGGGAGACAGGAGCAGTCATATGCAAAAACATTTTTAACTGTTTTCAGTTAAAGCCTTTTAAAAAATTAATCATGCCATGTTATTTTTAATTATGTACAAAGATCTAACATGTCACCCAGAGACCATTTCACCCACTGCTCTGGCCACAGTCTCGTCTCTCCCTTTAGCAATGGGTTGAATGGCGGACACCCTTTCCTCGGGGAAGAGAAATCCATGGTTTGCTGCCCTTGCCAATAACAAAAAGGTTGGAAAGCTGGGTGGCAAAGCTGTTGCTGTTGGCATCTTTCACGTGAACCACGTCAAAACATCCAGGGTGCCTCTTTCTGTCGGTGATAACACCAGTTCTTCCCAGGTTAGCACCCCCTTAAGGTTGGAGGTGGCTGTATTAATACCATTAAACTGTTGCATCCCAGAAAATTATGAGATATTCCAACTATATTATCTTTTGTGTTTTAAAGAACTGGGGTTCCCAGTATGGCAGAAAAGAAACATAGATGTAATTCAGAAGAGATGTTAAAAAACTTTGATTTAAATGAGAAGTTATCAATATAACTCGAGGTATTTTATTTAAAAAATATTATGTGTATGTATGTGTATGTATATTTCTTGTTCTGACTAATGAAAAGACCTAGCAATGCGCATCTCTCGTGCCCAGATTTTAGTTTTAAAATACCATTTCCCACTAAAAGAAATCAGAGCTCTTGGATAAATGGCTGATTCCAGATCTGGGGTAGAAAATGTCCAAAATGGGGCCGGTCAGGGTGGCTCACACCTGTGATCCCAGCACTTTGGGAGGCTGGGGCAGGAGGATCCCTTGAGCCCAGGAGTTTGAGACCAGCCTGGGCAACACAGAGAGACCCCATCTCTACAGAAAAAACAAAAAAAAGAAGATTAGCCAGGAGTGATGGCATGTGCCTTGTAGTCCCAGCTACTCAGGACTATATAGTCCCAGCTACTATAAGACATGCAAGAACAACATAAGTCAGAATTAGACCAGCAGGAAAGCTTATGGAACTGAGAAAAACCCCTAAAAACAGAAGAAAAAAAAATCAGAAATAAAGACTAAATTAGGAGGAATATACATGCAAATAGAACAACAGATAATGTCTTTAAAATAGTTGAAAGGAGAAAAATGTGGAAAATAAAGGAGGAAAGAGATGAAATTCTAGAAGAAGTTACAAATGTTTTGCAGATAGGCAAAGAAGATCTGAGGCTGAGGTGGGAGGATGTCTTGAGCCCAGTGGGTCGAGGCTGCAGTGAGCTATGATAACACCACTGCACTCCAGCCTGGATGACAAAGTGAGATCCTGTCTAAAAAAAAAGCAAAAACAAAAACAAAAAATGAAAGAAAGAAAGAAAGAAGAAAGAAAGAAAAGAAAGAAAGAAAGAAAGAAAGAAAGAAAGAAAGAAAGCAGATGCACAAAATAAAACAGGAACATTTTATTATAGTAAATAGTGAGGAAGTTAGCAGAGAATTTAAGATCATGTCAAAAGGACTCAGGAGTTAATTTGAAAAAGATCTCTATTGCCAAATTTGGGACCATGTGAGCTAAAATAAGAGAAATATTTATAATATATCAAAACATCAAAATATGTTTAAATTCACAGATTATTATGATTTTAAAATAAAACCGGATTACTCTCCTTCGGAGGACAACAGGAATCCAATACATGATCTTTTTTTTGAGGCGGGGTCTCACTCTGTCACCCAGGCTGAAGTGCAGTGGTGCGATCTCAGCTCATTGCAGCCTTCGCCTCATGGGCTCAAGGGATTCTCCCACCTCAGCCTCCCGAGTAGCCGGGACTATGTGCGTGTACCACCACACCTGGCTAACTTTAGTATTTTTTGTAGAGACGGGGTTTCACCATGTTGCTTAGGCTGGTCCTCTACTCCTGGGCTCAAGTGATCTGCCCACCTTGGCCTCCCAAAGTTCTGGGATTACAGGTGTGAGCCTCCATGATCTTAAAATTAGTAAATAAAGGGAAAGATTCAAGCATTCATCCTGTCTTTCCTAGGTGATCTGGTCCAATAGCAACCAGAGGTAGAAGAGGGAGTGTATTTAATTATAAAAATATTCTAACTAATGAATAAAAAAGAAATGGCAGAATTAGAATATCACATTTTAATGGATTTAGGCATTGTGCATTAACAGCTGCTCACGTCACAAAAAGAAAAATCGTCGGATTTTATTTGTTTCCTAATGAAAGAACTCACCACCACCTATGGTATTTCTAAAGGGACTGAACCTGAGTCTGATCCAACCTCTAGAACCAGCTGCCAATTTGCAAGAAATACAGAGGAATATGTTGAATTATACCAACAGTATCAATCAGCAAAGCCATACTGTGAAAAACTACGAGTCAAAGGCCCCAGGGTTTTCAACAGATAAATTACAGTAAAAACAAAGGGATGGAGGGATTCTGCAAAATGAGGAGACACCTAAAATACACATCAACATTTTAAAAAATGGCAAGACTATAGTGTCTAGGGTGCATACCTAAGGATAAAATCACCCCCTTCTCCCTCAAAAAAGCGAGGAAGTGATCATTACAAAAAGCCAGGATGGTCATTTCTTTCATTCCTTTAGTGGAGTGGGAGGGGTTGACATTGGGATAAGGAACATGGAGGGATTTTGGGGTGGGCTGGTTTAACTCTTTCTTTCTCTCTCTCTCTCTCTCTTTCTTTCTTTCTTTCTTTTTTTCTTCTTTCTATCTTTTTTTTTTTTTTTTTTTTTTAACAGAGTCTCACTCCATTGCCCAGGCTGGAGTGCAGTGGTGCAATCTTGGCTCACTGCAGCCTCGACTTCCTGGGCTCAAGTGATTCTCCCACCTCAGCCTCCTGGGTAGCTGGGACTACAGCCACTGGGTAATGTTTGTATTTTTTTTGTAGAGACGTGGTTTCACCATATTGCCCAGGCTGGTGTCAAATTCCTGGGCTCAAGCGATCCTCCCCGCTCGGCCTCCCAAAGTGCTGGGATTATAGATGGGAGCCACCATGCCTGTCTTATTTGTTTCTTGACTTTGGTGGTGGTGACTTTTAAATAATTTTTTTTAAATAAAAAAGGTGAAAAAAGAGAAAACAGTAATGATTAAATGACTAAAATACACCCATAATTTAAATCTATATACTGATTTTGTTCTATTAAGCTTCCATCTTGGGGGTTTTCTGAGGTCTAGCCAGACCCATGGCCCCATATCAGCCATACTTAGCACTACTTACTCAGTCTTCCATGGGCTCATCTCTTTACCTCCTTCTGTCATCTAAGGACAGCCTGGTGACACAGCCGACATTCCACCTTTATCAGGTTTCCAGGGGAACAGGATTAAAAAGTTAACCCTAGGTCAAATTTGTTCATAAAGAAAGTGAAAGAGTTTTTATCTCTTTGTGTGTTTTTTAAATCCATTACCTATACCTTCTAAGGATGAGAAGAATAGCACTTATTTGCAAAACACCTTTTGAGATACTTCATGTAGAGAATAAGGTAAGTAAATAAGGTATCAAGTTCTCCTTCAGCACTGATATTTGGTATTTGAGGTAGAAGTGTATTAACTTCCTTATTTATATGAAGATGATATGAAACAGAGATATTTAGTGGTATTCTGTAGGTCACACAAAGGGGTGGGTGCTCCCAGTGAAATTTTCTTTCTTTCTTTTCCTTTTTTTTTTTTTTGAGATGAGGTCTTGCTCTGTTGCCCAGGCTGGAGTGCAGTGCCACAATCTCAGCTCACTGCAGCCTTGAACTCCCTGGATTAAGCCATCTTCCCACCTCAGCCTCTTGAGTAGCTGGGACCACAGGCATGAGCCACCATACCTGGCTAAATTTTTTGTATTTTTTATAGAGACTAGGTCTCACCATGTTGCCCAGGCTGGTCTTGAACTCCTGGATTCAAGCCAATCTGCCTGCCTTGGCCTCACAAAGTGCTGGGATTACAGGCATGAGCCACCGTGCCCGGCCCAGTGAAATTTCTTGCCAGTGCAATTCCACTGTTTGCTTTGTTTTCAATGCCGTCTTTAGAAATGTGCTTTATTTTAAATTTTCCCTTCTGCTGCCTTTCTCCCTTGGCTTTTTGGCAAGGACCAGAGAAGGAGGACATTGTTTCTGAATTATAGTAATTAACAGTATATTCTGAATGGTGTGTTCTCTCATTTAAGTCCCCCCCCAAAACCAGAAGAGATTTTGACAGAACTAGGACATGGGAAGCAAAAAAGTCAATTAAAGCTGCTTTTTTACAAGAGCCACATAAACATTATAAAAGTGCCACATACTTGAGCCATTTTAGCAGTTTTCCATCTGGTTTTGTTGTCTCAAAAAGCAGGAAGTTTTTTCTGACATTGCTGTGAATTGTTCTAAGCGACTTTTAGATCGTCACAAGGAGTCGGGTGGCCCTAAATCTCAACGCTTCACTCTGGCGCTGAAGTTCAGAGCGGCATGAACTCATTCATTTGGTTGTTTTTGCCTCCTTTTGGCTTGAAAGGGAAAAGAATGTGGACTCTTTCTCGGCAGAGCGGAATAGACTGTGGATTGTCCTTCAAATACATCTTCCACGGGCACTGATCTCTTCTTGGGCAGAAACAGGCTGAACATCCAGACATTCAGGAGATTATAAATTGAATCTTTCATCTTCTGCTAATACGGCTTTTGGCAATAAAGCCATTATCATGAAGTGCCATAAAAGGCATCTTTTTTTTTTTTTCATCTGTTGCCTACTCAGCATGGGGTTTATTGCTATAAAAAAGTCTGATTGCTAAATGCTAAACCAGGCAGGTCACCCTGCAGTACGTGGAAAGATGGGTCTCTGATATGCCACCTGCTGTCATACAGGACAAATGGCATATTTTTTGGAGGCAAGGCTTAAAAATGGCTACAGAGACTTGCTACTGTTATTTTTGACTGCTAATTGGACACTAGTTAGTTGGCTGTAATGATTATCAGTAGGTGCATCTTCTAGGAACTGCGGGTACTTACTGATTACCTCTTTGTAGTCTGTTGCTGTGAAAAAGTTTAGTGCTGGATAAAATGGAAATTCATTTCTTAAGACATTTACACTCAAACTGGAGAAATAATATTGAACAATAAGAAACAATTTGAGAACCATCAAATAGTCTATGGCCATACCACCCTGAATGCGCCTGATCTTGTCTGAGAACCATCAAATGCTAAAGCCAATCCATTAAAATAAGGATTGATGGCTAGGCATGGTGGCTCACACCTGTAATCCCAGCACTTTTGGTGGCCAAGGAGGGAGGATCACTTGAGCCCAGGAGTTCAAGACCAGCTTGGCCAAAATGGCAAAACCCTGTCTCTTAAAAAAAAAAAAAAATAACTGGGCATGGTGGCATGCACCTGTAGTCCTAGCTACTCAGGAAACTGACATGGGAGGATCGCTTGAGCCCAGGAGGCAGAGGTTGCAGTCAGCTGAGATCATGCCACTGCACTCCAGCCTGGGCAACACAGTGAGATCCTGTTTTTGTGTTTTTTTGTTTTTTAAAAAGTCTTGTCATTACATGGGGGAACTTTGCAAATGTTCTATAGGTAAAGGTTTGTTATTATTATTGGGGTCATAGAGGCAGGATTTTAAAATGAATTGAGGGCGGGCTGGAATCTTGCTAATGTTGAAAAGAAGGAAGCCTTCATGAATGGGATTTGCACAGATGGAAGGATTTGGAGGGCAGTGTGGTGTACATTAGGTAAGTTCTCGGGTCAAGATTTGGATTCTTGTATCTGCAAAGTCATTCTTCATTTGCTTTCCAGTTTCTAAAAATGTGTTGTTATTTTTTTCTCTTCTTGAGGTTTATGGTGATATTTCTTTATTTTTTTGAGAAAATAACTTTACTATAATTTTAGTGAGGTTTAGGAAGAAAGTGAAGGTAAATACATAGGTACATACATACATACATAGGTAGATACATAAAACTATCTTTTTAAGAGGATTTTTTTTTTTTTGAGAGAGCGTCTTGCTCTATCGCCCAGGCTGGAATGCAGTGGTGCGATCTCGGCTCATTGCATCCTCTGTCTCCTGGGCTCAGGCAATCCTCCCACCTCAACCTCCTGAGTAGCTAGGACAACAGGAGTGCAACACCATACCTGGCTAATTTTTGTATTTTTTGTAGAGACAGGGTTTTGCCATGTTGCCCAGGCTGGTCTCGAACTCCTGGTCTCAAGCGATCCTCCTGCCTTGGACTCCCAAAATGCTAGGATTGCAGGTGTGAACTACCATGCCTGGCAAGAGGAGATGTTATTTTTTAAGAGAATTAACTTCATTTGTTTCTTCCAGCTTGTTGAGGTATAATTGATAAATAAAAATTGTATATATTTACAGTATACAACATGATATTTTGCTATATATAAATAAGTATATATACACACATTGAGAAATGATTAACACAATTAGCTAATTAACATATTCATTCTTCACTTAGTTATCATGCAATTTTTTTTGTGGTGAAAACATTGAAGATCTATGCTCTTAATGATTTTCAAGTATACAATCCATTACTGTTAACTATAGTCACCATTTTTGCATTAACTCTCCAGGGGTTATTCGTCCTGTCTAGCTGAAACTTTGTACTCTTTGACTGACATGTCCTCATCCCCCTGCCCCACCCCACCCCGGGAACCACCATTCTATCCTCTGCTTTTATGAGTTCCACATGTATAAGTGGGATCATGTAGTGTTTGCCTTTCTGTGCCTGGCTTATTTCACTTGGCATAATGTCCTCCAGGTTATCCACAATGTTGCAAATGGCATGATTTTTTTCCTTTTAAAGGCTGAATAGAATTTCATTGTATGTATACACACACACACACACACACACACACCCGCATTTTCTTTATCCATTTATCTTTTGAGGGACACTTAGATTGATTCCATATCTCGGCTTTTGTGAATAATGCTGCAGTAAACATGGCAGTGTGTGATATCTCTTTGACATACGGATTTCATTTCCTTTGGATATATACCCAGTAGTAGGATAGCTGGATCATACAACAACTCTTATTTTAAGTTTTTGAGGACTGTCCATCCTGTTTTCCGTCATGTCTGTACTAATTTACATTCCTACCAACAGTGTGCAAGAGTTTCCTTTCTCCACGTCCTCACCAACACTCATTATCTTTTGTCTTTTGATAGCAGCCATTCTAGCAGATGTTAAGGTGATATCTCGTTGTGCTTTTAATTTGCACTTCCCTGACGATTAGTTGTGTTGAGCATTTTTCATACACTTGTTGGCCATTGTATGTCTTCTTCTGAGAAATATCTATTCAGATCCTTTGCCCATTTTTTAATCAGGTTATTTGTTTTATTGCTTTTGAGTTATTTGAGTTCCTTATATAGCGTGGATATCAACTCCTTATCAGATGTGTGGTTTGCAAATATTTTCTCCTCATTTGTAGGATGTTGCTTCACTCTTTGACTATTTCCTCTTCTGTGCAGAAGTGTTTAGTTTGATGTCATCTTGTTTGTCTATTTTTTGCTTTTGTTGCCTTTGTTTTGGGGATCATATCCAGGAAATCATTGCCCACACCAACGTCAAGGATATTTCTCCCTATGTTTCTTCTAGTAGTGTTACAGTTTCAGGTCTATGTTTAAATCTTTAGTCCATTTTGAGTTGATTTTTGTAATTGTGTGAGATGAGGGTTCAGTTTTATTCTTCTGCATGTAGATATTCAGTTTTCTAGCACCATTTGTTGAAGAGACTGCCCTTTCTCCATTATGTGTTCTTGGTATCTTTGTCAAAAATCCATTGACCATAAATGTGTAAGTTTACTTCTGGGCTCTCTATTCTGTTCCTCTGTGTCTGTGTGTCTGTTTTTATGCCACTACCATGCTGTTTTAATTACTGTAGCTTTGTAGTATATTTTGAAGTCAGGTAGTGTTCTTGCTCTAGCTCTGTTCTTTTTACCTCAAGATTGCTTTGTCTATTTGGGGTCTTTTGCAGTTCTATATGAATTTTAATATTTTTTTCTCTTTGAAAATTGCCAGTGGAATTTTGATAGGAATTGCACTGAATCTGTAGACAGCTTTGGTATTATGGACATTGTAACAATATTAATTGTTCCAATTATTGAACATAGGATATCTTTTCACTTGCTTGTTTCCTCTTCAATTTCTTTAATCAATGTTTTATCATTTTCAGTGTACAGATGTTTCACCTCCCTGGTTAAACTTATTCTTAAGAATCTTATGTTTTTTGGCCGGGCACAGTGGCTCACGCTTGTAATCCTAGCACTTTGGGAGACTGCGGCAGTGGATCACCTGAGGTCAGGAGTTTGACACCAGCCTGGCCAACATGGTGAAACCCCGTCTCTACTAAAAATATAAAAATTAGCTGGGCATGGTGGCTCATGCCTGTAATCCCAGCTACTCAGGAGGCTGAGGCAGGAGAATTGCTTGAACTCGGGAGGCAGAGGTTTTGGTGAGCCGAGATTGTGCCACTGTACTCCAGCCTGGACGACAGAGCAAGACTCCATCTCAAAAAAAAAAAAAAAAAAAAAGAATCTTATGTTTTTATTGCTATTATAAATGGGATCATTTCTTGATTTCTTTTTGGATAGTTTGATGTTAGTGTATATAAATACTACTGATTGTTCTGTGTTTATTTTGTATCCCACAACCTCACTGAATTCATTTATTAGCCCTAAACATGTTTTGGTGGAGTCTTTAGAATTTTCTGTATGCAACCTCTTCAAACAGAGCCAGTTTTTCTTCTTCCTTTCTTATTTGAATGCCTTTATTAAATTGAATTGGCATCATTGTCTTATTCCAGATCTTAGAAGAAAACCTTTTAGCTTTTCGCCATCGAGTATGTTGTTAGCTGTGGGCTTGGCACATATGGCTTTTATCATGTTGAGGTATATTCCTTCTTCACCTAATCTGTTAAGAGTTTTTAATTATGAAGTGATGTTGAATTTTGCCAGATGCTTTTTCTGCATCTTTTGAGATAATCATGTGATTTCATCCTTTATTCTGTTAATGTGTATATTACATTTATTGATTTGCATATATTCTTCTACTTGACCAAGTCTGCTGTTGAAACTCTATATGAAATTTTTCAGTTCAGTCATGTGTTCTTTAGGCCCAGAATTTCTTACTGGTTCTTTTCTATGGCTTCTATTCTATTTGTTAAGCTTCTAAGTCTGTTTTTCTGATTTCGTTTAGTTATCTATCTGTATTATCTGCAGCTTACTGAGTTTCTTTAAGTGATTATTTTGAATTGTTTATCAGGCAGTTCATAGATCTCCATTTTTAAAGGATTGGTTACTGGTGCTTTATGTTGTTCCTTTGGTGGTGTTATGTTTCCCTGATTACTCATGCTCCTTGTGGCCTTGTGTTGGTGTCTGTGCATTTGAAGAAGTAGGCACCTCTTTCAGTCTTTATAGATTGGCACATCCAGAGAATGGAATATTATTCAGCACTAAAAAGAAATGAGCTACCAAGCCATGAATAGACCTGGAGGAAGCTTAAATGCATATTACTAAGTAAAATAAGCCAATCTGAAAAGGCTACATACTACATGATTCCAACTACATGACATTTTGAAAAGGGCAAAACTATGGAGACAGTAAACAAGTCAGTGGTTTCCAGGGGTTAGTAAGGACAGAAAGATGAATAGGCAGAGCACAGAGGATTTTTAGGGCAATGGAACTATTTAGTATAATACTACAATTGTGGATGTATGTCATTACACATTTGCCCAAATTTATAGAATGTACAAGATCAACAATGAACCCTAATGTAAACTATGGACTCCAGGCAACAATACTGTTTCAATGTGGGTTCGTCAGTTATAGCAAATGTACCACACTGGTAGGAGATGTTGACAATAGAGGAGGCTGTGTGTGTGTGGGGGTAGAGGGTATATAGGAAATCTCTGTACCTTCCTCTCAATTTTGCTATGAATGTAGAACTGTTCTAGAAAATAAAGTTTATTAAACATTATGTAATTTTGCTTGAATGTAATGTTCAAAATATAACAAAATGAAATGGTAGAAATTGTTGAACTTCAGGTAAATGTTTCTTGATTACAAGAGATAGTAGTTTAATTAGATTCCTCTAATCTAAGAAAAAGATGGTGGCCCAATTTCCTTTTTCCAAACACCAAATTGTATTTTCCTGTGTGGGAAAAGGATTTTGTCTCACTTAGATTCACTCAGCAGTTCTACACTCAAAATCTAGAGGAAGTGAAAAGAAGGATTGGTTATTTCCATTTCTGACAATATGATAGACTAGATATCCCAAAACCTTTTTGTCACAAAGTGGCTATCTAAGGTTGCCTGGTAATTTCCCACCACCTGGAGTCTTGAGTTTTACCTGCGGGGTGCAAGGGCCTTGGCCTGTGAAAGTTGAAAGGTTTGAACAGTGTTGATCTAGAGACACATCTGTGCAGTTAAAAGAGATGATCCAGTAAGGAAATGTGGTTTTTTCAGCTTGGACCCTGGGCAGAATTAGAAAAAGAAACTTCCCCTGATAATTTAGAATTCAGACCAGCCTTCATAAGGTGTGACATTCTAATTTATGGCACTGGCACAGTACATAACCCTCAAGCCAAGAAATTAATGTAAAGTGGTCCTGGATTGGGAATATCTTCAGGTACCTAAAAGAAGCAAATGCAGATCTTCTCTGGAGGAATGCACTCCCAAGCCAGGCCTCATGAAATCCCCACAGAAAAGTCCTGATGAACATAAGCTGATATTGAAAAATCAAGAAAAACACAAGCAAACATGCCATTGCAAATGAAAATTAGCAGAAACAACAAAGAGTAGAAATTAGTTCCCTAAAGACTTCAGATACTATAAATTTTAAGACATAGAATATAAAATAAATGTGCTTTCATGTTGAAAGAAATAAAAAAAGAAAACAGAATTGTAAACTAAGAAAAAAAATCAGGTAGTTTTGAAAAATATTCAAATAGAACTTCTAAAAATGAAAAAAAAAACACATTGAAATAAGAACCTTATGGTTAAACAGCGGATTAGACATAGCTGAAGAGAGAACTAGCAAACAGGAAAGCAGAGCTCAGCTATCCAGAATCCAGTATAGAGAAACAAGGAGATAGGAAATATGAAGCACAGGCTAAAAGACATAAAGGATAGGGTAAGAATGCCTAATATACATTTCATTGGAATTCTAGAAAAAGAGAATAAATAGAATGAAAAAGAAGCAGTATCCAAAAGAAAAATGGCAGAGCTATATACTAGAATTTTCTAGAACTCATGAAAAAAAATGAAACTTCACATTCAGGAATCATAATGAATCCCAAGTAGGATAGAGAACAGGACAAAACAAAATAAAACTCCACTTGAGATCCTTCATGATGAAATAACAGATAATTCAATATGAAGAGATCTGTAAAACCTTAAAAATATCCAGGGAGTAAAGGCAGATTGCATAAAAACAACAGAATTTAGACGGACAGCTGACTTCTCAATAGCAATAATGGAAGCCAATGGTGCTATTAAGAAGTCCAATACCATTTGGCTTTTTCTGTCTATGTGACCTGTTTTTCTTAGAATTTTCTTTTAATCCTTGGAGTTCTGAAATTTTATAGAGATGAACCTTGGAGTAAGTATTGTTTCATTAATTGTGCTGGTTTCTCAGGGAGACATTTTGGCTTGGCAACTCATCATTGTCTTTAGTTTTGGAATTTGTTCTTGCATTGTTTTTTTGATAGTTTCCAACCCTAGTTGATCTAATTCTTTTAAAATTTCTCTCCTATTTTCTTTCTTTTAATTTCTTTCCTCCCTTCCTTCATTTTTCTGTAAGTATATCAAACTTCTTTGATTTGAACTTCCAGATTTTGGGACAGATTGAATTTTTTATTTTAATCATTATATTTTAAATTTCCAATAGTTCGGTTTTTGCTTCATGTATTTTGAAGCTCTATTGTTAGTTCCATACATATTTTGGATCGCTATATTTTCTTGGTAAATTGATCCTTTAATCATTAAGTAATGTCTTTCTGGGCAGGTGTTGCAGTGAGCCAAGATTGGACCACTGCACTCCAGCCTAGGTGACACAGAGAAATTGTTTCAAAAAAAAAAAAAAAAAAGTAATGCCTTTCTGTTTTTTGGACCAACTTTTTGGCCTAATATCTACTTTGTCTAATTTTGATATAGTTACTTGAGCTTTCTTTTGTAGTATTACCATGGTATATTGTTTTCCATCCTTTTACTTTTACCTATGCTATTATATTTAAAGTAAGTTTCTTGTAAACAGCATATAGTTAGACCACTCTTATCTATTCTGCGATATCTGTCTTTTAATTGGTGTATCTAAACTGTTTACATTTAATCAATTATAAATATATGTTAACTGGCCCACCATTTAATTTTTTTTCGGTTCATTCCCTCTGTTTTTATTTCCTCTGTTTACCTATTCCTGCTTTCTTTTGGGCTTTTGAAACATTTGTAAATTTTTTATTTGAACATTTTATTAAATTATAGTTTCACATGAAGATGTAACAAATAATTCAAAGACATCTCTTGTACAGTTTTCTCAGTTTTCCTCAGTGATAACAGTTTGGAAAACTATAATATAACATCACAGCCAGGAATTCAACATTGGTACAATCCACTAATCTTATTCAGATTTTCCCAGTTTTACTTGTGTTTATTTGTGTGCATTCAGTTCTATACAATTTAATCACCTGTATATGTTTGTGTTCCCATCACCCTCTCAAGATTCTGAACAGTTCCAATACTACAAAGAACCTGAGAAGCTCTTGTGTTTTCTTTTTAAAACCATACCAACCTTCTTCTGGCTTCCCCATTCTGAACTGCTGGCAACCATTAATCTTTCATTCCTTTCCTAAAATTTTCTCATTTCAAAAATGTTGGCCAGGTATGGTAGCTTACACCTGTAATCTCAGCATTTTAGGAGGCCAAGGCAAGAGCATCCCTTGAGGCCAGGAGTTCAAGACCAGCCTGGGCAACATAGAGAGACCATGTCTCTACTAGGCATGATGGTGTGCACCTCTAGTCTCAACTACTTGGGAGGCTGAGGCTGGAGGATCACTTGAGCCCAGGAGTACAAGGTTGCAGTGAGCTATGATCATGCCACTGCACTTTAGCCTGGGTGACAGAGTGAAACCCTGTCTCTAAAATAAGTAAAGAAATAAATAAATGAAAAACGAAACAAACAAAAATGTTATATAAGTGAAATAATATATTTTGTAATCTTTTGGGATAGGCTTTTTGCACTCAGCATAATTTCTCAAGATTCATTTAAGTTGTGTGTATCAGTAGTTTGTTTCTTTTTATTGCTGGGTAATATTTTATGGTATATATGGACCACAGATTGCTTACCCCTTGAACTGGTTTAAACGTGTCCCCCAAAGTTCACATGTTGGAAACTCGATCTCCAATGTGGTGTTGTTGGGAGGTGAGGCCTAATGAAAGATGTTTCAGTCATGGGGACACCACCCTCATGAATGCATTAATGCTTTTATCGAGGGAGTGGGTTTCTCATAAAAGTACAAGTTTTGCTCCCTCTTCCTCTCTTTCTCTCTCTCTCTTTGCCCTTCGGCCATGAGATGATGCAGCAAAAAGGCCTTCACCAGATCGCCAGATGCTGGCCCCTTGATCTTGGACTTCTCAGTCTCCAGAATTGTGAGAAACATTTCTGTTTGTTATAAATTACCTGATCTCAAGTCTTCCGTAATAGTAGTACAAAATGGACTAAGATATCCATTCACCTATTTAAGAACATCTAGGCTGATTCCAGTTTTTGGCTATTAAAAATAAAATTGCTACAAATATTGGTGTAATATCTAAAGGTTTTAAATATTCCATTTTAATGTATCTATTTTGTTTTTGATATCTATTTCTTAGTATGGTTTCATTGCTCCAGGGATAACAATAAACATGCTTAACTTTTCTGTCTATTTAGAATCAATATTTTACTATGCCAGAAGCAATGTAGAAGAAAACTAACCACCACATAGGTCCTACTATTACTTTCCTTGCCCCCGCCCTTTACGTTATAGTTATTTTTAAATATCAAACCTCTACCTACCTAGTTGGATTCAGGCTGC
Organism: Homo sapiens; assembly: GCF_000001405.40. Lineage (NCBI taxonomy): Eukaryota > Metazoa > Chordata > Mammalia > Primates > Hominidae > Homo > Homo sapiens. The sequence continues at coordinate 34,007,990 of NC_000019.10, read as the reverse complement.
ATGTTCTAACCAGATGTAAAGGTTGTAGGTCAATGTGAATTGGATTTTCAAAGTCTTTGCAGTGCTATCAGATCTGTCCCAGATGTGCTCCACCAATGGTCAGTCTGGGATCTGGGCTATGCTTTATTCTGTTGTTCAGTTCACGACGTCTATGGTGAGTGGTTTGGGATTAGATCCATGCATGTGCAGCTCGGAAGCTTGCCCAGGAGTTCATAAATGACTTTATGGGGTGGTCTTCTCCAACTCGTATTTCTTCACCATCTCTCAGGTACTTTTATGTTCTCTGGGTGCTCCATTTTCAGTTCTCAGGTCAGAAAGCGGAGGCTTTATTTATCATGCTCTGCCATGCACTTCCCATGGCCAAGAGTTGGGAGAGGAGAGAGAAAGAGAGACAGAGGGGAAGACAGAAGGAGAGAAGGAAGGAAGAGCAAGTAGACACAAGATTTGTCCCTTCCTGTTGGGGGACATCCCCTGATTAGAGAGGAAATTTCCTCTCCCTCAGAATTTTAGGCACCTGTGGGTAGCTCTGGGCTGAGGTGTGAGGGAATGAATGACAAAAATTTGATGATGGGGTGTGGGTAATATTTCTACTTAACTCGGAGTGTTGGCAGATGCCTTTCCTGCTCCTCAAGCCAGAATGAGCGGGTGTGTCCTGAAGCTCTCTGTCTGCTCCATGTCCATTCCAGGCTCCAGCTGTGTCTCATCCAGGCTGGGGGATACTGGAGGGGAAAAAAAAAAGGTTTGGTGATACTTCAAATTATGTTATTTTTCTTTAATTTATCATGTTCCCTTTGGAATCCTCAAAGAACTAATCCATGCATGCTGTGTATGTTTTATAGCTCCGTTCAGTGGGAGAGATAGGCTAGAGTGTTCTTTCTCCATCTCAGCAGTAGAACTGGAACTCCTTCATCCACTTTTTTTTCTTTCTCTCTCTCTCTCTTTTTTTTTTTTTTTTAAAGATAGGATCTTCCTCTGTCACCCAGGCTAGAGTACAGTGGTGTGATCATAGTTCATTGCAGTCTCCAACTCCTGGGCTCAAGCCTGGGAGGCTCACCCTAATTGTAGTTCAGCCTAATTGTAGATTTTCCTTCTGCATCTACTTCTACCATGTTTCCATCCTCCAGCCTCAGCCTCCTGAGTAGCTGGGACTACAGGCACATGCCACCCCACCCAACTAATTTCTAAAGAGATGGGGTCTTGTTAGTTGCCCAGGCTGGTCTTAAACGCTGGGACTCAAGAGGTCCTTGGCCTCGAAAGCACTGGGATTACAGGCATGAACCACCACATCCGGCCCACACTTGACACATCTATCTACATGTGTATGTATTTCTTTTCAGTTCTCTTCATCTTCATGAAATTACACGTTTGTTTAGAGTTCCTTACAATTTTAGCATGGTTTTAAGAGGGAGAGAGAGAGGGGAGGTGACCACATGGTCACTCCTCCAGTTTTCCTTCACGAAGTCTAATAAAATTGTGTCTTAAGATAATTTTGACTATTTTTCTTGGTTATTATGATGGTTGAGTTTTTAGTATCACTTCAAGCTTTAAGGCTTTTTGTTTGTTTTTTTTAATAAACAAGGGTATCTATTTTTAAAAGTGGAAGAAGTTTAGAGGAATAATTTGAAATCTGGTATTTTGTTTTTCCAGCCTGATTAGAAATAGAGCATTTTTCCAATTTTAGAATGAATGAATATTTACATAATATGTAAGTGATAGAAATGTAAGATAATATATAATGAATATATGTAATATATTATACATATATATATCTTTAGACATATATAGAGAGAATCTGAATATCTTCTTTACCAGTTTACATAAACCCCAAGTATTCATGCTTTAATAATAATAAACTGGTAAAAAAGACATCCAGATTGTTTTCCTCCCTTTATGTTAACCAAATCAAAAGTATTTTAATTTGTTTCTACTATGATAGTGGAAACGCTTTACCTCTGTATATTGTTCTATATTGCCTCAATGTTACTTCTTTAATTATATGATAATTGTAGGTTTTCCTTCTTATGTATCAATATCTACCATGTTTCCCTTTAATAATAATAATAATTATTATTATTATTATTTTGAGACAGAGTCTTGCTCTGTCACACAGACTGAAGTGTAGTGGCACGGTCTCGGCTCACTACAACCTCTGCCTCCCGGGTTCAAGCGATTTTGGTGCCTCAACCTCCTGAGTAGCTGGGACTGCAGGCGCCTGCCACCACATCTGGATAATTTTTGTATTTTTAGTAGAGACAGGGTTTTACCATATTGGCCAGGCTGGTCTCAAACTCCTGACCTGAAGTAATGTGCCTGCCTCAGCCTCCCAAAATGCTGGGAATACAGACGTGAGCTGCTACACCCAGTCTTTAATTATAATTATTTTTATTTCACTTGCTTTGAGGTTTTCGCTGCCTCTCATGATTAGTTATCTAATATCATTTTGCAAAGCATCTAGAAGGATGGAATCTTTGCTGTATTAAAATATCTCGTGTAGTTTTTTGACTTGCCATCAGCTGAAAATAGTTGGGTTTTAAATATTTTCATCTTTCCTTGTTCCTTTTGTTTTAAGATTGTCATAAGCATAGACCTTTAGCTTGATGCCTTCATGAGATAAAGGGGAAACTGGAGCTTGGAACTTGATTTCATCCACAGGTACACTGCTTTAAACGTTCACTTTTTATTAACAAAGCTAATGTGAAAGCAAAGTGTTTTCTGTTGCCAATTTAACTTCTTTAATTAAAAATAAAAGTTATAAGGTAGTAGTGCCATGGGTGAAGTTCTAATATCATCAGAATGGGGAAAATGTGTTTGAAATTAAAACTGTTGGCATGGTGGTGACTCTACAGTATAGTATCAGAAGTTTTGACACTTTATTTAATGGAAAATGGATACCAGCGCCTTAAACTCATCTAGTATTGCCTTTTAAAAAATTATAAAACTATAAGAGGCATGACTATGAGAAAAGCACTGATGAAAGCTGAGGGCGCCCTGGGAAGATGGGAGTTTGAAAGATTAAAGCATGAGTCCTGAGTTTTAAACTCTAAAAGAATGTTTGTTCTTGTTCTTAAACGAGGTCAGGCAAAGTAGCATTCCTCTTACTTTCACCAACTGCACACAGGTGGCAAGTGTCTGAAACTAACAATCACGCTAGAATGTGCTGAGCCCTATTATAACAAAATTCCAGAGAGAACCCCTGACTCTCTTTGTGCCAGTGGGATGGCTTTAGGAGTTAATTCTTTTTCTGCCTAAAAAGCAAAGTACTCAGGAAAAGTGGGTTTTTTTGGAGAGTCTTAAGAATCCCCCCGATTTCCAATTATATCAGAAATGATCTTTTCAAATGTAGTTCCCCATTCATGAAGATCTCTACCTATACTTACTGGAATTAGTGTATCTGTCATACTTGTGCAGTCTCGATAGTAGAATTTCTAACATTTTGCACAATTATGTTCTTTTCCCCCAGAAGAAGTCAAATGCCATACCAGACATATCATTTTACAAAATATTAATAGATTTTTTTCCAATATCAATATTATACACAGAGGTATTTCAGGCATACAAAAACATGACATCTACAAAGACTTTAACATAAAAATGTCCTTGGCTCGGGACTCACGGTAAAAGTGTAATAGCAAAACTAAATTAATTTCACGGTAATTTATCATCCCTAAAATTTAAAGTGGGAGGAGGTGAAGGGTCTTTCCATCGTGTGCCTTCTCCATGTCTTCCAACAAAATGAAAGGCTAAGATTTAGTAAAAGTAAACTAAAATGTGGCCTATCTGTGTAAACTTGGCATTCATTTGCTTTTTTCCCCCTAAGCCCACAGGTCGGTCCTTCTTGACATATTTGGCCAAGCTTACAGACGTTGAGCTCCAACAGCACTGACACTTTCAGAAGATTGGGTTTTTAGATTAAGCAACTGTGGCTGACAGTGAGGACCTTTCCAAAGCACCAGCCACCAGCTGGCATGGCTGCCCAGGGCAAGCGGGACCTTCCATAACCCGCTGGCCTGCAGTGCCCAGAAAGCTGGAGGCGCCCCATTCCCTCCCAAATCAGTCCCCTTTGCTCAGTCTGCCATGTGACAAGGAAGGGGCTGTGGGGCCCCATCTGTCCCAGCCATCACAGAACAGAGTAGGACTGCAGAGAAACAGGAAACAGATTGCAACCCTTGCATGGGTTTCTGACTTCGTATCAGCCCGTCCAAGATTCCCCTCATATTGCATTATATTATTTCATAGACTGACGTGCCAGGAAATTTTTCCTCTTTCTTTACCCCACCTTCCAGGAACGGCTGGAAAATCATCTTCAATCATTTCACCTGGAAGTCTCCCAAGAGGACATGAGTATCCTGTTAAGACATCCTTTTATGTTTTCAGTAGCTTTGCAGTTTTGTCTTTGGTATGTTTTTGCAGTATTGTGCTTTTCCTTCATTTTTTCCCCTGTGATTCATTAGTCTTTCTCCTGTTGTAGAGGGTTATAATTATATCCAAATTAATAGTCAAGAAAGCATTCACATTTAGGATAGCAGTTTTTCTACAGGAAATTAGGTTAGCTGCTTTCTTTCCCAGCAAAACCTCATTTTGTTGGGTTTTTAATTTTTTTCCCCGATTTCTGAAATAGCTTTATTGTTTTCATCTGTTTATATATTGAAATACATACTGTTTGGAACATCTTATGAAAATTCTGAAACATGGAAAGAGGTTAAGAAAGACTACCCATAACTTCACTTCACGGAGACAATTTCTTTTCTCATTTGAGCTAAATCATTCCGGTCCTCTTTAGGTAGCCAGAAATACAACTATCTATATGTGTGTAGATAGTTACACTCTCTTTTTAGAATACTCGGAGCTATACCCTCTTCTTAGAATAAATACTCAGAACTCCCTCAACCAATACCATCCTAACTTAGCCCAACTTTAACTTAAGGACCACAAACCACAAGTGGGCCTGTAGCACGGCTCAGCAACACAAATCCATCTCTCCAGTTGGCTCACTCTGCCACTCTCCAAAACTGGTGTTTCATGCCTTCTCCTTCAATCATCAACACCCTTTCCCTTCCTCATGTTTCAGTAGATGACCTTGTCTGTTTCACTGAGAAACAAGAAGCAGTAAAATGAGAACTGTCTCATCATCCAGCCATGAAATCAAAAACACCAGCCTCCCCGCCTCTGTTCCCACCCTGGCTCTCCTGGGGCTGTAAGCAGCCCCTACTCACACACTGCGCCCCATCTCTCCTCCCGCTCAGTGGCTCATCTCTTCATTCTCCCACTCATTGCTTTTTCTCTCAACTCCTTGCTTCCCAGCAGCATAAAAGCATGTTATACTCTCTCTCTTATTAAAAGCACTTCTTGGCAGGGGCAGTGGTTCACACCTATAATCCCAGCACTTTGAGAGGACGAGGTGGGCGGATCACTTAAGATCAGGAGTTTGAGATCAGCCTGGCCAACATGGAGAAACCTTGTCTCTATTAAAAATACAAACATTAGTGGGGAGTGGTGGTGCATGCCTGTAATTCCAGCTACTCGGGAGGCCAAGGCAGGAGAATTGCTTGAACCTGGGAGGTAGAGGTGGCAGTGAGCTGAGATCATGCCACTGCACTCCAGCCTGGATGACAGGGTGAGACTCCATCTCAAAAAAAAAAAAGCACTTCTTGTATCATGTCTGCCCCGTCTATAACCACGTTTCCCTGCTCCCCTTTATGGCAAAATTTCTCAAGAGTTAGATAGACTTACCATTTCTACTCTGTATTGACTCTGTTTTCTCATTTTCTAGATTCTTCATGCTCAAGCATTTGCGGGCCTTGATCCTGGAGAGACTGCCCCTTCCAGCACTAGAGATAATTCCTAGAGATAGCCAAGGACTCCCCTGCAAGCATGCCTTTAACATACAAACCAACCAATCCAGAGCCCAACCCACAACCATCTCCTTTATCAAATTCTCACACACCAAGCCAATATTCCCCATGTACTAAGTCACCCCAGGGCCAGGTACAGGACAACCAGAGATCTTTCCTATAGCCCAGAAACAGCTGGAATTATTCAGACCATCCAATCCTAGGCATACTCAGTGTCTCTACCTTGACTCGCTCAGGACTGGAGACAGACACTGGTCCCGGGGATGGGAGCCACCCCCAGTCCAGTAGTAGGAAGCTTATTCTTCTGTACACAGTGAAGCTGTCTCCTCTTCCATCACAACTCCCTGCTGGGGTCAGTGTCCTCTTCCAGGTCCCTCTGATGATGGTGTCTGCCATTGTTCTCTCTTTAAGCAGAGTGTTTCAGCTTTAGTATGGTCATTCTTCATTTGTTCTGTTTACAATATATTGCTAATCAATATAGATTAGAAACAGGCAAAATTTTTCTTTTGGAATTTCAAGTCAAAATTTATTTATTTATTTTGAGATGGAGTCTTGCTCTGTCACCCAGGCTGGAGTGCAGTGGTGTGATCTCTGCCTCCCGGATTCAAGTGATTCTTCTGCCTCAGCCTCCTGAGTAGCTGGGACTATAGGCATGCACCATCATGCCTGGCTAATTTTTATATTTTTAGTAGAGATGGGGGTTTCACCATGTTGCCCAGGCTGGTCTCGAACTCCAGACCTCAAGTGATCCAGCTGCCTTGGCCTCCCAAAGTGCTGGGATTATAGGCTGAGCCACCACACCCAGCATTCACATAGTTCTTTAGGCCTTTCCTATATCAGCACATGCTAAACAGCATGGAAGGAGGATGTCCGGCCTTGTGTTGCTGGCTTATATCTGAGACAGATGTTGTGCAAATAACTGTTAGCAATTCAGGTTTGATTTCATTGTCGAAGTGATTTGGGGTCTAAAAGTTTGGCACCATGGGATATGTGAGAAGTGTGTGTTAGGCACATTTCTTTTTTCTTTTTTCTTTTTTTTTTTTTGGAGACGGAGTCTCGCTCTGTCGCCCAGGCTGGAGTGTAGTGGTACGATCATGGCTCACTGCAACCTCCGCCTCCCGGGTTCAAGCCATTCTCCTGCCTCAGCCCCCCGAGTAGCTCAGATTACAGGCATGTGCCACCATGCCTGGCTAATTTTTTTTGTATTTTTAGTAGAGATGGGGTTTCACCATGTTGGCCAGGCTGGTCTCGAACTCCTGGGCTCAAGTGATCCGCCCACCTCGGCCTCCCAAAGTGCTGGGACTACAGGAGTGAGTACCACATTTCTATCTCTGCTTTGTGGTGGCTGCTCCATCAGATTAGTTAGGCTTCTTGGAAATAAAAGATTTGGGTGCATGGAATTATATAGAGAGGCTAATGAGGGTAGAAGGACAATGTACAGCATTTTAAAGACTTAAAAAGGAAGAGAAACTGTATTTTAAACTTGAGTTAGCAATATTATAAGCAAATTGGTTTTTTTTTTTAAAGAAACCTACAGTAGATTTTATTTAAAACTGAATATTTAACGGTTTATTGGGTAAGCCCAAAGGCTTGAAATTACACGTCTATGAATTTAGGCCTTGCGTTTTTGACACCTTGGATCCTATTCTCCTTCCTTTGCTATTTTTTAACTTACTGCAACAGATGAGGGGCTCTTAAACCATCTGTTAACCTTTCTTTCTCCTTTTCTTAACCGTGTAGAGTTGCTCAAGGCAAGAAGACCCGGTGCCAGCAAGACTGAAACAAAAAAGCAAAAGAGGTGAGCATGGAAGAGATCATTGGGTTTGACATTTCAACGCTTGGGCCTATTAATTTTTTATGCCCTGCTACTTGTATATCGTTAATAAAAATCTGACGAAAAACTTTTTAGGATGTATTTGTTGCTTTGGCTTTGATCTTAATGTTTGCAAACTAATACATTAATACATGTGAAGCCTTAAGGAGTTTTTCTAAGAGAATATTTCCATACATTATATTTTCATTTCCATTTTAGGTAGCTGAGCCTCTGTGGGGTTGCAGATGGTAGTGGCATTCGATTTTGGTGGGAAATGTATCTCTTTGCCTGCCGTTAAATGTTACTTCTCAGACAAAACGAAACCTTGTCATCAGTCTTTTACCTAAATTCACTTCTGCAAGAGCCCCACACCTCTAAGGTGGTGTTGTCATTTCAAATTCTTCATTCTAAAAAGATACGTGAAACTCCATTCAGTTATTTGCGATAGTAAAACCAGTCCCAGATCATCTAATAGCAGGGATTGCTGTCTAATTATTAAAATTTCACTTGGATTAGGCTACAGAGATCAGCTCAACTGAACATCATTATTTTTTTTTTTACCCCTTTTTAGGTGTCTGTTCCCTAGTAGCAACATCTGTGACTGAGTTGTGACAAACTCAAAAGTTAAGCCAACACACACGTGTCATCTTTTTATTTATATGTTACCTCTCTGCTCCCAAATATAAGACACAGTGATGGCATGAAAAAATGTTCACAAAAACCCTCTAAGCAACAAATGAGATTTGAGGATCTAATGAATACTTGCATTATATTCGAAAATTTACTTTATAAAATAAGTAGACATGAAACTTGAATGATTACTTATTATTTTATGCCTAGTGTTCCACTATTGGAACACCAAGCCTGTGGGAGTTATTTATATCCTACTGCTCAAGGTCAGCGCCAAGGTCTGATTTTTCACTTATGCAAAAATTCAAAAAATTGCAACCTCCAGCATAAATGGGTTAAAAATGATCACTAACCCAATTTTAAACAGTTCGTGGGTGAATAGACTATTACAATGACCCTCTCAGTTGCACATTACTTTAAAGTGACTGCGAAACTCATTGAATATTTACGATTTATGTTGAGTATAATACTACCTTCAATAGTTTTTGAATTTTTATCCTTGTAAGTAATGTTTGAAATGTCTGTCATTTTCTAATTTATGAGTAATTAATTATTCTGGTAAATGTTAAGTACCTTTTTTTACAGGAGAGTGTATGGAAAGAAAAAGTATACTACACAGAAAAGAAAAATTAATTCAGATTAACCATTAAAATAAACACTGATCAGCATGATGATTATTATGAAAATTTCTTTTACTATTGTTCCCCAAAAGATGGATGAAATTCTTATCAATATGGTTATTTTTTTAGATCCACTAGAGGGAGTAATGCTGTACAGATGTGTATTTTTTAATGAAAAAAATTTGTTTGTTACTGAGTTTGTAAATAAAATTTTGGTAACAGTATTATCAAAATTCACCAGCCATGGAGTTGAGTGTGGCTTTTTATTTATGACTTTTACTAGATGACAGAGGGGAGCTCTATACTTCCACGCATTTGTCCTATTTCTTTCTCTCTCTTCTAATGTAGTTCCTTAATTTTCTAATTCTGCGTATTGTCCTGAGGCAATATTGATATGCAAATAAGCTTTAGCATTCAAAAACTGAAGCTTTTGAGATTCTGACTTTCATTTCCTAGAGATTCTGTGTTTGGTACAGTAGCTCCACGACAGGGAATAAATGATTACAACTTCGTTTCCATCACAGCTTTTAAAAGCAAGCCTTCTTCTGACTCAGAACCTGCTCCCGGACCTCCCCGTGGTCTCCCTGGACTGGTGCTGTGACTCTGGGGGAACGCCAGGGAAGGAAGAGAGGAAAACCTTGTTATTGATGCTAAATGATACCCTCTCAAACAAGAGAGTTCTTCTCATCTTCTGTTTTCTATGAAGCAAGGATAATAAGAAGCTTCAAATTGGAACATGTTTTATTTTTCAAAACTTAAAGAGCTTAAAGTAATTTATACACACGCTTTTAAAAATTTTAAGAAGTACTGAAAGGCTTGCAGTGAAAAGCTCGTCTTCTGCTCCTCAGAGCGATCACTTTGTAAAATGAAATTTTTATTGAGGTAAAATTTACATATGGTGAAATACGTACACAGACTTTAAGTCTTCAAGCCAAGTGGTTTTGATAAAAATTGGTGCAGTGGTGTAACTACCGCCACGTTCAAGACACACATCATTTCTATCACCCCTGAAAATACCTTCACGCCCCTTGGCCATGCTATACAGGAAAGCAAAAGTAATTCACCATAATGACCATGAAAATGACCACTGAGTAGAAGAATTGTTATGGAAATATCTTTTACTATTGTTTTTAAAAGATGAAATAGTTATAAATATGGTTATATTTTGGATCCACTAGAGGGAGTAATAAAGTCCAATTGATCAATTTTTTATTTTATCTCGTGTTTTTGATATCATTCTTCAAGAAACCTAAGATCACTGATTTACTCATGCTTTCTTCTAAGAGTTTCACAGTTTTAGCTCTTACATTATAGTCCATGATCCATTTCAAGTTTAATTTTGTGTATGGTGTGAGGGAAGGGTCCACACATACTTTTACATGTGGCTGTACAATTGTCCCAGCAACATTCGTTGAAAAGATTATTCTTTCCCCCATTGGATTGTTTGGGTACCCTTGTTGAAAAGCAATTGATAATGACTGTAAAGGGTTATTTCTGGACTCTGAATTCTCTTCCATTGATCTAAATGTCTCTCCTTATGTCAGCACCACACTGTCTTGAGTATAGGAGTTTTGTATTAAGCTTTGAAATCAGGGTGAATAAGTCCTCCAACTTTGTTTTTCATTTCCAGATTGTTTTTGCTATTCTGTGGATTTTGCATTTCTATATGAACTTTAGATCAGTTTGTCAATTTCTACAAAAATATCCAACTGAGGTTTTAATAAGGATTGCATTGAGTCTTAGATCAATTTGTGGAGAATTGTCATCCTAATAATACCAAGTCTTCCAGCCTTTGAAAATGTAATGTCTCTCTCCATTTATTTAGATCTTCTTAATTTCTTTCAACAAAGTTTTGTAGTTTTCAGAGTGTAAGCTTTGCACTTCTTTTGTTAAATTTGTCCCTAAATATTTTATTCTTTTTGATTCCATATTGTGAATGGAACTGCTTTCTTAATTTCATTTTAGATTGCCATTGTTAACGTATAGACATACAATTGATTTCTCTATGTTGATTTATCCTGCCGCCTTGCTGAATTCATTTATTAGTCATTTTTTAAAAATAGATTTTTTAAAGGATTTTCTGTATATGAGATTATGTTGTCTGAAAATAAAGATAGTTCTATTTCAGACTTTCGAGTCTGGGTGTCTTGTGTTTCTTTTGCTTGCCTAACTTCCCTGGCCAGAACCTCCAGTACAACATTGAAGAGAAGTTATAAAAGTAGGCATCTTTGTCTTGTTGGCAATCTTTTGCTTAGCCGAGGTTTAAAATTTTGATGAAGTTCAACTTCCAATTTTTTTTCTCTTACAGTTAGTGTTTTTTGTGTTCTAAGAAATCTTTGCCTACTTCAAGATTATGAAAAATTTTTATATGTTATGTGATTTATCTTATAAGTTTAGGTCTATGATACATTTCAAATTAATTTTTGCATATGTGTGAGGAACTAAGTGAGGTTCTCTTTAAAAATCCATAACCGGCTGGGTGCAGTGGCTCATGCCTGTAATCCCAGCACTTTGGGAGGCTGAGGTTGGTGGATCACCTGAGATCAGGTGTTGGAGACCAGCCTGGCCAACATGGTGAAACCCCATCTCTACTGAAAAATACAAAAGTTAGCCAGGCGTGGCGGGCGCCTGTAGTCCCAGCTACTCCGGAAGCTGAGGCAGGGAGAATTGCTTGAACCCGGGAGGTGGAGGTTGCAGTGAGCCGAAATTGAGCCACTGTACTCTAGCCTGAGCCACAGAGCAAGAGTCTGTCTTAAAAAAAAAAAAAATCCATAACCATATTTATATATAAAAAGACATGTAGATATAGAAATCCAGTTGTTTCTTATCATTTATTGAAAAGATTATTCTTTACTTCATTGAATAACATTTGCATCTTTATTGAAAAATGAACTTATACTTACCAGGGCTACAAATATATAAAAGTTATGCTGGCCTCATAAAGTGAGTTTGAAAGCATTCTTTCCTTCTCCATTTTCTGAAAAGGTTTCTATAAAATTGGTATTATTTTTTCCTTTAAAGTTATTGATAAAATTTACCAGTGAAATAACATGGGCCTGGAGTTGTTTTGTGGGAAGATTTTTGATTATGAGCTCAATTTCCTTTATAGATAGAAGTCAATTCAGATTTTCCATTTCTTCTTAAATGTCCTTTGGTAAATTGTGTTTTTCAAGAAATTTAACCACTACTTAATTGTCCTTTTACTTAATTGGGCTGGAGCCATCTTCCCATCTCAGCCTCCGAAGTAGCTGGGACTACAGGCATGGGCCACCATGACAAGCTAATTTAACTTTTTTTTTTTTTTTAATAAGAAATGATGTCTCACTATATTGCCCAGGCTGGTCTTAAACTCCTGGGCTCAAGCAATCCTCCTACCTCAGCCTCCGGAAGTGCTGGGATTACAGGCATGTGCCACCATACCTGACCTTTCTCTTTCATTTCTGATGTTGGTAATTTGTGTCTTCTCTCTTTTTTTCTTGATTAGTCCTACTTATTTTTATCAATTTATTAATCACTTCAGGGAACTACATTTTGGATTTGTTATTTTTTTCTTTTTGTCTGTTTTGTATTTGTTTTTCTTTAACTGGCTTCTTAAAATATTAACTTTAAATGTTGATTTTAATTCGTTCTTTCCTAACATAGACATTTACATTGTAAATTGCTCTCTAAGCACAGCTTTAACTATGTTTTCTAACTTTGTGTGTTGTTTGAATTATCACTCACTTTTAAATACTTTATAATTTCCATTGTGTTTATTCTTTGAGCTGTAGTTTGTTTGGAAGTACCCTGTTTAAACATTTGGAGATTTCCTAGATATCTTACAATTATTGACGTAATTGTAAGACGTAATTGTATATTGTGTGGTAAGACCATCCTCTCTTTTGACATTCATTGAGACTTATTTTAAGGCCCAGCATATGGTCCTATCTTGGTGAATGTTGCACATGAATTTGAAAACAGTGTACATTCTGAATTTGGTAAGAATGGTGGTCAGTAAATGTTAATTAGATAAAATTATTTGATAGTGTTCTTTAGATTTTCAGTTTATGTGTTCTATCAGTTACTGAGAGAAGGGTGTTAATATAGCCAACTGTGATTGTGAGAGGCTGTTGACTTGACCCTTTACTTCTTTTCTCAAGATTTTTTTTAGTTTTCAATTTTTGTGGGTTTATGGTAGGTGTGTATATTTATGGGGTACATGAGATGTTTTGATACAGGCAAGCACTACGTAATAATCATATCACGGAGAATGAGTGATATGGTTTGGCTGTGTCCCCACCCAAATCTCATCTTGAATTGTAGCTCCCATAATTCCCATGTGTTGTGGGAGGCACCCGGTGGGAGATAATTGAATCATGGGGGCGGTTTCCTCATGGGGAGGGGTAGTGAATAAGTCTCACGAGATCTGATGGTTTCATAAGGGGAAACCCCTTTTGCTTGGCTCTCATTCTCTCTTGCCTGCAGCCATGTAAGATGTGCCTTTCACCTTCCACCATGACTGTGAGGCCTCCCCAGCCACATGGAACTCTTAGTCCATCAAATCTCTTTTTCTTTACAAATTACCCAGTCTTGGGTATGTCTTTATCAGCTGTGTAAAAATGGACTCATACAATGAGGTATCCATCTTCTCAGCATTTATTTTTTGTGTTACAAACAATCCAGTTACACTCTTTTGGTTATTTTAAAATGTACAAACAAGTTATTATTGACTATAGTCATCCTGTTGTGCTAACAAATCATAGGTCTTATTCCTTCTTTCTATTTCTTTTTTTATACCTACTAACCATCCCCACTTCCTTCCCACTCTGCCCCACTACGTTCCCAGCCTCTGGTAACCAACCTTTTACATTGTGTCCATGAGTTCAATTGTTTTGATTTTTAGCTCCCACAAATAAATGAAAATATGTGATGTTTGTCTTTATGTTACTGGTGGAAGGTATCTGAATCACACAGCACCAAAATATGTTACCGGTGGTGAATCCATATCCGTGAGGTTCTGCAGCAACCTCAGTTCTTGCCTCCTCAGAAGAAAGAATTTGAGGAGCATAAGGCAGAAGGAGAGACCAAGGCAAATTTTGGAGCAGGAGTGAAAGTTTATTAAAAGCTTTCAAACAGGAATGAAAGGAAGAGAAGTACTTGGCTACTTGGAAGAAGGCCAGTGGGCAACTTGAAAGGCAAGTGTGCAGCTCAACCTTTTGACTTTATACATTGGCATTCCTCTAGAGTCTTATGTTACTTCTCCCCACTCGCCCAACTCCTGAGATCTTATCGGGAAGCTGCTGATCATCTTTCAGGTGTTTTTTTTTTTTAATCTATTAGGAGACTGCCTGTCCCTGGCACTGTCTGTGACCAATTATTACTTTAGAGAGACCAGTTAACAACCACCTGACCATCACCCGATAGTTGCTTGACACTGCTGGTGTGTGTGTGTTTTGTGGGGAGGCCCCTCCTTCCCTGCTAATACCAGACTAGCTACCCAATATAACATTTCTGTGCCTGGCTTATTTCACTTAACATAATGATCTCTAGTATCATTCATGTCGTTGCAAATGACAGGATCTCACTCTTTTTTATGACTGAATAGTACTCCATCGTATATATCCACATTTTCTTTATCTATTCTTCTGTTGATGAACACTTAAAATATTCCAAATCTTGGCTATTGTGAACAGTGCTGCAACAACCATGGGAGTGCAAATATCTCTTCGATACATTGATTTCCCCTTTACTTCTGATAGGTTTTACTTCATCTGTTTTGAAGTTCTGTTATTAGGTACACACACGATTAGTACAATTATACTATCTTAATGAATTACTCTTTTATCATTATGAAATATGCCACTTTGTCTCTAGTAATGCTTATTGTCTTGAAGTCTACTTTTTTGATGTTAAAATAGGCATGGCAGCCTTTTAATGTTTACTGTGTACATGGAATGTATTTTTCCACACTTTTAACCACACTTTATTTTTATATTTAAAGTTCATCTTATATAGGTAGCTTTAATTGGATACTGCTTTTGTATACAATCTGACATTCTTTGCCTTTTAATTGAAATAAATATATCATTTACATTTAATGCAATTACTGGGGTAGTTGAGTGTAAGTCTAGCATCTTGTTATTTGTTTTGTTTTCTTCCTCTGTCTTTGATCATTTTAGTCTTCCTTCTTTTAGATTAATTGAATGTTTTCTGAATTGAATTTTATTTCCTTTACTGTTTTTTTAGCTACAGTTTTTAAAGCTGTTTTTATTTTTTAATAGTTACTCTAAAACTAGCAACGTGCATTCTTGTCAAAGCCTATTTAGATTTATATTGTATCATTTCTCACTGAAAATTTCACAGCTACCACCTCTCATTTCATACCTTACCGTTCCCACTTTAGAGTTCATATCTCACACTTCACAAATACAGTAACATTACAATAGATTCATTTTATTTATCTAGTCTCTTATGCCATCTTTTATGCTCTTGTCATGTCCTTTATTTCCACGTACTATGTAAGCCCCACCTTATAGTGCTATTATTTGGCTTTAAATAATCATTTTTAAAAGCAAGTTATGGGAGGAAAAAAGCCTGGGTATGTTTACCTAGTTGTTTACCATTTTTAGCGCTCTTTATTCCTGTAGATTCAAGTTCCCATCTGGTATCATTTTCCTTTAGCCTGAAGAACTTCCTTTAGCATTTCTTGTAGTACAAGTCTAGTGGTGACAAATTCTTTTAGCTTGTGTTTATCTGAAAATATCTTTACTCAATCTCATTTTGGGGATGGAATAAAGATATTTTCAGATGACTTTATTCCATCTCTGTTGCACTGAATATAGAACTCAGTGTTGACATTTTTCTTCAACACTTTGGAGATGTCATTCCATTGTCAATTGGACTTCATTATTTCTTATGAGGCACCAGTGATTATTCTTATCTTTGTACCCTGTGTGTAATGTGTCTTTTTTCCCTCTCTGGCTGCTTTCAACATTTTCTTTTTATATTTAGCTTGGGTGGTTTGGTTATGATGTGACTAAGTGTGATTTTCTTTGTATCTGCTCTTTTTGGTACATACTGAGCTTCTTGAATGTATAAGCTTTGCTTGTGTGTTTGTTTTTTGTTTTACCAAATTTGAGAGATTTGGGGCATTATTTTTTCAAATTTTCTTTGCTCCTTGCCCTTTCCTTCTTGGACTTGAATTGCACATGTTGTCAGACCACTTGATATTCTCTCAGAATTCATTGAGACTTTAGTGTTTTTTCTTCTTTCAACTTTTTATTTCTGTTTTTCATACTGGGTAATTTCTGTTGATCCATCTTAAACTATACTTACTCTCACTTCTGCAGTATCTAATTTATTGTTAAAATTATCCAGTACATTTTTTATTTCAGATACTTTACTTTTCAGTTCTAAAATTTCTGTAGTTTGCATTTCTCTGCTGAAATTTCCTTTAATTCTTTGAATATTTAACATCTTCGCTTTAACATCTTTGTCTACCAATTTTAACAAGATTATCTACTTTTATTGAGTAAGGTTTTTCTGACTATTGACCACATTTTCCTGTTTTTGTATGTCTTTTTTTTTTAATTGTATACTGGATATTTTGCATGACACACTGTAGAAACTCTAGATTCTTTTATACGTCTCTGAAGTTTGTTTCTTTTTGTTCTATCAAGCAGTCTAATTAGTGGCCTGTCACCATGAACTTGAGGATTCTTCATTTCAGACTTCGTTAGGTAAGTGTGTTTCAGTTTTCCTCTTAGTCTCAGGGTAACCCCTCAGTCTTGGGGCATATTCTACCTTCTAAATCACAGCCCTTCTGTGGTTTTGATGGAAAGCCTGAGTGTTTGCTAAGTCCCTCTAACTTGGTAGGATTCCAAATCCAAACTGTCTCTCCTGTAGTGGGTGACAGTTGAAATCTCTGCTCAAGCTTTTCAGTCTCCCAGCTGTTGCCTTTCAGAAGGCTTCCTAGAGTTTCCCTGAATGTGCACAGTTCAGCTAAGGATTTGAGAGGAGTTTATATGCAAATTTAAGGACTCTTTATTTGGATTCTTTTTTTTTCCCCTGGGTTTTCTCCCCCTCAATTTTCAGCCTCTCTTGCTGTTCAGGCTTTCTGTTTCATTTTTAGCTTCTCTACCTCTTGCAGACTAGAGAGTGCCTTCAGGGAAAATTTAAGGACATTGATCTTACCTATTGCAGTTGCCATTTGTATGTGTGCTTTGGGTCACTTTCTAATGCCTTCAGATAGTTTCTTTACATTTTGTCCAGAGTCTATAATTATTATCTATAGAAGTATTAGTTTGATAAAATGTAGTCTTTCATTATTGAAACCACCATATCACAGCCACTGTGTTTAACTATTTCTAGTATAAGGTTGTTAAGTTCATTGCCATACTCTAAATACTACTCTTATGCTTATACTTCTGGATGTCTCAACTTAAAAACTATAGTAGCTTTTTGCTATGTTGAATTGAAATTTGGATGAAATTTAACTCAATCTATGTCTTTCACCTTCTCTGGCTCACTCATACCAATATGATTACATTATTATGTTTGAATATTTTAATTGCTACCTTTATAAGGTTATTAATAAGGTTAAGTAACCTTATTAAACCTTTACTTTTTATTTTATCAATAGTATCTTGATTGTCCACATAATAAATTGAGAATATTAGCACTCCTAACCTTCTTCTTCCTTCTGCATTTTTTTGCCTTCCCAGCCCCCAACTTCTGTGAGCTGTGCCTTTATTTTATTTTATTTTATCTTATTTTTTTGAGACAGAATCTCACTCTGTTGCCCAGGCTTGAGTGCAGTGGCATGATCTTGGCTCACTGCAACCTCTGCTTCCTGAGTTCAAGTGATTCTTGTGCCTCAGCCTCCCGAGTAGCTGGAACTATGGGTGTGCACCTCCATGCCTGGCTAATTTTTGTACTTTTAGTAGAGACGGGGTTTCACCATGTTGCCCAGGCTGGTCTTGAACTCCTGCCCTCAGGTGATCCGCCCACCTTGGACTCCAAAGTGCTGGGATTACATGTGTGAGCCACCTTGCCTGGCCTATGCTTTTACCTTTACATTGCCAAGTGTAATGACGTTTACTTTCTGTCACACAAACCCAAATATTCCTTAAGTGACTTGCCTACAACTTTATTCAACATTTATTAATTCAACAAATATTTATTCAGTTCCTACCCTGAGCAAGTCCCTGCCCCTGGTGGTGGAGAAACCACAATAAACATAAGAGTAGAAAATCTCTGTCCTCATGGAACCTACTTTCTAATGTGGGAGATAAAAAACAAGATGAAGAAGCAAAATATGTAGTATGCTGGCTGTGCTTAGAAAAACATTAAGCTATAAGGTGTATAGGGAATATGTGTGTGTGTCACAATTTAGATAGAATAGTCAGAAAAGCTCTCTCTAAAAGGTGATATTTGAGGAAAACCCTGAAGGAGGTAAGGGAATAAGCCATGAGAATATCTGGGGAGAGTCCCAGGCAGCAAGTAAATGCCCTGGCCTCACTCTTTTCTCTCTCTAATCATCTGCCGGGGCTCCCCATTGGCTGAATCCAACCAGAAGGCACACAGCAAGGAAGCTGGTTAATATGTCTGTCTATACGGTCAGCCTCCTGGAACAAGGATAATGGTGGGAAGGGATGAAGAGAAGATGGGAGGAGCAGCAAATGGAAGATATGTGGCATACCCTTCCTCCTGACATCCCAGGGAAATGATGGTAAAAGAATAGAAAAGATTCACTCTCACACTTCGATAACAGGAGAGGGATCACAGGTGGGCCACTGAAGTACATGTATGTTATAAACAGTATTGTTTGCTCCAGAGCCAAGAAGAATCGATGACTACATTCTTCCCAGCTATCTTAATATTCCCACTTCTGTGCTACTCACAGAAGAATGTCCAAAAGAATTTGTTCTTACACCTGATTAATTGCTCACATTCATGACATATTTTCTACATTATGTTTAGATGACACCTTTCTTGTATAATTTCCCCCATCCCCTTTGCTGGTCACCCTTCTTTGCTCTTGATGAGGGAAGAAACGTGTTTTTTTCATTGTATCACTAATAACTTCCAGGTTTTTTTCCTATTACCAATAAATTCCATATAATTTATTGTATTCTAACTCCACTGACTTCTGCTCAAATCTGTCCTGATTTCATAATATTTTGTTATGACTTTATTACGCATCTGTTAGGTTTTCCTAGAGACTCTAGCTGTCTTTTTTTTTTTCTTGCCTTGCATTCTATGCATTTTTCACATTCTCGACCGTTACAAAGCCTAGTCATAGGCTCCCATGGAATTCACTCACTTTTTCCCTTGGACATCTCCCATCTGAAGCCTGTTGTTTTGATGCTCCAGGCAGGGATGGTGGCTCCTCTGGCTGCCATACAACTGACATTTGGATTCCTTCCTGCTCTCCAAGTTCCTTGTCTTCTTCCATGTCAGCTAGACCTTTCTGAGGCAAGACTAAATCCTTAAGTAACTTCCCCAGAAGAGGTATGTGGGAGAGAAACTTTCCGAGTATTGGCATGTCTGAAAACTACCTTTATTTTTACCTTGAACTTGGTGGATAATTTGGCTGGGTATAGAATTCTGGGTATAAAATAAATTCCTTCAGAAATCTGAAAGTCACACCGCATTGTCCTCTAGCATCTAGTATTGCTCACAGGAAAAGTAACCTGACTCTGATTCTTTTATTTTGCATAGCTGACTTCTTCTTTCAGAAGTCTTTTCTTGGTATTCTGAAATTTTACAATGGTGAATTCAGGTTGGGCCTTCTACATTCAGCTTGCCCCCCTTTGTTGAGAGCTCCTGTTACCTTGAAGATTGATGTTATGCCCATCTGCCAAGGGCAGAATTATTACCTGGCTGCTGGCCTTTTTAGCATTTGGAATTGAGGAGGCATACGGCAGGGTTGATTATTCAGAATACAGACCCTTTAATTATTTCCCCTATTGCCAGCCCCACTGCTCACTTTTTGGTTGTCAAGCTTGACACTTCTGAAACTAGAACTTCTCATGGGCAGTTTCCTACTCTCAGACACAGACCCCCCCGACCTGTGTTCAAGCTGTGGCTTTCTCTGCCTTCCCTCTCCAGCTAATTCACATCTGTCTATACCTTTCAACTAAATCTTTGGGGAAACTCAGTGACCCACCAGTGATCCCTCTCCTGTTCTCATAGTGTGAGAGTGAATCTTTTCTGTTCTTTTACCATCACTTCCCCTGGGTGTCAGGAGGAAGGGTATGCCAGGTGTCTTCCATTTGCCAGTCCTCCCATCTCATCTTCATCCTTTCCCACCGTTATCTTTGTTTGAAGAGGCTGACCATATAGACACATTAACCAGCTTCCTTCCCTTTGCCTTCTGGTTGGATTCAGCCAATGGGGAGTCCCAGCAGAAGGTCAGAAAGAGGAAAAAGTGAGGCCAGGGCATTTATGCCTTCAACAACCTCCCTGTGAGGTTGTCTCAGGCTGGCTGAGTCCCTTACTAAGGGCCACAGCTTTTTCATGGTGGCCTCTTGACACAGCCTTCTGGCTTGAGATGGCAGGAGCCTCACCTTTCCAAGCCAGTCACGGCAAAGGACCCCTGCTTTTTCTGGCCCCGGGGTACTGCCCATGCTTTGTGTTTCTCCATACCCTGCCCACATGTTTGTAAGTAATCCCTTTATTAAACTCTCCTTGAGCGATTCAATTTGAGTATCTTTCTATTTCCTGTTGGGTCTCTGGCTAAGGCAAAGAGAACATAAATCATAACTGCCTGGTCCACTATATTGGGCCCAGGAATCTTAGGTAGTTCTTAAAGCACATGGTTTTTTTTCATGTAGACTGTTTGTGTCTTTTGCAGCTCATGTGAAACTTTTAGGTCCTAATCCTCTATTGCCACTCTGCTTCACCGTTATTTAGGGGATCTTGGAGTTTCCCTACAATTTCACAATATTTGTGAGCTTAGAGGCCTTTAGAGAGCAAGGTTCCCAATATGAGATGCTGTAGTTAGCCCTGAGTTAGACCTGAATTATCCAGGCATACTCATACTGTGAGCAGCAGCAAATCCATACAGGTCTGTAGCAACTTGATTCTTGCCTCCTTGAAGGAAAGAATTCATTTGAGGGGCATAAAGCAGAGTGAGAGACTCAGCAATTAAAAGACACAGGCATTCTGCCAAAGAGACATGTGCTCGTATGTTCATCCCTGTGCTATTCACAATAGCAAAGACATGAATCAATGCAGATGCCCATCAATGGTGGATTGGATAAAGAAAATATGGCATCCATACACCATGGAATCCCATGCAGCCCGGAAAAAGGACAAAATTATGTCCTTTGCAGCAACATGGATGCACCTGGAGGCCATTATCCTAAGTGAATTAATGCAGAACAGAAAACCAAATACCATATGCACTCACTTGTAAGTGGGAGCTGAACATTGAGCATACATGGACGTAAACATGGGAATGATAGACACTGGGGACCACTAGAGCATCGGATGAAAAACTACCTATTGGGTACTATATTTACTACTTGAGTGATGGGATCTGTACCCTAAACCTCAGCATCACACAATATAGCCAAGTGACAAACTTGCACATGTACCCTGTATCCAAAATAAAGGTTGAAATTTTTTAAAAAAGAAACCATTGTTAATGCAACAACTTGGAACTTGGGTGGATGTCAAGGGAACTATGGTAAATGTAAAGATCCAATCTCAGAAGGTTACATACGGTATCATTCTATTCTTGTAACATTCTTGAAATAACAGAACAGCTTAGTGGTTATCAAGGGTTAGGATGTGGCTCTAAAGGGGTGGCATGAGATAAACTTGTTAATGAAAAAGTTTTGGTTCTCGATAGTGGCGATAGTTAAAAGCTACACATTTGATAAAGTTGCAAATCCTTTCCCCTTCTTGCTCATGATTTTAATTTTTCTCCCTACCGCATTACAAATTCCTTGTTATATTCCTATTTGTAGCTTGTACTTGCCTATACCTGGCAAGTAGCAAGGGCTCAATAAATGTTTATGACATTCAACCCACTTCCTTGTCTGGAATGTTTGGTCTAACCAGGTCTCTCCCATGTTTAAGCTGCCATTTTGTCTTTGTGAGCAGAGTGAGGGAAAGTCTTTCTCCCTCTTTGGGTTCTGCACTTAAAAAAGGAGAAAAAGGAAAACTTGGGAGGGTGGGGGTCTTCCTCAGTGGGAGTGTGGGCCTGTCAGCTGTGCTGTGTGGTCCCCACTTCCTCCTGGGGAGGGTTTCTCCAGGACTCTAAATTCTGAGTCTGCCTCCTCACATACATTCACATGCATTTTTCTCTCTCTCTCTGGAGACGGAGTCTGGCTTTGTCACCCAGGCTGGAGTGCAGTGGCATGATCTCGGCTCACTGCAACCTCCACCTTTTGGGTTCAAGTGATCTTCTCACCTCAGCCTCCCGAGTAGCTGGGATTACAGGTGCCTGCCACCATGCCCGGCTAATCTTTTGTATTTTTCATAGAGGTGGAGTTTCGCCATGTTCCCCAGGCTGGACTTGAACTCCTGAGCTCGGGCAATCTACCCGCCTCAGCTTCCCAAAGTGCTGGTATTACAGGCATGAGCCACTCTCAATCTCTTTTGAACTGTTAAAGGGCAAATCTGCTAACTTGAGAAATGAGGATAATCCTGAAGTTCTGAATTCAATGAAATATAGACAATGGCTTTTTCAGTAACTTTTTCAGGTAATAAAATCATATAAAAGTAGAATAATGCATGATGGAAAGTTGGAAAAACAGATGTGCCTGCTCATCTGCATGTTCTGTGTTTTCTGCATACCCCACATCTTCGTTTGGATGTCTAATAGGTGCTGGCCTGAATCACCCTAAGACTTGCCCATCTCAGGACTGGACGCCTCTATTCTTCCAGTAGCTGTGTCATCCTGGAACCCATGGTTTCTCTCTCACCCCCATATCTATGTAATTCATCAGCAAGCTGTCTTTTTTGTCTTCCAAACTCATTTGGAATCAAAGCACATTTTGTAGAGATCTGTTACTCTCCTGTTCCAAACTATGGTCAACTCTCACCTGGATCCCCACAGACCCCAGAGTGGGTCTCCCCTTTATGTCCTAGACCCTCTGCAGTCTACTCTCTGAAAGCAGCCAGGGATGTCTGTTTCTGGCCTAAGGGAGATAAAGAGGCCCGATTTACCCTTCTGCCATGAATAATTAGAAAACCAGTCAAAATATATAAAACATTTATGTACTTATACTAAATTCGTACATACACTTGGACCTGATTCTAGGTTTTCTAATCTGTTACACTGGCCTCTCTCTGTAAAATACTTTAATTATTGAAACTTTATAAGTCATGTCTATATCTGTTATGGTGACTCTCACCCCATTTTGCATAATGTTCACGCCTGAGTCAGGTGTTTCTTTTCCAGGCGAATTCCATAAGGATTTAATTGGAATTGCTTTATATTTACAGATTTATCTGAGGATTAATGGATTTCTTCCCATATTACATCTACTTATTCAAGAATATAGAAAATACTATACAAACTTGGTTACTATAGCTATACAGAAGTTGTGACTAGGATTATCTTGCCTTCATGTTTTTTTTTTTTTTTGAGACTGAGTCTCGCTCTGTCTCCCAGGCTGCAGTGTAGTGGTGCCATCTCTGCTCGCTGCAACCTCTGCCTCCCGGGTTCCAGTGATTCTCCCATGTTCCAGCGATTCTCCTGCCTCAGCCTCCTGAGTAGCTGAGATTACAGGTGTGCACCACCACACCTGGCTAATTTTTTTGTATTTTTAGTAGAGACGAGGTTTCACCATGTTAGCCAGGCTGGTCTCAAACTTCTGACCTCAAGTGATCCACCCACCTTGGCCTCCCAAAGTGCTGGGATTACAGGCGTGAACCATCACTTTTTATGTATTTATTTTGTAACTGATTACCTTGCAAAATTTTGTTATCAGTTCTTTCTTTTTTTTTTTTTTTGAAATGAAGTCTCGCTCTGTTGCCCAGGCTGGAGTACAGTGGCACGACCTTGGCTCACTGCAACCTCTGCCTCCCAGGTTCAAGCAATTCTGCTGCCTCAGCCTCCTGAGTAGCTGGGATTACAGGCGCCCCCCCACCATGCCTGGCTAATTTTTGTATTTTTAGTAGAGACAGGGTTTCACCATATTGGCCAGGCTGGTCTTGAACTCCTGACCTCAAGTGATCTGCCTGCCTTGATCTCCTACAGTGCTAGGATTACATGCATGAGCCACCACACCTGGCCTTTGTTATCAGTTCTAACAGTTTTTTTAGTGGATTCTGATTGCTCTTGAGACTTCTTCTTTGACCCACTGATCATTTAGAAGTTTGTTGTTTAGTTTCCAAATGTTTGAAGATTTTCCTATTATCTTTCTGCTGTTAATTTCTAGTTTGATCCCATCGTGGTCAGAAACTATACTCTGTAAGATTTCAGTTCTTTTAAATTTGTTCAAGTTTGTTCTGTGGTCCAAGATATGGTCTATCTTGGAATATGTTCCACGGATACTTGAAGAGAATGTGCATCCTGCTGTTGTTGGGTGTTCTGTAAATGTTGGCTGGGTTCTGTTGGTTGGTTGTATTTTTCAGTTCTCCCATATCCTTGCTGATTTTCTGTCTCGTTTTTCTATCAATTGTTGAGAGGGAAGTGCTGAAGTCTCCAACTATAATTGGGAATTTTTGTATCTCTCCTTTCAGTTCTATAAATTCTTGCTTCACATATTTTGCAGCTCTTTTGTGTGGTGCATACACAATCATGATTGCTATGTCCTTTTGGTGAATTGACCCTTTTATCAACAGAGAGGTAATGTACCTCTCTGTCTCTGGTTATTTTCTTTGCTCTGAAGTCTACTTTTTCTGATATGATTATACCCATTCCTTTTTTCTTTTAAGTAATGTTTGCATGTTATATACCTTTTTAGGTCCTTTTACTTTCAACCTACCTAAATTATACTTGAAGTCAGTTTCTAGTAGACAGCATATAGTTGGGCCATATTTTTCAACCCATTCTGCTGATCTCTTTCTTTTCATTGGCATGTTTAGGCCACTTACATTAATTGTAATTATTGACATATTAGAACTTAAGTCTGCTATTTTAATTTCTGTTTGTTCCTTCTGTTTTTTCTTTCTCTCTTTTTTTCCCCCTGTATTCCTGTGGATTTTTTTTGAATTTCATTTTGATTCATCTATAGTTTTTTTTCAGGATGTCTCTTTGTGTAGCTTTCTTAGTGGTTGCTTGAGGTATTACATTATATAGATATAACTTATTATATAGACATTATATAGACAGAACTACTGGTGTTGACATTTTAACAGTTCAAGTGAAGCATAGAAACCTTACCTCCTTTTATGCCCCTTTGCCCTCCCCTATTTGTAATTGTCTTAAATATTCCTGTACACACATTTAAAACTAGTGGGGAACTGGAACTCTCATCTCAATTATAACATTAGAAAATGTTGTAATTTCTTATTTGACCATCAAACAGAATTTAGAAAACTCAAGAGGTGAGGGAAATGTACTGTATTGATCCAAATTTTCACTCTTTCCTTTTTTCTTTATTCCTTCTTGATATTCCAAGACTCATTATTTTATCATATCATTTCTACTTGGAGAGTTTTCTTTAGCCACTCTTTTATATTAGCCTGCTAGCAAAACATCCTCTGAGCTTTTCCTCATCTGAAAATGTCCAGATTTCCCCTTCATTCCTAAAGGATATTTTCACTAGATATAGAATTCTGAGTTGACAGTCCTTGTCTTTCAGCACTTGAAATTTGTCATGTTATTTTCTTTTGACCTCCATTGTTTCTGAGGAGAAATCTGCAGTCATTCAAATTGTTCTTCCCCTATAGGTAAGTTGTCCTTTCTCACTGCTTTGAAGATACATTCTTTGCATTTTGCTTTCAGAAGTTTGACTATTATGTATCTTGGTGTGGATTTCTTTGAGTTTATTCTGTTTGGTGTTCGCTCAGCTTCTTGAATTTATAGGCATATAGCATTTGCCAAATTTGGAATTTTTGGCCATTATTTATTTGAATACTTTTTAGTCTCACCCTCTTTCTCCCCTCCTTTCGAGAGTCTGATGACATGAATGTTATATCTTTGTTAGGGTCCCAAAAGTCCCTAAGTCTCTGGTCTTTTTTCTTTTTTTCTTCTTTTGGTCTGTTTTCTCTCCATTGTTTAGAGTGGGTAATTTGTGTTGTTCTAACTTCAAGTTTACTGATTCCTTCCTGTATCCCTCTTCCTCTGTCCCCTTCATGTTGAGACCATCCATTGAATTTTTTAAATTTCAATTATTGTATTTTTCAGTTCTAAAATTTCCATTTGCTGCTTCTTTATATCTTCTATTTATTTGTTGAGATTTTCTATTTTCTCATTTATTTCAAACTTGTTCATAATTGCCTGTTGAAACATTTTATGATGGCTGCTTTAAAAGGTTTGTCAAATAATTTTAACATCCGTCCTCTCAGTGCTGGCATCTACGTATTGTCTTTTTACCATTAAGTTGAGATTTTCCTGGTTCTTGATAAGAGTGATTTTTGATTGAGACCTGCACATTTTGGGTACTATGTTATGAGAATCTGGGTCTTATTTAAACCTTCTATTTTAGACAGTCCCTTTTGACAACACTCCAGCAGGAGAAAGGGGATGCTGCCTCATTACTACCAAAAGTTGGTCAAAGTGCAGGTTTCTATGTGACCTCTGTTGACATCCAAGGATAGAGAGACTCCTCATTACTGTTGGTTGGGGATGAGAGTTCAAGTTTCCCATGAGCTGGGAAGGGATAAAGGTGTCTCATTACTGCTCTCCATGTGACCTCTTCTGACACCATGGGGGAAAGGTTGAGGTGGCCTCATTACTGCTGGGCAGTCGTGAAAGTCTTGACTCTTCTTTAGGTCTTGTCTGATACCACTCCAGTGGGGAGAGTAAGAAGTGCCTCATTACTGCCAGATGGGGATGAAAATATCAGCTCCCTACTCGTTCTTCTTTGACATCGCCCTGGCAGGTGGTTTGGGGCACCCCATTACAGCCTGGTGGTGGTGGAGGTCTAGGCTCTTCTTCACCCTTTGCTGGTCTGGCAGGGTGAGGCTTTTTCTGTGGTATGTGGCTGGAGTAAAGCGGCTTTTGTCTAAAAGTTTTCTGTCTTGCTAGCCTGTCTCTTTCCTGGTCCTTTGGCTAGAAAAAGCAGATGTCTTGTTGGAACATTTTTGTTTTTTGTCTGTGCATTTTGGTGTTTCTGGATTGTGAGTTCTTTAGCTACATGTCTAGGATATTTAAGGTAAAACAAAATCCAAAGAACACATTACTATATTGTTCCTTGGGTCCTGAGGTCCCTAGAGAGTCTATTTTTTCTCTCTCCACCTTTCGGGGTTTTCTTCTGTTCATTTTATATATAATGTCAAGGGTTTTAAGTTGTACTTAGCTGAAGAAGTAAGGAAAAGTACATCTACTCCATCCTTCTGAAACTTTACAAAGCATTTTATTTCAAATCTTTTCCTTGCTTAGTATACTAAATGGTATTTCTGGGACAACATTAAATAACAGGAATAATGACTATTCTTTTCTCTTTCCTTATTCACTGAGAATGCCTCTAATGCTATCCTATGAAATATGATGCTCAGCTTTGGACATTAGTTTGAGACATTAAATTCAGTCACATTAAATTCAGTTGAATAAATATTGAGTAGTACCACCATGTATAAGTCACTGCTCTGAAGCTGAAATATAGCTAGCAGGAATTAAGGTCATAATAGTTTTCTCTTATATTGAAAGTTATCTTTCTTTTTTACTACAAGATCCATTTTTTTTTTTTTTGAGACAAGGTCTCACTCTGTCACCCAGGCTGTAGTGCAATGGCGTGATCTTGGCTTACTGCAACCTCTGCCTCCTAAGTTCAAGCAATTCTCATGCCTCAGCCTCCCAAATAGCTGGGATTACAGGTGCACACCACCACATCTGGCTAATTTTTGTATTTTTAGTAAAGACAGGGTTTCATCATGTTGGCCAGGCTGGTCTTGAACTCCTGGCCTCAGGTGAGCCGCGTGCCTCAGCCTCCTAAAGTGCTGGGATTACAGGCATGAGCCACCGCCTGGCCTACAAGATCCATTTCTATATTAACACTGCCTCTCCCGTTCTTTCATCCTGCTGACCCACTCTGGACTAGGAGAGGTCTAAGGGGAAGGGAGGAAGGAACATGTGGATCGAAGTTAGGCAAGGAGAATGTGAGGTATATTAAGTTATAGTAAGTCCTGTGGCCTGTCTTAGTTAAGAATCTTAGTCTCTTGGTGGCAAGTAACATAGACTAGTTAAAGCTAGCATAAGTAAATGGGGGAACTACATCCATTGTACAGTTGTGAGGTCATCTAAGAGAGTCCAGAGATGGCCATGCAGCTTCAGAAAGGACTGGAGCCAGGATCCACCAGGACCCTTCATACCTATGTTCTTTCCCTCTCTCTAGGTCCCTAGCCTCTACTTCCCCTGGGGAGTGTGCTCATTCCTCTCTTCCTGCCGCAGAGGCTGTGATAGACACACCCCAAGTTCCAGGTTTATGTCTTGCCTTTTTTGTTGTTTTTTTGAGACAGGGTCTCGATCTGTCACCCAGGCTGGAGTGCAGTGGTGCGATCATGGCTCGGTGCAGCCTTCACCTCCTGGGCTTAAGTAATCTTCCCATCTCAGCCTCCAGAGTAGCTGGGACCACAGGTGTGCGCCACCATGCCCTGCTAATTAAAAAAAAATTTTTTTGTAGCGATGGGGTCTGCTATGATGTCCAGGCTGGTCTCAAAGTCCTGGCCTCAAGTGATCCTCCCACCTCGGCCTCCCAAAGTGCTGGGATTACAGGCATGAGCCACCACACCTGGTCTCATGTCTTGTCATTTAAGGAGACAATCCAGGTAGAAGTGGTTCCTCTGTGGGATACTGGGAATTATACAATCTATATATATTGGTCTTCTTCCCGTTTCCTGACAGAGGGTTCCTAAGACTCATGGAATCTCCAGCATGATAAGAGTATCTTCTGTATGCTAATGTGAAGATAGGTGGCCGGGGGCCACTAGGCAACTTCAGGATGGCGGCTGGTCGCTGGGTAGGCCAAGGCACGATTAGAAAGTTGTGACTTTCAGCCCCTCCCCCTGCCTCTGGGGATGGGAGAGGGGGTGAAGGTTGTTGAGTTAATCACCAATGGCCAACAATGTGATCAATCATGCCTATGTAATAAAGCCTCCATACAACCCTAAAAGGACAGGGTTCAGATGGGCTTGCAGATGGTGGAACACCTGGAGGCTCCTGGAGGGTGGTACATCTGGAGAGGACATAGAAGCCCCATGTCTGTCCTTCCATACCTTGCCTTATGGAAAGGCATTATCCATCTGGCTGTTCACCTGTGTCCTTTATTAATCAACTGGTTAAAGTAAGGAAGGTGTTTCTCTGAGTTTGTTGGGCCACTCTAGCACATTAATCAAACCCCATAAGAGAGTTGTGGGAGCTCTGACTTACAGCTCGTTGGTGAGAAGAACAGGTCACAGCCTGTGCTTGCGACTAGTATCTGCCTGGCTGTGACTGTCATGTGGGACTGAGTCCTCACCCTGTAGGATCTGATGCTATCTCTAGGTAGATAGAGTCGGGATGGAATTGAATTGAATTAGAGGACAACCAGCTGATGTCTCCTGGAGAAACTGCAAAATTGGCTGCTTGGTGTGTGGGGAAGTACACCCCTGTACCCAGCCACAAAAATATCCTGTGTTGATTGTTGAGTATGAGAATAAGAAAAAAAAAAGCACATTAGTTGTTTTCTTCTATATCACAGATCCTCATTCTCAGTGTCAGACTGGCTCAGCCAGACACTTGTCTGCTCCTGATCTAGCCAGCTATGGCCAGAGAGCCTGGTCATGTGGTACAAACATGGCTGGTAGGGAATCACCTTTATATTGGGTGTGGGTAACACCCCAAAAGATGGAATGGGCATTTTCTTTATGCTATCTGATTATGCAGGAATAACATAAATCTACACAGGCCACATAAGGGATCATTTTACACACGCAACAATAGAATTGCTCAGAATAACTGCCCTTACATTGCACATCCAAATTAAAGCTTCTGTAAATTGCCATGAGACTATTTGGCCTGGAGCTGTGCCCTTTCCTGAGCTGGGTGGTGCTGTCTTATTGCTAGTGAATCCTTTGCTCTGCCTTGGGTCATGTTATGGCTTATAGCAGACTCTTTGTCTCTAATTTATATTCACCTTCACCTCTGCCTGGGCTTCTAGATAAATCCAATGCAGAAATTCTTTTGAATATAAATACTTTCCAGTGAGGGGAGCATATTTCCTAGCCAGCAACATTAAGCCATGAATACTGCTCTTCCAGGGTGAATCCAATCTTCTCCCCCACCTTTTTTCTTTTCTGACTCTTTCTTTTTCTTGCATTGGTGTAGTGATGCTTGGTGTAGTTGGGAATGTCAGCTGCTTGCTGACCTCATTCCCTATTTTATACACAAACATATATGTGTTACAAGAAAGGGGTCCCAAT
Organism: Homo sapiens; assembly: GCF_000001405.40. NCBI lineage: Eukaryota > Metazoa > Chordata > Mammalia > Primates > Hominidae > Homo > Homo sapiens. The sequence continues at coordinate 33,977,571 of NC_000019.10, read as the reverse complement.
CCAGACCCCAAGAGAGGGTTCTTGGATCTCGCACAAAAAAGAATTCAGGGCGAGCCCATAGAATAAAGTGAAAGCAAGTTTATTAAGAAAGTAAAGGAATAAAAGAATGGCTACTCCATAGATACAGCAGCCTTGAGGGCTGCTGTTGCCCATTTTTACCATTATTTCTTGAAGATATGCTAAATAAGGAGTGAATTATTCGTGCCTCCCCGTTTTAGACCATATAGGGTAACTTCCTGATGTTGCCATGGCATTTGTAAACTGTCGTGGTGCTAGTGGGAGTGTAGCAGTGAAGATGACCAGAGGTCACTCTTGCAGCCATCTTGGGGTTTTGGCCAGCTTCTTTACTGCAAACTGTTTTATCAGCAAGGTCTTTATGACCTGTATCTTGTGCCGACCTTCCACCTCATCCTGTGCCTTAGAATGCCTAATCGTCTGGGAATGCAGTCCAGTAGGTCTCAGCCTCATTTTACCCAGCTCCTATTCAAGATGGAGTTGCTCTGGTTCAAATGCCTCTGACATACATACTATTCTTAATTCCTAAGGGCTGCAACTTGTCATCTTCCATCCTCTTTCACAGGTAGTATCACTCACTGCTGCTTTCTTAGACATATTACAGCATATTCCACTCTTCCAACCAAAGGCCCTCCTCCAGGCTGTGTTTCTAGGCTTTAGATATCCTAAGCAACTTCTTCCCTCTAACAGTTCTCTGGGGGTCCTGGTTCCATGTCACTTAGCAGGAAGTACAGTAAGGTCAAGTTTGAGGGCTCAGAGACACAACATGAAAGGCTCACTCTTTAGATAGCCCCTGCAGGAATTAAGGACAGCCTAGGAACCAAGGGTATCAGGTGTCCTCCAGTGAATTTCCCACCCATGTCTGTGAGAATGGCCTATCCAGCTAGACAAGTTCTTGATTTAGTATTCTCCAAATCTCCCAAGAAACCGTCAACCCTCCTAGAAATAAAAACCAATCAAGATTGCCAGGAGACACAGCCACGTTACATATCAAAAACCGTCAGATAAAACATACCAAATGTTATTGTTGAACAACTCTCACTTAGGCAGTTCAAGCTGCAAGATTGCCATCAGCCCAGGTGCCTTACATTTACATTTCTTTGATTCCAAAACATCACTAGTTTTAGAATGCATCCTACCTTTAATAGCGAAAGAAAGCACTGGCAAGTTTCTTTTGACATCTTGATCCCAGAAACATTAAGAGGTGGGAGGAAATGTATCTTAAAATTGAGGAATTACATTAATATCTTACAGGAACCCATGAATCAGATCACAAAGGTAGGTTCAGCTGGAGTCCAGTGTTATGCAAAAACAGAAGCAGAAGTGACTGAACATTAGAAAGTAACAATCCTTTTGCATCTCTTGATTATTCCGTGGCAATTGGAGTGCCAATAACTAAAACTCTGCATGCATTACAATGCCATGGCTTCATTTCCAATTTTGCATCCCATAGGGAGAAAGCACCACTACAAAAATAAAGGACAATTTTAAGAGTTTGAACCTCCAGGAAAAAAAAAATAGCCTAATTAATATATTAAAAATTTCTTCCATGTCAGTGAGGACAATCAATGAATGAAATTCCTAAGCTGATGATTGGATCTAGTCAGCTGAAATTATATAAAATGCCCCAGTGCCATTGGATGATGTTTTCTCATTCTGTCAAGGCATTCCTTCTAGTTGGGGTCTGAGTTGCTGATAAAGAATGCCTTTGTTCCCTAGCTGAGTTCAGAACCAACCAAGGGAAGAAATGAGAATCAGATGAATGGAGATTAAATATCATCTCCATCATCTCCATCACAACAATATATTGAAAAGAGTGGCCAGACATCCTGGCCAGTGGCTTCTCTGACTCTCTGTAGCCAGTTTAGACCTTGGAACTCTCCATCTGAAGGCAAGTTTGGTCTGCAAAGTGGATTCACTTAACCAAGATTTCTGTCGTGAACTAGCTCAGAGAGAAGAAGGTAGTTTTACTCATAAATTTTAATAGATGACCTCCATCCAGGCAAGAAATGTGGACCAGTGCTATGACCCACTATCCAGGTACCCCTTGAGTAGTAAAGGGTGGGAGAAGGGGGTAAGGGGCCAGGAGTATCTTGGGGGTAAATTCCTCAGGGAAACCAGATAAATAGGCTACACAAGTTTCCTAAAGGATGTGTTTATTCATTTGATGTGATAGCCTCCAAGATGGTTCCTAATGACCCCTACTCCCAGTATTCACACCCTGTGTAGTCCTCTCTCATACTGTACTGGCATTAGTCCATGTGACCAATGACATATGGTGGAGTGATGTTGTATCACCTCCAACATTAGTTCATAGAAGACACTGTGGGTTTCACCTTGGGGGCTCTCTCTTGGCTCAGGCCAAAGGAAGCCAGTTGCCATGTTGTGGGCAGTCCTAAGCAGAGTATTATGCTGAGAAGAAGCCTCTAGCCAACAGCCAGTGAGAAACTGAGGTATAACAACAGCATGTGAGTGAGCTCGGAATTGGATTCTCCAGCCCCAGTCAAGCCTCAGGATGACTGCAGCCCCAGGCAACAGCTTGAGTGCAACCTCATGAGAAACTCTGAGCTGGAACTGCCCAGCTAAGCTGCTTCTAGGGTCTTGAACCTCAGAACCTGTAGGAGATAACAAATGTTTGCTGTTTTAATCTCCTAAATTTTGGGGTAATTTGTTATGCAACCAAACAGAACTGGAGCATTTAACTAACATTTATTTTATACATTTGTAAGTTTCTACTCATTTGTGAGTTTCTACTCACTTGTGAATTTCTTTTTTTTGAGACGGAATCTCGCTCTGTCACCCAGGCTGGAGTACAGTGGCACGATGTTGGCTCACTGCAATCTCTGCCTTCCGGGTTCAAGCAATTCCCCTGCCTCAGTCTTCCAAGTAGCTGGGATTACAGATGTGCACCACCAGGCCCAGCTAATTTTTGTATTTTCAGTAGAGACAGGGTTTCTCCATGCTAGCCAGGCTGGTCTCAAACTCCTGACCTCAGGTGATCCGCCCACCTTGGCCTCCCAAAGTGCTGGGATTACAGGCGTAAGCCACTGTGCCTGGCCTCCATTTGGCTTTAATCACATCATTTTATCATGCTCATTTCTTGAATATTGATATTGCTTTATTTGCTATTGGTTTTTAGTAAGTAGCAATATAGTAACCATAAGCTTTAATATACAAAATTGCAAATGCCATCAAATGTATGGAATTTTTTTTTTTTTTTGCTTCATAGTGGTCACCAGATACATGTATTAGCATAATAATTGAATAATACTTTGTATCCTTAATTATTTTTGACCCTTCAGCTTGACATTATGAAAACACTCTAATCTACCCCAAATTACCAAATTAAGAAATCTTATCTTCACCAAACTGCAGAAAGTACTATAAGTTAAGAAGAGTCCTTTCCAGCCACTGAATAATCATTGCATTTAAGAATTTTCTAAGGTTGAAGAAATTTAAATCTTTAGGCAGATGGTTATATCAGGTTTGATTATCCACATTTTTGCTGTGAATACATTTATTTATGAATAAATAGGTTGTATCAATTAACAGTAAAACAGCTGGAACAATAAAAGTGAAAATTAATGTCTTTGCATATGATTTCTTGTCCCAGTTGGTGTTTTCACGTGTCCTGGGTTTGTATTTCAGATTGGACTGTTTTGGATGGTAAAAGTCCAGCTGGTAGACAGTCTTGGAAGGGGAAAGAAAGAGCAAGGACAGTTCTCTGCAGCCAATGTAAGTAAAGATCAACACTACCAACTGCATTATATTCAGGTCAGCTCCAGTACAAAATCAACCACCTTATTTATGAAAAAGGGTAAAACCTCCTCCTACTTGTCCCAATTCCACCCTATTCACCAACAACAATTCTTGCTTCATTTTTGCTGTGCTTGGTAAGACCTGACCTGACTGTGTTGTTTTCTTAAGCAAGTCAGAAACGGGCATCCTGTGCTGCTCAGAATTTTGGTAGGAAGATGCCAGCCTGTGAAGACAATCCTTCTTCAATTTAACTGACTAAGGTTTTCCTGCAGAAGAGGTTCAAAACATATGACTGGTGAGAAATTTTAAGACTTCGAACTTCTTTAAAAATTAGTATTCAGTTAAGGTTACCTGAAGCTTCTTTAAGTTTAAATATTATAAAATTTTCTGGCTCAAATCCCCTATCCTTTATAAACTCTTCTTTGTCCACTCTAACTCTCAGTAACATGTGCACCATGGCAATAACGGTTTGCTCATTCATTCATTCATTTCTTCATTCATTCAAGAAATATTTGTTAAATATCTGTCTTAGTCTGTTTGTGTTGCTAAAAGGAAAACCAGAGACTGGGTAATTGAGATAGAAAATAGGTTTCTTTGGTTCACAGTTCTGCAGGCTGTAGAAGAAGCACGGTTCCAGCATCTGCTCCTGGTGAGGCCTCAGGCTGCTTGCACTTGTAGTGGAAGAGGAAGGGGAGACAGTGTGTGCAGAGACCACACGGTGAGAGAAGCAAGAGAGAGGGGACAAACAGGAGAGGGGGAGGGAGGTCCTAGGCTCTTTTAAACAGCCAGCTCCCATGGGAGCTAATACAGTGAGAACTCAGTCACTGCCACGCAGATGGCACCAAGTCATTTGTGAAGAATCTGCCCCCATGACCCAAACACCTTCCATTACCCCACCTTCAACACTGGGGATCAAATTTCCACATGAGGTTTAGGGGACAAACCTTCAAAATAGAGCAACACCTATTATGGACTAGCCTATGTGGTTTCTGTAGGGACTGATCTAGCACTTAGTTGGTTTACAGTGCAGTAAGGGTAAGCATGGTAATGTCTGTGAACAGACCATGACTACATAAACCCAGACTGAGTTGTGGGTAGATTCCTTGAGGAATGGTACCTAAGCTGAGCCATAAAGTTGGAGTAGAGAAAAGAGTATGCACACAAAGGCAACGAGGTGTGAGAATGCAGTGCAGGGTACAATGTATCTCATAATGACCTTTCAGAGAGGCTAGAGAAGCAAGCAGAGGCCAGATCAGAAAGTTTCGGATGTCAAGCTAAGGAGTTTCCGTGTGATTGCAAGAGCAGTTGGGAGCTGCTAAAGATGTGTAAGGAGTAAAATTAAGTGATCTGGTTGGCGTCTCAGAAACATTGCTATGAAAGACTTCCATTATTGGCAGTTCAGTGGATGAGGGACCCTGGCCAACATCCCCAGTGGAAAACAACTAGAAATGCCAGATGAAGAAAAAAATTTTTTAACAAATTATTAAATGAATCAATGATCTGGCAAGAAAGTAAGAAGCACTCAAACCAAAAATCAACTGAAGATTGGAATTCAGAAAAGAGCATAGATGCTGCTTCTTTACCTTGAGAACATTTACTAGATAAGATGAACTTGAAGTTGGGTTTTATTTCCTTTTGGGCTGTGGAATGCAGGACACAAAGCTTGGGGCCTATCCAAAACAGAGCGTCTAATGGAAGACATCCATCATAAAGCTGAGACTTCAAGATTATATCCTTAAAGCAAGGACAAACTAGAAATAAACCAGTCCTGCTATCCTCAGGGAATTTTATGAAAAAATATGAATGGTGCTAGTATAGGATTGGGGCAGGGTTCAGTCTCCCTTGAAAATTTGCCATAACAAACAGATTCTCATGCTAGTTTGCACCCAAAACTCACACTGTCTAGATGGTCCAAAAAAATCTTAATCTGAAGTTTTAGTATAAAGTATTGCCATACTGGTAGTACTCCAGTGCAATAGACAGAAACAAACACAAATTCTCTTTCTAGAGGAATCCACCTTCACTACAATCTCAAGAATTTGCCTGGATAAAGTTCTAAAAAAATGAGCACATGGGTAAAAAGGAATAAATAAAAACATACAAAAAAATACATACACAGTCAAAGCATCAAGAGAAAGAGCCAGCAGAAAAATACATAGCAGAATAAGAGAAGCAAATATTACAGAGTAGTGTAAACTTATGTAAAATGTATGACAACAACATCATAAAGGCCTTGATGGGAGAAATGGGAATATACTATTGTAGGACTCTTATACTATATGTGAAGTGGTACAATATTATTTAAATGTAGATTGTAATATGTTAAAGATGTATTATAAACTCAAAAACAACCATGAAAATAATAAAAGTCGTGTCTAATAAGCCAAAAAAAGGAATAAAAATTCAATTAATGTAAAAGAAGTTAGAAAAAGAGGAACAAAGAACAGAAGGAACAAGTGAAAAACAAGTAGCAGGATAATAGACTTAAATCTAACCATATCAATTATGACATTAAATGTAAATGGTCTATATACCTCAATTAAAAGGCAGAGATTCCTAGATTGGCTAAAAAAGCAAGACCTGACTATATGCTGTTTACTAAAAACACACTATAAATATAAAGACACAAATGGGTTAACAGTAAAAGAATGGAAAAAGATATACTATGCTAACTTTAGTCAAAAGAAAGTTAGGGTTGTTATATTAATATCAGGTTAAATAGATTTTAGAAAAACAGGGATTATCATTATCATTTTCATTTATCAGTGATAAATATGATAGAAGAAATAACTATTCTAAGTGTTTATGCACCCAATAACAAAGCTTCAAAATACATGAAGCATAAACTGATAGAACTGCAAGAAGAAATAGACAAAATCTGCAATTACAGTAGGAGACTTTAATATTCCTTTATCAAAGATTCAGTAGGCTTTGGTGGGGCTAGGATGCTGCCTTTCAAACAAGCTCCCAGATATGCCAATATTGTCATAGACCATCTGAATAGCAAGATGCTAGAAGTTAAGCCAGGAGAAAATATCCAAAATGAATTATAAAAATAAGAGAATAGGAAAGACAGAAGAAAGGGTAAGAGATAATGTGGATATAGTAAGAAAGCTCAACATATATGTAATTAGATTCCAAGGAAAGGAGAGAAATAATATGATAGAAATAATATATGAAAAGATAATAGCTAAGAATTGGTCAAAAAGACATCAAGCCACAGATTCATGAAGTCTGAAACTTCAAGAAGGGTAAATATGACTAAAACTACACCCTCTAATTTATCTATCTATCTATCTATCTATCTATCTATCTATCTATCTATCTAATCTGTTAAAAACTAAAGACAGAGAAAATCTTAAAAGCAGCTGTAGAAAAAATAAAGATTACCTTCAAAGAAGTGACACTTAGACTAATGGTTGACTTGTCAACCATGGAATGAAAAAAAATTGAACTGGGCTAGAATGATATCCTCGAAATACTGGGGAGAAAAAAAAACTGTCAACCTGGAATTTTGTACACAGTTAGAATATCCTTCAAGAATAAAGATTAATTGAAGATGTTTTTACATAAACAAAAAATGGAGAGAATTAAATACTGGCAGATTTTCACTAAAGGACATGCTAAAGGAAAAAATTGCCCTAGATGGAAGCTTGGTCATTCAGGAAGTAGTGAAGAACAACAAAAAGCGATTAATATAAGAGTAAATATAAATAAACTTTACCTGTATTAAGCAAGTATAATAATGTCTCCTAAGGTTTAAAATATAAAGAGAAATAACATACATGTCAAGAATAACATATAAGTCTAGAGAAGGATAAAGACAGTTAAAGTTTTCCAAGGTTCTTGAATTATATGGAAAGAAGTAAAAGTGCTAATTTAATATAAATTAATATAGACCTTGATAAATTAAGGATGATTATCTTGATCTCTAGGGTAATCGTTAAAAGAGTTTTAAGACTGTACAATTTTTAAGCTAATAAAAGAAAGAAAAAAGTGTGTGTGTGTATGTGTGTGTGTCAATTCAAATGAAGGCAAGAAAGGAAAGAATATAGAACACGTGAGCCAAATATTCCATTTTAGATTTAAGCCCAAATGTATCAATAAATACACTAAATGTTAATGAAGTGTGTTCCAACTAAAATCCAAATGCTGTGAGAATGGATTTTAAAATCTATCTATATGGTAAATACAAATACATGTTTAAATACATGTTTAAAATATAAAGGAACATAAAAATAGAATGACAGGGAAATGTAAATTAAAACCACAATAAGATATTATCTTATCCAAGCTAAAATGGCTCTTATCAAAAAGACAACAACAACAACAAAAACAAAACAAAATAAAACAAAAAACAGATGCTTGTGAGGATGTGGAAAAAGGTGAACCCTCATACACTGCTGGTGGGAGTGTAAATTACTACAGCCACTATGGAAAACAGTATGGAGGTTCCTCAAAAAACTAAAAACAGAACTACCGGCAATATGATCCAGCAATACCACTGCTGAGTATATATCCAAAAGAAAGGAAATCGATATATCAAAGAGATATTGACACTCACATGTTTATTGCAGCACTATTCATAATAGTCAAGATATGGAATCAACCTAAGTGCCCATCAATGAATGCATTGATAAAGAAAATGTGGTATATATACACAATGGAATATTATTCAGTCACAAAAGAGAATAAAATCTTGTCATTTGCAGCAACATGGATGACTCCAGAGGACATTATGTTAAGTGAAATAAACCAGGCACAGAATGATGAATATTGCATGTTCTTACTCATATATGTGGGAGCTAAAAAAGTTGAGCTCATGGAGGTAGAGAGTAGAATGGTGATTACCAGAGGCTGGAGGGGTAGCAAGGAGGAGATGTAGAGGGGTTGGTTAATGAGTACAAAAATCCAGTTAGAAGGAGTAAGTTTTAGTGCTCATTAGCTATTGGTTATTAAGTATAGTCACCCTACTGTGACTATACTCAAGAGCTTATTGTGTGTTTCAAAATAGCTATAAGAAAGATTTGGAATGTTCCCAATATAAAGAAATGATAAATGTTTGAAGTGATGAATAGCTCAATCACCCTGATTTGATCACTACACACTGTATGCATGTATCAAAATATCACATGTGCCTGAGAAATATGTACAAGCTTTATGTATTAACAAAAAATTATGAAAAAATGTTTTTATATTTTTTACATTAATCCAAAAGATGGATTAAAAATGCCATACAAACACTGGATTTTAAAAAATGCCATACAACACTAAAAGAAAGCAAGCACAGCCGTATATTAACATCAGATAAAGTAGACTTTAAGGAAACAGAGCCAAAGAGCACCACTTCCCAGTGACAAAAGTTTTAATTCATCAAGACACGACAATTCTAATATATATGTACCTAATAATATAGACTTAAAATCTATAAAGCAAAAATTGACAAAACTACAAGTACAAATATATAAATCCTAATTCATAGGGGGAGATTTTATGGTATCTTTCTTAGTATCTAATAGAACAGTAAACAAAAATATCAACAACAACATGAAATAGGATTGATACACTTGACCTAATTGGCCTATATAAAACCTTGCACCTAGCATCTACAGAATAACCATTCTTTTCAAGCATACTTGGAATATGTTGAAACTTGACCATAAATTTCAAAGGATTCACTTCATTTAGAGACACAGTGTGATTAAGCTAGAATTCAATTTTTTAAAAGGATAACTAGAAGAATTTCCATAATTAAAGAAATTTAATTGTTCATATTGTATTAATAACCTCTTTAAAATGTAAGATCTATAGTGACATGCCGTTTTCATTCACTTTCCCTCTTTATTGTCTTGTTAGGGATTTTCCATTTTGTTAATCTTTTCAAATAACAACTTTTACCTTTGTTGATTTTCTTTATTGCATGTTGGTTCTGTATTTTCTACCCTTTTTCTTATTGTTTATTTCCTTTGACTTTTTTTAGTTTAATTTTTTCTGTCTTCTTGAAGTGAATGCTTAGTTCATTGACTTTTAGATATTATTTCTTTAATACATGCATTTAAACAAAAATTTCCTTCTAAACATGGTTTCCTGTGCATCCCACTACATTGGTGTGTAATATTTTCATTAATTAAAAGATTTTATAATTTACAATGTAATTTCTTCTACAACTCATGGGTTTTTAATTTTCAAACATATAGGAATTTATTAGTTCTTCTTATTAATAGCCTGATTACACTGTAATCAGAAAACATCTTTGATTTCTGTTGTTTGATGTCTGTTAAAATTTGCTTTAAATGTATCCTTTTTTTTTTTGAGATGGAATCTTGCTCTGTTACCCAGGCTGGAGTGCAGTGGTGCAATCTTGGTTCACGGCAACCTCCACCTCCCGGGTTGAAGTGACACAGAGTTGATGGGTGGATGTTTTTCAACAATTTGATAAATTCTCAGTCACTGTCATCATTTTCTCTCTTTTCTTCTGGGACTTCAATCACTGGTATGTTAGACCTTCTTTCTATATTTTCCATATCTCTAATCCTCTTTTCAAAATTTTCCAGCCTGTTATCACTTCATCTTACTTTTGAATATTTTCTTCTGCTTTATCTTCCAGTGTATTAATAATTATCTTTTCATCTGTGTATAGCCTGCTGGAAAAAAAAATGCCCTGAGATCTTAATTTGGGTGATTGATTTTTTTCACTTCTTGAATTTCCACCTAGTTGGGTTTTATTTCTTTATGTTTTTAGTTTCCAGATCAGTGCTGAAATTCCCCAATCTTATCTTTCATCTCCTTGAGCACAGCAAGTATAGTTGTTTTAAAGTATGTGTCTTATAGCTTCAATGTCTGGTGCCCCTGTGTGTATGTGTCTATTGACTGTTATTTCTGTTGATTTTAATTCATATTTTCTGGTGGACTGGTTGGTTTTTATTGTGCCTTGGACATTGTATGTACAATATTGTTCATAGAAAGTTTTGAGGCCTGGGATCATGTTAGCCTCCTGGAGAATAGATTTATTTTTTGCTTCTGCCAAGCAGCTGAGGACATTAGCCATCTGGGACTACTTTAATCCAATGTTGGAGCTTGAGATGATTTGTAACTGAGTTGCAGTTCCTGCAAGAGCCTCCCTGTGGTTCCTTACTCCCAGGATACAGACTTGTGGCTCTATGCAAATTGTTGGGGACTCACTAGTCATCTCCCTATTTGGAAGGCCTGAATACCAATCCCTTTCACCCTCAAGGATGTCAACATTGTAGCTTAACCTTTTGGCTTCTCAGACTTCCCACCTCAGAATTGGCAGATACCTTCTTGGGGAAAGTGGCCCCAAATGCTATTCTCTACACCTGGGGTCTCCATTCTTTCCCAGATCCTAGCCTGGTAATTCTTCACTATCATGGTGGACCTCTCTGGTGTTTCCAAGCAGATTTTACTTTTTTTCAGATTATCTAATTGTGGAAACTGGTTCTGCATTACTCAAAGTAGAAGTGCTTGTTTTATTCTTGTTTTTCCAAAATTGACTTGTCTTGAAAAAAGAAAATTGAATTGCTACCTGCTTCATATACAATAATATATTCCACATAAATTAAAGGCTAAAATAAGAAAATTTTGTAAGAAAATAGAATATCCTATCTTGACATTCTTAAGATAGAAGTAGTCAGACAGCATATTTAGAGGAAATAATTGATAAATTAGGCCAGAATAGAATATAAAACTTCTTAACAACAATAGTCATCAAAATTAAAATTAAAATTAAAATGTAAGCCTATTTGGGAAAAGATTTTTCAAAAATATCCATAATTGACCAAATATTTGCATCCAGATAAACAAAAAAAAAGAAAAAAGAGAAATGAACAAACATAATACACAAACAACTCAATAAAAATGACTAAAGATACAGACAATGATATGAAGAGGATGTTTTAGTAACCAATAAGCATATGAAAAGATGCCCAACTCTCTAGAAGTTAGGGAACTCAAAATTAAAACAGTGATATGTTTCATGCCCATTATATTGCCAAAATTAAAAAAAAAAATCTGACAAGTGTTTGAAACAGATTGGAGAAACAGGAAGTCACCATGTAAGCCACAGTGTAAGTCAGAACAGCCAATCGTGTTTCAGATGGCAATATCTACTGAAAGTTGACTATATGCATTCTTTTTGATCCAATCATCCCAAACTTACTTTTATATCCTTGGGATACTCTTGAATGTGTACAAAGGAGACTTCTAAAGAGTCTTTATTACAGCACTATAGTGATGATAAAAAATGAGAAACAACCTGTGTGTCCATCAATAGGAAAATGGATTAAGACAATTGAGATATATTTATATAATGAATTAACATAAAGCAGCAAAAATTATTGAACTAGATCTATGTGCATCAACATGGATAAATCTTGAGGCCATATTAATGGAGAAAGAACATGTTGAGTGGTGACACGTACAGTATGACATAATGCAAAGTTGTAGAGGTTGTTTTTTTTTTGAGACAGGGTTTTGCTCTGTTACTCAGGCTGGAGTGCAGGGGCACAATTTTGGCTCACTGCAACCTCCCTCCTGAGGTCAGGTGATCCTCCCACCTCAGCCTCCCAAGTAGCTGGGACCACAGGCACGTGCTACCATGCCCAGCTAATTTTTTGTATTTTTGTAGAGACAGGGTTTCACCATGTTGGCCAGGCTGGTCTCGAACTCCTAAGCTCAAGTCATCTGTCTGCCTTGGTCTCCCAAAGTGCTGGGATTACAGGTGTGAGTCACTGTGCCTGGTCCAAAGTTTAAAACTAAGGAAAACAATACTATTACTTATTTTAAGATGCATACAGAGGCTTTAAAGATATAACAACATCTTAATGGAAAGGACACACACCAACTTCCAGTTACCTCTAGGGGGTAAGTGGTGGGACAGAGGAAAGAAATGGGGTCTTCACCTCTGGTGGTAATGTTTTATTTCTTACACAACAAAAGCAAAAGATAAACCTAAAACAAATATGGAATAATGTTAATATTTTTGTTAAGTTAAAAAATTAATTAAACAAAGCATATAAGAAGCTGGGTGCAGTGGCACACTCCTATAATTCCAGCACTTTGGGAGGCCAAGGCGGGCAGATCATTTAAGCTCAGGAGCTTGAGACCAGCCTGGGCAACATAATGAGACTCCATCTCTGCAAATACAAAAAAATTACCTGGGCACCGTGGTGCATGCCTGTGGTCCCAGTAACTCAGGAGGCTGAGGTGGAAGGATTGCTTAAGCCTGGGAGATTGAGGCTGCAGTGAGCTGAGATTGTGCCACTGCACTCCAGCCTAGGTGTCAGAGCAAGACCTTGTCTCAAAATAAAATAAAATAAAATAATAAAATAAACTATATAATAGTTCCCAATGCATAAAAAGCATTGAAAAAAAAAAAAAGAAGAGGGATTGAGCAGTGGAGGAAAAGAAGAAATCAGACCCAGTGATGTCCCTAAGTGTCATAAGCATCTGCAGGGCTAACAGTGGGGACACTGACAACACTTCATATGGAGGATGCTTTTTAAAAACTAGCTCCATTGTGGGTGGGGGATGATGTCTTGGCATGTGTGCAAAGATGGCTGAAAGAAGCTTCAGGATAGAGATGAATGACCTGGAACCTTACTCATGTTAGATTCTTTGGAACTACAGTAGAGTCACCCTTGTTGGACATCTTTATCCATAATCTGGAGGTCACAGAGCACACGACACTAGGCTTGAAAAGGATGCCAAGCCCTTCACAGGTGTGAGATTACAGGCTGGTTTCACTGGGTTGTGGAGAAGGCCAAGAATAGGTGGGCAAGAGGGGGTCACCTGAACTCTCCCAAGTGGGGTCTGAGTGATGCTGGCCCACCAAAGGGATGCAGGTCTGGCTGTTATCAGTTGTCCTGGGCTGGTGTGCCATCAAGGACCAAGCTGAGAGCGCTAGCTGAGGGGCGACTTGCATTTGGCAGATACTGAGGGAGGACAGCTTGCGTGGCAGGTCTGGAACAGACAAGGCAAAGCTGCAAGGGCATCTGATGAGGGGTCCTGAACCTGTGCTGCCAAAGTTCATGTTCCTTGAAAACAGAATATTAATATTTAAGAGAGGCTGCTGGATGCAGCGGCTCAAACCTGTAATCCCAGCACTTTGGGAGGCTAAGGCAAGCAGGTCACTTGAGGCCAAGAGTTCGAGACCAGCCTGACCAACACAGTGAAACCCCGTCTCTACTAAAAATACACAAATTAGCCAGGTATGGTGGTATAGGCCTGTGGTCCCAGCTACTTAGAAGGATTGCTGGAGCCCGGGAAGTTGAGGCTGCAGTGAGCTGTGATTGCACCACTGCACTGAAGCTTGGGTGACAGTGAGACCAGGTCTCAAAAAAATAAATAAATCAATATTTAAGACAGAAAAATCTAGGATAGAGGAAAAAACTCCACGTTGTACAAGACGTTTTAAACTTCTGTCTTTACTTTGGTGGTGCCCACTGAAAGACAAAAACTTGTCAAAAAGATTGTATTTACCTTGAGAAGACTTTGGGATTTAGCCTTGACCCCTGAGCTTGGTTGGATGAGTCCCGTCTGGATAAACCCATGCCTGACCGAGAACCCCTGCTTAGGCCTCCCTGTGGGCTTGAGTCTGACTCAGTTACTCCCTTCCTCTCAGGGAGAGGGCAGAGCAAGCTCACATCTAGGGCACCATTTGCCATCCCCATAGCCAGTCATACAAAGAGATGTAAAAATTCCCATTTTTCCAAAGTATCAAAAAACCTAATGCTAAGGAAGATATAGCCATCCTCCCTAAACTTGGCTTTTGTGTAAATTAAGCAGTGTGTCATTAATTGGTGTCCCGGTGACTAAAGAAGCCTTGTTTGAAGATCTATTTTTAACTTCCTATTTGCATGGGAAATACCTTATCTTTCAGCTTATTAAAGAGCTTTCTGATTTACAAGGATGTCATCGCAATTGAATAATGAGATGTTGCTTAGCATGCTGTTGTTTAAAAATGTGTTCCCCCTCTTGTGTTAGTCTGTTCTCGCATTGCTATAAGGAACTACCTGAGACTGGGTAATTGATGAATAAAAGAGGTTTCATTGACTCATTTCCACAGGCTGCACAGGAAGCATGGCTTGGGAGGCCTCAGGAAACTTACAATCATGGCAGAAGGCAAAGGGGAAGCAGGCACGTCTTCACAGCTGAGCAGGAGAGAGAAAGTGGAGTGGGAAAGCGCTACACACATTTAAACAAGCAGATCTCCTGAGAACTCACTCACTATCATGAGATCAGCAAGGGGAAAGTCTACCCTCATGATCCAATCACCTCCCACCAGGACCCTCCTCCAACACTGGAGATTACAATTCGATATGAGATTTAGGCAGGGACACAGAGCCAAACCACATTACCCCTCCAGTGATCTCTCTCTCTCTCTCTCTCTCCCCCTCTCCTTCCTGTCTTCCTTCCTTCCTTCTTTTCTTCCTTCCTTCCTTCCTTCCTTCTTTCCTTCCTTCCTTCCTTCTTTGCCCAGGCTGGAGTGCAGTAGTGTAGTCTTGGCTCACTGCAGCCTCTGCCTCCAGGGTTCAAGCGATTCTTATGCCTCAGCCTCCCAAGTAGGTGGATTACAGGTACACACCACCATGCCTGGCTAATTTTTGTATTTTTAGTAGAGACGGGATTTTGCCATGTTGGCCAGGGTGGTCTTGAACTCCTGACCTCAAGTGATTCGCCTGCCTCAGCCTTCCAAAATGTTGGGATTACAGGCATGAGCCACCACACCTGGCCTAGTTACATTTCTTAAACAGAAATGAGTGCCATTATTTCCATTCTTAATGTAAACACCATGTTCAATTTTCTCCTAAAGCTGTCTCTCTTACAGTGAGTGAGTTTGTAACTTATGAGAGTTGGAAGGGAATTTTTTCTTACATATTTGAGAGGGTCTACTACACTAAATTAGGATTTTTCTGTGAGACTTATAAAGTAGTTAAAATATGATCAGTCTTTCTAGTGATCAGATACTGGTGATGTTCAAAATGAACTGATAAATTTGAATATTGTTGATTATCTTTCTAAAAGTCATTGATAGTTATAGAGTGTTAATCTTGACTCTGGCTAAAGGAAGATAATTCTATTGATTAATAAACATTCACTAATTGTAGTTTTTTGATTCTGTATAAATGTAAAGAAAAAGCCAGTTGATAGTGTATTAAGGTTTATTTGAGCACATGAAAGTGAATTGGCATCAGAAAGGGGAAATGAGGCCGGATGTGGTGGCTCACACCTGTAATCCCAGCACTTTGGGAGGCTGAGGCAGGTGGATCATTTGAGGACAGGCGTTCGAGACCAGCCTGGCCAACACAGTGAAAGCCTGTCTCTACTAAAAATACAAAAATTAGCCGGGCGTGGTGGCACACGCCTGTAGTCCCAGCTACTCAGAAGGCTGAGGCAGGAGAATCGCTTGAACCTGAGAGGTGGAGGTTGCAGTGAATTGAGATTGTGCCACTACACTCCAGCCTGGGTGACAGAGTGAGATCCTATCTTAAAAAAAAAAGGAAAAAAAGGAGGGGGGGAAATGACCTGCACTCATTCTTGCTCTCCTGTCCTCTCCAAAGCCATTTGGTTCAACAGAAGCAAAAGTTCCTAAGATCTTTGCAGCTTAGGGATGATAACATCAGGCAAAAAAAAAAAAAAAAGTTCACTCTATAAGAAAGAAGCACATGAAAATTTTAACTGGCTATGCATCAGATCTCTAGAGAAGGGAAGACTTTCTAAGCTAAGAAGTGGTGGAAAAACTATTAGAATGAAAATTTGTGTTAGATGTGACTGCATGCTTTTTTCCCCTTTTCCTGTTTCATCCCCTCTCCATCCTTACCACTGCCATTCCGTCCAAGCCACCTCTCACAAAACACAGCAGAGAACTGAAAACAATAACAACATAAAAAACACATCTAAGACTTGGACGTGGACAGATTTTACTCTGAGTAGGATGGGGAATCACTGGAGGGTCTGAGCCATAGGGCGGTCAAGACCTGACCCACTTGATCACCAGCCCGTTTAGGCTGCTGCGTGGGGAACAGATCATAGAGGTCAGGGTAGAAGCTGAGAGGCTGATCAGGGGCCACTGCATTTACCTGGGGGCAGAAGCTGGCAGCCTGCACCAGGTGGAAGTAGTGCAGTGGAGGGAGAAGTGGTCGAATTCCAGATTTTTGTTTTGGTTTGCTTTGTTTTGAGATGGAGCCTCACTCTGTCACCCAGGCTGGAGTGCAAATGGTGCGATCTCAGCTCACTGCAACCTCCGCCTCCCACATTCTAGCAATTATTCTCCTGCCTCAGCCTCCTGAGTAGCTGGGACTCTAGGTGAGTGTCACCATACCCGGCTAATTTTTGTATTTTTAGTACAGATGGGGGTTTCACCATGTTGGGCAGGCTGGTCTCGAACTCCTGACCTCAAGCGATCCACCCACCTGGGCCTCCCAAAGTGCTGGGATTACAGGCGTGAGCCACCATGCCCGGCCAGGATTCTGGATATATTTTGAAGGCCAAGTGGACAGTGTTTGTTGATGGACGTGGAGTGTTAGGTAAAGAAGAGTTAAGAGTGGCTCCAAGCTTTTCCAACTGAGCATCCAGAAGAAGAGAGCTGCCTTTAACTGAAATGGAGAAGCTGTGAGCAGGGAAAGGTTAGAGAGAGAATTTTCAGGGGCTTGGCCTCAGACCTGTTCATTTTGACTTGACTATTACACATGCAATGGAGATGTGGGTAGGAATGTAGCATTTACATAACAGAATGGAGGGATATGAGAAAGTCAGAGAAGCAGGAAAGACAGAGAAGATTTAAAAGTTCACACAGTGGCTGGTGGCTCATGTCTATAATCCCAACACTTTGGGAGGCTGAGGCAGGAGGATCGCTTGAGCCCAGGAGTTGGAGGCTGCAGTGAGCCATGATTGTGCCATTGCACTCCTGGGTGCACGCATATATAAAATAAATTAATTTTAAAAATTGGCCAGGCATGTTGGCTTACACCTGTAATCCCAGCACTTTGGGAGGCCGAGGCGTGTGGATCCCTTGAGCTCAGGAGTTCAAGACCACCCTGGGCAGCATGGTGAAACACTGTCTCTATACAAATGTAAAAATTAGCCAGGTATGGTGGTGGGTACCTGTAATCCCAGCTACTTGGGAGGCTGAGGTGGGAGGATCGCTTGAACTCAGGAGGTAGAGGTCACAGTGAGCCAAGATCATGCCACTGCACTCCAGTCTGGGCGACAGAGTGAGACCTCATCTCAAAAAAAAAAAAAAATTAAAACATTCACATAGAGACAAGGCCCCGCTGGCCTGAGTCTTGGGCCCCACAGCCAGAGAACAAGACCCAGGCCAGTGTCCTGGGATTTGCCAACTGCAGTTGACTTCGACCGTTACAGACAAACAGAACATATTAACGTATTTCATGATGCAATTGATGGTGGCCAAAGACTTTTGAACGTTTACTCTGGGCCAGGCACCACACTGAGCACTCCAGATGTATCACCTCATTTAATTCCTCCACTAGCACTATCATCAATCCCATTTTGCAGATGAGAAAACTGAAGTTGAAAGTAATTAGGGAGCACTAACTGGGGAAGGCAGACGCTGGAGTTCACACCCAGGGCTGCGTGACTCGCAAGCCCCGTTCTCTTAACCTCTGCCCAGGCCTTTTGGTTGATTTCAGAGTCCTTCGTTGGCCCCTTTGCAAGTGGAATCCCCCTGGATTCTCAATTCTCATTGCTGAGGCTAATGCTTAGCTCTGAATCTTTTGTCTTGGTCATGGCATTCTTTATGTGGGGCAGGATGAAAGGATCTTTATCTTCTGTGCAGTTTCTGCTGTTCCACACAAACATCACAGACACACTTTTTTAAACCTTCAAATGTACCAATATCTGGGGGATCTTAAGATATTCCTTTTTGGCTGGGTGTGGTGGCTTATACCTGTAATCCCACCACTTTGGGAGGCTGAGGCGAGTGGATCACTTGAGGTCAGGAGTTCGAGACAAGCCTGGCCAACATGGGAAAACCCTGTCTCTACTAAAAATACAAAAATTAGCTGGGCGTGGTCATGCACGTCTGTAATCCCAGCTACTCAGGAGGCTGAGGCATGAGAATCCCTTGAACCCGGGAGGCAGAGGCTGCAGTAAGGTGAGATTGTGCCACTGCACTCCAGACTGGGTGACAGAGCAAGACCCTGTCTGAAAAAAAAAAAAAAAGATATTTAATTAAAACTAGCGATAATTCTGTTTTGAGGACTTTTCACCTCTCTTTTTTTTGCCAAAGATTCTAAACCCATGTCAAGCCTCATGAAAAACCTATTACTGTCCCCAAAAGATAAGGGTAGCAAATTCCTCTTTGGCAGTCCTTCTAGTATCTGGTGAATGTGTCAGACAAGTCAACTAGGCTGAGGGAGGTGTCAGAGGTAGAAATGGGAAATTAGTCTTAACTCCAAAGTGGGAATCAGGTGCTAATTGTATTCAGCAAGACGGTAAAGATCAAAATGTTCCCTCTTATTAAGACATGGAGTAAACAGAGGTTAGATTCGGGGGATCATTTCCTATTTAGTAAGAAATTTGCAGTTATTTATTTCCATGGTCTCCACTCCCCATTTTGAATGCTGATTTTGGAGCACAATCAATGCAATTAATACTTTCTTATCCCGAGATAATTTATTTAAATAGAGATGTGTGTTATTGATCATGGACTAAGACTATTTTTTATTATGTGTGTGGGAAAATCAGAGAGAAGGAGGGTGGGTGGGTGGTGACAGCATGCCAGTCACACACTTCGGTCACCCTGAGCAGGGCAGCTCCCTGCCCAGCCAGAGCCTTGGAGAGTTTGCTTCTAAACAAATGACTATGGGCAGAGTTTTCCTTGTATTATGGGTTGAACTGTGTCTTCCAAAAGATATTGAAGTCCTAACCCCTAATACCTGTGAAGGTGACCTTGTTTGGAAATAGGGTCTTTGCAGATGATCAAGTTAAGATGAGCTCATTAGGGTGGGTCCTAAGTCAATTTGATTGCTTTCCTTATAGAAAGGGGAAATTTTGGCCAGATGCTGGGGCTGATGCTTATAACCCCAGCATTTGGGGAGGCTGAGGAAGGAAGATTGCTTGAGCACAGGAGTTCTAGGACAGCCTGGGCAACATAGCAACATCCTGTCTCTACAAAAAAATAAAAATAAAAGTAGCCAGGCAAGGTGGCATGCACCTGTAGTCCCAGCTACTTGGGAGGCTGAGGTGGGAGGATCACTTGAGCCTAGGAGCTTGAGGCTACAGTGAGCTTTGATCATACCACTGTACTCCAGCCTGGGTGACAGATCGAGACCGTGTCTTTAAAAAAAAGAGAAAGAAAGAAAACAAAGGGGAAGTTTGGACATGAAGACACAGTCAGGTACACAGGGAAGACCACTTAAAGACCAGGAAGAAAGCCATCTACAAGCCATGGAACACCTGAGGCTACCAGGAGCAAGGAGACAGGCATGCGAGATCTTCTCACAGCTCTCAGAAGGAACCCACCCTTCCGACAACTTGGTCTTGGACTTGCAGCTACCTACCTAGCCGCCAAACCATGAGGCAATACTTTCTGTTGTTCAAGTTGCCCAGTCTGTGGGTCTTTGAGCCCTAGGAAGCAAACACACCCCGTGCCAGGCTTTCCACCAGGGAATGCTGCATTCAAGAGGTTGATTGCAACTGACGTGGTCCCTAACAGCACCAGAAAAGCACTGTCCTAAGAATATGAACTGTCCTTGGGCAGAGTTGGCGTGGCCTGAGGTGACTTTCAGGCCCTGGGGAATTTCTACCTGCAAGGACAGATATTCTGCAGGCTGAATGAGTATTGTCTTGTGCTTATTTATTTATTTGAGACAGGGTCTTGCTCTGTCACCCAGGCTGGAGTGCAGTGGTGCAATCTCCGCTTATTGCAGCCTCCGCCTCCCAGGTTCAAATGATTCTTCTGCTTCAGCCTCCTGAGTAGCTGGGACTGCAGGTGCCCACCACCATGCCCGGCTAACTTTTGTATTTTTAGTAGAGACGGGGTTTCACCATGTTGGCCAGGCTGGCCTCCAACTCCTGACCTCATGTGATCCGCCTGCCTTGGCTTCCCAAAGTGCTGGGATGACAGGCATGAGCCATTGCACCCAGCCGAGAGTCCTTGCTTCTGACTGACATTTATTGGATGTCCCCTGTGCTAAAGGCTCTGGCACCTGCTACTTCAGGAAAGCACATCTGTGGATTGGGTATGGTTAGCCCTATTTCTGGATGAGAAAGCTGAGGCTCAGATGGGCTTAGTGTCCTGTACTAGGCCAACAGCTGGTTTATGACTGACGCGGGTTTGGTATCGGACATAATTGAAGTTTCAATATATCACCTTTTCGTTACACCATGTGTATGAGTCCATTTTTACACTGCTGATAAAGACATACATGAGACTGGGTAATTTATAAAGTTAATTATAACTTTATATTGTGAACTCCCCAGTCACAGTTCCACGTGGCTGGGGAGGCCTCACAATCATGGCAGAAGGCAAAAGGCACATCTTGCATGGTGGCAGACAAGAGAGAATTTGTGCAGGGAAACTCCCACTTATAAAACCATCAGATCTTGTGAGACTTATTCACTATCACGAGAACAGCAGAGAAAGATCCAGCCCCATGATTCAATTACCTCCCACCAGGTTCCTCTCACGACATGTGGGAATTGTGGGAGCTACAATTCAAGATGAGATTTGGGTGGACAACAGCCAAACCATATCGCCATGCAATTCCAAAAATGAAATTAATATTTAGCTGGATGTGGTGACTCAAGCCTGTAATCCCAGCACTTTGGGAGGCTGAGGAGGGGGCACTGCTTGAGCCCAGGAGTTTGAGACCAGCCTGGACAACACAGAGAGACCCCATGGCATAAAAAACAATAGAAAAAATTAGCTGGGTGTGGTAGCACATGCCTGTAGTCCCAGCTACTTGGGAGGCTGAGGTGGGAAGGTCGCTTGAGCTCAGGAGTCCGAGGCTGCAATGAACTATGATTGAGCCACTACACTCCAGCCTGGGTGACAAGGAGAGGGGCCTTATCTCAAAATAAAGAGAAAGGAAGGAAGGAAAGAAATAAGGAAAAAAATGTTAAATTATTCCTTAGCACCCACCTCTCTCTGCCAGACATCACATGAAGCTTGTTCATAGCTTTTTCTCATTTAATCCTTTTCATAGCTTTTCCAGGTAGGAGGGTTATTTCTAGTTTTCCCAGATAAGAAAACAGAAACCCAAGGCTGTGACTAAGGTCCCATGGCTAGAAATTGACAGAGGTAGAATCTGAGCTCAATCTGGCTGTCTGAAAGTACATCTTTGATCTGTTACACGGATGATGGTTGATATGGTTTGGCTGTGTCCTCACCCAAATCTCACCTTGAATTGTAATTCCCATAATTCTCATGTGTTGTGGGAGGGACCCTGTGGGCAATAATTGATTCATGGGTGCAGTTTCTCCCATACTGTTCTCCTGGTAGTGAATAAGTCTCACGAGATCTGATGGTTTTATAAGGGGAAACCCTTTTCGCTTGGTCCTCATTCTCTCTTGTCTGCTGCCATGTAAGACATGCCTTTTGCTTTCTGCCATGATTATGAGGCCTCTCCAGCCACGTGGAACCGTGAGTACATTAAACCTCTTTTTCTTCATGATTTACCCAGTCTCAGGTATGTCTTTATCAGCCGTGTGAGAACAGACTAATACAACAGTATAAAGCCAATGTGGTAAATGTCTCAAGAAAGAGCCATTGAAAATCTACAGGATCCAGAAGAAGGAGAAGTTGCTCTGGCAGGGAGTTGGCAATAAGGGTGACCAGGGGACAGCTTCATGGAAGACTGGACAGTGGAAGTCGGCCAGGAAGGCTTCTGCAGGCAGAGCTGGTAGAGCAAGTGTGTGAAGGCTACAGAGAAACACAGGTGACATTCTTGCCCTTGATCTCCCCTCAGTGACAGCTGCTCTTGTGGGCCAGTGTGTGCTGGAAACTTTTTTTTCTTGAGACAGGGTCTTGCTCCATTTCCCCAGCTGGAGTGCAGTGGTGTGATCGTGGCTCACTGCAGCCTCAACCCCCTGGTCTCAAGCAATCCTCCTGCTTCAGCCTCCCAAGTAGCTGGAACTACAGGTGCATGCCACCATGCCCAGCTAATTTTTTAATTTTTTGTAGAGGCAGGCTCTCACTAGGTTGTCTCAAACTCCTGGCCTTAAGCAATCTTCCCACCTCAACCTCAAAAAGTGCTGAGATTACGTGTGTGAGCCACCCCTCTGGCTTGGAAACTTTTATTTTATTTATTTTTGAGATGAGGTCTCACTCGTGTCATCCAGACTGGAGGCACTGGTGCTGTCATGGCTCACTACAGCCTCAACCTCCCAGGCTCAAGCCATCCTCCCACCTCAGCCTCCCAAGTAGCTGAGACTACAGGCGTGCACCACCACGCCTGCCTAATTTTTGTATTTTGTGTAGAGATGGGGTTTTGCCATGTTTCCCAGGCTGATCTTAAACTCCTGGCCTCAAGCAATCCTCCTGCCTTGGCCTCCCAAAGTGCTGGGATTACAGGTGTGAGCCACCACACCTGGCCTGGAAACTCTTAAATGTTAAGTTTGTGCTGAAAATGAGATACTGTATGATTCTGAATGGAGAGTTCGAGGGAAGAGAAGGTGTGTGGCGATCTTGCTTGGATGCAGAGAAAAACTCATAGAAAATTTAAACCTGGGAGCCGCATGGCTTGCAGCAGGAGGGCAGAGCCCCAGGTGGTGGCAGAGTGGGAGCAAATGTGGCCTCCCACGTAGCCATAGCTTCCCTTTGGCTTCTTCTTTTGACTGGTCCTCCTTTTGGTGACGCTTCTCAGATCTTTTTCACATATATTTGCCTTGAAATAATGTTTTGCCAGTTTCAGTCTTTCAGGGAGAGTCATGCTGCAGGCATAAGGCTGTCCTTAAAAGGGTCCCCACATTTCTAAACCTGTCATTCCTATTTCTCCCCAGAGAGAGGCAGGAAGACCATTCATTGCAAAGAACTGCTGATTTGCTCACTGGCATTAGAGTGTGCTGCTGTGACTGGTCTTGGCTGAGAAGAGCAGTGAATTTTGTGAAGTGACAACCTACGGTTTGTAAGTCTAGAGCCAGGGAACACGAGTCTTAAAACAAAGAGGGAGGTGCGGGTGCAGACTGGGTTCTAAACCCCAGAGTTCATATTCTGCTTCTCTTCTCTTCATTTCCTAACTGCTCTGGGCACAATTTTAAACACTCCCGACACCTAATGTCTCTGCCTATAAAACAGTAGCAACATCAATGCCTACTCCAGAGAAAATTCCCAGCATGGTGTCTGGCATGGAGGGTTCAATAAAAGTGCATTGAATCTGAATCTAAGTCTTCCCTTCACAAGACTTTTTTTTTTTTTCCATCCATTAAAGAACTGGTCTCCAATGCTAAAAGAAAATACCTTCCAAGCTCCACTGGAAGCTGCTGGAATGTGAAGGACGCAGAGGTCATTCCCAGTTCTCAGTGAGGTCAAGCCCACCAGCCTGCAAGGGAGCAGCTGTGGCCATGTCCTCTGGAGCAATTGACCGGAGGTGAACATGAGCGGTGGTTTCCCCACTGTTGTGGGCTGTGGTGAGCTCTTAGCACATCCCTGTGCTGTGGGTGACTGCAGGCCACGCCTGCGAAACTTGGCTGATGCAGGGAGAGAGCTTGTATTAGTCCGTTTTCACACTGCTATAAAGATACTACCAATGGCCAGGTGCGGTGGCTCACGTCTGTAATCCCAGCACTTTGGGAGGCCAAGGCAGGCAGATCACTTGAGGTCAGGAGTTCAAGAACAGCCTGGCCAACATGGTGAATCCCTGCCTCTACTAAAAATACAAAAATTAGCCAGGTGTGGTGGCTAATGCTTGCAATCCCAGCTACTCAGGAGGCTGAGGCACGAGAATCTCTTGAACCTGGGAATCGGAGGTTGTAGTGAGAAGAGATTGCACTGCTGCACTCCAGCCTGGGTGACAGAGTGAGCCTCCATCTCAAAAAAAAAAAAAAAGAAAAAAAAAGATACTACCCGAGACCAGGTAATTTGTGAAAGAAAAAAGTTTAATTGATTCACAGTTCTGCATGGCTGGGGAGGCCTCAGGAAACTTACAATCATGGTGGAAGGTGAAGGGGAAGCAAGGACCTTCTTCACATGGTGGCAGGAGAGAGAGAGTGCAGGGGAAGCTGCCACTTAGAAACTATCAGCTCTCTCATGAGAACTCACTCACTATTACAAGAACAGCATGGGGGAAATCGTCCCCATGATCCAGTCACCTCCCACCGGATCCCTCCCTCGACATGTGGGGATTACGATTCGAGATGAGATTTGGGTGGGGACACAGCCAAACCATATCAGAGGTCACCTGGCAGCTGCCCCCAGGACACCTCCCAAGCTGCTGGGCCCACTCAGAAAGCCTAGCTAATGATCATGGAAGGTGTCGTGGTTAATACTGAGTGTCAACTTGATTGGATTGAAGGATGCAAACTATTGATCCTGGGTGTGTCTGTGAGGATGTTGCCAAAGGAGATTAATGTTTGAGTCAGTGGGCTGGGAAAGGCAGACCCACCCTCAATCTGGGAGGGCACCATCTAATAAGCTACCAGCACAGCTAGTATAAAAGCTGGCAGAAGAACGTGAAAAGAGTAGACTGGACTAGCCTCCTGGGCTACATCTTTCTCCCATGCTGGATGCTTCCTGCCCTTGAACATCAGACTTCAAGTTCTTGAGTTTGGGGACTTGGAATGGCTTCCTTGCTCCTCAGCTTGCAGACGGCCTATTGTGAGACCTTGTGATCATGTGAGTTAATACTACCTAATAAGCTCCTATATATATATATGTATATATGTATATGTGTGTGTGTGTATATATATACATATATATATAATAGTATACATATATATACTATTAGTCCTGTCCCGCTAGAGAACCCTGACTAATACAGAAGGAGAGCCTCCGGTTGGCAGATGAGCAAAGACAATTAAAATCAGGGCAAATGGCCAGTGCACCAGGCCTGTCTCCAGTGGGACCTGTGAGCCAGGCTGGTGACTCAGGAACCATGGGTACCACCCCTCTTTGGAGAGTAGAAGTTTCTACCCTTTCCTGGCTTTTGAGGGCTCCTTGTAGGGTGTGCTGTGGGACTGACTGAATGGCACCAAGTAAATCACAAAGAGGTTTGACATCAGACATCTCTGGTTTTGGCAGAAGTAGGAATAATTCTAGAAGGTACTGCATGTTGGACAAAAATACATACAGAAGATCATGAATTTCCAACTGAGACACTGATTCTTATATCAAGCCAAAATACCTGTGTTTTCAGAAAGACAAATACTTCATAATTCCACTTGCATGAGGTATCTAAAATTGTCAGATTCATAGAATCAAAATGTGCAGGGGTGTTTTCCAGGCCTGAGGGGAGGGAGAAACAGGCAGTCACTAATCAACAGGCACAGAGTTGTTTGTTTGAGACAGAGTCTCACTCTGTCTCCCAGGCTGGAGTGCAGTGGCGCAATCATAGCTCCCTGCAGCCTCCAACTCCTGGGCTCAAGAGATCCTCCTGCCTCAGCCTCCCAAGTAACTGGGACTACATGTGCATGCAATCACACCCAGCTAATTATTTTATTTAATTTTTTTGTAGAGACGTGGTCTTGCTATCTTACCGAGGCTGGTCTCGAACTCCTGGCCTCAGGCGATCCTCCTGCCTCAGCCTCCCAAAATGCTGGGATTACAGGCATGAGCAGCGCAAAGTTTTAGTTAAGCAAGATGAATAAGCTCTAGAGCTCTGTAGTAAAAAATCCTGTATTGTCCACTTAAAAAATGTGTTAAGAGGGTAGATCTCATGTTGAGTGTTCTTACCACAATAAAATAACATTAAAAATGCATCTGTTTTAAAGGATAGTTTCCCTGGAAAGGTGGTTCAAAGAGCGTAGGCAAATCTCATCTTACCAAGGAGCTGGTTACGCATGAGAGCAAATAAGAACTGCACATGAAACATGAGAATTAAAATTAGGTGGGTCTTTTTTTTCCCCAACCATCTTACTTTTTATAGTTATTTCGGAGAAATCTGCATTTTTCACTTGGAATGTGCCGTGCCTTTGTCGGCCAGCGATGTATACCAGTCTGCCTGGCTGTTTCCGCTGGCTTGTCAGGCTCACTAATTAGAGAGCTGCAGCGTGATTCACCTTGTTAATTAGAGGGACTTGCACACGGAGCCCTTCGGGCAGTGTATGAGAAAGCCTCGCACCAGTGCCCCGAGAACGATGCAGTCTGTGAAGTCATTCTTCTCATCTACCTTCTATTTTTCATTTGAAATGAATAAATCATCGAGATTTTCCTTGTGGAGTGAGAATGCAAGAATTCACATCTTTGTAAGATGTAAATTACATGTGATCAATAGGAAGCGATGACGCGCGCATTGTACTTACATGATTTCCTAATTTACTCCTTGTCAGTGTCTGAAAAAATGGCCTGAAATATTTGTCTCCTTTCCATGAATCAGTGCCCTTCATCTGGTAAAAGAGGGTGTTGAGTGAGAAACACAGCTGTTTTATTTTAGCTGCTGGAGCCTGGTCCAGTGGTGTGTTGTTTGCTTGCATGGAGAGAGGGGGAAGCTTCTGGAAGCCAGGCCTCTGGAACAATCTCCTTCTCCCCAGCTTCCCCCAGGGGCCTGTCTGCTCGAGAAGAGACAGGGCATAGCAGGTAACTTTGATTGAGGTATTCTTTTGTAATAGAGATCCCCACTTTTTGGAATGGAGGCTTTAGATGTTTTGTGTCTTTTTTAAAAAACATCTTAATTTTAAATAATAATATTTTGGCTGTATTAGACTACGGACCCAGTCACAGAAACAGCAGTGCCTCTGAACAGCATGTTACCTTCTTTCCTATCTGTATAGGATACTCTGGAAATAGTTTCATTGGCTTTCTCCCCAACTACTTGATTAAAATTAAGTGTTGCATTTGAATAAGTTTCAGCAGCTTTCTCTCCAAGTACTTGATTAAAATAAAGTGTTTTAGTGAAACAAGACTAGGAAGAGGCTCAAGATTTCTCATTGGTGAAAAGAAGGATGGTCCTTAAACGTGTGGTTTTCCCATTTAAAAAAAAAAAAAAAAAGCTGAGGGGCTCAGCCCGGTGGTCTGAGGGTCTCTGCTGAGGAGTCTGATTCAATAACCCTGTTATCAGACAGGGGAGTGAAAATTAACCTTTTTGCTCATTCATTGCAGTTTGCAGCAATTGTACATGCTCACTCACAGAGATTTTGGCAAAAGATTTGCAAATATTTCTTTAGAGAAAGGAAAAGATTTTATATCAATATCTTCTTTTCCTGGGAAGGGTGTGGATGGACCAGAGTAGCTGTTTTCTAGAATGTTCTTTCCACCATTCTGAGCATCTGATTTGGTGCCCACGAGCACAAATTGAGCGCAGGCTGCATGCAGAACACCACCCCAGCCTGGAGGGAAACCCAGGACACAGAGACCATTCCTGTCCTCAGGGCCTCATGGGCCCCGTGCAATGGAGAAGCAGCAAATCACTAGCATACGGTGGTGAGTGCTCCAAAGCCCTTAAGTCAGCAGAGGGGAGGCGAGTCAGGACAGAAGTCACAGAGGGAGGGACACTTGTGAGGGCTCCTGGGGAATGGGCAGAGCTTGCCAGGTGCAGAAGGCCTTGCAGGATGGGGGTACAGTCGGTGGGAATGCATGGTCCATTCGGGAGTGTGAGTAGCTTGGGAAGGCCAGAGAATGGGTGAGTGAGAGAAGAGATGGCTGCAAAGGCAGGGAGATAGGGTCAAGTCCCAAAGGGCTGCCATTCCAGCCTCCAAATGTGACCTGGTCGTGCTTCTGGGTGCAGAAGTACTTAGCATGTGCACTGTTGAGCTCTGGCTGGATGGGCAGAGGGGTCAACGTGTGGGCACCCCAGATGGACTTTTTGGCTCAGCAGGAACCCAGGCAGGTCTGTGGGACACCTTAGGAGGATGCAGGAGTGTGTGGGATTTCTTTGACACATTTGCCCTCTGCACAGTTCCAGCTCTGAGTGCAGGAACCAGCAGATATAGGGAGTAAAGAAGGGAGGCCACCAGGCACAGTGGTTTATACCTGTAATCCCAGCACTTTGGGAGGCTGAGGCAGGCGGATCACCTGAGGTCAGGAGTTGGAGACCAGCCTGGCCAATAAAAACCCCGTCTTTACTAAAAATACAAATATTAGCTGGCTGTGGTGGTGCATGCCTGTAGTCCCAGCTACTTGGGAGGCTGAGGTGGGAGGATCGCTTCAACCCTGGAGGCAGTAGTTGCAGTGAGCTGAGATTGCGCCACTGCACTACAGCCTGGGCGACAGAGCAAGACTTTGTCTAAAAAAAAAAAAAAAAAAAAACAGGAGGGTGATGATGGATAGATACTGACCCGCCAGGAATCTCACAGACAAAAGCAGCCACCTCTGTTAGAGCCTCAACCTGTCTGACCTCGAGAATTTTACCGAAGATCCAGGTTGTAAGCACAGACCCTCATGCAGCACTTCCAAACACCTAGTTCAGCTCCTCCGACATGATCTGGCACCTGCTCTTTGCTAGAGTTGGTGCAAATAACCAGGGATACAAAGGTGAAAAAGACACCATCTCCTGCCTGTAAGAAGCTTGCAAGAGCCAGGCAGAAGCAATGCATATTTGCAAAGGTAGATAACTCATTGTTAAGTGTGAAAGCGGCAGCCAGGAGCAGGGGGCATCGTGGAGAAACGTGGCACTGGCACTGAGTTTTACAGAATGAATAGGGGCTTATTAGACCAGAATGGAGGGCAAGGGTTCTCTGGACGAAGAGCAGCAAGTTCAAGAGCAAGGCCAGGTGAATGTGCATGGTGTGTTCAGGGACTCACTAAGGTTCTGACCCAGAGAATGAGCCTGGAGGGTGTGCGTTAGGGCCCAGGGCAATGAGGACTGCAGCATTTAGGGCCAAGTATAAACAGGTTTGGATTTGCATTTATAAAAGAGACTTCTGCTGACTGCAGCTGTACAACGCTAGGGGCGCTTTTCACATTATTTTCTAAGGCTTTGTGCAATGCCATGGTAGAGGCTATTTTACCAACCAGGCAAGATCTCACCAGGGCCTGAACCAGCACAGCCTGAGGGAAGATTCTGAGGTCTCTGAGTGGTGAGAGGTGAGGGCTATCCACGAGGAAGCTTCCAGCTCAGGAGACAGCATAATAGTGAATTAATACCCTTCTATTCTAGAGTCTAGCAGTTGCATCTTGTAGCTATGTGAGACTTCCTGCTTCACAGCTTACTGGTTTACAGCCATGGAAATGGAAAATCCAGCCACATTCCCACCCACTGTCCAAGTGGTGCTGAATACGATGATGAATTCATTACCACCAGAACACACTGCTTCTTCTAAAGTGGTTGTGAAATGGCAGTTGCAAACTGTGGCATCCCCATCAATTTCATATGGTGTGTCTCCCACCTTTTTTTTTTTCTTTTTTTAAAGCAAGTCCCTCTTTGTTATGGTGACTGGTCCAGCTTGTACCAGGCATGAGGGAGAGGCTGCCAGGGACACAGAGCCAGGCCCCTTTCTAACTCAGGGACCCCTGGGGCACCTCCATGGGAGTGAAACCACCTTCTCCTTTTCAGACAAGTCCTGTCTGTGGAGGGAGCTTTCCAGATCACACAGAGAGGCTCAATATGATGTCTAAATATTGACTTAGTGGATGCCAGCAGCCCTCAAATAATCTGCTTAGTCTCTTCTCCCTGGGAAAGGTCGAGAGAGGTCAAGGCTCTACTCTGTCTCCATGGTGGTCACAACCAGCATTAAGCTTTGCTGTTTTCAGTTAGAGAAGAAGCTTGGATATAATCTGTTGTCTTAGTCTGTTTATGTTGCTATAAACAAATATCTGAGTTTGGGTCATTTTTAAAGAAAAGAGAGCTGGGTGTGGTGGCTCACGCCTATAATCCCAGCACTTTTCCAGGCCAAGTCAGGAGGATCGCTTGAGGCCAGGAATTCCAGACCAGCCTGGGCAACATAGCAGGACCCCCATCTCTACAAAAGTAAAAACAAAATTAGCTGGGCATGGTGGTGCACACCCGTAGGCTCAGCTAGTTGGGAGGCTGAGGCAGGAGGATTGCTTGAGCCCAGGAGGTGGAAGCTACAATGAGCTATGATCCCGCTACTGTACTCTAGCTGGGGCAAAAGAGCAAGACACTGTCTCTTAAAAAAAAAAAAAAAAAAAAAAGAGGTTTATTTGACTCACGGTTCTGCAGCTTGTATAAGAAGCATGGTGCCAGCATTTGCTTCTGGTGAGGCCTTTAAGAAGCTTCCACCCATGGTGGAAGGGAAAGAGGAGCTGGTGTGCAGAGATCATAGGGCAAGAGAAGAAGGGAGAGAGAGGGGAAAGATGTTAGTATTTTTTGTTTGTTTGTTTGTTTTGAGGTTTCTTTGGGGGGATGGAGTCTCGCTCTGTTGCCCAGGCTGAAGTGCAGTGGTGTGATCTCGGCTCACTGCAATCTCTGCCTCCTGCGTTCAAGTGATTCTCCTGCCTTAGTCTCCCAAGTAGCTGGGATTACAGGCGCCTGCCACCATGCCCAGCTAATTTTTGTATTTTTAGTAGGCCGGGCTGGTCTTGAACTCCTGACCTCAAATGATCCCAGCTCTCTCAGGAACTAAGAAGAGTGAGAACTCGCTCACCACTCTGGGAGCGCATTCATCTATCCATGAGGGGTCTGCCCCCATGACCCAAACACCTCCCTCCAGGCCCCACCTCCAGCATTGGGGATCACATTTCAACATGAGGTTTGGAAGGTCAAATACCCAAAATGTAGCATCTCTAATCCTTCAAGATTCATTCAGCCATCACCTATGTATGCCAGGCAGCATGCCGGGCACTGACACGATCACTCACAGCCCCAGGGCACCTCAGAGAAGCACCTCCAGAAGGGTCATGTGGCTGGGGCCTCTTCCAGGGGATTGGTACTCAGCCTAAAACCTGTGTCTCGCTGCATTTAAAGAATGCCTCGATGCTAGGCTGTGTTTCTTTAGCAAGTAATTTGCTTCAGTAGCATGAGTTACAAGAAAGTGAAGAGGTGAAATGAAAAAAAAAAAAACCACAGTGAAATAAAAGCGGTATTAAAATAGCAGCTGATGGCTGGGCGCGGTGCCTCACGCCTATAATCCCAGCACTTTGGGAGGCCAAGGTGGGCGGATATCTTGAGCTCGGGAGTTCGAGACCGCCCTGGGCAACATGACAAAACCCTGTCTCTGCTAAAAATACAAAAATTAGCCAGGTGTGGTGGCGGGTGCCTGTAATCCCAGCTCTTCGGGAGGCTAAAGCACGAGAGTCGCTTCAATGTGGGAGGCTGAGGTTGCAGTGAGTTGAGATCGTGCCACTGCACACCAGCCTGGTCAACAGAGCGAGACTCTGTCTCAAAATAAATAAATAAATAAATAAATAAATAAATAAATAAATAAAGCAAGCAAGCAACTGAAAGCCTCTCAAGATTTACTCCTAGAAATGAGGCCCTCTCCGACACCCCCACCCCCATATCCGTCTCTGGACCTGGAGCTGTGCTTATGGCCCCGCCCCAGACGGTCCTCACACCACCAGCTGCCTCTGGGGTGGGAGGTATCTAAGCACCACACATTGGTGCTTTTGCCTCCCAAGTCCGCGCTGTGCCCCCTGCAGGGCAAAGGCTCGCCCCATCCCTCTGCTGCTCCCGGAGTCCAGCAGCTCCGTGGGCTGTTGGGAGGCTTCTGCTAACTGAATAACTGTTTCTCCAGACACTTAAATATTTCACCATTTGCTTGATTATAAAGGTACTGCATGTTAATGGCAGACAATGTGGAAAGTGCAAAGTTGTCAGACTCTTTCCAAAGCAACTGTTCCCGCTTGTTTTGGTCAAATTTGTGCCTCCAAATTCACCTATACCAGGCTCTGCTTCTATGCTAATTGATTTTATACTTTAATTGCTGGACTTCTGCTTCAGTCCTTTGTGATGGTTATTGTAAAATTAACTCTTTCAATGGAAGTTTTGGGGGATGGGGAGTCAGGAAGCATTCTAAATTTGATGGTATTCCTTTGCAGTCATAATGAATACCAGTGTTGTAAACTTCTAGCTGCTTGCTTCTCCTAAGGTGGTGATGTTCACCTCCTCTGCAATAGGTGGGTTGGGATGCCATGATGCCAGGTAGGTTCAAGGTATTGCACACAAGGCAGATAAGTGTCATTTACACTCATAAGAATGGTTAATGTTGGCTACCATGGTGTTGATAGACTTGGATAAGAGTTGGCTGGGTGCAGTGGCTCATGCCTGTAATCCCAGCACTTTGGGAGGCCAAGATAGGTGCATCACTTGAGGTCAGGAGTTTGAGACCAGCTGGCCAACATGGTGAAACCCTGCCTGTACTAAAAATACAAAAATTAGCCGGGCGTGCTGGTGCATGCCTGTAGTCCCAGCTACTCGGGGGAGCTGAGCCGGGAGAATCACTTGAACCTGGGATGCGGAGGTTGCAGTGAGCCGAGATTGTGCCACTGCACTCCAACCTGGGCAATAGAGCCGGACTCCATCTACAAAAAAAAAAAAGACTTGGATAAGAGTCTGTCAACCCAAGAGCCCAAGAGCAGTGGTGCTGCTGGACTCTATTCTTCATGGGGCTGTACAGCGGAGTGCAAACGGATGCAGATATCCAAACTACGGAAGGCTTGGTGGGCCTTCCAAGTGCTGGCAGCAAATCCTGACAGTCAGTGAATAGCGACTCTGCCCAAAAAGTGCAGGCAGACTCTCATCTTTCCTATTGGTCTTTTGCAAGAGTAGCCAACAGTTCTTAAGTCTAAGTTTAAGAATTCATTTTGGAAGAACTTTAACTCATGTTTTTGCTTCCAAATTTGGTAACTTTGTGGCTACACCCTGAAAATAAAATGTTTGGTGTTTTCCTAAGGGAGAGAACTATATTCATAATTCTGCAAATATCTGTACCAGGCTGTGGGGGCATAGATCCTTGCCCTGCAGGTGCTCCC
Source organism: Homo sapiens (assembly GCF_000001405.40). Classification (NCBI taxonomy): domain Eukaryota; kingdom Metazoa; phylum Chordata; class Mammalia; order Primates; family Hominidae; genus Homo; species Homo sapiens. Next base: position 33,943,793 of record NC_000019.10, on the reverse strand, counting down.
GGTCTTGTGGGAGACAGAGACCCTGGGTAGGTGTCATCTCTTCGGGGTGATGTGAGCCAGGATGGGAGTCAGCCCATGAGAATACCTTGGTCAGTCTTCAGGAAGATGGCATCCACGCAGAGGACAAGGGAGAGTTAGGGCTCATTAGGCAAGGGGCATATTAGGGGGTAGAGGACAGGGCCAGGGGGTGTTTCTAGCAAGGGGTGAGAGCAGGCAGAGGCTGAGTGACGGAAGGGAGCCACACGCTCCTGCAGAGGTTGCAAAGGGGCAGATGGAAGACTGCTTTGTGTGGCCTGTGCTATGTCACATTTTCTTCTTTAGATGTCAGAATATAAATACAGACAGTTTTCACACTAAAACTAAAAGCAAACCAAACCTGGATTTCTGGGTTCTCTTAAAACTCCTGCATCTGCATTCCCACTTGATTGCAGTCAGCTGGAGCTGTGCCCCCCACCTTGCACATGCACGGGGCAGCAGAGCCTTCCTGGTCCCTCGAGGCACTGGGAGCTGTGGTGGGAGAGGCTGGTGCAGAGAGGGAGTGGGGCCTGGCTAGGCCGTGGGCTCCATGTCCTGCAGGCAGCAGAAAGCCAGACGAGGGCTTTGAGTGTGGAGCTACTGGAGCAGATTTGCCTTCAGAAAGATGTCTCTGATTATAGCTGGGATTTGATGGGGCCAAACAGGAGGTCGTTCATGATAGTTGGGGGCAGGGGAGTGACGGTGGGACATGTGGCGGCCGAATAATGCTTCCCAAAGATATCAGGTCCTAATCCTTGGAATCTATGAAGGTTACCTTATATAGAAAAAAAAAAGGAGGGCCAGGTGCAGTGGCTCATGCCTGTAATTCCAGCACTTTGGGAGGCCAAGGCAGGTAGATCACTTGAGGTCAGGAGTTCGAGACCAGCCTGGCCAACATGATGAAACCCCCTCTCTACTAAAAATACAAAAATTAGCTGGGTGTGGTGGTGCATGCCTGTAATCCCAGTTACTCAGGAGACTGAGGCAGAAGAATCGCTTGAACCCGGGAGACAGAAGTTACAGTGAGCCAAGATAGCACCACTGCACTCCAGCCTGGGTGACGGAGTGAGACTATTTCAAAAAATAAAAAAAAAAATTAAAAAAAAAGCCAGGTGCGGTGGCTCACGCCTGTAATCCCAGCACTTTGGGAGGCCAAAGTGGGCGGATCACGAGGTCAGGAGATCGAGACCAACCTGGCTAACACAGTGAAACCCCGTCTCTACTAAAAATACAAAAAAAATTAGCCGGGCGTGGTGGCGGGTGCCTGTAGTCCCAGCTATTCGGGAGGCTGAGGCAGGAGAATGGCATGAACCCGGGAGGCGGAGCTTGCAGTGAGCCGAGATCACACCACTGCACTCCAGCCTGGGCGAAAAAAAAAAAAAAAAGGGACTTTGTAGATGTGATGAAGTTGAGGCTCTTGAGATGAGGAGCATCTCCTGGATCATGCAGATGAGTGCTAAATGCAATCACCCATGTCCTTCTAAGGAGGCAGAGGGAGATTTGATGCGGACAGAAGAGGAGAAGGCGCTGTGACCATGAAAGCAAAGACAGGAGTGATGTGGCCACCAGCCAAGGAATATAGAACTGGAAAAGGCACGGAACAGATTCTCCTCCAGAGCCTGCCAACGTGTTGATTCCAGCCCACAGATACTGAATTTTTGGCCTCCAGAACTGTGAGAGAGTCCATTTCTGCTGTCTTAAGCCATTGAGTTGGTGGTAATTAGTTACAGCAGACACAGAAAATGAATTCAGACAGTGTCAGAAAGACTTAGGGGTGGAATCCACCAGACTGGGGACCAACTGGTTGTGCCTGGTGAAAGGAAGCATCCAGGGGGACATCACAGTGGGTGCCCTGGAAAGTGAGTCGGAGACTCAACTGCGGGTGTTGGAGGGGAGCCCAGAGAGAGAACACAGAGAGAGCAAGGCAGGGAAGAGACCCCTGTAAAGGTGGGCAATTGCGCTGGAGCCTGCAGCCCTGCAGGGGACTCCATGTGAAACACGCCTCCAAATTGTCTCTCGAAAGGACAAGAAGCGGGGGACACAAAATGCATCTGAGACCAGGCACGGTGACTCATGCCTGTCATCCCAGCATTTTGGGAGGTTGGGGCAGGAGGGTTGCTTGAGCTCAAGAGTTTGAGAACAGCCTGGGCAACATAGGGAGACCCCATCTCTATAAAAGCAAAAATTATCCAGGTGTGGTGGCATGTGCCTGTGGTCCCAGCTACTTGGGAGGCCAAGGTGGGAGGACTGCTTGGGCTTGGAAGGTTGAGGCTGCAGTGAGCTGTGATTGCACCACTACACTCCAGCCTGGGTGACAGAGCGAGACCCTGTCTCAAAGAAAAAGAAAAAAAAATTGCACCTGCTTCAGGCTCCTGAGTTTCTGGCTTGGGCAAGTACTTGGGGGAGAAACCCAGTGACAAGAGCAGGGGCCCAAGAGACAATGCTGAGTCAGCAATGGGTTGTATTTGCATCCCCTGGGGGGTCCGGGCAGGTTGACCCAGGACACAGCAGAAGCTTTGGGAGCCTTCAGAACGGGTAAGACAATAAGTGACATGGTTTGAATGTTTTGTCCTCTCTGAATCTCATGTTGAGACGTAATCCGCAATGTTGGAGGTGGGGCCTGGTGGAAGATGTTTGGGCCATGGCCATGGATCTGTCATGAATGGCTTGGTAATGAGTGAGTTCTCACTCTATTAGTTACCACGAAATCTGATGGTTAAAAAGACCCTAGCACCTTCTCTCTCTTGTGTTCCTTCTCTCACCAGTTGACACACAGCTCCCCTTCCCCTTCTGCCATGATTGGAAGCACCCTGAGGCCCCACTGGTAGCAGATGTCAGCACCATGCTTCTCGTACAGTCTGCAGAAGTGTGAGCCAGATAAACCTCTTTTCTTTAGAAATTACCCAGTCTCAGGTGTTCCTTTATAGCAACACAAAATGGACTAAGATAGTGAGGACAACTCCTTTGAGCAGAAGGATGGGGCAGAGGCCAAGGGGAGCCTTGGATAAAATGTGGACTTAAAAAAACCCCGACTAGGCTGGGTGGAGTGGCTCACGCCTGTAATCCCAGCACTTTGGGAGGCCGAGGCGGGAGGATCACAAGGTCAGGAGATCGAGACCATCCTGGCTAACACAGTGAAACCCGTCTCTACTAAAAATACAAAAAATTAGTTGGGTGTGGTGGCAGGTGCCTGTAGTCCCAGCTACTTGGGGGGCTGAGGCAGGAGAAGGGCGTGAACCTGGGAGGTGGAGCTTGCAGTGAGCCAAGATCGTGCCACTGCACTCCAGCCTGGGTGACAGAGCAAGACTCCGTCTCAAAAAAAAAAAACAACAACAAAAAAACAACTATTCCATCAGTCAGTCAACAAACATTGTTGAGCACCTAATCTGTCATAGTCCCTGAAGATACAGAGGTTATCAAAGGACAAAGCTGGCTGAGCGCAGTGGCTCACATCTGTAATCCCAGCGCTTTGGGAGGCTTTTGTGAGGGGGATAGTTTTCAAAGGGGGCAAGGGGAAAGGCAGGGAGGCTGGTGAAGAGACTCCCGCGGCTGTCCAAGCTGGGGATGCTGGGAGAGATTGGAGCAAAGGCAAGCATCACAGTATCACAGGGACCACCTGTCTGGATTTTTGGCTTAATCACTACAGGACTAAAATGATATGCAAGGCTAGGCATGGTGATGTGCACCTGTAGTCCTGGCATTTTGGGAGGCTGAGGCAGGAGGATCGCTTGAGGCTGGGAGTTCAAGCCCAGCCTGGGCAACACAGTGAGATCCCCATCTCTACAAAAGTAAAAACAAAATTAGCAAGGCCTACTGGCGAGCGCCTGTAGTCCAGCTACTTGGGAGGTTTAGCTGGGAGGATCACTTGAGCCCAGGAATTCAAGGCTGCAGTGAGCTGTGATTGCACTGCTGCACACCACTCTGGGCAACACAGCGAGACTCTGTCTCTAAAATAATAATAATAATAAAAGAGAGAAAGAGACACCTGAGAGAGAAAGAGGAAATGATCATTTCTAAGGTATATGTGCCTCAGTAGTAATGTAATGTGTTGTGGAAATAGAGTGGAAAATTGATAATTGCTTACCTCACAGGTAATGTGAGGTGAGCATTGTTAGCAGGTATTATACTTGTTTAAGGGGACTCTACCCATTACTGAACTGTTCTGATTCGGTTGTGGAGAAGGTATCTTTACTAGGGATACAATTTTCACAAAGTCCCCCATTGCTATGATAGAGTGTTCAGAGTGGGGGTGCTTCCCAGGGTGGGTGGAAACAGCCAGGACTGGGAGAAGGCCTGTTTCTGGGGACAGTGAGCCCCTGGGGCCCAGCGTCACCAGGTCCCTTTGGAGGACTGGTTTGAAGGAAGATTCAAGGTGGCTCCTGACGGGGGCTGCACAGAAGCTGTTCTGCTTGCTATGGCGGCTGGCTGGGACCCTTGGGTGAGTGTGCACAGCACTTTGGTAACCTTGGGTGAAGGTGGCTGTCGAGGGGCCCCAGGGCTGCAGCCCAGCCCTCCCCATGTACAGGAGGTCAGCCATCTGGGTCTGACACCTTCGAGGGGCCTCGAGATGCTGCTGAGAGAGGGAAGAACATGGGGAGGGCAGTGGGCCAATGTGAGGGCAAGGACGTCTGCCCGCGTCTGCCTCCCTGAGGGTGGGAAGCAGGATTGAGTGGGCAGGGTGTCAGAGCCGGGCTCTGGGAAGGAACCAGCTGGGGCCCAGCTGCCCAGAAAAGCTGGGAGTCTTGCCCAAGACCTTTGTGACCTCAGGAAAGCTTTAGGGCGAATGGACTGTTTATTCTCAGGAGTCGGGGTGGAGGGACGTGCAAACACTCAGCTCGGCACAGGTGACACGACTGGAGAGGCCACACCCACCACGGCTCCTTCCTCGCCTAACTCTGGAACGTGCTCAGCAGGTCTCCGCGGCTGCAGCAAGAGATGGACTCAGGGTCAAACTGAGAACAAGTCCTGGCTCAACCTTCGTGAGCCTCAGTTTCTCCCACTGTTAAGTGGGAACAGCCCTGCCCGTCCTGAATTTAATGAGAATTAAATGGAGGTAGGGACGGGGTGGGACAAATCTTGGAGACACCATGCTATGTGCAAGAGCCAGACACAGAAGGACAAAGACTGTGTGATTCCATTTGTAGGAGGTGCGGGACTGGGCAAATCACAGGGACAGGAGGCAGAATGGGGGTGCCTGGGGCTGGGGAGGGGGAACAGAGCATTATTGTTTAACTAGCACAGAGTTTCTGGTTAAGGAGATGAAGTTTTGAAGATAGATAGTGGTGATGGTTGCATAACATTGCGAATATACTTAGTGCCACCGGATTTTACACTTAAAAATGGTTGAAAGGGTAAATTTTGTCACAATTTTTTTAAAAAAGACCAGCTCCTTCTGGTAAACCCAAATTTGGGGTTCCTGAGTTGCTGTTGGCATGGATGACCCAGGATGGCAGGCCAGGATCCCAGCCACCACTCCAAGGCCACAAGATTTGGGAAGAGAAGGATGGTAGCTAATTGTAGACAATTTTTAAAAATTTATTTTTATGTTTTATTTATTTTATTTCCATAGGTTTTGGGGGAACAGGTGGTGTTTGGCTACATGAGTAAGTTCTTCAGTGGTGATTTGTGAGATATTGGTGCACCCATCACCTGAGCAGTATACACTGAACTTTATTTGTAGTGTTTTATCCCTCACCGCCTTCCCACTCTTTCCCCCTGAGTCCCTAAAGTCTATTGTGTTATTCTTATACATTTGCATCCTCATAGTTTAGCTCCCACTTAGAACATATGTTTGGTTTTCCATTCCTGAATTACTTCACTTAGAATAATAGCCTCTAATCCCATCCAGGTTGCTGTGAATGCCATTAATTCATTCCTTTTTATGACTGAGTAGTATTCCATTGTATATTTATACCACAGTTTATTTATCCACTCATTAATTGATGGGCATTTGGGTTCGTTCCACGTTTTTGCAATTGCGAATTGTGCTGCTATAAACATGTATGTGCAAATATCTTTTTTGTATGATCCTTCTTTTCCTCTGGGTAGATACCCAGTAGTAGGATTGCTGGATCAAACGGTAGTTCTACTTTTAGTTCTTTAAGGAATCTCCACGCTGTCTTCCACAGTGGTTGTACTAGTTGACATTCCCACCAGCAGTGCAGACGTGTTCCCTGTTCACCACATCCATGCCAACATCTATTGTTTTTTAATTTTTTTTTATTATGGCCATTCTTGCAGGAGTAAAGTGGTATTGCATTGTGGTTTCGATTTGAACTTCAGACAATTTTGAAAAGAACCAAAAAATAGGAAAGTGGAACCTCATCACTAGTAATCTTCATAGTTATCCATTCACTCATCCTCCACAAGGTTCCATATAATTTTATTCCTTTTTTTTGTTGTTGCGGTAGTTGTTTAGCCTTCTTTCATAAACATTTCTCGCAGCACTAGAAACTCTATATAAAGCCTTGCAATGGTGGTGTAATATCTACACAATTCGTAGGCCTTACTTCATCCAACCAGTCCCCAGTGGTGAATACTTACATTCTTTGCCATTGTTGAATGACATTGGGATCAACATCTCCATGCATACATCTCTGTCTACACCCTGTTTCCCTGGGATAGATTTGTAGAAGTAGAATTACTTCAGTATGAGCAGTTGCTGTGGTTCACGTCTGTAATCCCAGCACTTTGGGAGGCCAAGGCGGGTGGATTACTTGAGCCCAGGAGTTCAAGACCAGCCTGGGCAACACAGGAAGACCCCATCTCAATTATTTTTAAAAAATAAGAAAAAATTTAAAAAGAATGACATGAGTATATTACGCTCCTTTAGATGCTAGTTCCGTGGTGGCAGGTGATTCCCAGGTGGGCTGTCCTCTTTGTCACCCTTGCCTGGCTGGGGATTGCCTGGCCCAGCTCACGGTCTGGCACTGCTGGCTGGTGTTGGCTGGTTCCGTGTAGAGAAAAGGGGACCTTGATTTAATTGGCATCATTCCTGAGAGTGCTCTGTTGATCCCACTGGAGGCCATCATGGGGCTTCTGGGATGTCAAGGTGCTGGAAGCACCAGCTCAGAAGGTGGGGTGACCCCATGGAGTCAGGGTCAGAGATCCTCCCCACACAGAACCAGGGCCAGCCCTCTGGACTATGGCAGGCTCAGGAAGTAGACTCAGAAGGCTCGCCAGCCCCCGTGGGGAACATTTGCCATCCAGCAAGCATTGTTTTTGCCTAGAGCCTTGAAGGTTCCTAAGGATTCGAAGGGAGAGATTCTTCAGGGGCATGGAAGAGAGGCAGAGGCAGAGGTGGAGAGTGGGCACCCCTGCCTTCGCCTCTTCTAAAAGCACTGGACTGGCGTGGCCCTGCCTGGAACAAGGTGGGACCTCCAGGTCCCCTGGTCCCCACCTCCAGGTGGCTCTGGGCTTAGCTCTGCCACATGCCTCCAGGTGATCTTGGGCACACTTCTGAATCTTGCTGTTCCTCAGTTTCCCCATCAGTAATAGGGGGTTGGTAATACTCATTCCCGGGGGTGTGGTTAAGGTTAAGGTTATGAATGTCAAGTACCAGGGCCAGCCCCATGGGACTAAGCAGCAGAGGATGTGCCGGCCACTTGATCTTCTGCCACTCACAGAATGAGCAGATCCTCCTCTTCCCAGACTGATTTCCCCAGCAGGGTGGACATCGAGATGGTATTTGCAGTGCCTACACAGGGCTGATGCTCTCAAGAACTCTGGAAACCTATCCCTTAGCAAGAGGCTCCAAAAGAGCCACCCCAAGGCTCTTCCCTTATGCTCGTGGCCCCTGGAGCCCACCCAGCCCCAAATGCCAGCTCTCCAGAGTCCCCACCAAATTTGAGGCCTTTGCTTTCTTGAAGATCATTTTCAGCCAGCAGATCCTCCTCATAATATATTCGGCAGACATCTGATAATTGTGATAACCCCGATGAGTGGCGAGAGAAGCAAATTAGCTAAAAGATGATTGATTTTTTTATGCGCAATTTTGTCTTCAACCTTTCCTAGCAACGTACCATGCCAGAGTAATAATTTCTTCTTCCAGATATTTTCCAGTACTGAGATTGCACATCTATTTATGGTTGCCTGGAAGCCTCATAATTACAATACAGTCCAAGTGCCCATTTTCTTTCCCTGACTACAAATAGGGATCAATCGAATTTTAAATGACTGCTCCGCGGCTCGCTCTGGATCATGACCTTTGTAAATGATTAGAGCTCACCATCGTTGCTGTCTGCCCCGAAAAGTCGGGTGGGCAGAGCTTTCTAACTGGCATTTAATCTGGATGTAGGCCAAAGATATTCCAGGTGAAATCCGACAACGAGCTGCCGGGAGAGAAAGGGCTTGTGGACTTCTTCCCTGTCCCATGAACATTCCCTGCATGTCCCGCATGCCCCCTTTCTTTTGTCTGATTCCTGGGTCCTGTGGGTGTCTGTTTGCTTTGGAGCCCATTGACAGCGCTATACCTGCCCCTGCTGAATTGGTGCCCAGGGAGGGGAAGGCTGAATTCAGAAGCTCCCAGGAAGTTTTAGACCTGCACGCAAAAATTGTTATTAGCCAGAAAGAAGACTTCTTTGGTTTTGATTTGTTTGGAGTCATTGGATTTGATCTCAAATGAGAAGCTTTAGATTCTGAAGCCTGAGAAAACTGCAGGGTAATTCTTCCAGGAGAAGTTCCAGGAGATTCTTCCAGGAGAAGTTGGGACCGAGACTTGACATAAGCTTTCATTTAACTGCTCAAGTCATCCTCAGAGCTGGGTTTTCTGATTCAGGGTAGAGCCAGCTGCAGTGTGTCTGAGCCACTAGGACCCTGGTGTCACTTCAGGGCAGCTGCTGAACCCTGCTGCAGAGCTCCCCCAGAGAAGCACGGGAGTCCTCATTTCAGGGGTGAGGGGTAGGGAAGGCTGTTTCCCCTAGCCCCACTCAGAATCACACATGCACCACCTGACAGCAGTAGAAGGCCATGTAGTACTAAGAGCTGTAGAGTGCAGCACAGCATCCCGTGCTGTGACCATGGATCCTGCCTCAGTTTCTCCAACTGCAGCTCTTAGGAATTAGCTTGTTATCTTTGTCTGTGGTCAGGGTGTGATCATGCCATTCAAATACATCCTTGTCAGCCTTGTTTTTCCAGAGCCGTATTCTATACAACAGCAAAAATATTTCCTTCTGGGCAGTGGTCTTTGGGCTGTCTTCTACTAACACTCTCTTTGGGTTCTTTGAGAATACCTAAGTCCAGCCTTGGCACCCACTGTTTTTCTCTGTACCTCCCCTCTTCCCTTTCCAGCCAGGCCAGTCTCACTGGGACTGACCCTACTCGACGCTGGAGCACAAGCTGCTACCCACGCAGTGCCCCAGAACACCCTGCCATCACCCCTCCACCTTCCCTTGGCCACCTCTGTCCAACCCCACCTCTGTCCTGGTCTCAGCAGCAAAGGCACCTGCTCAAAACCCAGACAGCACTAACCTTGTCCCTGCTCCAGAGCTTCTGCCTATCCCCTTATAGACAGTCTCCCTGTGCTGTTCCCCAGGGAAATTATGTCTCCCTGCCAACCCACGAGAGTTCCCTGTGGCTCCTGGACACACCTGAAGTCCCAGGAATAGAGGAGGAAACCTGGCGAGGGATGAAGTGAGATAAGCCAGCAAGCTAAGCCTTATCCCATTTTGACCAGCTCTTTATCTGTTGAACATCTCTCTGTGGTGCTGCAGCTATTGGAATTCTTAGGAAAGCATCAGTTTTACCCAGAAATGAAAGCCATCATCAAGAGTTTAAGATCTAAAATCACACACACAGTCTCAAGCAGGGCACTGTCTTGGCATGCTGCTTGCAGTCTCTGGAAAGTGTGGGCAAAGGTTGCATTCTCCCCATGGGTCATAGGCTCATGCTTGCGAAGAGTCATAACAATGTGGAAAGGGAATTCAGAGGACAACTCTCTCTCTTTGCTACAGATGCAGAAACAAGAGCTGGCTCAGATGATGCACAGAGGAAGAACCAAACAGCATCGACAGCCTCCTTCCCTTGAAAGGCTGTGAACTGAACTCACTTGAGCTCTTTTTTCTGGGTGGAAAGATGAGTGCCTGTCTGGATGCACAATATCTTCTAGGTCCTGTGCCTAAACATCATCTCCTGTTTGGCAGCAGGAGATGCTGTGTTTAGAAACACAGCAAAAACTGGCTGGGCACGGTGGCCTACACCTGTAATCCCAATGCTTTGGGAGACCAAAGTGGGAGGATTACTTGAGCTCAGCAGTTCAAGACTGGCCTGGGCCACATGGTGAAACAAAAATATCAAAAAATTAACCAGAGGTGTGGAATGTCTATAGTTCCAGCTGCTCAGGAGATTGAGCAGGAGGATTGCTTGAGCCCAGGAGCTGGAGGCTGCAGTGAGCTATGATTGAGCCACTGCACTCTAACCTGGGCGACAAAGGAGCAAGACTCTATCTTAAAAACAAAAAACAAAAAACAACAAAACAACAACAACAACAACAAAAAACAAGCAGAAAAACCAAGTGCCACATGCTCACATGCCTCCTTTGTCCTCTCCTTTTATTGATAGAACAAGAGATTATATTTGTCACAGGTCGGGGCTGAAGTAGTAGACAGGCCTTTCCAGTTGTCATAATTGGGTTTTAATGTGTAAATTCTAGCAGGCTTCAGTTATTCAAGCACAGCCTATTTCACAATATTTCAGTTATGGTACATTGCAGGATTACAGTTTAAGGCAATTGATTTAACTCTCAAATTCCATTCAATCTGGAAGTGTGAGATATGTTTTGTGTGCTGTCAGATGGGCTCTAAAACATGTCCCTGGGGCCGGGCGCGGTGGCTCACGCCAGTAATCCCAGCACTTTGGGATGCCGAGGCAGGCGGATCACTTGAAGTCAGGAGTTTGAGACCAGCCTGGGCAACATGGTGAGACCCTGTCTCCACCAAAAAAAGAAAAAAAAATTAGCCAGGTGCGGTGAGGCATGCCTGTGGTCCCAGCTACTTGGGTGGCTGAGGTGGGAGTATTGCTTGAACGTGGGAGGTGGAGGTTGCAGTGAGGTAAGATGTTGCCACTGCACCCCAGTCTGTGTGACAGAGGGAGACCATGCCTCAATTAAAAACAAATGAAATGAAATGAAAATGAAATGAAATGAAATAAAATAAAATGTATTCCTGGGCTCAGCAGCAGATCTGAGCCTGGAGCCAGAATCCAAGGAGCTGCCATGGTTGTGGGGCCCCGTGACATCATTCCACATTAGTCCTGCGTTCAGTTTGGGATGGTAAGCCATTTAACTGTTGAAGGTGCCAATGTACCTTTGTTCGCAGAGCTACCTTTTGTTCACTCCCTGAAGAGCAACAACTTTGCTGATTTCAGTTTAGTTGATTTTCCCACTATTTACGTGTGTACATGTAAGTGTTTTCTAAGATGCTTACATTAGTGTCATGTTTTGCAGATGATGCATAGCAGTAGGATTTAAGTGAGAATCTTTAGTGCAAAATCTATTGCTCCTGGTAATAAAAGAAGTGCACTGTAGCGTAGTGAGTTCTGATAATTGATCCCACCACAGGCAAACTGTATCTCTTGAATTTCACCTGTCTTCACACATATAGTATGAGCAATTATTTTGATTAGAATAATGGCTTGTATTTTTAAAGTATATAATTTGCACTTAAAGTCACCATTGAATCTCTGTGCTAACATCACTTTTACAGAGTTTTGCCCATCCTAATGATATTCCCCGCACCACCCCCCAAAAAAAGACTCAAGAGAAAAAACAAGGGTCTGCTCATGGACAGAAAATGTTATCCTGGTCAGGTGCAGTGGCTAATGTCTGTAATTCCAGCACTTTGGGAGGCCGAGGCAGGTGGGTCACTTGAGGTCAGGAGTTTGAGAACCAGCCTGGCCGATATGGTGAAACCCCGTCTCTACTAAAAAAAAAAAAAAAAAAAAAAAAAAAAATTAGCCAGACGTGGTGGCGGCTGCCTGTAATCCAGCTACTTAGGAAGCTGAAGCATGAGAATCACTTGAACCTGGGAAGCAGAGGTCCCAGTGAACCAAGATCGTGCCACCACACTCCAGCCTGGGCGGCAGAGTGACACTGTGTCTCAAAAAAGAAAAGAAAAGGAAAGAAAATGTTATCCCCATTTCCAGCATCCTCCAGGACATTTGGTCAGGCATCTGATTAGGGGGTTGGTTCATTTTCTAAATTCTTTTCTGAGTCCTTATGTTAAGAAAGGTAAAGTCAGTGCCTAAGTGTCCCAAGATTCCAGAATAATTGTTTTCTGTAATTAAGTAAACACAGCACATAGGCTTATGCCTAGACCAACTGGCAGAGGCAAGACCAGCAAAGGAGATGCTTTTGTGAAGAAGAATTTAGCTGAAGTGAGCAGAGCAAACTCCTTCTTGCCATGCTGCAGGGACAGCTGGAAGGCAGCACCAGGGTGAAAGCGTTCTGTCATTAAATCAGTTTGGGAAGTACTCCAGGAGAGGGATGCGAGCTGTCCCTCCCATCCTAGCTCAGCCTGCATCCCCTTTCTCCTGGACTAACGCTACAGAGTCCCACCTGGTGCCCTGTACCTGGTGTCCTGCCATTCTCTCGTCCCCTGTAGCCCACTCTTCATACAAAGCCAGAGAGGACTTCCTAAAAGATGATTTGATGGCCAGGCACAGTGGCTCACACCTGTGTCCCAGCAACTTGGGAAGTTGAGGTGGGAGGATTGCTCAAGCTCAGGAGTTTGATTTTTTTTTTTTTTTTTTTTTTGAGACAAGAGCATCGCTCTGTCGCCCAGGCTGGAGTGCAGTGGCATGATCTTGGCTCACTGCAAGCTCCGCCTCCCAGGTTCACGCTATTCTCTTGCCTCAGCCTCCCGAGTAGCTGGGACGACAGTCGCCCACCACCACGCCCGGCTAATTTTTTATATTGTTAGTAGAGATGGGGTTTCATCGTGTTAGCCAGGATGGTCTCGATCTCCCGACCTTGTGATCCTTCTGCCTCGGCCTTCCAGAGTGCTGGGATTACAGGCATGAGCCACCACGCCCAGCCGAGCTCAGGAGTTTGAGACCAGCTTGGGCAACACAGCGAGACCCTGTCTCTTAAAATTTTTTAAAAAATTATCCGGGTGTGGTGGCGTGTGTCTGTAGGCCGGAGGCTGAGAAGGGAGGATCTGTTGAGCCCAAGAGTTGGAGGCTGCAGTGAGCTATGATTGCACCACTGCACTCCAGCCTGTGTGGCAAAGTGAGACCCTGTCTCTAAAAATATATAATAATAAAACAAAAAATAATTTTAAAAAGATGACTTGATCACATCACTCCCAATTTAAACCTGGTTAACGGTTTCCCACTGCACCCAGAGTAGGCTTGAGCTGTAGCCACAGCCCAAGGCCTTCCTCTCCTCGGCAGCTCTTAGATCCCCGCTCCTCCTCCTTCCCCAAGGCTGCAGCCACCCTGGCCTCTGCCAGTCCTTGGAACTCCTCAAGCCCTTTCTTGCCTCAGGGCCTTTGCATGGGCTGTGACTCTACCTGGAAACTTCTTCCCTCTCATCTTCACAGTTGGCTTCTCCTTGTCATTCAGATCACAGCTCCAAACCACCTTGTGTGAGGCACTTTTCCCATTTACCAACTCTGCCCCACCTCCACCCCCATGTCACTTTATATGCCACTATTAATAACATTTATTATTTTCTTTTTAGCATTCAGAAGGATCTCTGAAATGGTCTTGTTTATTTGTTATTGTATTGTCTCTCCTGCCTGAATGTAAGCTTCATGAGGACGGGTCGGTGTCTTAATCTGTCTCATTCACACTGAACCCCAGAACCATGCCCTGCTGGTGCAGTGGCTCATGCCTGTAATCCCAGCATTTTGGGAGGCTGAGACAGTAGAGTTGCTTGAGGCCAGGAGCTTGAGACTAGCCTGGGCAACATGGTGAAAGCTCATCTCTACAAAAGATGAAAAAAATTAGCCAGATGTGGTGATGTGCACCTGTAGTCCCAGCTATTCAGGAGGTTGAGTTGAGAGGATTGCTTGAGACCAGGAGTTTGAGGCTGCAGTGAGCTATGATTACACCACTGCATTCCAGCCTGGGTGACAGAGGGAGGCCCTGTCTCTAAATAAATAAAGATAAAAAAATTAATAGAACTGTGCCGCCCCTTGAAAGACTCTCTGCAAATGTTGGTTGAATAACAGAATGAACAGCAGATACATGCTACGCCTTTACCCCGTGCGGCCCCTGGCCCAGGTGGAAACCATGCCATTTGAGCAGGTTCGGTATTTGGATAACTGATTAGACCTGGAGGGCTCAGAGGCAGCCGGTGTTAGGAAAGCCCTACCTCACATCCTCATATCTGGGTATCTCAGGCTGGGTGTGTTTGTCAGGTGCACCTCCAGTCACCCGCTCCTGACTTATAGATGCCCTGCAAGAAACCACTTGCTCACCAATCTGCCGTTTGGCAGCAGGCAGGGTCCTTTTCGGGTGGTGGGGTCTTACAGGGCCCTTTGTCACTCCACCACTCTTCCTGTCTCTGGAATTTTGTTCCCCCTCTCTTTTCTGGCCTGACCTCTGCAGGAATGAACTCTCATTTCACCAAAATGACCCAAGAGGTTAGGACCAGATCATCCCTGAGAGGGGGCACTCACTGAGCAGAGCAGGCACAGGACCCTGGCAGGGCTGGGCTTAGCTGCTTCTCCTCATTGAGGAGCCTCTAGTTTTCCTGGGCTGCTGTATTGCAGAGCCTGGAAATGTCTTCTAGTTCCAGGCATTCCCTTCAGCCAATGTAGTCCATCAGCAGGGCTGATGGAGATCCAACTGTGGTCCCAGAGCCCCAGGATTCCCCACAATGAGGGGGCTGCAGTGATGGCAACCTCTTGGCCAATGCTGGAACCTTGACCTTGTCAGATAACGAGGCCTCAGAGAGGTTAGCCTGTCTCCCATGCTCCCCCTTGTACACCTGCACACCTGTATACCTGCACACTCGCACACCTGCACACTTGCACAATTGCATACCTGCATGCTCACACACCTGCACATTCACACAACTGCACACCTGCACACCTCAACTGCACACTTGCAAAATTGCACATCGGCACACCTGCACATTTACACACCTGCTTAACTGCACACTTGCACACTTGCACACCTGCACTCTTGCACACCTGCATACCTCCACAACTACACGCCTGCACATTTGCACAACTGCACACCTGCATACCCACACACCTGCACACCTGCCCACAACCTTGTGCCCAGCCTCCAAATTCCGTCCTCTAGCCTCCCGGGTGCCTTCCTATTCTGGGCTTCTGTAATCATCATTCAGTAATCCTGGGTGGCTGGTCTGGTTCCTTCTCTTTGTATCTTGCCTCTTGCACCAACTCCGAGGTTTCTAGTGGTTCTTCCCTCCTTCACCTCTGTGTCAGCCATCTCTTTAGCCTTCTTACCTGGGTCCCACACACGGCAGCAAAGAAAGTGTGGTGTGCATGGCTAAAGTCAGGCTATCCCTGAGTCTATAGAGGAGGATACATCAGCATAACAAATAGGTTCCTTTCTATTCACACTACTTAGGAATCATGGTTTTCTAAATGCTTTCACAAGGCTGTAAAATGGAAACTTGATATCACCAGTAAACCCATGAAGAAGCCTCTGTTCATCTCTATGGTGAGAGAGCCATTTCTTTAGCTTGTGGGGAATATTGTCAGCTAAAAGTATTGATCAGCCGAAGGCCCTGGCAGGAGGATGCAGAGGACATGAAATGTAAATGTCTTCATTTGCAAAAGGAGTTTCAGGACAGGCACCAGAGCTCAGGGAGGGGGTAATGACTTCAAAAACACCTGGGGTCACCTGCGGTATTTGTTGGTTTTCTCTCTGGACCTGAGCCTGTCTGAGAGATGAGCTCTGACATACACACCTGTAAATGGTGTCTGTGCCGGATCCTGGGGGTGATTCTGGTTAGAGATGAGAGCTGGGTCCAGAGTCTTGGGTGAGAATAAACCACCAGCAGGGGCTTCAGTTATGTGACTTTTGCAGGTCAAGCACATAAGACTCTCAGAAAACCCCTTCCTGAAGTTGACTTCACAGTAATAAATAACATGTGTGAGAGGGTGTGCAACAAGTGAAGAATTTGCATTTGAAGAACTGAAATAATAGAACACATGAAATAAATTCTAAAATAAGTATGGCTGGGTGCTGTGGTGCACACCTGCAGTCCCAGCTATTTGGAGGCTAAGACAAAAGGATTGCTGAAGTCCGGGAGTTCTGGGCTGTTGCGCGCTATGTTTGGCATCAATATAGGACCTCCCAGGAGCAGGGGGCCACCAGGTTGCCTAAGAAGGGGTGAACTGGCCCAGGTTGGAAAAGGAGCAGGTCAAAACTCCTGTGGTGATCAGAAGTGTGATTGCTCGGCCGGGCGCGGTGGCTCACTCCTGTAATCCCAGCACTTTGGGAGGCAGAGGCGTGCAGATCATGAGGTCAGGAGATCGAGACCATCCTGGCTAACACAGTGAAACCCCGTCTCTACTAAAACTACAAAAAATTAGCCGGGCTTGGTGGCAGGTGCCTGTAGTCCCATCTACTCAGGTGGCTGAGGCATGAGAATCGCTTGAACCCTGGAGGCCGAGGCTGCTGTGAGCCGAGATCGTGCTGCTGTACTCCAGCCTGGGCAACAGAGCGAGACTCCGTCTCAAAAAAAAGAAAGGAAAAAAAAAAAAAAGGAAGTGTGATTCCTTCTGAGAATAGACATGGCATTCCAGGCTGGGCAACATAGAGAGACCTCATCTCTAAAATGAATATAAAATAAAATAAAATAAAAATGTTTACCTTATTTAGAGATAATTGAGGATGGTTCAGTTTACTTTGTGGGTTTGAAATTAATTATAAATTTTAAAAAGAGAATCAAAGAAGTAAAAACAGTCAACAGTTTAAATGAAAACACAATAGTGATTTTTACTAGAAATTAGAACCTATACCTACCAACACCCACTTATTTCATTTTGCCCTCCCTTCTTGGCAATCCATGCTATGGAAAGCCAGTCTGTCATCCAACAATCATAATGATATGTTATCATCTTTATTCAAAACTCCTGAAACAATTGGGCTTATGTCTTGTCAAACAAAAATACAAGTATTTACTTCTGGTGGAGATATAGAACAGGTATGGGCTTTCAGTTCGCTCAATCTGAGAAAAGTAAACAGATACAGATGACTTTGACTTCGCTTCTACTCTCTAGCAGCCAGACACTTAATTTCCCTGGGATGCTATCCATAAACAGAAGATGCTTGTTGCCATGGATTTTTTGCTCTCAAGTTTTTTTTTTTCCTTGCCTTTTCTAAGACTTGAACAAAGCCAGTCTAGCCGAGAAATGAGCAAGTTATTTTTAGTTCTTTGAATGGTTTTTCATAAACTCTTTTCTTCCTTTGGCCTAAGGCCCACTGGACCATCAAAGGGATTTTAATACTAAGGTTGGAAAAGGAGAAGAGTCTTTGCAGGGCCACTTATCTCCAAGCCTGTCCCTTTCCAGCTAGAACCCTGGGTACCCCCAGAAAACAGAAAACCCTTGTGCCCATTTAGTGGGCTCTCTACAAGGCATCCATTGCTTTTCAGACATCCCAGCAGCCCTTTAGACTAAGCACATTTATTTATTTAAGTATTTATCTTGCGACAGGGTCTTGCTCTGTTACCCAGTCTAGAGTGCAGTAATGCAATCATAGCGCACTGTAGCCTCCACCTCCTGGGCTCAAGTGATCCTCTCACCTCAGCCTCCTGAGTAGCTGGGACTACAGGTGTGTGCAACCAGGCTTGGCTAATTTTTTGTTATTGTTTTATTTTAGTACAGATGGGGTCTCGCTTTGTTGCCCAGTCTGGTCTCGAACTCCTGGCCTCAAGCCATCCTCTTGCCTCAGCCTCACAAAACGTTGGAATTACAGGTATAAGCCACCATGCCTGGCCTAGACTTTGCACATTTAAACAGTGATCCCTGGATTCCCCTCCTCATTGGAGAGATGCCAGAAGCCCGGGAGTCCTCCCTGGCCCTCCTCCATTCATCCTTCCTCCTATCCCTCACCCAGACCTTTCAATTCTACTTCTCAGTACATTCCAAATGGAGGGTGTGTTTTCTCCTAAAAGGATTTGGGACTGACTTGGAGAAGAAAAGACCCAGCCCCAGCCCCAGGAGGGCTTTTCTCAAGGCTGACATCCACCAGGAAAACTCCCCTTGTGAAGCTCCAGCCTCCATTGCCAGACTTGGCAGCATCCCTTTCCCAGCTCCCAGCTCTGAGCAAAGCAGTCATGCAGTGATAGTGATGTCATCTGTATGGATGCCCCACCTCCACCTTGGGGTCAATCCTTTTCTTGGAATCAGATGCAAAGACACAATACAGCAGCAGAAAAAAAATTAACCAAAAAGAAGTAATAATTCCAAATTCTCACTCACCGTTTATTTTCTTCTCAGCTCCCCATCTATGACCTGAGCAGCAGAATGGATTTTCCTTCTTGCTTGTGGGGCCAGATCTATTCACTTGCCCTTCCTTGTAAGGGTGGAAATGGCTCTGATGATGGAGACCCATAGCTCCCAAGCAGGAATATGTCCGTCCCTATCTCTCCCCTTGATAAGATCAGATCCCTGTGTGGCTGGAAAGGAATCAGGAAAGATGAGGGGAAGCAGTGTATCCTTAGGGGAGAAATCCCTGGTATCTCCTTGTAAAAGAGAAGCTTGCCATCTTCCCAGCAGAATTGGATCTCGCCTGCCATGCTTGTGTTTTCAACCCCAGCCTTCCATTATTATTTATTATTTTCACTTCAAGTATTCCAAATGTTGATAGTCTGGTTCCACCCTTGAGGTTTGCAATTAAAAAAACCTAAATGTAAGAGGCAAGACAGTAAAACTAGAAGATAACGAAAAAGAAAATCAGGTGCCTTGAGTTTGGCAATGACCTTTTAGATACAACACCAAAAATGTGATCTTTTAAAGAAAGAATTCCAAAAAAAAAAAAAAAAAAAAAAGAAATGCTGGGTGTGGTGGCTCATGCCTGTAATCCCAGCACTTTGGGAGGCCAAGGCAGATCACTTGAGGTCAGCAGTTCAAGACCAGCCTGGCCAAAATGATGAAACCCCATCTCTGCTAAAGATACAAAAATTAGCTGGGCATGGTGTCTCACACCTGTAATCCCAGCTAGTCAGAAGGCTGAGGGAGGAGAATTGCTTGAACGTGGGAGGTGGAGGTTGTAGTGAGCCGAGATCGCACCACTGCACTCCAGCCTGGGCAACAGAGTAAGACTCTGTCTAAAAAAATTAAAAAATACAAACACACACACACATACACACACACACACCCCAAAAAACCTCTTAAAAATAACAATAAGAAAACAACCCAATTTAAAAATGGATAAAAGACCTTAACAGACATCTTGTTAAAATAAAGCAAAAGAAGATATCAAAAAGATGCTCAACCTCATGTCATCAGAGAATTGCACATCTAAACAGCAGTGCACTACACTACACATCCATTAGGATGGCTAAACACAAGACACGAACAACACCAAATGCTGATGAGAATGGGGAGCAATGGAACTCTCATTCATTTCCGGTGGGAATGCAAACTAAATATACTCTCACCACAGGATTCAGCAATTTGCTCCTTGTAATTTATCCAAATGAGTTGGAAACTTACATCCACACAAAAACTTGCCCATGAATGTTTATAGTAGCTTCATTCATAATTGGGAGAACTCAGATACAACCAAGGTATCCTTCAATAGGTTGAATGGTTAAACAAACTGAGGTATAACCACACAATGGAATATTATATAGCAATAAAAAGAAATGAACTATCGAGCCATGAAAAGACATGGAGGAATCTTAAGTGCCTATTTCTAAGTGAAAGAAGTTGATATGGTTTGGCTGTGTCCCCACTCAAATCTCATCTTGAATTGTAGTTCCCATAATCCCCACATGTCATGGGAGGGACCAGGTGGAGATAATTGAGTCATGGAGGCAGTTTTCCCCATCCTCTTCTCGTGATAGTGAATGAGTTCTCACGAGATCTGATGGTTTTATAAATGGGAGTTCCCCTGAACATGCTCTCTTGCCTGGCGCCATGTAAGATGTGACTTTGCCTCTCCTTTGCCTTTCACCATGATTGTGAGGCCTCCCCAGCCATGTGGAATTGTGAGTCCATTAAACCCCTTTCCTTTATAAATTACCCAGTCTCAGGTATGTCTTTATTAGCAGTGTGAGAAGGGACTAATACAGAAGCCAACTTGAAAATGTACATATTGTATGATTCCAACTGCATGACATTTTGGGAAAAGCAAAACTATGGAGACAGTAAAAAGATCAATGTTTCAGTTGTTCACAGGAAGAGAGAGTGAGGGAGAAACGAAGGGGGCTGGTTAGAGCAGTGAAACTATTCTGTATGATACTATAATGGTGGATACATGTGAAAACCCATAGAATGTACAACACAGAGTCAACCCTAATGTAAACTATGGATTTTTGTTAATATCAATGTATCAATATGAGCTGTGAATTCTAACAAATGAAGTAAACAATGTACCAATATTGGCTCATGAATTCCAACAAATGTAGCCACTGTTGCAGTATGTTAGTAGTAGGGGAAACTGCGAGGGTGAGGGAGTATATGAGAACTGTATGTATTTTCCACTTAATTTATCTACAAGCCCAAAACTGCTCTAAAAAATAAAGCCCGTTTTTTAAAAAAATTGGCCAGGTGTGGTGGTTCACACTTGTGATCCCAGCACTTTGGGAGGCCAAGGAGAGAGGATCGCTTGAGCCTAGGAGTTCAAGACCAGCCTGGGCAACGTAGCAAGACTCCATCTCTAGAAAAAACTTAAAAATTAGCTGGATGTGGTAGTGTGCACCAGTAGTCCCGGCTACTTGGGAGGCTGAGGTGGGAGGATCGCTTGGGCCTAGGAGGTCGAGGCTGCTGTGAGCCATGATTGTGCTACTGCACTCCAGCCTGGGCAACAGAGCAAAACCTCATCTCTACAAAAATAAATAAATAAATAATATAAACTTTCTATCAATCCATCCATCTGGGAGTACATTTGACTAGTCTAAAAACCTAAATAGAAGATAAGGCCACCTTTCCGTAGTGTGTAGTAGTAGCAGAAATAGCAGTCATAGTGATAGTAGTAGTGGCAGCGTATAGCCTGTGCCTGGCAGTGGGCAGGTTGTCTGCCCTCCCAATCTCAGCCCCCCTATAAAAAGAGGGTGACATTGGCCATGGTTGACTCCTAAGAATACTGCTGTGAGAGTAATGTGGCTCCTCTGTAAGAACTGGAAACCACCACAAGCTTCCTACTAAAGCCAAGAGGTGGCCTTCCACTTCTCTAACTGGGCACACATGGAGGTTTTTGGTTTGCCGAGCTTTTCTCCATTAGCTCATCAGCTTTTGAAGAAGGCCAGAGGTCGGGAGCCATTTCTTTATTCTTTTGCTATTTTTATCTGGAGCTTCTTCCAGTGGCAATCCATAGGACTCAAGCCATGCTGAGACCAGGTAGGAGCTCAGGTCTGAGACAGAAACAGATGTTGTGTCTGCCTTACTCTGGATTTCCTCAAAGAAAACACTGGTTGGTTACTAACTCCATTTTATTTTATTTTATTTTATTTTATTTTATTTGGGGACGGAGTTTCACTCTTCTTGCCCAGGCTGGAGTGCAACGGCGTGATCTTGGCTCACTGCCATCTCTGCCTCCCGGGTTCAAGCAGTTCTCCTGCCTCAGCCCCCTGAGTAGCTGGGATTACAGGTGCCCACCACCATGACTGGCTAATTTTTTGTATTTTTAGTAGAGATGGGGTTTCACCATGTTGGTCAGGTTGGTCGTGAATTCCTGACCTCAAGTGATCCACCCACCTCGGGCTCCCAAAGTGCTAGGTATTATAGGCATGAGCCACTGTGCCCAGCCTTTATTTTTTTAAATAATAATAATTATTATTATTTTGTAGAGACAGGGTCTCACTATGTTGCCCTGGATGGTCTTGAACTCCTGGGCTCCAGCAATGCTCCTGCCTTGGCCTCCCAAAGTGCTGAGATTACAGGCATGAGCCACCACACCCGGTCTATTTTATTTTTTTTAATACAGAGATGATTTTCTTACATAGAAAACCAATGACACTGCTGCCTTGCTGCGTCTCTAGAGGTAGAGTTTAAAAGATGAAATTTTCAGAGATGATTGTGCAAAGCAACAAATACGTGCCAAAATATTAGGAAAAAATACATGAGGGCAGCAATCTTAAAGTCTACTTCTGAAGCACCCAGAAAACATTTTTTACAGGCATCACACAAAGCTGGAGGGATTTCTTGAGTGAGGCTGCGTCTTAGCCATGACTGCATCTCCACATTCAGGGATGGAGGAGCAGATTATACTTGTGCCTTAGTCAAGTACATCAGGGAGGAAGGACAGCTTCAGGACCAGGGGCAGCAGCAACAGCAGTGTCTCACTGACTAGCAGAGCTTCCCAAGTGCATTTCACCCCTCCGCACAAGGGGCTAATCCTAGCACTTTGAGAGGCCGAGGTGGGTGGATCACTTGAGCTCCAGGAGACCAGCCTGGACAACATGGCAAATCCCTATCTCTATAAAAAATACAAAAATTAGTCAGGCATGGTAGTATGTGCCTGTGGTTCCAGTTACTTGGGGGACTCAGGCAGGAGGAGCACTTGAGCCAAGGAGGACAAGATTGCAGTGAGCTGAGACTGCACTACTGCATTCCAGCCTGGGCAACAGAGTGAGACCCTGCCTCAAAAAAAAAAAAAAAAAGAATCCTGCATGAAAAATTTGTCTATTTCCCATTTAGTTACTTATTCAATAATTTACTTATATTAGTATGGACTCATGGCTATCTATAATACACTTTGAGTTATAATCTAACACTATGTCATTTACTTGGTTTATGAAATTGTTTCATCTTTGCCTTTGGAAGTTCTTTCAGTTTGTTCCCATGTCTCTTTGATATAACTGCCATCTAGCAAGACCCTCTACTAGCGTCCCAAATGTGTAGCACGGTGACCGGAGGAACTGATGGGCCTAAAGGATGATGATTTCTCTACTAGAATACCAAATCTTTTCAAATGCTAAAGATAATCTTAAATCAATGCTTTCATTTAGGATACTTGTAGACCAACAGAAAATTTTGCCTTAAGTCTTCACTTATCTTCATAGTTACATAGGTCAGCACTATTTTCACCCTACCTTTTTCAGTAAAGTTATTTCATACCCTTGTAATACAGGTAGATTATTTTGTTACCATCTACATTCTTCCTGGGATCCTCCAACCTCCTAAATGATTTTTTAAAATTTGCATAATTAAGGGTTCCTCTTTGTGCCGTAAAGGTCTACAGATTTGATAATGCAATGTAATGTATCCACCATTACAGTATTACCCAGAATAGTTTCACCACCCTAAAAAACCACCTGTGCTTCACATATTCAAGTCTCCTCCTTCCTAGAACCCCTGGCAACTGCTTACTGTCTCTAAAGTTTTGCCTTTTGCAAAATGTCATACAAATGAAATCCTATAGCATATAGCCTTTTTGGATTGGTTTCTTTCACTTAGCAATATGCATATAACAGTCATCCATATTTTTTGCATGGCTCACTTTTTTTTTAATCACTAAGTAGTATCCCACTGAATGGACGGACCACTGTTTCTTTATCCTTTCGCTTATTGAAGAACATCTTAGTTGTTTATGATTTTGGGTGATCATGAATACATCTACCCTAAATATTCACATGCAGACGTTTGTGCAGACGTATGTTTTGAAATCAGTTGGGTAAATGCTGAGCAGCCTGTGTTAGTCCATTCTTGTGTTGCTGTAAAGAAATACCTGAGGCTGGGTAATGTATAAAGAAAGAGGTTTAATTGGCTCGTGGTTCTGCAGGCTCTAGGAGAAGCATGGTGCTGGTATCTGCTCCTGGTGAGGGCCTCGGGAAGCTTACAATCATGGTGGAAGCAAAGGGGGAGCTGGTGTGTCACATGGTAAGAGCAGTAGCAAGACAGAGAGGGAGGAGATGCCACATTCTTTTAAACAACCAGATCTCACATGAACTCAGAGTGAGAACTCACTCATTACTGCAAGCATGGCACCAAGCCATTCATGATGGATCTGTCCCCATGACCCAAACACCTCCCATCAGGCCCCACCTCTAACATTGAGGATTATATTTGAACATGAGACTTGGAGGGGATAAACATCCAAGCCATATCAGAGCATGATTGCTAGATCATATGGTAAAACTGTGCTTAGCTTTGTAAGAAACTGCCAATCTGTCTTCCAAAATAGCTGTATCATTTTGGAATCCCACCAGCAATGTATGAGTTCCCATTGCTCTGCACCCTCTCACCAGCCATTGGTATTGTCAGTTTTTTGGATTTTAGCCATTCTAATATGTGTGCAGTAGTATCGCATTATTGCTTTGATTTGCATTTCCCTAATGACAAATGACATTGAACATCCTTTCATATGCTTATTTGCCATCTGTGTATCTTCTAAGGATAGTTTTTAGATAATTTTAAAGATAATTTTTATTTTTAAATAATTTTAAACCTACATAAAAGTTGCAAGTACATATAGTACAAAGACCCCCTTATTCTTGAAAAGTATGAGAATAAGTTGTTGGCTTTTTTCTGGTTTTTTTTTTTTTTGAGACCGAATCTCACTCTGTCACCCAGGCTGAAGTGCAGTGGCACTATCTCAGCTCACTACAACCTCCACCTGCCAGGTTCAAGTGATTCTCCTGCCTCAGCCTCCTGAGTAGCTGGGATTACAGGCGCCCACCACCACGCCCAACTAATTTTTGTATTTTTAGTAGAGATGGGGTTTCACCATGTTGGCCAGGCTGGTCTCGAACTCCTGACCTCAGGTGATCCACCCACCTAGGCCTCCCAAAGGGCTGGGATTACAGGTGAGCCACTGCGCCCGGCCCACTTTCTAATATTTGAATGTGTATTTCTTACAAACAAGGAGATTATACTAAATAACCACAATACGTGACTAAAATTAGAAAATTAACATTGATACATAACTAGCATCTCCTTAGACCTCATTCCAATGTAATTAGTTGTTTCAAGAGCAGAAGGATTGAGTCTAGGAAAACGTGATGCATTGAATTGTCACATCTCTTAGTTTTCAGTCTGAACTGTTTTCAGTCTCTCCTTGACCTTGGTACTTTTGAAGATTACCAGCCAGTTATTTTGTAGATTACCAGCCAGTTTTTGTAGTTATTTTGTAGTTATTTTGAAGATTACCGGCCAGTTTGTTTGTCCCTCGTTTGGTTTGACTGATGTCTCCTCGTGTTTAGATTCAGGTTATGTATTTTGGGCAGGAATATCCGAGAGGTGAGGCTCTGCTCTTCTTACCAGATGGCACACATTTCCAATTTCTCCTGTTACTGATGATGTTAACTTGATGAAGACATATCTGTACCTGCCAAGCCTCTTTACTACCAAATCACTCTTTTTAGCTTTGTAATTAATAAACATTTTGTGAGGAGGTGCCTTTGAGACTAAATATCTTGTTCCTCATCAAGCCTCTACCCACTAGTTTAAGCCTACATTGATGATTCTTGGATTAATTAGTTATTGCTGTGGAGGTAACGAGATGATGATTTTCTCACCCCATGATTCCTTATACACTTGGCATTCTACTGCAGGGAAGCATTCTGCTGTTTCTCCCCACAATTATTTATTTATAGGAGTATGGACTCATGGATTTGTATTTTTCTTAGTGGTTTATAATTGCCCCAGATGTGGTCAGTGGGAGCTGCTCTGTGTCCTTTTGACATGCCTCCATCATCCTATAAGCACTTTCTTAATCTTCTACAAGAAGATGTTTAAAGCTCATCTTTACTATCCCTGCTCGGCTCTTTTAGTGGAGACTGATATTTAGAAAACAAGATCTGGTCTGGGTATGGTGGCTCATGTCTATTGTATTAGTTCGTTCTCATGCTGCTAATAAAGACATATCCAAGACTGGGTAATTTATAAAGGAAAGAGGTTTAACTGACTCACAGTTCTGCATGGCTGGGGAGACCTCAAGAAACTTACAATCATGGCGGAAGGCACCTCCCTACAGGGCGGCAGGAGACAGAATGAGTGCCCAGCCAAGGGGGAAGCCCCTTATAAAAACATCAGAACACGTGAGAACTAATTCACTATTACAGAAACAGGATGGGGGAAACTGCCCCCATGATTCAATTATCTCTGCCTCGTCCCTCCCATGACACTTGGGGATTATGGGAGCTAAAATTCAAAATGAGATTTGGGTGGGGGCACAACCAAACTATACCACCTATCATCCCAGTGCTTTGGTAGGCTGAGATGGGAGGATCACTTGAGCCCCTGGAGGTCAAGGCTGCAGTGAGCTAAGATGGTGCCAACACACTCCAGTCTGGGTGACAAAGGAAGACTCTGTCTCTTAAAAAAGGAAAGAATGAAAGAAAACAAGATTTGGACACTAGATGAGCTCATGGCTTTTGGGGAGTCACTGCTTCCAGGGGCTCTCAGTGAACAGAAGTAGGAAATACATGAGTGTATGTTTGTGTATAATATTTATGCAAATATGCATAATGCATACATTTATATATGTACATTCACATTTCTATCTACATTTATTTTTACATCTATTTATATGTACATTGAAAACCATGAATCTACACTGATAACTCCAATTTTCATCTAATCCTAAAAGATTCTGTGTTAATTTGCTAGGGCTGCCATAACAAAATGCCACAGACTGCATGGCTTAAACAACAGACATTTCTCTTCTCACAGTTCCAGAGGCTGGAAGTCCAAGATCAAGGTACCAGCAGGGTTGGTTTATCCTGAAGCCTCTCTCCTTGGCTGGCATATGGCCACTCTCTTGCTACCTCTTCACGTGGTTGTCCCTGTGTATATGCATGCCTCTGGGGTCTCTCTGTTTGTCCTCACCTTCTCTTCTTATAAGCATATCAGTCAAATTGAATTAAGGCCTGCCTAATTATTTCATTTCAATCTAATCACCCCTTTCAATGCTCTATCTCCAAATACCCTCACATTCTGAGATACTTGGGGTCAAGACATCAACATGAATTTTGGGAGGATAGAATTCAGCCCATAATGGTTTCATTTTAGGGTTTTCCTCCCTTTCTATATTTGAAACTCCCCTTTTTAACTGTGAGAAACCCAGCTCTCATTACACCCATATATTTATGTATTAGATTGAAGTCCTCTGTATGCAACCAATTGCTGCCCCTGTTCCCACACAGATACCCTCCTCATCCATGTCGTCCAAATGACCACCAGGATTGCTAAAGAGTAGAAAGAAGGATGGGCGCTGTGGCTCATGCCTGTAATCCCAGCACTTTGGGAGGCCGATGACAGTAGATCACCTGAGGTCAGGAGTTCAAGACCAGCCTGGCCAACATGGTGAAACCCCGTCTCCACTAAAAATACAAAAATTAGCCGGGTGTGGTGGCACGTGCCTGTAATCCCAGCTATGCAGGAGGCTGAGGCAGGAGAACCACTTGAACCTGGGAGGCGGAGGTTGCAGTGAGCTAAGATCACACCAATGTGCTCCAGCCTGGGTGACAGAGCAAGACTCTGTCTCAAATAAATAAATAAATAAATAAATAAATGTAGAAAGGAGAGCTTTATTGATGGTATCAGTTTGCAAACCGGGAAGAGACCATCTCTGGCATGTGCAGAAGGTGTCCTCTCTTTAATGAGGGAAGGGGCAGGTTGGGTTTTATGCCTCACAGGGTCTGTATCACACAATAGAGTCCTATGTATTCAGCAAGCTGGAGGAAAAAACGATATATATTTCTGAGGGGAGCTGAGTTCATGTGCAATAGATGGATTTCTCTCATTTTTTTTTTTTCACTCTGTCACCCCGGCTAGAGTGCAGTGGCACGAACATGTCTCACATGGAGCCTCGGCCTCCTGGGCTCAAATGTTCCTCCCACCTCAGCCTCCTGAGTAGCTGGGACTACATGCACATGCCACCACACCCGGCTAATACTTTGTTTTATTTGTTTGTTTGGTAGAGATAGGATCTTACTATGTTGCCCAGGCTGGTCTTGAATTCCTAGGCTCAAGCAATCCACCCACCTCAGCCTCCCAAAGTGCTGGGATTACATGTGTGAGCCACTGTACTCGGTTATGAGTGGATTTCTCTACGGGCCTTTCAGCACCTATTGGACAAAGAAACATGTTCTAATAACTTCTTCTCAATGTTTTCTTTAAAATTCCTCTGCCAAACTCTTCCATTCACTGAAGGAAAATAGTTTATGATGCATTTGAAAGAAAACATGATTCAATTTGCCTTTTATTGTTGGATGTTTCTATGGAACTATGAGGGCCCAATGAGGAAAGAAAAATGTTCTTCTAACACACTGTAAACTTTCACTTAGAAAAGTATTTATGGGCTGGGCGTGGTAGCTCACGCCTGTAATCCCAGTACTTTGGGAGGCTGAGGTGGGCGGATCACCTGAGGTCAGGAGTTCAAGACCAGCCTGGCCAACATGGCAAAACCCTATCTCTACTAAAGAATACAAAAATTATCCGGGCATGGTGGTGGGCGCCTGTAATCCCAGCTACTCAGGAGGCTGATGCAGGGAGAATTGCTTGAATCTGGGACGCGGAGGTTGCAGTGAGCTGACATCGCACCACTGCACTCCAGCCTGGGCGACAGAGTGAGACTTGGTCTCAAAAAAAAAAAAAAAAAAAAAAGAAGAAAAGTATGTATGTATGTATATGATGTAGTATGTGGTATGTGTATGTAACATATATCCCATGTTCACTTTGAAATGGGGTTTTAGGATTAAAACGAGATGGAATTTAGCCCCTTACATCAAAAAGTGAACTATAAGATGCCGAGACAGTTTGTGCACAGCCTCTATCAGCTGCTGAGACTGGCCTAAGGTGAAGTTGCTTATCAGAAGAGAATGTTTGTAAGGCTGGTCCTCTGTCCAATCAGAGTTGTAGTGATCTGATCTGTAAATCAGCTGATAATTTGCCCGATAGCTCCTATCGTTAAGGAGCGTAGCAAGAGTGTGGTTTTTCTTGTAATGGTAGGAATTTAGAAATTTGCCGTGTCAGCCAGGCCCTGAACCCTCGACCCATAGGTAACTTTTGTTTCCTTAACCTTAGGGTCCGTCTTAGTTGATAAAGGGGCATCAACTTTGGTCTCTCGGGTCATATCCCCTTTGGGATCAAACAACCCGCACAGCACCACCTCCCACCCCTACTCCACTCCGTGCAGTCACCGCCTCATCCAACTGAGACTACTTTTTCACACTGGACTCCCCGCTCTTCCTGCTTTTGTTGCAATGCCCTGTGCTGGGCTGGGGCAGCTACCCAGCCCCGCCCCTGCCACCTCCCAGTGCATCCTCCTCATCTCACTGGGCTCCAGAATCCCACACCAGATTTCACCAATTTCCTTTACCCTGCTGGGCTCCGGTGTTCCGTGCCAGGCTGCCGGCACTGGCACTGCCCACCTCCACCCTGCAACAGTGCCTGTTTTCCTTGGCTCCACCTAATGGCTTTTAGACAGGAGAGAAGAAGAACCGAGCCGAGGCCAAGGGCATGACGGGGTCAACTGGGGATTTTTGTTGCAGGTAACAGAAGCCAGCGCTGGCTAACATTAGCAAATCAGAATAATCATTATTGTTATTGAAAGGACATGGGACAACACAAAAGCTAGACAGTCAGCCTTGGGTAGATTAGGAACCAAGGTGATCTGAGGATGTGGGGGTGCAAGCAGGATTTGGGGGTACTGCCATTAGAATGGCTCAGCACAAAGCATTGTACACCCCAGGTCCCTCCACTCAAAACTCGAGACTCCTAGCAGGAGCTGGGCATTGAGCTGAACCCTTTGCCAGGCAGTGGGCACTGGGGTTGACTTCCCACGAGCCACATGCAATAGGAAAGAGGTGGGTCCCAGAGGGAAAAGTGGGACCTCGTTGCCCATCGAAGGCCAGGCATGCGTGGCGGACAGCAGACGGCTGGGGACTTGTATTTGTTTCTGAGGGCTGTCATAACACAGAATGAGTTGCTTAAAACACAGAAATGTGGCCACGTGTGGTGTCTCACACATGTAACCCCAGCACTTTGGGAGACTGAGGCAGGAGGATCGCTTGAACCCAGGAGTTCGAGACCAGGCTGGGCAACATGGCGAAACCCTGTCTCTTCAAAAATAAAAATAAAAAATTAGCCGTGCTTGGTGGCCTGCGCCTGTAGTCCCAGCTACTTGGGAGGCTGAGGTGGGAGGATCATTTGAGCCTGGGAGGTGGAGGTGCAGTGAGCCGAGATCATGCCACTGCACCCCAGCCTGGGCGACAGAGCAAAACCCTGTTTCAAAACAAAAAACAGAAATGTATTGTTTCCATTCTGGAGACCAGAAATCAGAAGTCAAGGTGTCAGCACAATAGGCGGTTCCTTCTGAGGGCTGAGGAAAGTTCTTTTCTATGCCTCTGTCCTGTTTCTTGCAGTCTGAGGCCCTCCTTGGCTTGAAGAGGGTGTTCTCCAAATATCTTCATAGAATCTTCCCTCTATGCATGTCTGTCTCTGTGTCCTCTTTTCATAAGGTCACAGTGCACATGACCTCATTTTACATCTGCAACCACCTTGATATGGTTTGGATCTGTTTCCCTCCAAATCTCACGTTAAATTGTAGTCCCCAGTGTTGGAGGTGGGGCCAGGTGGGAAGTGATTGGATCATGGGCGTGGAGTTCTCACCAATAGTTTAGCACCCTCCCCCTTGGTACTGTACAGTGAGTTCTCAAGACATCTGTTTATGTAAAAGTGCGTAGCACCTCCCGCCTCATTCTCTCTTCCTCCTGCTCCTGCCGTGGAAGATGTGCCTGCTTCTCCTTTGCCTTCTGCCATGATTGTAAGTTTCCCAAGGCCTTCCCAGCCATGCTTCCTGTTCAGCCTTCAGAACTGTGAGCCAATTAAACCTCTTTTCTTTATAAATTACCTAGTCTCGGGTATTTCTTTATAGCAGTGCAAGAACAGACTCAGACACACCTTATTTCCAAATGAGGTTATATTCTGAGACAGTAGGGGTGAGGACTAAAACATGAATTTGCGGGACACACAACTCATAACGGTCCTCTTGGGACATCCAATCCAGTGTCTCCTGGGAAAGACTAAATCCCATAGAGTACCTTCTCTCATCCCTGTGTATCTTGCTCAGTCTGGAAGAAACCTCACATGGACAAATTGGAAAACTCAACTGATTATCTTCCTGTTGAAAAGAAATCCACTGCTTTGGGAATCTCACCTAAATTGATGGCTATCAGTGATTCCAGCAGCAGAAAAACACCCCGTTTTCCTGCTGAGGAATACGTGGTCACCTCAGGGCCATCACACATCCCCATGTGATGTCCACCTGTGCATAGGTGACAGATTTCTAGATATCTGTAGTTGTCATTGTGATCACTAAGATCCAAGGTCATTTTCAGGTGTTCACAAGTTCTTTTTACTACTTTTATTTGCTAAATCAACATGCTAGAAATGCAACAGCTATGTAGAAGTCAGCAATATTTTGTCCATTAAAAAGGAATCATCTTACTCAAAAAGGAACGAGAACTTCAAGATTTACTGTAAGATTACAGTAATCAAGACAGTGTGGGACCAGCAATAGGAGGAATAAATAGATCAACGAACAGCATAGAGAACCCAGAAACACATATTTATGAATACAGCCATTTGATTTTTTTTATTAAAAAAAAAAAGATGGGGTCTTACTATGTTGCCCACGCTGGTCTTGAACTCCTGGGCTCAAGGGATCCTCCCACCTCGGCCTCTCAAAGTACTGGGATTTACAGGCATGAGCCACTGCGCCTGGCCAGCCATCTGATTTTTGACAAACATAATGCAATCCAACAGGGAAAGGAAACTCATGAACAAATTGTACTGGACCAACTGGATTTCCATTTGGAAAAAAAAAAAAAAATCTCAAGCTGGGCATTTTGGCTTACATTTGTAATCCCAGCACTTTGGGAGGCCGAGTGGAAGGATCGCTTGAGACCAGGAGTTCAAGACCAGCCTAGGCAACATACAGATGCCCCTATCTCTACAAAAGATAAAAAAAAATTTAGCTGGGCATGGTGGCATGTGCCCGTGGTCCCACCTACTCAGGAGGCTGAGGTGGGAGGATCACTTGAGCCAAAGAGTGTCTCTCTAAAAAAAAAAAAAGATCAATAAATAAAGTCCAAAAAATGGGCCAAAGATTTGAAAAGATACTTCACCAAGGAAGATATGAGTGGTGTATAAGAACATGAAAAACTATTCAATATCTTTAGTTATCTGGGAAATGCAAATTAAAACCACAATGAGATACTGCTACCCACCAACCAGAATGATTAAAATGTAAATGGCCCTCAGCTCCATTTGCGGGTGAGAACGAGGGCAGTCGAAACTCTCACACATTTTTGGTGAATTTTGGGGAAGTGTAATGATGTCTATAAAGTACTCTGAAATGCATCAAAACATGGACAGTGGGGCAGATTGTATTTTCCAAAAATGACTACAACAACATCTCCGTTCCCACGTGTTCTGCTAAATGTAATCGTGACACTCCCCTTTCTAGACATAGAGTCTAATTCCCCTCTCCTTGAATCTAGATGGGCGTGTGACTGCCATCAGTGTTGAGTGGAACAGTCACTCAACTGCCAGCAGAGTTACATGGAAGTGATACTGTGTACCTTATAAGCATGCGCCAGAAAAGTTCCTGACACTTCCGTTTTACTCACTGGAACACTTGTGATTGGAGCCCTGAACCATCCGGTAAGAAGTCTGACTATCTTGAGGCACCATGAAGTCATGATGCCAACTTCATTGATAAGCCACATGAAATTCCTCCATTTGCTTGTCTTAATTTTCAAGTTGTCCTAGCCCAGCCTCCAGCTATTTCTAGATTTCCAAGCAGAGTCCTGAGCTACCATTTGTTTTCTCTTAGCTCTGTATCGTAGAGGAAGAGAAAGAAATATTCAGCTTCAGGCAGAATTTAGAAGTCGGGACCAGGTGGATTCAAAAACTATTTCTCAGCTGGGCACAGTATCTCACATATGTCATCCCAGCGTTTTGGGAGGCCAAGGCGGGTGGATTGCTTGAGCCCAGGCATTTGAGACCAGTTTGAGCAACATAGCTACAAAAAATAAAAAATAAAAATAAAAATTTAAAAAATGTTCTTTACAATACATTTTTTAAAAAGTTAGGCATGGTGACGTGCACTTGTAGTCCCAGCTACTTGGGAGGCTGAGGCAGGAGGATCGCTTAAGCACAGAAGGTTGAGGCTGCAACGAACTACGATTGCACCACTGCACTCCAGCCTGGGTGACATAGTGGGACCCTGTCTCAAAAAACAAAACAAAACAAAAAACTGTTTCTCATTCCACGTTTCTCCCAGTGGAAGATTCAAAAAGGGCAAAGATCAGACCCAGGGCACTGTTAGGAAAGCAGCTCAGGGTAAGGGTGAACCAAGTGCCCCACTGTAAAGTTCTTCTTTAAGATATGAGAAAATTTTATGGTGGTGCCTTGTAGACCCTTTCAACCAGACAAAAAGCCTCTTAAGGAAACTAACAGCATACTTTGTAGATCCTCTGTGTTAAACAATAGGACTTCTAAGAATCTTTTTTTTTTTTTTTTTTTTTGAGACTAAGTTTTGCTCTGTCTCCCAGGCTGGAGTGCATAGCCTGGGATCTCAGTTCACTGCAACCTCTGCCTCCCAGGTTCAAGCAATTCTCCTGCCTCAGCCTCCTGAGTAACTGGGATTACAGGCATCTGCCCCGATGCCCAGCTAATTCTTTGTATTTTCAGTAGAGACAGGGTTTCACCATGTTGGCCGGGTTGGTCTCAAACTCCTGACCTCAGGTGATCCACCCACCTCAGCCTCCCAAAGTGCTGGGATTACAAGCGTGAGCCACTGCGCCCAACCAACTTCTAGGAATCTTAAGGGCATTGTCCCACAGCAATTTCATGGGGAACCCAAAAGAGAGAAAGGCTTATTTTAGTTTTTGGGTTTTTTTTGAGACAGAGTCTCGCTCTGTTGCCCAGGCTGGAGTGCAGTGGCGTGATCTCAGCTCATTGCAAACTCTGCCTCCTAGGTTCAAGTGATTCTCCTGCTTCAGCCTCCCAAGTAGCTGCGATTACAGGCGCACACCACCACACCCAGCTAATTTTTGTATTTTTAGTGCAGACGTGGTTTCTCCTTGTTGCTCAACCTCAGGTAATCCACCCACCTCGGCCTCCTGGTGTGCTGGGATTACAAGTGTGAGCTACCTCGCCCGGACAAGAAAGGTTTATTTTGAAGTGGTTTATTGGCTCACATCTGTAGTCCCAGCACTTTGGGAGGTCAAGGTGGGAAGGTTGCTTGAGGCCAGATGTTCAAAACCAGCCCGGGCAACATAGCGAGACCCCTGTCTCTGCAAAATAAAAACCAAATTAGATGGGTGTGGTGGTGCATGTGTGCAGTCCCAGCTATTCAGGAGGCTGAGGTGGGAGGATCACTGGAGCAGAAGTTGCAGGCTCAAATGAGCTATGATGGCACCACTGCACTCCAATCTGGACAACAGAGCAAGACCCTATCTCTAAAAAACAAAAGCCAACAACAACAATAAAAAGGAATCTTGGACTCTGAGCCTGATGATTTCATGGAATGAGAATTTGTGCATATTGCACAAGCATTATTGTGACCAAAGGGGTAAATGTGGCATCTCCAAAGATGGCCACAACAGTTCCTGTGCCACAGATCTACAAAATGAGCCTCCCACATCACCAGCAAGAGGTGGAACCTAATTCTCCCCTATTTGAATCTATGGCTGCTTTGACCAACAGGAAGCAATGCTATGTAACTTGCAAGGCTGGGTTATAAAGGCACTGCAACTTCTGCCTTGTTTGCCAGAACACACTCTCGGAGCTCTGAGCCGCCCTGGGAGAAGTTCAGCTACCTTGAGGCTACCATGCTGGGAGGAAGTCTGAGCTTCATGATGAGATCACACGCAGGCACGATGCTGGCAACCCCCAGACATGTGCGTGAAGATGCCTCAGGACGATTCCAGCCTGCAGGCATCAAGTCCTCCGAGCTGAGACCCCAGACGTCCTAGAGCAGCAACAAGCCAATCTGTCTGAATTTCTAACTCATGAAATCCATGAGCATGACAAAAATGGCTGTTTTTTTCAAGTCACGAAGTTTTGAGGAATTTGTTACATAACAGTAGTAACCAGAACAGATGGATTGATATATGGATAGAGGGAAAGAAAGCTAGATGGACAGATATGTGATAGAGCAAATAGAGTAAAAATGTTAATGCAGAAGCTAGGTGGAACATGCGTGGGTGTTCACTGTATGATTCTTTCAACTCTTCCGCATGTTTAAAAATATTTTACAATAAAAATTGGTAGGAAGGAAGGATGGAAACCAAAACTAGCTAGCATTTATTATGTATTACCACGTGCTGGGTCCTGTCAGGCACTTTTACATTCACTATTGCATTTCATCTTCTCAACAACCCCACAGGTTGGTGCCATTTTCTTCATTTTACAGATGAAGAAACTGAAGCACAGAGAGGTTAAGTCACTAACATAACGAAACAGTGGTAGTAAAGGGTCAAGATGAGATTCCAATTCGGGTATGTGTGATTCTGTAACCTATGCTGTTAACTCTTTCAAGTCTAATCTAAAGCACCCAGCATCCCTGTCCACCCTCCATCCATTTCTTTGATAGAAAGTTAAAACAACAGGCTGGGAGTGGTGGCTCACACCTATAATCCCAACACTTTGGGAAGCCGAGGCAAGAGGATGGCTTGATCCCAGGAGTTGGAGACCAGCCTGGGCAAAATAGTGAGACCTCCCTTCTCGGCTTCTAAAGTACCTGGGACTACAGATGTGTGCTACCACGCCCAGTGCACCTCTCGTCCCAGGTACTTGGGAGGCCGAGAAGGGAGGATTGTTTGAGTCCAGGAGTTGGAGGCTACAGTGAGCAATGATCGTGCCACCTCACTCCAGCCTGGGTGACAGAGTAAGATCCTGTCTCAAAACAATAACAACAACAACAACAACAAATGGCTTCTAATGACTCCTTAATTTTTACACTTCTCCAGTATTAGATTGTATTTTCATAGGAGGAAAAATAAAGTTCTGATTTAAGGTGTCTTCCTTCTGGGATGGGGCTGTCTCCTTCCCAGCATTCTTGGCAGCTGGTGCTAAAGAAAATCTCCCAAGTGCTAGGAAAATCTTTCCTCAGTGTGGGGCTTCAAAAGTGGCAAAAAGTCATGTTCATAGTCTCCTTTTGTTCTCACTGCAGTCCGGAGATGGGGCAGGCTCTTTTCAGGAATGAGAACACTGCGAGGCTCACAGACTTAAAAAATGGACCAAGGTCACACAGGATTAAGGGGCAGGACGGTCTCGAACTCACGTCTGTTGGTGCTAGTCCAGCGCGCTCTGCTCGCGGTTCTCTTAACTGGTCTTCAGGCTGCTTTCCATCTAAATCACGCCTGGAGATTAAAGCTGCACTTGCTCTCCAGTGCCCGCGGTTTCTGCGGGTGTCTTCCAGCCATTGTACTTCTAGATCAGCATTCCTCTGATGACTCAATCCCGCAGAGCTTCCGAGCCCATCATGGGCTCAGGCTTTGCGTTTTCGCCGGGGGCCGGGAAGGTGCCTGAGTGTCGCATCCATGTTTCACCGTGGCCCTGGGAAGGCCGTGCGCGGAGACCTGGGGTGCCCATCTTCCCAGCAGCTATGGGCTTCTAGTCTGCGTCTTGGAGGCCCAGAGAGGACGCGGCGCCTGTCCCGTGCGGTCGGCAGGGCTGCGGCCCAGAACAAGCTGGGGCGGCCTCCCTCCTGCTCTGGCCCCCAACAGGGCGGAGCTGGAGCCCCCGCGCGCGCCGGGTCCCCCGAGGGCCCAGCCGCTCACCCTGGGCCCCGGGCGTTTTTGCAGCTCCCAGCCCCGCGCGTACGCAGCAGCTCGGATCTGGGCGGGCCAGGCCAGACCCTTCCTTAGAGACTTGGGGCAAGGGCTGGGGCCCGCCGCCACCCCATCTGGAGGCTGAAACGGCGGCCCACAGAGGTGGTGGCACTGGGCCGAGGCCGTGCAGCATGGGGGTGGCAGGGCCGCGACCCAACTGCCTCCACCCCGGGGCCCACGCCCGCGATGGGGAGCTGGAGCGCGCCGTCTGGCTTCCCCGAGGGCTTTTCCCACAGAGCCGCGGCCCAAGGTTCTTGCCTCCGCCTGGGGTCTTCTGAGCACCCAGCTCTAGAAAGCTCTGCTGGGCGACCTGGAGGCAGGGGGAGGCAGCTGCACCGCGGCTGCTGATGGCCAGAGCCCGAGGGTCGGGTTTCTTGGCAACGGGTCCCAGACACAGATCGCGCCCCTCTTCCCTATTCTCTCCCCTGTCCCCTCCCCCACCGAGGCTCGGCGGAGTCACTGCCCGGGACCGCAGGGCGAGCTCAGGTGTGGCCTAGGGGGCGCGTCCTGTGGGCGGGGAAGGCGTGGGCGGGGGTGACCCGGGGCTGCCCCAGCTGCAGGCCAGCGATTCCCGGACCCTGGCGGGCCGCGCAGGGCGGGGGGGGAGGGTGGTGGGGTGGGGGAGCGGGGAGTGCCCGAGGCGGGGGCGACAAGTCTGTTTCCGCCCGGCCGCCGCCTGCTCCAGCTGAAACGAGTCTTTCCGGTGGGACAACCCAGCCCGGCCCGCCCCGCCCCGCCCGGCCTCCCGGAACCGGCCCGGAGACGCGCAAGACCCCGCCCAGGCCGAAGGCGAGCTCCGGGGCCAGGCAGACCGTGGAGTAGCTGCCGAGGCGGGCGAGCCCGAGTCCCGGGTTCCAGCCCGGGCTGCCAGCCTCCTGGCGCTTTTCGCCCCCGACCCCCTCTCCGATCCGGTGGGTCCCCAGGGACACCCTGGCAGGCGATGCTGGAAAAGCTTCTTGGGTGATTCTGAGAATCACGGTCCAGCCCTACTTCACTACACTTGGGGAAACTGAGGCACTGTCCCAAGGCCGCACCGCGAGTTAGCAAACTGCAAAGCCTGCGAGGAGGGCCTGGCAGACGCCGTGATTTTCCCAGGCCTGAGTCCTGGGAGATCTAGGTTAGGCCAGAGGGGCCGGGGATTCAGGAAGTCCTGGGCGCCTGCTGCCCCGACAGCTCCGCGGGGTGGGCCCAGTCGGGGCGCCGCGAAGGTCAGCAGCCTCGCGAAAATCAACAGGAAGACGCCTTTCTTTCCTCAATCCGGGAGTGGAGATTCCGTTTAACTTCTGCAGTCAGCAGGACAGGAAGCGCTCTCTGTCTCAGGCTGGCGCTAGCAGGGACCCGAGGGAGTGTTCATGGGAGCCAGGTATTGGAAGCGAGGCATCCTTCATTTCCTCCGCAGTGAGGTCTCTGATCGCCCGAGTCTGGTTTTTCAAAATCACATCATGTGAAGACCCCAAGGGGAGGTACCCGGGAGG
Source organism: Homo sapiens (assembly GCF_000001405.40). NCBI lineage: Eukaryota > Metazoa > Chordata > Mammalia > Primates > Hominidae > Homo > Homo sapiens. Next base: position 33,905,366 of record NC_000019.10, on the reverse strand, counting down.
ATTCCTTTATATGCTCAACCTTGACTCAGACTTGCAATCGGCATTTGATCAAGAAACGTGGTCAGTTCTCCAAACGCAAAATCAATCGCTGATTTTACTTTTTTACTTGGCATTTCCTTGGGATATTCTCGATCCTGGGAAGGAAAGATGATGAACTATTGTCTTCAATTCTGTCCCGCTGAGCATCCTTCCTGGATTCAGGATTTCCTGGAGCCAGACCTTAGTAGCTTCAGGTTTATGGCTTTCTGAAAATATAATTTTGATGAATTTTAATCTATTGCTCAAGTTAGAAAATCCCTTAATTACAGGAGAAAACATTTTCAAAGAGAAAGGCCAGACCTTTAGAGCAGGCCCTGGAGCCGTGCTGCTTTGAGAAAATCTCTGGGTAGGCAGGGCCTCTGCTTCAGCTGACTGGCCGGGAGAGAACCAGGCAAGAATGTGTTTCCCACAGCTGTCGGGCCCACCTCTGCCAGTCAGTTCTTGGCTAGAAAATAAATAGTGACTCATGCCTGTAACCCCAGCACTCTGGGAGGCCGAGGTGGGCGGATGACCTGAGGTCAGGTGTTCAAGACCAGCATGGCCAACATGGTGAAACCCTGTCTCTACTAAAAATACAAAAAATTAGCTGGGCTTAGTGGCACGTGCCTGTAATCCCAGCTACATAGGAGGCTGAGGCAGGAGAATCGCTTGAACGCTGGAGGCAGATGTTGTAGTGAGCCGACATCACACCATTGCACTCCAGCCTGGGCTACAGCAGCAAAACTCTATCTCAAAAAAAAAAAAAAAAAGGTTTGCTTAAAGTCGCTCAACCTCCTGCAGAGGACTGTAAGGAGAGAAAGCATTGTCTTGGTTACAATTGTGTTAAAATTGGGCTTTGGTGGCCACACGGTATCTGAGATGGGTATTTCTCCTAAAGTATTTCCAGCTATTAAGTGAGGAAGAATCAATAGACAGAATATCACTATTTTGCATCCCTGATGAATGAATGGATGTAGGCACGATTAGCAGTGGCTGCTGACATCAGAAAAAGAGATCACTCCATTTCCCCACATTATATGCCTTGAAATAAAAAAACTCAGCATCAACTATGAGGTGGTCTAGACATCTCTTGGGGCCCCACTGAACCCCCATGAATGATCAGATTCAGGTTTGATATATGGAGCTCTGAGGGGTCCCAAAAGGTGTCTAGACCACTGAGATCAACCACAGTGGTCCCCCCTACCCACCGTCTTGCTTTGATTTCAGTTACCCAAGTCAACCGCAGTCTAAAAATAGTAAATGGAAAATTACAGAAAAAAAATTTGTAAGTTTTAAATTTCGTGCCATTCTGAATAGCACAATGAAATCTCCTGCTGGCCCGCTCTGTCCCACTGATAGGGGAGTTAAGAAGAAATGATTTAGGCAGATAGTGAGGGTAAGGAAGTCCTTGGTAAGGTTTTCCTTTTAATGGAAAGCAGCCCCCAAATCATTTTCTTTTCTAACAAAGAGCAGCCTGTAAAATCGAGCTGCAGACATAGACAAGCAAGCTAGAAGCTTGCACGGGTGAATGCCAGCAGCTGTGCCAATAGGAAAAGGCTACCTGGGACTAGGCATGTTCAAAAAGGCGGCTCAATCTTCCCTTCTCTTTGCCAGACATGTGTACACCAAGGAGCAGGCAACATAACCCCGGCCAAGCAAAGACCCCATTTACATAATAAGATTAGGGTGGGGTGGGCTGGGCGAGGTGGCTCAAGCCTATAATCCCAGCACTTTGGGAAGCTGAGGGCCGGGGGAGGAGGTGTCGCCTGCATTCAGGAGTTCAAGACAAGCTTGGCCAACGTGGTGAAACCCCGTCTCTATTAAAAATACAAAAATTAGCCAGGCCTAGTGGTGGTCGCCTGTAATCCCAGCTACCTGGGAGGCTGAGGCCGGAGAATTGCTTGAACCTGGGAGGTTGCAGTGAGCCAAGACTGCGCCACTGCGCTCCAGCCTGGGCAACACAGCAAGACTCTGTCTAAAATAAAAAAAAAGATTAGGGTGGGGTAGCCGGCTTCCCTGCGAGTTATGTAAACATCACACCTAGTCCAACCAATCTTTGGGCCCGATGTAAATCGGACACCGCCTCCTCAAGCTTATCTATGAAATCCAGTGCACTCCTCCAGGGCTGCCGGCCGGCCCCCCGCCCCGCCCCGCCCCTCCCCGCCCCGCCCCTTCCCCCCCGCCCCGTCTCTTGTGGGAGAGAGTGCTATTCTCTTTTCTCTTTCTTTTGCCTATTAAACCTCCGCTGTTAACCTCATTTCACATACATCTGGATCCTTGATTTCCTTGGTATGAGGCAATGAACCTCAAGTATTTACCCCAGACAACGAAGCCACTCCACCACCCTGATGCGATCATCCCCTTGTGTATCTACACTGTCCATACCACCTGCCCATTAGTCACTCAATACCCGTCTGGGTTACTACATCCACATTCACGTAACTCTTATTACAGTGCATTGTTGTAATTGTTCTATTTTATTATTAGTTATTGCTGTTAATCTCTTGCTGTGCCTAGTTACTGTTGTTAATCTTTTACTGTGCCTAGTTTATAAATTAAACTTTATCATTCATATATATATATATATATATGAAGAAACATACTCTACAGTATGTAGGGTTTGCTATTGTCCATGATTTCAGGCAGCCACTGGGGGTCTTGGAATATATCCTGGAGGATGGGGGGGGACTCCTGTACTAATTTACATGAAATGAAAACTGCAGGGGAACATGTTAAACAGCACTATGGGGACATAATCAAAACAATCCAGCTCTTGTAAAACCGCAGGATAAACGACCCAGTTCTTCAATAATGAATTGCAAGGAAAATAATCACATTTAGATTCTGAATCAAACAAATGATAAAAAGAAAAAAAAACTAACGTTTTTAGGACACTTGTGAATTTCAATACTGATGGGATATTTGATATTTTAAAAGTCTTCTTAAATTTTTTAGAAACGGTAATATTATGGTGGTATTTTTAAAATTATCTTCTGAAAATACAGGATAAAATATTTAGAGGGAATGATAGGATATCTGGGATTTGTGTGTAAGTAGTTTTAGATGGGGCAAGGGAAGTGTGTGAAGATATAGATGGGAAAATGATGGGGCATTAGTAATGTGTACATGGTGGGTCATTCTGTTATTCTCTATATTTCATATCATGTTTAAATTGTTTTTTCAGAGTGTTCTGAAACTTTTGAACTGCTATTGGAGTCTGGCTGAATTGCCTGGGCTGGGGCTCAGGACAATGGAGACTCAGTGCACTTTGCAGATACCCCTTCTCATGTGTCCCTTCAGCAAATGATATTGAGGACCTTTTGTTTTCTTGAGCTCCTGAAATGATGGAGCTCACACTTGAGATTAGAAAATAATGAAGAAGGCCAGGCGCTATGGCTCACGCTTGTAATCCCAGCACTTTGGGAGGTTGAAGAGGGTGGATCACCTGAGGTCAGGAGTTCAAGACCAGCCTGGCCAACATGATGAAACCCCATCTCTACTAAAAAACACAAAAATTAGCTGGGCATGGTAGCAGATGCCTGTAATCCCAGCTACTAGGGAGGCTGAGGCAGGAGAATCACTTGAACTGGGGAGGTGGAGGTTGCAGTGAGCCGAGATCGTGCCATTGCACTCCAGCCTGGGCGACAGAGTAAGACTCCCTCTAAAACAAAAAAAGAAGAAAAATAAAGAAAATAAATGAATGAAGGATAGAGCCACCAAATGGAAGCAGGGAAGCCTTTGCCGAAGAATGAGTGTTTGATATGAGGACTGGCAGGTGAAAAGGAGTTTTCGGCATGGTGTCTGTTCATCTGTAACATAAGGTGGTTAACGTTAGACTCTATCTACAAGGAGGATCCGTTTAGTCCTAACAGATTCTGTGATTATAGCCTAGCTAAAACCATTTTTTTTCTTCTGTGTGTCTCTCCAAGGAGTTGAGAGGACCAGCCCCCACACCATGTACTTCCTGTCATTGTCCCTTATTTTATTAACTGAAGCAATCTGATTTGAGTGGCTGGTCTTGAATCTCCCACTTGTGTTCAGAGGCCCAAACATTATCATACAATCAGTCCATGGCCTTTTTAGAGGATAGTCTCTAGGGCTCACAGATTCGTTTCTGCTCATTCAGTTCCCAAAGCAGTTCACTAAGCAGCCTTACCTATACTTTCGCTGGTGGCTATGCACAGCCTTGGTAATAAAACCTACTTGTGCTTCAAAACGTGAGTGCCTGCAGTAGATGCCCTCAGCCTTCCCAGCTGTTCTTGTCCAGCATGCAGCCTGGCCTTCAGGTTAACTAGTTCATCCTGATACTCTGCCAGAATGGGTCGAACTTTGTGCTTTGAAGGCCCTTTTCCCCATGTGGCATGAACAACCTGCCAAGATCAAGCTTGCAACAGCTGTAGTTATTTGACAAGTGGCTGGCTGTATCACCTCTCCACTCTGCTGTGCAAAATTATTTGTGTGTGTGTTCTGTTTATTCTTTTCTTCTTCTCAGGGATTTTTTTTTTTTTTTTTTTTTGAGACAGAGTCCCCCTCTGTCACCCAGGTTGGAGCGCAGTGGCACGATCTTGGCTCACTGCAACCTTCACTTCCCGGTTCAAGTGATTCTGTTGCCTCAGCTTCCCAAGTAGCTGGGATTAGAGGCATGCGCCACCATGGCTGGCTAATTTTTTTGTATTTTTAGTAGAGACAGGGTTTTGCCATGTTGGCCAGGCTGGTCTCAAAGTCCTGACCTCAGGTGATCTGCTCGTCTCGGCCTCCCAAAGTGCTGGGATTATAGGCGTGAACCACCACACCCGGCCCATCTTCTCGGTTTTTATGGATGTTTGTACTTTAAAAGGACAATTTCTGAAACTTTTGGATAAGTAAGATGAGAATCTTTAAATGTGATTGCTATATGTTTATTGAATGGGTTTACCTGAGGCATAAACAGAGAGGCAAACACAGTGTCTTCTTAGGGACCTAACAAGCATACTACAAGATGACCCAGAGCCTGACAGAAGGCTGAGAAGGCTAGAAGCATCCCTAATTCTTGCTGCTATAAAACAAACGTATACTTCACTAAGAGAAAAAGTACCGGAAAGTTAACTGGGATGTATTGTATGTTTCCAGTGACTGCTCAAACGCTTCTTATACTAATTTAGTTAGAACAATTTATCTTAACAGAGAACTATAATTTTCCACTCTTTCCAACCAGTTTAACCAACTTATACTTTTTAAACCCACCCAGATGGAATTTATGAATTCAAAGCCAATACCCTAAACCTTAATTTTTATGCTAACCATCATTATAGGTGAGGAATTATGCTAAAGGAACAGTTGAGATCTCTTCTTCTGGCTCTGGAACGCCAGTCTGGATCAAATGAAACTTCCCACCTTAAACAACTGGAACAGTTAGATAATTTTAAAAATCTGTTTTAAAATATCAGAGACTGGCCAGGCATGGTGGCTCATGCTTGTAATCCCAACACTTTGGGAGGCCAAGTGGGGTGGATCATTTGAGTCCAGGAGTTTGAGACCAGCCTGGGCAACATGCTGAAACCCCATCTCTACTAAAAATACAAAAATTAGCTAGACCTGGTGACATGTACCTGTAGTTCCAGCTACTTGGGAGGCTTAAGCAGGAGAATCGCTTGAATCCAGGAGGCAGAGGTTGCAGTGAGCCAAGATAGTGCCACTACACCCTAGCCTGGGCGACAGAATGAGACCTGGCCATGAAAAAAATAAATAAATAAAATCAGAGAGCTATCCAGACAGTGAGGACTTGAGAGGGGAAGATCCTAGAGAAAGGGAAACCTAGAAAGATGAGCCTAACATTTGGCACTGTTCTTCCCCTCCAGGCATTTGCTTCTAGGAGCAGTGATTTAAAGGCTAAGAAGCTGGGCAAAGCTTTGGCAGTCTCAGAAAGGCTCTGGTAATACCCTAGGCTTTTGGTTACAGCCTCTGATCAACTCTCAAAAAAGATTCAGCTTTTATTCAAATCAGATTAAGATGCTCTGCCTCTATACTAACTGCTTGACAAAAGCAAAATAAACTCTCTGGAGAAAGATACCATCATCTACAGCATCACATTGGTTCTACAATTTTTCATACAAAACATGCAGCATTTGTTCAAAATATATGAGGCATATCAGAAGACAAGACCAAATGACTCAAAACCAAGAGAATAAATAGAAAACAGGCTTGGCATGGTGGCTTACACCTATAATCCCAATACTTTGAGAGGTGAGGTAGGAGGATCACTAGAGGCCAGGAGTTCGAGACCAGCCTGGGCAACATAGTGAGACCCCCACCTCTACAGAAAGTTAAAAAAAAATCAGTGTGTGGTGGTGCACATCTGTAGTCTGGGTGTGCTACTTGGGAAGCTGAGGTGGGAGGATCACTTGGGCCTGGGAGATGGAGGCTGCAGTGAACTGTCATTGCACCACTGCACTCCAGCCTAGGCAACAAAGTGAGACCTTGAAAAAAAAAAAAGAAAGAAAAAGAAAGAAAGAAAAGGGAAAGAAAGGAAGAAAGAAAGGAAGGAAGAAAGAAAGAAAGAAGGAAAGAGAGAGAAAGAAAGAAAGAAAGAGAAAGAAAGAAAGAAAATAGCAACTGACCTACAGGAAACCTAGTTATTGGAGGTATCAGACACAAACTTTAGAATAACCTCTGATTGATAATTCAAGGAGACAAAAGACAAAGTGGAGAATTTCAATTGAGAATGGAAATATATAAAAAAGAATCAATGGATGTTCTATAACCAAAAAATATAACTGAAATTAAGGACACATTAGATGAATTTAAAGCATCTTAGACACAGATGAAGAGATAATTAGTGATTTGAAAGATACATCAGAAGAAACTATTTGGACTGAAAACAGAGACAAATAGATGGAAAATACAGAAATGGTATATCACATATTGAACATAATACTATCATAAGTATAATTGAAGTCCCAGAAGAAGAGGAAAAGGAGAGAGATAATAAAACAGAAGCAATATTTGAATAGATAATGGCCAGGAATTCCCCAAAATTGATGAAAGACATGAATCACAGATCCAAGAAGCCCTGCAGTATTGTAGTATTATGAATACAGAGAAAATCACTCATAGGCACATTACAGTAAAACTATTGAAAACAAAATAATAAGAGAGAGATAATCTTAAATGCATCCAACTAAAATGACAGATTACCCTTACTGGAACTACAATAAGACTGACAGCTAACTTTTCAACAGGAACCATGGAAGCCAGAAGCCAGTGGAATGACATTTTAGTGTTGAAAAGCCAATCTAGAATTCTATAACCAGTAAAAATACTTATTAAGAATGCAAGTCAAATGAGGATATTTTTAAATGGACAAAAATGAGAGCACTTGTCATTAGTAACTGTGCACTAAAAGAAATACTAAAGGAAATATTTCAGGCAGAAAGAAAATGACAGATGGAACTTTAGAAAGGCAGGAAGGAATGGAATGTAATATGCAGCAGAGAGGGTAAATAAATGGATAAATCTTAATGAAGATTGACAAAAATAATGTTTTTTCCGGTTTTATTTTTAACCAAATATACAATTTTTCTTCCTTTTTTTTTTTTTGAGGTGAAGTCTTGGTCTGTCACTCAGGCTGGAGTGCAGTGGGACTACAGGTGTGCCCACCAAATCCGGCTGGAGTAGCTGGGACTATAGGCACACCCATCACATCTGGGTAATTTTTGTATTTTTAGTAGAGACAGGGTTTTACCATGTTGGCCAGGCTGGTTTCCAACTCCTGACATCAAGTGATCCACCCACCTTGGCCTCCCAAAGTGCTGGGATTACAGGTGTAAGCCACCGTGCCTAGCCTGTACATAAGAATTAAAATGCATTACAATAGAAAAAAAAGTGAGAGGGAGTAAATAGAGGGTTATAAGCCATGTTAAGGTCCTTGCATTGTTGACTAAATGGTAAAAATTACTCATTAATTTTAGATTTTAATAAGTTAAGGATGCATCTCATGATCTTAGTTTTCTTGGGATGCATTAACAAAATACCACAGACTGGGTGGCTTAAACAACAGAAATTTACTTTTCACAATTCTAGAGGCTGGGAAGTCCAAGATGTGAATCCCAGCAAGATCAGATTCTGGGGAGGGCTCTTGTTCTGACTTGCAGATGTCCACCTCCTTGCTGTGTCCTCATGTGGCAGAGAGAGGGGAGATGAAGGTCGGGACAGAGCGTGCTCTCTGGAGCCCCTTCTTATAAGGACGTTAATCCTATTGGACCAGGGCCCTATCCTTGTGACCTCATTTAACTTTAATGACATCCATAAAGGCCTTATCTCCAAATACAGTCACACTGGGGATTAGGCCTTCACATATGAATTTTGGGGGAATGCAGTCCAGTCCATAGCATAACTATAGCATAACTAGTAAAGGAATGGTAAAAAAAAAAAAATATATATATATATATATTATATATATATAATATATATAAATATATATATATTATATATATATAATATATATAAATATATATATATTATATATATATAATCACTATATATATAATCACTATATATATATATATATAATCACTAACAAGCTAAAAAAGGGGGAAATGACATTTAAAAAATTTTTCTTTCTTTCTCTTTCTTTCTTTCCTTCCTTCCTTCCTTTTTTTTATGATGGAGTTTTCACTCTTGTCACCCAGGCTGGAGTGTAATGGCACAATCTCAGCTCACTGCAATCTCCACCTCCCAGGATCAAGCAATTCTCCTGCCTGAGCCTCCCAAGTAGCTGGGATTACAGGCATGCAACGCCACTCTTGGCTAATTTTTTTTTTTTTTTGTATTTAGTAGAGACAAGGTTTCACCATGTTGGTCAGGCTGGTCTCAAACTCCTGACCTCGGGTGATCCACCCACCTTGGGCTCCCAAAGTGCTGGGATTACAGGCATGAGCCACTGTGCCTGGCCAAAAAATGTTTTTCTTCACCTCCTTTTTCTTCACCTTATTTGCAAAAAAAGGCAAATAGAACAAAAGGAACATAAAATAAGTGAGACAAATAGAAAAAGAAGTAGAAACACTGTAGATTTAAATTCAAATATATAAGTAATTAGATGAAATGTAAATAGACTAAATACTGCCATCAAACTACAAAAATTGTCATACTGCATAAATAACCAAAATCCAACTAGATGTTGAGACACACCTTAAGCATAAGAAGAAGAAAAGTAGAAAGCACAAAGATGGCCCGGGCGCGGTGGCTCACGCCTGTAATCCCAGCACTTTGGGAGACTGAGGCGGGCCGATTACTCGAGGTCAGGAGTTTGAGACCAGCCTGACCAACATGGTGAAACCCCGTCTCTACTAAAAATACAAAACTTAGCCGGGCATGGTGGCACATGCCTGTAATTCCAGCTGCTTGGGAGGCTGAGACAGGAGACTCGCTTGAACCCGAGAAGTGGAGGTTGCAGTGAGCCGAGATCGCACCACAGCACTCCAGCATGGGCAATAAATAGAGTGAGACTGTCTCTCAAAAAAAAAAAAAAAGTACAAAGATCGAAAAAGATCTGCCATGCCAACAATGACAAAAGAAATATTTGAGTGGCAGAAGGATGGATCTTTCTAATGTGACCACATGAATTGGCCACTATCAGTGGTGGTTAGTAGAAACGTGTTCTTCTGACTTGCATTAAATCATATCAACTAGGTCCTGGATACTTGTGAAGCCACTCATTTTCATATATCAGCTCAAAGACAGGGTCACACTCTTCTTGTCCACTGAGCCATCTATACTAACAGAAGCTGGTGGAGTTCACAGCTCCAGAGAGAGGCAGACATGCACAGAGAGGACCCCAAATCAATGAGCATGCACTGTCCCCAAGACCCAGGAACCTGACCACTGAGCGACTTGCTCTTCCTGGAGAGTCTGTTTGCTCCTTCCTGTTGGCCTTCCTCAAATATGTATTGGGCACCTACTCTGTGCCAGGTGTTGTTTGAGGCACAGTGGGTTCTATGCTGAAGAAGACAAAACCATGGAGCTCACCTTCTGGTGCTGGTGACATTTCAGCCAGCTCTAAGAATGTGAAAAGGTATCTGCAGAGGAATAGAAAACAGCCAGGCATTTCTGGCAAGGGAGCTGCAGATGCAGAAGAGCAGAGTTTATGCACAGCATTGCAGTGGGGCACCGGGAGTGGATGCAGAAGGGCAGGGTGTGTGCACGGCATTGCAGTGGGGAGACGGGAGTGGATGCAAAAGGGCAGGGGCATGTGCACGGCATTGCAGTGGGGGTGCCAGGAGTGGATGCAGAAGGGCAGGGTGTGTGCATCGCATTGCAGTGGGGAGCCTGTGGTGGATGCAGACGGGCAGGGCGTGTGCACAGCATTGCAGTGGGGGTGCCAGGAGTGGATGCAGAAGGGCAGGGCATGTGCATCGCTTTGCAGTGGGGCACCGGGAGTGGATGCAAAAGGGCAGAGCGTGTGCATGGCATTGCAGTGGGGGTGCCAGGAGTGGATGCAGAAGGGCAGGGGCGTGTGCACGGCATTGCAGTGGGGAGACAGGAGTGGATGCAGAAGGGCAGGGCATGTGCATTGCATTGCAGTGGGGAGACGGGAGTGGATGCAGAAGGGCAGAGCGTGTGCACGGCATTGCAGTGGGGCGCTGGGAGTGGATGCAGAGGTAAGGACAGTTCGTTGGGCCTGGTTCAGGAATCGGCCAGGGAGTGACAATCTGTGACACCAGAATCTGTTGTCTGGGAGATCAGGGGTGCCCCCTGCCAAGGCTTCTCTTCCTCTTCAGCAGGTAGCCTTTCCCTTGAACACCTCTGTGTCCCCTCTCAGCTGAGGAAGCTGCCTGTGTGAGAACCTCAGTGTGGTATCCCTTTTCCAGACACCTTTCCCTAGGAGTTGGCTGTACCTGGACCATGTCACCTGTGGGTATTTGGAGAGGATCCACCTTTAGTTTCATACCCCATTTAGCTTGAATCATGAATCAAATAACATTCGGGAATAAGACTCTCTTTGCTTAGCATTGAGGAATGAACTTGCACTACTGCCTCTCCCCTCTCAGGGAAGGAGTCTTTGAGAGGCTGTGGACAGCCTCATTTTCTTCCTGATTAAAAAAATTACTGCAGAGGCTGGGGGCCGTGGCTCACACCTATAATCCCAGCACTTTGGGGGCTAAGGTGAGAGGATCATTTGAGCCCAGGAGTTCAACATCAGCCTGGGCAACACAGCAAGATATCATATCTATTTAAAAAAAGAAAAAAGAGGCTGGGCACGGTGGCTCATGCCTGTAATCCCAGCACTTTGAGAGGCCAAGGTGGGCGGATCACCTGAGGTCAGGAGTTCGAGACCAGCCTGGCCAACATGGTGAAACCCCATTTCTACTAAAAATATAAAAATTATCTGGGTGCAGTGACGGGTGCCTGTAATCCCAGCTACTCGGGAGGCTGAGGCATGAGAATCGCTTGAACCCGGGAGGCAGAGGTTGCAGTGAGCCAAGATCGCACCACTGCACTCCAGCCTGGGTGACAAAGGGAGACTCCATTAAAAAAAGAAAAAAAAGAAAAGAAAAGAAAAGAAAAGAAAACTTCCTGAGGAAGGCCAGCAAACCCCTGAGAGCAAAACCATCATCATACCTTACCTTAGTCAAAAGAGACCTTTTTGTCCAGAGAAATGTTTTTTTGTTGTTGTTGCCTTGAAGTTATGATGTTTGACTCAGAAGAGAAATCTTAGCCATGAATCTCACTAATGGAGTAATCTTTAGCACACTGGGAGAGAAAGCAGATAATTCTGCAGAGATTGTAAAATAGATGCCTTCATCATTAAAATTTTCAGATGATAAACCCCTTGCTCATAGATGAAAAATATGATTTTCATGTAATTATAAAGTAGTAGTACCCCTACAACTGGATGGCTGAAACTCTATTTTCCTTTGAAAAACTGCTTAACAGTTGAAAATGAGAGGGGACTCTGCTAAACAGTTTACAAGTTTACAACTCTGGGAATCTTTATAACATCAAGAGTTAGGCGTCATTCTTATCTCCATCTGCAGATTCATTTAATAAGCTACTGTAACTGTTACCATTCTCTTCCAGGCCCTTATTTAAAGCACTTGACCTAGTAACATCTTGTTCTTCACAGCCACATTACAAGGTAGGATTCATTCCCTCATATTTTAGATGAAGAAATTGAAGCTTTGAAGAAAACAGTTCACTTGCCTGAGATCTTAGGTAGTAGCAGGAACTATTCTACTTAGCTTGTTTTTTTTCCCCTGACTTTAGGCCCATATTCTTTCCAAAATACTAATTCATCTTAAAAAAAAAAAAAAGTGAGTGGGGAAGATTTTTCTTCCTAGTTATTGATCTTTGTGAAATACTTACAAAATTAAGAGCTAACAGGCCACATGCGGTGGCTCACGCCTGTAATCCCATGACTTTGGGAGGCTGAGGAAGGAGGATCACTTGAGGCCAGGAGTTCAAGACCAGCCTGGGCAATGTGATGTGACCCCAATCTCTACAAGAAGCTAAAAATTAGCCAGGTATGGTGGCACACACCTGTAGTCCCAGCTACTCGGGAGGCTGAGGCAGAAAAATGGCTTGAGCCCAGGAGTTCAAGGCTACAGTGAGGTATGATTATACCACTGCACTCCAGCCTGGGTGATGACAGAGTGATACTCCGTCTCAAAAAAAAAAAAAAAAAAAGAAAAAGAAAAAGAAAAGAAAAAGAAAGAAAGAAAGAAAAAAGAGGGAAGGGGAAAGGGAATGCACCTTTAGAGAGCTATTATTATTATTATTATTATTATTTAGACAGAGTCTCGCTCTGTCCCCCAGGCTGGAGTGCAGTGGCACCATCTCGGCTCACTGCAACCTCCACCCCCTGGGTTCAAACAATTCTCCTGCCTCAGCCTCCTGAGTAGCTGGGACTACAGGCACCAGCCACCACACCTGGCTAATTTTTGTATTTTTAGTAGAGATGGGGTTTCATTACGTTGGACAGGCTGGTCTCAAACTCCTGAGCTCAAGTGATCCACCCATCTCTGCCTCCCAAAATGCTGGGATTACAGGCATGAGCCACCACATCCAGCCAAGCCCCTATTATTTTTGATTTCATTGATCTCTATAATCACCCAATTCGGGAGTGTTGATACACTAGAGATTAGAAATTAAGCCACCAGGAGGTGAAGTAACTTGCCCTGAGATCCCAGCTTACACATTGAGGAGGTGACCTACAGATGCCATGTCTTTTGACTCTTGGCCTACTGCTCTTCCCAGCATACTAGGCAGCTGAGAGGTGGGCTTCCTAGAGATCTTCTTCCCCACTTGTGGAGCTCCTGGGCTTGGGGGTGGCATTTGGGGAGACCAGGGGAACACATTTCAGGCTCTGTGTCTGCTCTCCTGATGGGTAGAGATGGCCTAGGTAGGGTTCAAAGCTGGAGCCTGCCCCACCCCTTGCTCACCCTGTGGCCCCCTGCCTGCAGACTCGGCACCAGCCTTTCATCTCCTGGCGGGTGATAGGATGAGCAGGGGAAGGTGGCAGAAGGCCTTGGTCCTTGTGGGGGATCCTCTGGCCATTACGATCCTGGCTTTCCCTTGACAGTTTCTGGAAGGTTCACATACTCATTAGGAACTGGTGTCTATGTAAAATGGCTTCTTTGGCTGGAGCAAGGTATTCTCCTGATCCACTTGGCCAACAATGTGACTCCACAGCTACACAGGGAGAAGAGAGAAGAGAAGACGGCTCATTGGTGTCTTAGTTGGCTTGGGCTGCCATAATAAAATACCAAAGCCTGGGTGGCTTAAATCACAGAAGTTCTAGAGGCTGGGAAGTTCAAGATCAGAATGCAGCACAGTCAGATTCGGGTGAGGGCTCCCTCCCGGGCATGCAGACAGCTGCCTTCTTCCTTTATCCTCACATGGCAGAGAGCTCTCTGGTATTTCCTCTTCTAAGGGCACTAATCCCATCATGAGGCCCCACTCTCATGACCTCATCCAAACCTAATTACCTCCCAAAATCTCTGTCTCCAAATGCCATCATGTTGGGGGTTGGGGGGGTCTTCAATGTATGAATTTTAGGGGAACACAATTCAGTACATAGCAGTTGGGTTTTTGCCTTTGGGCAAATCCTTTAATCTCTTACCAGTGTAATGGGCATCTTATAATTTTTTTTTTTTTTTTGAGAAAGGATGTTGCTCTGTCACCTAGGCTGCAGTGTAGTGTTGTGATCTCAGCTCACAGCAACCTCTGTCTCCCAGGTTCAAGCGATTCTTCTGTCTCAGCATCCAGAGTAGCTGTGATTACAAGCATGCACCACCACACTCAGCTAATTTTTGTATCTTTAGTAGATGTGGGGTTTCACCATGTTGGCCAGGCTGGTCTTGAACTCCTGACCTCAAGTGATCCACCTGCCTCAGCCTTCTAAAGTGCTGGGATTGCAGGTATGAGCCAACACGCCTGGCCATATATTATGACTTTAAAGGGGTAGTGAGTAGGAGCCCCTGCCCCGCTGTCTGCTTTTTGTCCTGTCTTTTTCAGAAGCCTTTTGGCAGAGTCACATCTGGGCACCAGGAGAGTGCTAACCTCCCCTACTGAGAAAAATGGCCCTCCAGTGGGCTTCATGCTGTTTCCCCAGGGAGCTCAGTGGGGTAGGGGGTGGGGAGGGAAGATTCCCCTCCAAGGAACTTGGACTAGGCACCTGGAATCCAAAGAAGGTGGCTACTGCCCCCACTTGAAGGTGAAGCCATTGATTAAGTGGCCTGTGTATCTTTTATAGCCTTCCAAATTTGCTTCTTTTTAAACCTCTAAAGTTTGAACCATGTAGGTTCAGCTGCTAAAGAGATTTTACAGACGCCATTGCCCCATTTTCTGTTGGGTATATGTACCTCAGCCTCCCTGCCCCAGCCACCTCCCTCCTATCCTCAGGAGACTTCAGGTACTAACTAGAACTTTCTTTCTGGGACCCAGCCACCAGTGTCTGGCAGGACCTCACCCTGTGTGCTCTAGGTGAAGTCAGGGCTCCGAATGGAGGTTTAGACGCCTCAGCCCTGCTCTGACTCTGCTTCTGCACCCCGGGATCTGCACCATGGACACCAGCCCAAGCCCCAGGACTTCCCATGGGCTGAAGATTTCTTGTGCTGGACTTACGACCATTTCCAAACAGCCTGGACTCAGACTTTTCCCTTGACTGAACTCTGGTCTTGACTTCTGATTGGCAATGTCCCCTCTCCCATTTACCTGTGTCCAGGAACCACTGCCGGACTCCCCATGGCTTCCCTGCCTTCCCTCTGCACACACATTGCCCACTTACACCCCAGAACACGAGCAACTGTCCTAGGCCTTCTTGGAACCTGTGTTCTCCCTTCCTGCCCTGTGGGACAGGCCTCTCTGATCGCACCTGCCAGGTGGCTTAGAAGGAGGCCAAGTCAAGCCTGGAGGAAGGGCCGCTTGGGTGGGGCACTGCAGCAGAGCTGGTGGTGTGGATGGCCCTGTTGTGGCCTAGAAATGGGGTTTTGCAAAATCGCTCAGTAAAAATACATGTTCTCGACTAGGTGCGGAGGCTTGTGCCTGTAATCCCAGAACTTCGGGAGGCCAAGGCAGGTGGATCACCTGAGGTCAGGAGTTTGAGACCAGCCTGGCCAACATGATCAGGCCTGGCCAAACCCTGTCTCTACTTAAAATACAAAAATTAGCTGGGCGTGGTGGTGCACACCTGTAATCCCAGCTGCTTGGGAGGCCGAGGCAGGAGAATTGCTTGAACTCAGGAGGCGGAGGTTGCAGTAAGCTGAGATCACACGACTGCACTCCAGCCTGGGTGACAACAGAGTGAGACTTGGTCTCAAAAAAAAAAAAGGCGGGCGGGGTGGGGGAACATGGCGCAGTGGCTCACGCCTGTAATCCCAGCACTTTGGGAGGCTGAGGCGGGTGGCTCACGAGGTCAGGAGATCAAGACCATCCTGGCTAATACAGTGAAACCCCATCTCTATCAAAAATACAAAAAAAAAATTAGCCGGGCATGGTGGCACATGCTTGTAGTCCCAGCTACCTGGGAGGCTGAGGCAGGAGAATCGCTTGAACCCAGGAGGTGGAGGTTGCAGTGAGCCGAGATGGTGCCATTGCGCTCCAGCCTGGCAACAGAGTGAGACTCCGCCTCAAAAAAAAACAAAAACAAAAGACAAACCAAAAAACAGAAAAACAACCCTCCCACCCTCCGCCAAGAACCAAAAAAACACAAGAATACATGTTCTCCCAGGGGCTGAAGCTTCACGGGGGGACGGGGGTCAAGGATGGGTTCAGTCCCAGATGATGTGTTCACACACAGCCAAGTAATGAAACCAACCCTGCCCTTTTGACTGTTCACCCCAGACAAAGTGTCACCACAGCAGCTGTGTGAAGCTGGCCCATGTCAGAAGGCACTCCGGGCAACATAAAGGGCTTTGTGTGTGTTTCCTTATTTTTCTCTCATAACCACCCTGTGGGACACATAGTGATGTCTCTCTGAAAACCCAGACTCAGAGAGGTTGAGTAACTTGGCCATAGTCACACAGTACATCCATGACGGAGTAGGATTCAAAGCCGGACCTGCTGAGGCCAAGGCTCATGGGGCACTTGGGCTAGGGGGTACCCCTTCTGTGGTCCCCCCATGCTGTGTAGGCTCAGAGTAGGGGCAGAGAACCCACATTTTAAAAGCAATCTCATCTTCTTCTTCTTTGAAAAAAATACATCATCTGCCACTCTGCAGATGGGACTGGGTTTCACAAGTTTGTGGACCTTGACAAATGCAGGATGCACAGGACCAAAGGCCACTGTAGCCATACCCCGTCAGGCTAATGAACCAGCAGAGCTGAGGGTGCTGGTTCTTGCCTGGCCTCAGTGCCTGGAGTTGACCCTCCCTGACACCATGTTGAAGCTCCGCAGAGATGTCTGTGAGGGCTGTGCCCACACACGGGTCTAGGTAGCTGGCCAGAAAACCTTCCCCTTTGCCAAAGTAATCATGTATCTCACGGGATGCATGTGCTTGAAATAGCTCCTTCTGAGACCTGGTGCCTCCTCCTGAAGGGACAATGCCCAGTTTTAGTGACGTCTGGTATGTCCAGACAGCTCAAGGCCCCAAGGAGGGCCTCCCAGTCAGGCCTCTCCAGGGACAGAGCAGAAATCTCCACTCTGCAGCCTCTGACCTGGCTCACCCCTCTCTCCCTTGACTGCCCAGAAAGGACCCCAAATCCCAGGCCCTCTGATTGCAGGCAGCCACATCTCACCAGCCACTGCGCCCAGCTTCTCGGCCAACCCTGAGCTGGGCGAGGGGCCAGGCTCCCTGACAGCGGCCGGCCTGTTGAGGCGACGGCCAGGGGATGGCGGCCACGGCTGATTGAAGTCCCTGTTTCCCTGGTACAAAGGCAGCATAATTAATCAGGCAGTAATGAATTCAGGTGGCACCGGCTTGTCACCTCGAGAGATAGGTTATCTGGGAGGGCTGGAATTCAAAAGAGGGAATCAGGTCACCATTAGGATTTTTCAACATTAAATGTTAAAATTAAGTGAGAATTTATTGGAATTTGACCAAAATTTGATCTGTTCACCTGCAGGAATCCCTCCCCCAACTCTCTCTCTCTCTCTCTCCTCTTGGGGCAGGAGCACCCAGGGTGCGTGGGCCTCTGGCCTTCACCAAGGTTTTCTCAGCTGGTGGGGGTTGGGGGACACTCTGTGTGTGCTCCTGTTACCCAGCATCCTCTGAGGTGGGAGCTGTGAGGAGGGGGGAATGGGAAGGTTCCCCTCACTGAGAAGCCCAGCTCCCTAGTACTCTGCCTCCAGAGGCTCAGGGGATGAACCAGGGCACCGACCTGGTAGGGAGAGCATGGGTGTTGCCTAAGGGTACAGGGCCCTGAGGCCAGGCCCTGCCCACACTCACCCACACGCTCCTCAGCGTCCGGGAGCAACCCGGCTCAGCTCAGCCAGGGTCATGGGCACTGCAGACAGGCTGATCTGAATTCAAATCCCAGTCTTCCCAAGGCCCCACTGGGAGGTTTGGGGCAACTCTTGGAACCAGGTGTTGGCATCTGTCAGCATCGTGGGGTTAAAGGAAGTGGCAATTGTGCTTGTTTAGGACTTGCGTAAAGCAGGCACTCACTGTGGAGGCTCCTGCAGGTGGAGTCCCTCAGAGCATCACATGTCAGGCCAAGGCCAGTGAGGAGGCCAGCCCGTTTGCGGCTGCAGAGCTCTGTGCGTTCACAGGGTAGCCTGCAGCTGCTGCAGCCTACACCCATCTCCAAAGTGAATTAGGTGGTTTGAGATCCCACATGTCCCCAGCACCTGTGTGTGCCTAAGCAGGGAAGCAGCAATGGTTTGAAAAGAGAAACGAGACATACAATAGGTGCATGAAAAAGTACACATCACTAACCACCAGGCAGTGCAAATCAAAACCACAATGAGGTATCTCCTCACACCTGTTAGGATGGATATTATTATTATTATTTGAGATGGAGTCCCACTCTGTCGCCCAGGCTGGAGTACAGTGGCATGATCTCGGCTCACTGCAACCTCCGCCTCCCGGTTCAAGTGATTCTCCTGCCTCAGCCTCCCAAGTAGCTGGGTTTACAGACATGCGCCACCACAACAGGCGAGTTTTTGTATTTTTAGTAGAGACGGGGTTTCACCAAGTTGGCCAGGCTGGTCTTGAACATCTGACCTCAGGTGATCCATCCACTTCAGACTCCCAAAGTGCTGCGATTACAGGCATGAGTCACTGCACCTGGCTCGGATCGCTATTATTTAAATAAATAAATTTAAAAAAGGCAATAAGTGCTGGCAAGGATGTGGAGAAAAGAACACTGGTGCACTGTTGGTGGGAATGTAAATTGGTGCAGCCATCATGGAAACCAGTGTGAAGGTTACTGGAACAAATAAAAACAGAACTACTATATGATCCAGCAATGCTGAGTATCTCAAAAAGATACTTACACTCTCATGTCCATTGCAGCACAATTCACAATAGCCAAGATATGGAAACAACCTAACTGTCCATTGATGGATGAATGAATAAAGAAAATGTGGTGTATACACGATGGAATACAATTCAGCCTTAAAAAAGGAGATCCTGGCCGGGTGCGGAGGCTCATGCCTATAATCCCAGCACTTTGGGAGGCCAAGGCGGGCGGATCATGAGGTCAAGAGATCGAGACCATCCTGGCCAACATGGGAAACCCCGTCTCTATTAAAAATACAAAAATTAGCTCGGTGTGGTGGCGTGCGCCTGTAGTCCCAGCTACTTGGGAGGCTGAGGCAGGAGAATCACTTGAACCCAGGAGGTGGAGGTTGCAATGAGCTGAGATCACACCACTGCACTCCAGCCTGGCGTCAGAGCAAGACTCCGTCTCAAAAGCAATAGTCCCAGCTACTTGGGAAGCTGAGGATGGAGGATTGATTGAGCCCAGGAGGTTGAGGCTGCAATGAGCTGTGATTGTGCCACTGCACTCCAGCCTGGGTGACAAAAAAAGACCCTGGCTCTAAATAAATAAATAAATAAATAAAGGGAATGGGAGAATCTTTGGGAGGTGATGGATATATTTATGGCTTTGATAGTGGTGATGGTTTCATGGCTGTGTATAGTATCCCATCAAGTTGTATGCATCAGTATGTACAGCTTTTTATATGTCAATCATAGATCCATAAAGTGTTTTTTTTTTTTTAAAGACAAACTACTCAATTTTTTTTTTAGGGGCAAAGAATATGAACAGGCAATTCACAGAAGAGGTATGAAAAAGGACTTGTAAAATGTATTACCAAAAAAAAAAGTTTGACCCTACCAAATCTTAAGGGAAATACAAATTAAGCAACACTTGTCACCCATCACAAGGGCAGCAATTTAAAAGTCCGATAGGTACTAGCAGGCCTGTAAGGGCGCTGCTCCCAGAGGATGCTGGTGCCCCGTGTATCAGTACAGCTGCACTTTGGATGCCCTCAGAGCTAGAAATGTGCATACCGTGAAACCCAGCAATTTCCCTTCTGTGTTATCTACCCTCGAGAAATGTATATGTGCACAAAGAAAGCGTCTCTGAAGCAGCATTGGAAATAGCAGAAGCCTAAATGCCCATCAATATCAAAATGCCTCAGTAGATAGAAGCAGTTCACAGCATGGGGCTTTATACAAAAAATTTTTTTAAGTGACTTGGATCTGTGTGTATGCAAATAGATCTTTAAGAGGTATTGTTGAGTGAAAAAAAAATGCGTAGAACAGTATATATGTAAAAAAAGTAACCAAACTCATCAATAACATTTCGCATGCCTCGGCCGGGCACAGTGGCTCACGCCTGTAATCTGAGCACTTTGGGTGGCCGAGGTGGGCAGATCTCTTGAGGCCAGGAGTTCAAGACCAGCCTGGCCAACATGATGAAATCCCGTCTCTACTAAAAATACAAAAATTAGCTGGGCATGGTGGCGGGTGCCTGTCGTCCTAGCTAGTCAGGAGTCGGAGGCGGGAGAATCGCTTGAACCTGGGAGGTGGAGCTTGCAGTGAGCCGAGATCGTACCACTGCACCCCAGCCTGGGAGACAGAGCGAGACTCCGTCTCAAAAATAAAAATAAAAATAAAAAAATTCACATGCCATAGTTTTAATGAAGTCCAATGTATGTTGCAAAAACAGGAAACATTTCTGAAAAAAAAATTCCAAAGTCAGTGCTTCAGTGCTTACCTGTTGGGGAGCTGAAGTGGGTAGCCATGGATTTTTAGAGGTCCAAGGAGACTTTAGCGTCTCTGTAATGTTACAGGGTTTTTTGGAGGCAAACGGGTTAAAGTTCTCCATGTAAAATATAGGTTAGTTTTTGAAAGAGGGTTGGCTGGGTAAAGAGACTGCATCTAGGGGCTCTGGGCGTAATGCAAAGTGAAAAGCTGTGAGAATGGCTGGGAAGGAATGTTAGCGAAAGGTACTTTAAACAAACACCCTCTGGGCTTGCCCAGAGGGGAAACGGAGGAGAGTGAAAAACCCAGGAAGCCTGGAGGAGCAGGCGGGGAAGGGGAAAAGCCAAATTTGGGCCAGGCATTGGAGATTGCTTTGTCCTTGGTGTGCCTGACTTTTCGGCAGGCTGGGAACACGCGGAAATGCATTTCCTGGTGCTTAAGTTTCCAGCTGGGACAACAGAGGTTCTTCCCACAACCCCTCCTCCTCCCTTTAGCTAAGATCTGTTTACCCTAGTGCTCAGACAGGAAGTCTTTATTATTTTTGCATAGGGACCTAGAATGAAAAATCAGTGGTCCTGCCGCTGACTCCACTGAAGGCACCATCCGGAGGAAGTGGAGTGTGGTCCTGGGCATGCCTGCTCTGCCCAGGGCTGTGCAGCAGGGCAGGAGGTCTGTACCTTCCCACGGAAGCTGCGGGTCCTCAGGCTTACAGGGTTGATCTGCGATTGCAGCCGCCTGGCCAAGCCTCAGCCCTGGGCTCAGCATCCCTGCCCAGAGTTAGGCCTGTGCAAGATAACAGAGTGAAAGCAAACCTGTCTCCAAGGCTCCATGGCATGTGGGCTCTGGAGTCTGATCTGACTTCACATCCCGGCTCAGCCCTGAGGCCAGCATGTGTATCTTTGTGCAGCCTCAAATTTGCCATTGCAGTTGCTGGAGACTAAGCAAAATAATGTATATTGTAGAGCTCTCAGCTCCATGCATGGCATTCAGTAAGCAATGGTGCTAGTTAGTGATAATGATGCCAATAAAATACATCTCCTCTTGTCTTTTCAAGACCTTTATCAGAACAGCAAACCAGCTGGGTGTGGTGACTCACATCTGTAATCCCAGTGCTTTGGGAGGTCAAGGTGGGAGGATCGCTTGAGGCCAGGAGTTCCAGACCTGCCTGGGCAACATAGCGGAATCCTGTCTCAACAAAAAATTAAAAAAATTAGCAAGAGGTAGTGATGTGCACCTGTAGTCCTAACAGCTTAGGAGGCTGAAGTGGGAGGTTCTCTTGAGCCCAGGAGTTGGAGGCTGCAGTGAGCTGTGATTATACCACTATACTCCAGCCTGGGTGACACAGTGAGACCTCATCTCTTTGAGAGAGACAGAGAGAGAGAAGCAAACCATTTTATAATATGAATGTGGCTTCGAATAAACAAAATAATTTACCTTTAGCGTGATGTACGAGAAAAGCTCTAATTTAATTCAGTAACTCTCCCATCCTGGGTTTGTTGAAGTTTTATTGTTAATCTGTTTCCTAAATCTTTGTAAAGGTTTAGGAGGGAGACTTCAATGAACTTGGCTTGCCAATGGCCAGTAAAGAAGTTGTTTCTAGGGAGGCAGAGGCAGGAGGATAGCTTGAGCCCAGGAGTTTGAGACCTACCTGGGCAATATAGCAAGACCCTCTTCTCAAAAAATAAATAAATAAATAAATAGGCCGGGCGCGCTGGCTCACTCCTGTAATCCCAGCACTTTGGGAGGCCGAGGCAGGCGGATCACGAGATCACGAGGTCAGAAGATCGAGACCATCCTGGCTAACACGGTGAAACCCCGTTTCTACTAAAAATACAAAAAATTAGCTGAACGTGGTGGCAGGCGCCTGTAGTCCCAGCTACTCCGGAGGCTGAGGCAGGAGAATGGCATGAACCCGGGAGGCGGAGCTTGCAGTGAGCTGAGATCGTACCACTGCACTCCAGCCTGGGTGACAGAGTAAGACTCCATCTCAAAAAATAAAAATAAAAAATAAAAAATAAAAATAAATACATAAATAAAACAAAATAAAAGAAGTTGTCTCCTCCTCCCTAACAGAGGGGTGTTGAGAGAAGTGGCTCCTCCACAGCCATGTTAGCTGGTCCAGGCTGGAGCCTGGCGAAGCTGAAGCGGATGTCAGCAGGCATCTCTTCCCCAGGGCAAGGCCAGGACCAGGATGATGGCAGTGAAGCACTTGCCTGAGGGCAGGCTTTAAGGAGGTGCCCAATAACCCAGTAATAAATAGATACTATTTTAATGCAATATTTTAAAAATAAAAACTAATGCAAAAAAAAATCTAAGATGAACAAAATTTCACCATACTAGACCATACTTCTTGCTGCTCAGGCTATCTTCCTGACCCTGTCAGTTCTCAGGTTTCTAACATTACCTTTCCTGAGTTCTCTAGAGCTGGTCTCTCTCTGCCTAGGTCTACAGGAAGGGAGCTGGGAGGTAGGTTTTGTGGGGATGAGCTGGGAAAACTGTCTTTTTTTTTTTTTTTTTTTTTTGAGACGGAGTCTTACTCTGTCAGCCAGGCTGGAGTGCAGTGGTGTGATCTCAGCTCACTGCAACCTCCGCCTCCCAGGCTCAAATGATTTTCCTGCCTCAGCCTCCTGAGTAGCTGAGATTACAGGTGCACATCACCATGCCCAGCTAATTTTTTTGTATTTTTAGTAGAGACGGGGTTTCACCATGTGGGCCAAGCTGGTCTCAAACTGCTGACTTCAAACGATCCTCCTGCCTCTGCCTCCCAAAGTGCTGGGATTACAGGTGTGAGCTACCACTCCCAGCCCTTGGAAAGTCTTCTGGACACAATCTTGTGTGTGTGTGTGTGTGTGTGTGTGTGTGTGTGTGTGTGCACATGCGTTTTTTTATTTTTATTTTTTGATAACCTTTTTGAGACAATAAGAGATTTAAACAAAAGAAAACGTAGAAACAAGCGCTAGGAATACGAGGGTGTCTAGTAGAATAAACAGATTTGAAAATTGTTTTAGAGAAAGCTTTCTACTTTCCATTGTCTGATCTTTCAGAAAACACCCAAGGGTTTGCAAAACCAAGAACAATTTTCCAGTTTTAAGCACCTTCACCTTCCCCAAACAATGCTGCTGCCATACGTACAGGGCCAAGTATAGACACTGTCTTCCCCTCCAGGATCTGAGGGTTTTGTTCATCTGGCTTGAGAGCTCAGTGGATTTGGTTTCAGGCACACCCCTTCCCAATCTGAGGCTCATCCCTCCAACCCTGGCCAGTGGGGCTGGAGGCCCAGTCCACAGTGATAGGTCTCCCTCAGGAGGAGACAAGAAATGACAGCAATCTACCTACGAGGTGTTGGCTTATGAGACAAAACATTCATTGGTTGAACCCCCTCCAGAAGAAATTGGATTAGGGGAAAGGAAAAAACAACAACCACTAACCCCCCTATTTCTGGAAGTTGCAAGTTGTGTGATGAAACCACGTTTGTTGCAATACAATGGATTCAAATCCAACTGAATGAATGATAATTACATAGCTATAGGCATATATCCGGCCATTCTTTTCCATATTTCAAAAAAATTAATTTGGAAATATCTAGAAATAAGATAAACTGTTTGTGACCAATTATTTGTGGTATGGGTCCAAACACACTGCTGGGAGGTCCCTGGATCTATCAAGGATAGCGGGGGCTGGGTCAGGTGAGGCAGGGGACACCCGGGGAGAAGAGGGAGCCCACTTCCAAAAGAGACAGTAGCAGAGGCCTGAAGGTGAGGTTCGCTTCAAGTTTTCAGGTGAACAATGCTTTTAAAAAATGAATTCTATAATTTGTTATATTAATGATATGCTTTAAATTATCACACAAAAAAAGTGCCATACAAGTGCACGAGAAGATAGAAATCCTTTTTGTCCTTCCTTTGTTCCCATGGACTTCATTTCAGAATCACTAAATTTTCTGGCATCTTGGTTTTTTGTTGTTTTGCCAAAAGAAACTTTTCTGCTCAATAGTATATTAATGCAGAATAGAAATAAAGATGCTTTAAAAAATTCTTTCAAGCACAAAAGGAGATGGTTTTCAACAGATAATTTTACATATTTACATATTTTACCTTAAGCATTTTGTAGTCTCTGCCTACTGGTGAATGGATCAGATTTTTACACGCTTTCAAAATGAACCAGCTCGGCTTCTAAGCCATTGCAAGGACGGAAATGAATTCTAACTTTTTTTTCACTTCATTTTCACATCTTCACATTTCCTTATTTCACATGGTTTCAAATAAAATGCCTCCAGCATGATTTTTCCTTTCTCAAGAGCAAAGTGAATGTGACTTTTCGGAGGGGTCACAGGATGCCCGGGAGGCCTGTGGCTGTGGCTGGACCGCTGCCTGCTTTCAGCTTGACTGAAGGGCTTGTCAGAGTTTTCATCTCCTAAGAAATGAGCCCCTGGGCTGGCCAGAAGGAGGAGAAGGCAGCAGTTTGACCCCCACACTGTGTTTTTCCCACTGACATCAAATCCTGAGGTTTTAAAATTAATCCCATACAAAGACAGTTCTTCATTGTGGTGCCTGTTTGAAATTAGACCAGCAATAAGGACCTTTCTAAAATGTCTCGTTGTTAAGATAGGCCCCTGTTGGAGCTGAACAGCTGCCTGCCAGGGAGGGGGTGGGAACAGGGAGGGACAGTGCGCGGGTGAGACGCCCCAGCAGCCCGGTCAAGGTGACTGCCTGGCTTGGCCTGGGGTGCCTCGGGTGGCGCCAGGAAGTGGCTGAGGGCCCAGATGGCCGGGTTGCCTCGGGCCCCTGTGACCCGGAGCCACTGGTGCTTCCTGGGTCTGAGCCTGATGATTGTCCCCAGCTGAGAACTGCTCTTCACCTCCAGGTCACATGGATTCCTTGAGTTCTAATCAGTGTTTTTGTTAAAGGGAACTGGAGACATAAAAGGAACTAAAACTAAACATTAGCAGCAAAATAATAATAATAATAAAATAAAGCAAAGAAGGCAGTAATTTCTCCATGGATGAGAAGCCCCCTGCTTCCCCTGGGGGTTCCGGATGGGAACTGGGCAGGACACTGCAGCCACCCCTGCTTGTTTTGCATGAGGAGTTGTGGTTTTGGGTTTTTTGTTTTGTTTTGTTTTGTTTTGAGACAGGGCCTTGCTCTGTCACCCAGGCTGGAGGGCAGTGGTGTGATCACAGCTCATAGTAGCCTCAACCTCCTGGACCTTCTGGGCTCAAGCAATCCTCCCACTCCAGCTTCCTGAGTAGCTGGGACTACAGGTGCACGCCACCACACCTGGACAATTTTTTGTTTGTTTGTTTTTTATTTTTTGTAAAGACAGGGTCCCCCTATGTTTCCCAGGCTGGTCTTGAACTTCTGGGCTCAAGGGATCCTCTGGCCTCAGCCTCCCAAACTGCTGGGATTACAGGCATGAGCCACTGTGCTGGTCCTGCACAAGGAGTTTTTGTCCCCCTGGCACCGTGGCTTCCACAGCAAGCTGCCACACCTGGAACATGCTGGGAGTCCCGTGCAGCCGAGCAGGCCAGCCCGGTTGCTGGAAGCTGCCTCTACTCTCTGCAATGGGGTCAGCTTAGTAGGCTCTCTGATGGGCACTAGGCACTGAGCCCCATCCACAGCCTCTGTGCTACCTACGGGCTCTTCACCCGGCAACTAAGAAAACATTTCTCAGGGAGAACAAACATTCACAGCGCATGAATAGCAACTGAGGAATATTTAGAGCTTATGCGGTTTGAATGTGACCTTCTTCCCAGACTAGACCGGAATAACAATTTAGTTATTTTCAATAATGGCTATACTCTATACTTCTAAATAATTAGATAGTGGAATCCTTTCCATCAGTGACTCCATTTGAAGCCCTGGTTCAGTGACATTGGTCATTGTGCCACTGTGACCTGCACGCGGGTCTTGGTCTTTAGAACAGTGCGTGTTAAGCACTTTTATTTGTGCTGGACAATAATACATAACTGCTGCTACAATTTCCTGGTCTTCTTATTTGGAAAAGGATTCTGCAGTGTGGGATTCTGAGATTCTCAGGATAAGTGCACCCTGCAGAAGTTTTATCTCGTTTGAGTTGCTTCTTTTAACCCTTGGTGGTGGTTTTGAAGGGAAGGGGCACTTGAAGGCAACCTGAGTATTTTGTAAACAACCAAAGCTGATTTCTCAAA
This sequence comes from Homo sapiens, assembly GCF_000001405.40. Taxonomy (NCBI): domain Eukaryota; kingdom Metazoa; phylum Chordata; class Mammalia; order Primates; family Hominidae; genus Homo; species Homo sapiens. The sequence goes on along the minus strand of NC_000019.10, from coordinate 33,878,556 downwards.
AGAGCGCTTTTTGTAGCATAACGGTCTCTGTCAAACTCCTCTCTCTATTCTGAGTGCTGGAGATGTGCTGGGTCTGGTCCTCGCGTCCGGAAAGTTGGAATGACAACGCCTCCTTCTCTGTTTTAATCTATTTCACCTCTCTGAGGCAGACTGATCAGAAGCTCACAAGGAAAACCAATGCCCTTTCCCGCAGCGAAATTAACCAGAATCACGTGGAAAACAATCCAAGCCTTGTAGGAGAGGGGAGCCATTAAAATGTGCCCTGAGCGATAGACTGCACCCAATCTTGCAAACTCACTCGCCAGGCAGCAGCAGACGGGAGGCTGCTCCCTGGGATGGAGGGAGCCTGGTTGTAGTGCCACAATTAAAATCAGCTCCTCTGCCAAAAAATAAAAGGGAGGAGGGAAGAAGGAGAACATCAAAGACAGATTGAAATGTGTAGTTAGTAATAAGAGTGGTCTCCTCTTGAACCAAAGCCTGCAGCGATTCACGGCCCCCTTGTTAATGAGAAATTTTGACCTCTGGTTTGTAAGTTAAACTTGTAATCCCAGCTAATGAAGTAAATCACTTCCAACTCGAGTCTGTTGTTCCCTCTCTGCTTTGCACACTGGGTCTGAGAGCGGGGATCTGGGTCCAGGCACACAAATCGAGGGGAAGCAGAATTATTCTGTGACTGTATGGTTTCTTGCACGGTGAGAGTTTCTTGCTCACGGCCATCCTGTGGGCATGCATTGTGGGCCCATCAATTATTTTATTGTAACTTGCGTATTGATGAGAGAGAGCCTGTTAGGCTCTGGGTTGAAGGACACTGTGCAGGGAGTTCCGCTAGGGACCCTACCCACTACATTTCTTCATTCTTTAACAAATAGAAATGTGTGGCCAGGCGCAGTGGCTTACACCTCTAATCCCAGCACTTTGGGTGGCCAAGGTGGGTGGATCGCTTGAGGCCAGGAGTTCGAGACCATCCTGGCCAACATAGTGAAATCTCACTTCTACTAAAAATACAAAAACTAGCCTGGCGTGGTGGTGCATGCCTGTAATCCCAGCTACTCAGGAGGCTGAGGCATGAGAATCCCTTGAATCTGGGAGGTAGAGATTGCAGTGTGTCAAGATCACACCACTGCACTATAGCCTGGGTGACAGAGTGAGACTCTGTCTCAAAAAAAAAAAAGAAAAAAAAAAGAAAAGAAAAAAGAAATGTGCATTACTTAGCTCCATGCCAATGATTAAACATCAGGTTCAGTGCTTTGCACATGGTAGGAGTCAGTGCATATTTGTATAAGAAATGCTGCTGAATGGTCGGGTGCGGTGGCTCACACCTGTAATCCCAGCACTTTGGGAGGCCAAGGCAAGTAGATCACCTGAGGTCAGGAGTTTGAGACCAGCCTGACCAATATGATGAAAACTCATCTCTACTAAAAATACAAATACTAGTCGGGTGTGGTGGCATGCACCTGTAATCCAGCTACTCAGGAGGCTGAGACAGGAGAATCGCTTGAACCCAGGAGGCAGAGGTTGCAGTGAGCCGAGATCATGCCATTGCACTCCAGCCCAGGCAACAAGAGCAAAACTCTGTCTCAGAGAAAAAAAAAAAAAAAAGGAAAAGAAAAGAAAAAAAATGCTGCTGAATGGAGAAAATGCTATTTGGGTGACTTGGGGTTTTGAGGGAAGAAAGCACAGCTAAGGAATGTGAGTCCTAAAAAGGCAGGGCTGAGGAGTTTGAGCTGACTGACTTCTGGTTTATTGAGATTTGTGGGGTAGAAAGGAAAGAAAAGCCATGTGTGAAACTGGATACAGCTGGGGTGCTAAGGGCTTTCTTCTCCTAGTGACAGATTATAGCTGCAAGAAATGGTCTAAAAAATTACCCTATTTTAATTGCATGAGGGCAAAAGTAGGGTATCATACTATTGTTGTGTCTAAAATAGATTTCATTCAGAGAGTTGTTGACATTCTGCTTAATACTCAGAGAGACCTATTTTTATTTTTATTTGATTTAATGACAGAGCATGTTCTATTTCTCCCAGCTAGTCTAAATTCTCTCAATATTTTCCAGATCACTTTGCAAGTTATCTTAGCTTCTGATTGAGCAACAACTTTATTTAATTTTTTTTTTTTTTTTTTTTTGCCAGGAGACAACACAGCCATGCCGTATGGCACCACCCTTAGGGCAGTAACCTTTGGAGTTGAACTGTTTGGAGGGTGAATCTTTTGGAGTGGTTCTTTTTTTTCTTTTTCTTTCTTTCTTTCTTTTTTTTTTTTCGAGACTGGGTCTTGCTCTGTTGCCCAGGCTGGAGCACAGTGGTGATCACAGCTCACTGCAGCCTCCAATGCCTGGGTTCAAGCGATCCTCTCATCTCCACCTCCTGGGGTGGTCTTTTGGGGAATATTGTTTCTCCCACAAGTGGAGAATGCCTTTTCTGGAGTTCAGGCCACTAGCCCCCTTCCTAGGCTTTACCGGTGGTGGGGACATGGTAGCCCCTCTAACCTGCAGGGACCACAGGGAATCGGTGTGAGTTCTCAATGGGGAAGAGGCGGGTGCAGCCCCCTCCTCTGCCATTGGGGTCTTTGTGACAATTCCAAACCCCAAATGGAAAATGGGTCCTATTCAGAAGATAAGGGGAAGCTGACCCCTTTCCCCTCTCTCTTATATTGGACATTCTTGTCTCTCTCATACCCCTTGGCAGCTATCGACCTAAAAGGTTTCTGGAACCTTCTTCAAGTTCTCTGGGCATAGAGAGGGAGTTTGGGAGGGGGATGTTTTTAAACCACTGACTCCTGTTATTTCTGTTGAAGGGCACGCTGACATAGCCTCCTTGTGTCTCTCTGGTTTTTCATTAGACAAAGCAAAGCACTGGGGCATTTTTCCTGTTTGTGTGACCCCACGGAGAGCTGTGGGATGACCCCCCCAGGCAGAAAAAGTCACTGACCGGTGTCTGAAATCTGAGGATGTCGGTGGCCTGAGGCTGGGCGCGTAGGTCTACTCCAAACAACGGTGCATTCTCGATCAAGCAATTTGAATAATTTAATTTTTTTCCTCTGAATGTGAGCATGTATAAAATGTTAATTTCGTCAACAAGTGGAGAAAATGCCACAGTGAATCTGTTCTCAGATGGGATACCTGCTATGTGGAGAAGCCTGTTGAGAGGGCCGTGAACATCATCATGGTTTATTAGCTGCACAGGCTTTTCCCTTTGTTTCTATTCATTTAATTCAAAGCGAAACAACTCAGCATGCAAAACTAAAATTAGCTGGGAAAAAAAAAAGGTGTAAGTGAATAAACAGGCTGATCCATTAGAGTCGATGGGTTATGGGCTCCCTTGCCACTCCTCAGACAGCGGCCTATTAAAAGTGGTAATGTCCGCTGCCAGCAACACCCCCGGCAGAGAAAGAAGGCCGAGGCAGGCCTATTTCACATGCATCAGACACAAGAATTAAATAGACCAATGTTCCCTAAAAGACTGAAGTACATCTCTTTCTGACGTTCATTTCAGGCAAAAATTCATTGATCTCAGTATGTCCCTTGGCAATTATAAAATATTAAATCCAAGTCACACTTTTCTAGTTGGCTTAATTTTTTCTCTTTTCACAGCTTTCTATTTGATCAATTTTAACAAGTCAGGAATAGCATCTAATAATAAAAAAAAAGTGCAGAGTTTTAAAAGTTTGTTCTTTTGACATTCTTTCCTTTTTATTTTGTTTTGGGTTTGCATTAAGTTTGCGTTATAGAAAATGTCTTGGATGCTATTTTAACAAACAGAACATGAGAGAGCCAGAAGTTTCTTTATTGAGAATGATATTCATTAGTAGGCATTCAATGATAAAGACACAGCCTGATTTTAAAGATTTCCTTTTTTTTTTTTTTTTTTGCACATGTCTAAACAGCCTTCTTATTGTTTTGTAGTCATTAATGTTCTCCCATTCCAAAACTACCATGTGGTTTAAGCTAGGAGTATCAGATAGGGCTAGAGGTTTGCCTGCGCTCCACTGAGACTTACAAAAGATGCATATCCCTTTTCCCTATTTTTCTGCATATGTAATTTTTTAGCGTTTGAAGTTTGTTAATTCAGAATATAACATAAATGCTAGCATAGACACACACGATAAAAATGCAGAATTTGGGGAGCCTATTTTCATTAGAATATCAATACGGGAATTATCTGGGGAAAATGTTGCATAATACTAACTTTACACTCCACTTCTCCTTGCCGTAAATTAGACAAACATTCTCCAAAAGTTATACATTTATTTTTGTAAGATATAGAATCATCCCATATGAAATAATAAATTCTGAAATAATAAAATCTGTGATTTCCTCCCTATTTTAGGTTTTCCCGTGAGAACAGTGATATTCATTAATTGTCTACCATGTACTGATGCCTGATGCCTTCATTAATTTCTTTTCTTTTTTCTTTTTCTTTTTTTTTTTTTGAGACGGGGTCTGGTTCTGTAACCCAGGCTTGAGTGCAATGGCATGATCTCAGCTCACTGCAACCTCCTTCTCCTGGGCTCAAGCCATCCTCCCACCTCAGCCTCCCAAGTAGTTGGGACTACAGGCACATGCCACCATACCCAGCTAATTTTTGTATTTTTGGTAGAGATATGGTTTCGCCATGTTGCCCAGGCTGGTCTCAAACTCCTGGGCTTAAACCATCCTCTCTCCTCAGCCTCCCAAAGTGTTGGGATTACAGGCTAAATGTTTTATTTATATTCTTTCATTTAATGGATCACAAACCCATGAGGTCATAGTATAGTCTCCACTTTTCAGATAAGAAGTCCAAGGGGCTCACACTCACCCAGTCACTACCCTCCTTGGCCAACAAGGCCAGCCCTTTTGGGGTTTGTGTGCAGCAGGATTGGAAACAAAGGGGAGGGAGGGAAGGTCAGGGTCAAGAGGGAGAGACCTGGGAAGAGTGCTGCGGAGTGTTGAAAAGACCAGCAACTGCAGCCTTCCAGACAAGAGGCAGGAGAGAAGGGACAGGTTTAAGATGCAGCACTTGTGATCTTGTATCTCCTTCAGAGTGTTTGAGAAATGGCAGGATTGAACTTGTCTGACTTTGAAATTACATTTAAGCTGATGGATTCAGGTTCTTTGTCTGAGACACTGACCTGAGACTGGACCACATGGGTGACAGCTTTATAAGCACTAAGGTTGTTCTGAATGGCCAATTATAAACAATGTTTCCAAGAGAATTCCAAATCAAGACTGAGCATGGGGACACAAAAGCTCTAAGCCCGGTGGCTCTGGGCTCTCAATAGGCCTTGCCTGGGTCTCTAAAGAAGCCTCAGGTGTTTTTATCTGCATGCTCTTTGTGGCTGCCATTGTCATTCTCCTTCTATTTCTGTTCTTCCTTCATGTCCAGACCTCTTCCTCTTTCTCACCATGTAGCAGTCATGAGTTATATTTTTCTTTCTGAGGGGAAAAGAATTTGGCCCTTTCAGATGATTCGTGCCCTCAGGGCCCAAAATGTGCTGTAAGCCATCCGTCACATCTGCTTGTGGGACCCTAAGGCTATGGCCAGGAGTGTGTACCACTGTGATGAAGCCATCTACCTCTGGGCATCCCACAGTGGTGTCCCCTCTCTGAGTCACCAGCTCCCTTTAGGGTCTGCCCCTTCATCTGCCTGCTGGGACCTCTTCTACCATTCCGGCACCTAGAACATGGCTTTTCATGGAATCAGTGTCCAGGAAAGATCTGTTGCACAGAAGCATGGATGAATGGATAAATGGGTAGGAGGATAAATGGGTGGATGGGTGGGTGGATGGGTGGATGGGTGGATGGATGGATGGGTGGGTGGATGGATGGAAGGATGGATGGATGGGTGGGTGGATGGGTGGATGGGTGGATGGATGGATGGGTGGGTGGATGGATGGACGGATGGATGGATGGATGGATGGATGAGTAGGTGGATGGGTGGGTAGGTGGATGGATGGGTAGGTGAATGGATGGGTGAGTGGGTGGTTGAGTGGATGGGTGGATGGGCAAATGAGTGGATGGATGGGTGGGTGGGTGGATGGATGGATGGGTGGGTGGATGGATGGATGGATGGATGGATGGATGAGTAGGTGGATGGGTGGGTAGGTGGATGGATGGGTAGGTGGATGGATGGGTAGGTGAGTGGATGGGTGAGTGGGTGGTTCAGTGGAATGACTGGATGGGCAAATGAGTGGATGGATGGGTGGGTGGGTAGGTGGGTGAATGGGTGGATGGATGGGTGGGTAGGTGGATGGATAAATAGAGCAGTGAATGAGTGGACAGGTAAATGGGTGGATGGGTGGGCAGGTGGGTAGGTGGGCAATATAGTTTTGCTGTGTCCCCACCCAAATCTCATTTTGAATTGTAGTTCCCATAATCCCCACCTGTCATGGGAGGGACCCAATGGGAGGCAATTGAATCATGGGGGCGGTTACCCCCATGCTGTTCTTGTGATAGTGAGTGAGTTCTCACGGGATCTGATGGTTTTATAAGGGTTTTTCCCCTGCTTGCTTGGCAGTTTTCTCTCCTGCTGCCTTGTAAAGAAGGACATATTTGCTTCCCCTCCCGCCATGATTGTAAGTTTCCTGAGGCCTTCCCAGCCAAGCAGAACTGTGAGTCAATTAAATCTCTTTTCTTTTTAAATTACCCAGTCTCAGGTATTTCTTCATTGCAGCATAAGAATGGACTGATACAGTGGGTGAATGGGTGGGTGGATATGTGAATGGGTGGATGGATGGGTGGGTGGGTAGGTGGATAGACGAATGGACGGATGGATAGGTAGATGGGTGGGTAGGTGGGTGGGAGGAAGAATGGGTGGATGGGTGGGTGGATGGATGAACAGACTGGAGGGTGGTCACCAGTATCTTATAAATTCCTGTTAAGAACTAAATATGCTGCACCTCCGAGGAACATAGCATTTTTGAAAGACCTAAGAAGACTACTTTGCACAGAGAAATGTGACCCAAAATCAAGGTTTCTCAAGGTGTGCTCTTCTGACTACCTGTTTTGAGAATCACCTGAGTTGAAGCTGGGCACAGTGGCTCACGTCTGTAATCCTAACACTCTGGGAGGCTGAGGCAGGCGGATAACCTGAGGTCAGGAGTTTGAGACCAGCCTGGCCAACATGGCGAAACCTTGTCTTTACTAAAAATACAAAAATTAGCCAGGTGTGGTGGTGGGCACCTGTAATCCCAGCTACTTAGGAGGCTGAGGCAAAGATAATTGCTTGAACCTGGGAGGTAGAGGCTGTAGTGAGCCGAGATCATGCCACTGCACTTTAGCCTGGGTGACAGAGCAAGACTCTGTCTCCAAAATAAAAAAAATAAAAAGAGAGAGAGAGAGAGAGAATCACCTGAGTTCCCTATTCATTTGAGTCCATGAGCTCTGCCCCAGCACCGCAGACCTACTGAATCAGAAATGTACATTTTCAATAGGCACCCCAGTTAACTCTTGTGCATTCCACTGTTTGAGATCATTGCTTTTCTACAGGTAAGCTTTCAGGAGTTAGGCAGGCTGGTATATTGGAGATGGGGTAGAAAGTCTTACTTGATCTTGGCAGCTGAGACGTTTTTGCTGTCTGCATTAGCCATGGCAGCCCCAGGATCCAGCCCAGCCCTCCTCAACATGAGGTTGAGGATGGGTGGATGGATGGATGGGTGAATGGGTGGGTGGGTAGGTAGATGGGTGGGTATGTGGATGGATGGGTGGGTGGATGGATGGATGGGTGAATGTGTGGGTAGGTAGGTAGATGGGTGGGTATGTGGATGGATGGGTGGGTGGATGGATGGATGGGTGAATGTGTGGGTAGGTAGGTAGATGGGTGGGTATGTGGATGGATGGGTGGATGGATGGATGGATGGATAGATGGATGGATGATTGAGTAGATGGATGGATGGGTAGGTGGATGGGTGGGTAGGTGGATGCCACCAGGCAGAGGCTATGCTCTCACAGCCCCCACCCAATTCTACCCAAAGCAGGATTACTCTTCACACCCTGGAAGCAGGGTGCGTCTTTGCAGCTTTATCTTGCCCCCACCCTCCACTCCACTGCCACCCACAGCCAGCTCCATGTGTCCCAGGGACCCTTGAGGAGAAAGTCCTCCAACCTCTTTGGGTCTGCAGTTTGTGCACAAAGGCTAACTACAAGACTATCCAATTCCCCCCAGGAAGGGGCCCTAGGTTCCTAAGTGGAACCTCAGTTAGCTCATCTGTAAAATGGGGGTAAAAATAACAACCTCTTTGCTTTGTTCAGCAGAGGGCAGCTTGGTTGTTCCAGACACCTCATGAATGTGAGTGCCTTGTGCAAGCCTAAAAATGCACAAACATAAAGGTATAGATGCACACATGCACATTTTAACCTTGAGTCTTGAAGTACCTCTGGGGTGATTTCCTTCCTCCATTGGTGGAGCTGGGGCAAGGCTGTCCTCCTCCCCAAATCCAAACCTTTGTGTGCCTTAAAGGAAAAATGTGTCTCTTGGAGCTCAGTGTGCCATAAAATTTTGCAGAACCTTTGAGAGTTACAGCATCTCCCACAATTCTGTTTACATATTTGATTTTCTTGTTGTATTAGGAATTTGATCAGGTTTGTGATCATCGTACCCAAGTACCTATAAGCTACAGCAGCGACCTGTGTCTATGAATGAGCTGTCTTGCAGGTGTTTGTATTCAATGCATATTCCAAGTGGCCAAAACCCTGTATACATTCCCCATCCCATGTTAACATCATGTTTTTTTTTGCCGAACATAACATGTTTCTGGAAATTCCCAAATCTTTTGCGCTGAAACTCAACAATATTATCAGTCAAATGGTTCTGTGTAAAGAACCCTTTGGTGAACTTGATTTCCCTCTAAGGATATACTCATTTTGAAGGTCATGGTGGTGACTTGCCAGGGCGGTGACCTGAGAATAACCTTTCTTTGCTACCTGTGTTTCTGCTCCGTGGTGTTAGCATTTGGAAGTCTCTTTCCCTTCGAGTTTCCACAGCTAAATAAGTTGCAGCCCCTTCAGCTATACTCATAAAAATTTGCTTCCAGACAACATGGTCTGTTTATTGTGTAATAATCGAAATGGCACTAAATTGCCATGATTGCTGAACACTTAGGAATTGTATTAACCTCTTAAGTGCTAAGTGGTTCTCTGTCATCTTTCAGCTCAGATATGTGGCGAAAACGTTTCTGTCCCTGTGCTTCCCTCACCCCATGTCCTCAGGCCCAAGTTGTGCCCTAGTATCCGGCTGGACTCCGCTTGTACCCTGCTAACCAGAAGAGTGTCCTTCCTGGTTTTGTGGCAGAGATGGGAAGCTGTCCCCAGCAGGGCACCCTGAGAGGCTGGATCGGCCAGTATTGGCCCACAAGGCCCCGATTCTGTCCCCTGGTTTCAGCTGTGTTGTGCCTTTTGATGACAGTCGCTTTATAGCTTGGTTTGAGAACAGATTCTCCAGAGCGGTGGGGGTAGCTGGCTGTTCTGCTGAAGCCACTTTCTTGGAGAAGCTGCTCCTAGAGGTGCCAGTCCGGCTGCCCTGCAGGAAGCTGGGTTGCAGTGGCGTCCCTGGGCCCTGCCCACACTGCTCCTGCGAGCGGCAGGCCCGGGAAGGAAGAGTTAACCAGAAATGGAGCGGCACCGCTCCCGGGCAGGCAGCGTCGCTGCAGAACAGAGCAGCGTTCGTGCTAAGGCAAGTCATTTCCCGAAACACTGCAGACACACGGCCTCAGGCAGCCTAAAACCTTTGGAGACCAAAATGGCTCGCAGGGGTTGGAAGTAATAAGGTGTTTTTCCCTTCTTTCTCCTTCACTGAAATTCTGCGAGGTTGCTCTGCATTTGCTGGGGAACAATGGTGTTGTTTTTGTGTTTTCTATGGGTATTAAGATCCATTACGCTGTGACATTTTTAAGATTGGTTATCCTGTAGTTTGGTGTTAAATTGAAGTTGTTTGTTTTGAATTTAATTCTTTCATTTTTCAAATGGAAAAAGGCAGCTCTGCGGTGTGCGGTGTGGCTGGTTTACTGAAGTGTGCCTGGAACTCGCTTTTCAGCAGATCCCTTTGCCATCCCAGGAACCTCAGCAGAATTAGCCACGAAAGAACATGACCTATTTCCCTATTGGAAAGTCTGTCAGGATCCTTGGAGACGGCTTTCAAAACTGGGGACTGGGGGTCGTCTCCATTGTGTCTCGAGAGAAACAGGAGAGGAGCTGGTTTTTAACAGAATGTTATACATCCAATCTGCTATGCTTAATGCAGCCTGGATATAATTATTACTACTCTCTGTTTACGACAGCAGCCGAATCAGCTTCCATCCAACAAATGGCCCAGCAGCAGTGGGCCAGCCGCCGCCGAAATGACATCTGTTAATTCTTTGTCAAATACCCCCTCGGTCTCCCTTTCTCCCAAACAGCTCTGTGGTTAATTACGACTTGGGCGTCTGACACAGTCTTTCGAGTGGAGAGACAAGCTTAAGGGCAGGGAGAAATTTGGCTTCAAGAAATTCCCTTCTTTCTCTCTCTTAAAAAAAAAAAAGCCGTAGCAAATTGTTTAAAATAAACATTCATTCGTGGCACCAGAATAGGTTGTTGGAATATGTTTTGATTAAGCCCCAAGATTACAGCGTTACTGTATAGCGTTGTGTCGAGAGCCCCAGTCCTTCACGGAAAAAAGAATCACATCAAATCTTTGTAAAGCCATAAAAAAGTTTCCATCAGGAGAACATGGGCAGCCGTTGTGACCCTTGGCCATGTGAGCCAGGGACCTAGTACATGTTTGTGCTGCCATTATCAACTGAGTGAATGGTGAAAGGCAGTTTCATCTTAATTGGTCACTGGAAGTTGAAAAGACCAATCTCATAAACCAAAATGTATGCCCAGCCCAATTAAAGAGGTGCTTTACTTTAAAAAAACAAAACAAAACAAAACAAAACAAAAACCTTTTTAACTTTTTTTTTAAACTGTTTTAAATTTTTTATGTTTTGGCTGGGCTCGGTAGCTCACACCTGTAATCCTAGCACTTTGGGAGGCTGCAATGGGCAGATTGCCTGAGCTCTGGAGTTCAAGACCAACCGGGGCAACATGGCAAAACCTCATATCTACTAAAAATACAAAAAATTAGTTGGGCCTGGTGGCACATGCCTGTAATCCCAGCTACTGGAGAGGCTGAGGGACAAGAATCGCTTGAATCTGGGAGGCAGAGGTTGCAGTGAGCCAAGATTGCACCACTTCACTCCAGCCTGAGCGACAAAGTGAAACTCTGTCTCAAAAAAAAAAAAAAAAAATATGTTTTGTAGAGATGGGGGTCTCACTATGTTGCCCAGGCTGGTCTTAAACTCCTGGCCTCAAGCAATTCTCATGCTTCGGCTTCCCAAAGTGCAGAGGTTACAGAAGAGGTGCTCTACTGTTGTGTTGGCCAGATTTCCTCCCTGGAGCCTGTGTGTAGTGGCCAGCATCTGCTACTGGACCTGTGTATCTGGGCGCCTCCCTACCTTCAACTCCCATCCTGCCCTCCCTCCACAGCAGGAGCTGTGGAGTCCTAGGCCTTCACTTTGGCCTCCTCCTCTGGAGGTACCCGCAAGCACAGGACTGATATTTGTGGACCTAGTGTTCCAGCCCTCTGTTGCCTGCCTGCTCGCCGACCCTGGGTTCTCACTAAGTGTCTCTGCCATGCAAGTGCCTGTTGGCTTCTCAGGTGGGGTTCACCAAAGGTTTGGCCAGGAGATACCCCCATAGGACCAGAACCACTCAGACCTGGCATGGATGTCCATCTTTGAAAAATGCAGGACGTCCTCCCTGCCTTTGCCCATCTGTGGAGCCGGCCATGCCCCAGGAGGGTCTCCCAAGCCCTTCCCAGCATCAAGGAAGCTCCTGATGGCTGCATCCTGGCTGCACAGCTGAGCTCTTGTCTTGAGACAAAGGGGAGTATCTTGCAGCCTGGGAAATTCCAAAGCTTTCCAGGTAAGACCCCAGAGACCCCCATACTCGGCCTTTGGCAGAGGCAGCCCCGAGAATCCTGCCCAGTCACAGACATGAACAAGAGCTATTCTCTGGTTAGCAGGCAGCAATGGAAACTCATTCCATTCTGACCTTCTCAGATACTATTTTCAACTTCTTTGCCATTTCTGATAGAAATACATTAGTGCATTTCAGAAACCCCATAATCTGCCCAGATTCCTTCTTTCCAGCAGCATCTTTTGAGATGCCACCCAGATGGGCTCTGAGGGCTGCTCCTGGTCCTTCCCAGCAGAGGGGGTCTCAATTCTTTTTTTTTGAAACGGAGTCTCACTCTGTCACCCAGGCTGGAGTGCAGTGGTGTGATCTCAGCTCACTGCATCCACCTCCTGGGTTCAAGTGATTCTCATGCCTCAGTAGTTGTGATTGCAGGCATGCACCAACCATGCCTGACTTTTTTTTGTATTTTTAGTAGAGACAGGGTTTCACCATGTTGGTCAGGCTGTTTTCGAACTCCTGACCTCAAGTGATCTGCTCGCCTCAGCCTCCCGAACTGCTGGGATTACAGATGTGAGCCACTGAGCCTGGCCTGAATTCAATTCTTAGAAGTCACAAGGGGGCATGGAGTCTCTGAGGGTCCCAGATGTACGCTGCTTATATAGACACTCTGGAGCTGCCCCAGGCATTGATTTCTACAAATATCAGGTGATATGGTTTGGGTGTGTGTCCCCTCCAAACCTCATGTTGAAATGTGATCCCCAGTGTTGGAGTGGGGGCCTGATGGGAGGTGTTTGGGTCATGGGGATGGATTCCTCATGAATGGCTTGGTGAATGAGTGAATTCTCGCTCTGAGTTCCTGCGAGATCTGGCTGTTTAAAAGAGCCTGGCACCTCTCTCCCCTCTCTCTTGCTCCCTCTCTTGCCATGTGACACACAGCTCCCTTTTTCCTTCTGCCATGAGTGGAAGCTTCCTGAGGCCCCACCAGAAGCAGGTGCTGATGCCATGCTTCTTGTACAGCCTGCAGATCTGTGAGGCAAATAAACCTCTTTTCTTTATCAGTTACCCAGGTCTCAGGTCTTCCTTTTTAGCGACACAAAAATGGGCTAGAACAAACCAGGAGTTCTAAGGTGCCCTCTGGCCAGCATCTTCTCTTAAGTCCGTCCAGCACCGCAGCAGAGAGGATACGTTACAGAGTCGCCACGCAGGTCAAGTGCTGTTTCACTGTCAGTTTCCTCTCCTGTAAGATGGGAGGGATGTCGGCACCTCTTCCACAGGGCTCGGGCAAGGACGAGACAATTTATGGGAAGCCCTTAGCATGGTGCCTAGGACACAGATAACATTCGTTGTGCATTATCATTTTTTTTCTTCTGTTTTTAATTTTCAAAGACAGGGTCTCATTCTGTTGCCCAGGCTGGTGTGATCATAGCTCACTGCAGCCTTCAACTCCTGGGCTCAAGTGATCCTCCTGCCTCAGCCTCCTGAGTAGTTGGGAGTACAGGTGTGCACCACCATGCCTGGCTAATTTTTAAAAATTTTTTGTAGATACAGAATCTCACTATGTTGCTCAGGCTGGTTCTGAATTCCTGGGCTCAAGCAATCCTCCTGCATTGTTCTTTGCTTGGGAATCCAGCCTAGTCCAAGCGGACAATGAGTTGTGGAGTGGAGGGAATGACTCTAGAAGGAAAGAGAAGTGTCATTTCTGCATGGACCAGTGCACCAGGATCCTGACTCGTAGGACACCAGAAGGGTCCTAGGCCCTGAATCAAAGTCAGACATTTCAGTTCTATGCTCCAGTGCTGTATCTCTGGTCTCAGTTCTGAATAAACCTGTGTGAGACAGGTCCTTCTAGCTTTTCTCATTTTCAGCAATCAATCCCTCCAAATAATATACATAATTTGATTCAAAATAAGATATGTGACAGGCACACACTTGGGAGAGAATACTGAAATGAACATACTGGTTTTGCTCCCTGCTGGCTTCTTGCCAGTGGGGTGTGGCTGTGAGACAAGCTTCCTAAACTCACCTCATATGCAGCCAGGCGCTCAGGCGAGATCGTAGGTGGTCCTGTGCCCCATCTCAGAGCCCTGCTCCTGGCTCATCCTGGCTTCCACCCTGTAGACAGCATCTCCCCCAACTCCACATGCTTGGATAAACTGCCTTATGTCACCACTGTGTGCCCCAGAGTTTGGGTCTGTATCTGAGGAAGGGAGGGAAAGGAACTGATTAGAAGTCAAAGCCCCCTTGACCAGGTGTGGTGGCTCACACCTGTCATCCCAACACTCTGGGAGGCCATGGTGGGCAGATCACTTGAGGTCAGGGGTTTGAGACCAGCCTGGCCAACATGGCAATACCCTGTCTTCACTAAAAATACCAAAAAAAAAAAAAAAAAAAGGTAGCTGGGTCAGGCGCTGTGGCTTACACCTGTAATCCTAACACTGGGAGGCTGAGGTGGGTGGATCACTTGAGATCAGGAGTTCAAGACCAGCCTGGCCAATATGGTGAAACCTTATCTCTACTAAAAATACAAAAATTTAGCCAGGTATGATGGCATGCACCTGTACCTCAGCCACTCGGGAGGCTGAGGCAGGAGAATCACTTGAACCCAGAAGGTGGAGGTTGCAGTGAGCCGAGATTGCGCCACTGCCCTCCAACCTGGGGACAGAGCGAGACTCTGTCTCAAAAAAAAAAAAAAATTATCCAGGCATGGTGGCGGACACCTGTAGTGCTGGCTACTTGGGAGGCTGAGGCAGGAGAATTGTTTGAACCTGGGAGATGGAGGTTGCAGTGAGCCAAGATCATGCCACTGCACTTCAGCCTGGGCGACAGACTGAGTGAGACTCCATTGCAAAAAAAAAAAAAAAGTCAAACCCCCTCATGCACCAACCCTACCCCAAGCCCATGCCCACTGTGTCCACTGGCCTCCTGCTCTTTGCATCCTTCCCCTGTGGGCAGGTGCAGGGAGCGGGCCATGGACACTACCTTGGGAGTCCCCTGTCCCACCAACACCCCCACCCGCTTGTCCAGGACAGAAGTAGGGTGGGCCCTGGCTTTAGGGTGGGCCCTTAAAGGTGGGTTGGGGTCACCCACAAGGCCCACCCCTACCACCTCCATGAGGCTGAGACTTTGGGGCCGTGACGGAAGCTTTCTTTAGACTCTGTCCTGGGGGTGCACATGTGGATTAAATTAGAGCAATATGTTTTTCAAACAGCATCTTGGCTGAAAAGTCAAGCAGATAAATGGAAACAAACCCAGCTTTATGTGACTGGAAAGGGGCTGGTGGGAGGGCCGCTTCTGCCTGAAGCACCACTGCAGGCCAGGCTCCCCTCCTGGGCTCTCTCCACCCCCACCTCTTCCCCCTCTCCACCCTCCCCCTGCAGCCCTGACCCCCTGGCCTAGCCCAGGAAGGCCTCAGCAGAGGCTCTCCCTGCCACTCCACATCCCCTCTCCAGGCCCCTGCTCCAGCCTGCCTGGCCTCCAGCTGCACCCGTCAGCTGTCAACCTTGCTATGCCTTCTGGTCAGTGTCTTCTCGGAGGTCAGTCTGGCACCACGGTGGAGAAGGCACTTTTGAATCACTGGACAGGTCACATGCTGTTTCCCTGTTAGTCTCCTCATCTGTAATTGAGGATGCTGATGCCTCCTTCAAAGGGCTCCAGCAAGGACTTAGTGAGAAGATTCATGGGAAGCCCTCAGCTGGCCTAGGACACAGATAACATTTGTTGTGCATTCTCTCTCTTTTTTCTTTTTTTAATTTTTAGAGACAGGGTCTCACTCTGTCGCCCAGGCTGGAGTGTAGTGGTGCAATCAGAGCTCACTGCAGCCTCCAACTCCTGGCCTCCAGTGATCCTCCAGCCTCGGCCTCCCAAGTAGCTGGGACTATAGATGCATGCAACCACACCCAGCTAATTTATTTATTTATTGGAGAGAGGGGGTCTTGCTATGTTGCCCAGGCTGGTCTTGAACTCCTGGGCTCAAGCAGTCCTCCTGCCTCAGCCTCCCAATGTGCTGGGGTTACAGGTGTGAGCCATTGTGGGCTTGGCTTCATTTTTTTCAGTCTTACACAAAGTCTAGAAAAGATAATTTTAGAAGATACGTTACCTTTTTATTTGTTTTCAGAGACAGGGTCTCATTTTGTTGCCTAGGCTGGTATTGAACTCCTGGGCTCAAGTGATCCTCCCACCTTGGCCTCCCAAAGTGCTGGGATTACAGGAGTGAGCCACCTCGCCTGGCCCACTGTCTTTATTATTATTGTTATTATTATTACTACTATTACTCGCCATCTCACCTCTTCTCAGCAAACAGCTCACTCCTCCCCACTGACCACCACAGCTGGGGTAACAGCAGGGGCAGAGACAGCAGCTATTGAATGAACACTTGTTGGCAGATTGGCTTGTGATGAGGGTGATGAGGGGTTTTGCTATTGTTAGTAGGAAGGAAGAGCTGGGCATGCTGTCCTACAAAGCGACCTGAATCCATCCCCCCGGGCCCACTCCCAGGTCCTGTGTGTGGAGCTGCTCGCAAGGTCCCCTGGGAAAACTGATATGGCTGCTGCCAGGCATCCATTCAAGATGGCAACTTCCCAGCAGTTCAAATACCTGGTCAGGAACTGGTTAGTCACTAGATGACATAAGAGTCCAGCAGTTGTGATTTAGATTTTTTTAAACCACTTTGTTCTGTAAGCATTTTTGGGGACTTGGACTCAATGAGCCCCTTCCACGTAGGAGGAGAGCATTAGTGAAATCCCTGCTGTTCCAAGAACTTCCTCACTCACTCCAGGGCCCACTGGCCGCTGTCTCACCAGAAATCCCTCAGCCACGTTGACCACTCACTCACCTGATTCCCCCAAAAGACTGCACTCTTCAAGGAAGGGCAGAAAAGGAGTGGTACCCTGCCTTGTACACCTGCCCTCAGTGCTGGAGTACTTAGCACAGGCCTCCCCTGTGAAAAGTGCTTGGAAAATCTTGAGTGACTGATGGTACTTATAAATGCCAAGTTATTATCGATCATCTTTCTTGTTTAATCTTTTTGTTTGTTTTGAGATAGGGTCTTGCTCTGTTGCCCAGGCTGGAGTGCAGTGGCACGATCTCAGCTCACTGCAGCCTCCGCCTCCCAGGTTCAAGCAATTCTCCCATCCCAGCCTCCCCACTAGCTGGGATTACAGGGGTGCACCACCACACCCAGCTAGTTTTTGCATTTTTAGTAGAGATGGGGTTTCAGCATGTTGGCCAGGCTTGTCTCGAACTCCTGACCTCAGGTGATCCACCCGCCTCAGCCTCCCAAAGTGCTGGGATTACAGATGTGAGCCACTGTGCCTGGCCTTTTTTTTTTTTTTTTTTTGAGATGGAGTCTCGCCCTGTTGCCTAGGCTGGAGTGCAATGGCACAATCTCAGGTCACTGCAATGTCTGCACCCCCCCCCCCCAATGGTTCAAGTGATTTCCGGCTAATTTCTGTATTTTCAGTAGAGACGGAATTTCACCATGTTGACCAGGCTGGTCTCGAACTCCTGACCTCAAGTGATCCGCCCACCTTGGCCACCCAAAGTGCTAGGATTACAGGTGTGAGCCATTGCTCCTGGCCACCTTTGTCATTTAATCTTTACTCTATTAAAGGTTAGTAAAGATTATCTAGTAAAGAGATACAGGAAAGCCCGAGAGGCTGCCTTTTAGATGGTCAGATGGTCAGAAGTTCTGCCCTCATGTTGGCACTGGCAGCTCTGTGCCTGCACCTCCCTCTTCTGGACACACCAACATCTCTTCGAAGTCAGGGACTACATCCAACCCTCTCCCGGCAGCATCCTTCCAGCGTCTAGAATGTGGAAGGCACTGCACATAGATGCTGTGAGTGCATTGGTAGAGAAGAGGGAGTGGGAGACGGAAATTGCTGAGAAAATGGCAATGCAGGTTTATTTCACTCTCCGGATACTGTCACAAAAATCTGGTTGTGGGTGGGATGGGGAAAAAACCAAAGGCCATGTGATAGCCCCTCTGGGCTGTGACCTTCAAGGAGGGTGGCCCTGGAGGGAATAAAGGGCCTTCCTCCCTATCGTCTCTCATTCCCGTCTTGGGCCAGAGAATCCCAGGAGCCAGATCCAACTAAAAGTCAGAGGCAAGGGAGACATTGATGCAGTCCACATGGGCCAGCCTTGAGGGCGGATATGAAAGGCACAGGAAACACTTGGGCTTCCAAGGGAAGGCAGGGAAGTGGTTCTCTTTTCTCAGCAGGTTTCTCTGATCTGTACCAAGGGGGCTTCATACAGCTTTGTTGATCCTCTCCAGCTCAGATACCAATGGATTCTCAATTCCCCCACCGAAGACAAGCAAAGGCAGGCTCAGATAGAAATACGGTAAGAGGCCGGGTGCAGTGGCTCAAGCCTGTAATCCCAACACTTTGGGAGGCCAAGGTGGGCAGATCACTTGAGCTCGGGAGTTCAAGACCAGCCTGGCCAATATGGTGAAACCCCATCTCTACTAAAAATACAAAAAAATTAGCCGGGTGTGGTGGCGGGCACCTATAATCCCAGCTACTTGGGAGGCTGAGGCAGGAGAATCGCTTGAGGGGTTGCAGTGAGCCAAGATCACGCCACTGCACTCCAGCCTGGGCAAACAGAGCAAGACTGCATCTAAAAAGAAAAAAAGAAAAAGAAAGAAATGTGGTTAGAGGCAGACCTCGGACACATCCATCCATCCCCCACCTTCCTACAACCAAATCTCAGAAGGGAGATCAGAAGTCATGGCCAGGCATGGTGGCTGTTCCTACAATCCCAAGGCCTTGGGAGGCCAAGCAAGGCAGGAAGATCGTTTGAGGCTGAGTGTTAGAGACTAGCCTGGGCAACACAGCAAAACCCCCTCTCTACAAAAAATAAAGAAATTAGCCATGGTGGTGCACACCTGTAGTCCCAGCTTCTTGGGAGGCCAAGGTGGGAGGATCACTTGAGCCCAGGAGTTGGAGGCTTCAGTGAGCTGTGATCGTGCCACTGCACTCCAGTCTGGGTGATAGAGCGAGACCCTCTCTCTAAATAAAATAAAATCAAGCAGGGCTCCATCTCCAAACTGATTTGGGTTTGTTGAGGTTAGAGTGCATGGGAAGGAGAAAATAGATTTCTTTTTTGGGATAAAAGGTTACGACCTACAAGCTACTCAAACACCTGTTCTTTAGAAAACAATGGGCAGGTGGAAAGTTAGGAAGTCAGTTTCTTTGGGGGGTCTTTTTTTTTTTTTTTAAAATAAGGATTTGATGCTGGAGTCTTCAGAATCTGAGTTTATATTAAAAATGTGGAAGTGCCAAACCTCAAAGCAAGTCTGTGGAGCCAAAGTGAGTGGGATGGTAGCAGAGAAGAAAGACGCAGGGGAGGCTGTGATGCGGCACAGAGCTGGAGGCCCTGTGGGCTCGCTCATCTCGCATTCTGCACCGCGCAGGTGGTGTGGGATCGCAGCGCTTGCGAGCGCCTGTTCATAGCTTATTGCCACGGGGGAGGCGCGCGGGCAGCAGCAGCCCAGGCGTTCAAAAGACCTGCATCGCTGTCAGAGAGCCGGGGATTGGGTCTCTGTAGAGACACCCCAGAGTCTGGGAAACTCCTTATTTGCAGGCAGTTTTCAGCTGTCCACTTGCTCCAACACTGCCCCCTTTTATGGGGCTGCAGTGGGAACCCTTTCTTAGGGTCCTGCTGAGCACCTCTCTTTCTGGGCGGTATATATCCTTCTGTAGCGCATTCCCTCTCTTGCTATACGGCTCTCTCTCATATATATATATATATATATATATATATATATATATATATATATATATATCTCACCGTGTTCATACATATAGATCTAGATCTAGTTTATTCATTTTGATTCTTCGATAGTATTCCATTGCATAGCTATACTTTTTTTTTTTTTTTTTTTACCTATTGCTCAATTATTAGAAATTTAGGATATTCCCACTTCGGGGCTAACAATGCAAGCCTGGGCAACACCATGAGACCCCGTCTCTACAAAAAATATCCAGGCATGGTGGAGCATGCCTGTAGTCCCAGCTACTCAGGATGCTGAGGTGGGAGGATCACTGAGCCCAGGAGGTCAAGACTGCAGTGAGCCGTGATCACGCCACTGCACTGTAGCCCTGCGCGACAGAACGAGATCCGTGTCAAAAAACAAAGTAAAGGCAAAAAAACAAGGCAGTGCTCAACACATGTTGAGCACCTAACCTGGTGCACATAACCTTGAGCATTGCAGGGCAGATAGCTAAATGAAGAAATGTCAGGTGATGTGGGGATGTGCATCTTCAAATTCCCTAGCTCTTGCCAAATTCCTCATCAATTTGTTCTCTGAAGATACACTACCATTAGGAACACAAAACGGATCCCATTTCCCCACATCCCTGCCCACAGTCTGTTATCTGACGATCACATTTTGCCATTTCTAATTTCTATTTTCCTGGTTGAGAGTGAGTTGACATCTTCTCACATGCTTGTGGATGATTTGATTTTTTCACTTATGATTTGCCCAGTGATATCCCAGCCATTTTTCATTAGATTGTATTTTTCTGATTGCTTCATAATAGTTTATAAAATATTCTGGATACCAATCTTTTGTTGTTGTTGTTACATGGGTTGTAAATATCCTCTCCCAGTCTGTCGGAGTTTTTTTTGTTGTTGTTGTTGTTTTTGTTTTTTAAGACAAAGCCTCGCTCTGTCGCCTCCCAGGTACAAGCAATTCTCCTGTCTCAGCCTCCGGAGTAGCTGGGATTACAGGTGCCCACCAACCACGCCTGGCTAATTTTTGTATTTTTAGTAGAGATGGGGTTTCACCATGTTGGCCAGGGTGGTCTTGAACTTCTGACCTCAGGTGATCCACCTGCCTTGATCTCCCAAAGTGCTGAGATTATAGGTGTGAGCCACCGTGCCCAGCCTGTGGGTTGTTTTTTAATATTGAGGTTGGTGTCTTCTGATATGCAGAAGTTGTAAATTTTAATGTAGTAGAATTCTCTTTGTCTTTTGTGGTTTATAGTTTTTATATCTTATTCAAAAAGAACTTTCTCTACCCCCAATGGCATAAAAATATTTTTTCTTTCTTTTTTCTTTAATTCCAACTTATTGAGGCATAATTTTTACAAAATAAAATGCACCCATGCATTTTGACAAATGTATACAACCATGTAACCACCCTCCACCCAAAAAAGACATAGAACGTTTCCACACCTATAGCTGCTTTCCTGCTCCTGCCTAGTAGATAACCTGCCTTCCTAGCCCCTGCTCTAGGCAGTGACCAATCTGCTTTTTGTCACTATTTCTATTTCATATCAACAGAATAGTACAGCACATACTCTTGTATCTGGCTTCTTTTGCCCGGCATCATGCTGCTTTTTTTTTTTTTTTTTTTAGTTCTAGGGTACATGTGCAGGTTTGTTACATGGTAAACCTGTACCATGTTTACCTACATGGTTTGCCACGGTGGTTTGCTGCACCCAGCATCATACTTTTGAGGCATCATTTTGTTTTGTTTTTTTGATTTTTGAGATGGAGTCTTGTTCTGTTGCCCAGGCTGGAGTGCAGTATTGTGATCTCAGCTCACTGCAACCTCTGCTTCCTGGGTTCAAGTAATTCTCCTGCCTCAGCCTCCCGAGTAGCTAAGATTACAGGTATGCACCACCATGCCTGGCTCATTTTTTTTGTTTGTTTTTTGTTTTTTTAGTAGAGATGGGGTTTTTGCCAAGTTGGCCAGGCTGGTCTCGAACTCCTGGCCTCAAGTGATCCGCCCACCCCGGCCTCCCAAAGTGCTGGGATTACAGGCATGAGCCACCTCTGCTGGCTGAGGCATCATTTTGAGAGATCACTTATGCTTTTGAGAATCAGCCATGCCATTGCACATACCAGCAGTTTATCCTCTTTTGTGCTGAATAGTGTTCTGTTGTATGGATACACCACAATTTGTGTTTTCACTTATCTGTCGTTTGGATTGTTTCCAGTTTTTGGTTTTTATGAGTAAAGCTGCTATGAACATTTGTGTACAAGTCTCGGTATGGGTATATGTTTTTCTTTCTCTTGGGTAAATATCTAAGTGTGGAATCTCTGGGTCATGTGATGAGTGTATTTTTTTTTTCTCCTGTTCAACTTTATTTTTATTTTTTTATTTCAATAGGTTTTGTGGGGAACAGGTGGTGTTTGGTTACATGCATAAGTTCTTTCGTGGTGATTTCTGAGATTTTGGTGCACCCATCACCCGAGCAGTGTACACTGTATTTAATGTATAGTATTTTATCCCTCACCCACTACCCTTTCCTCTGAGTCCCAAAAGTCCATTGTATCATTTTTATGCCTTTGCATCCTCATAGCTTAGCTCCCACTTATGAGTAAGAACATACAATGTTTGGTTTTCCATTCCGGAGTTATTTCACTTAGAATAACGGTCTCCAATTCCATCCAGGTTGCTGCCAATGCCATTATTTCATTCCTTTTTATGGCTGAGTAGCGTTCCATGGTATATATATATCACATTTTCTTTATCGAGTGTACGTTTAATATTATAACAACTGCTAAACTGTTTGCAAAGGAGCTGAGCGATTTTACACTTCCTCCAGCCAGGGATTCGAGCTCTAGCTCCTCCACCAGAGCTCAGAATATCTGTCTTTTTCGTTTTAGCCCATTTTAGTAGGGATGCTTATTGATATCTTATTGTAGTTTTAATTAATATTTTCCTAATGACTAATCATGTGGAGCATTTTTCATGTGCTTCTTAGCCCGTGAAATGTCTGTTCAAATCTTTCGTCCATTTTAAAATTCAGTTGTCTTCTTCTTATTGAATCTTTTGTAAGATATTATACAAGTCTTTCTGTAAGAGCTGTGTATTGACAATATTGTCTTATACCCTTTGTCTTGACTTTATTTATTTATTTATTTAGACAGGGCCTCTCTCTGTCACGCAGGCTGGAGTGCAGTGGTGTGATCCTGGCTCCTCACTGCAACCTCCACCCTCCAAGGCTCAAACAATTCTCTCACCTCACCCCCCCCAAGTAGCTGGGATGACAGACATGCACCACCATGCCTGGGTAATTTTTTGCATTTTTAGTAGAGACAGAGTCTTACCATGTTGCCCATGCCGGTCTTAAATCCTGACTTCAAGACTTTATTTTTAAAGTGCCTTTCAGAAAGCAGTTTTTTTTATTTTGATGAAGGAAAAAAATTGTCAAGTTTTTCCTTTAAGATTAGTGCTTTTATGTCTTGTTTAAGACATCTTTGCCTATCCCAAGCTCACAAAGATTGTCTCCTCTATTCACTTATAGAAGTTTCTTAATGTTGTATTTTGCATTTAAGTCTACTACTCTATTTCAAGTTAATTTTTGTGTAAGGTGAGACATAAAGGTTGAGGTTCACTTTTGCCTATGGATGTCCAAGTGTCTGGGACTATTTTCTATGAAGACTTTCATTTTCTTGATGCTAAATAACCTTAGCACCTGTGTCAAAAATCAAGTAACCTGGCCGGGCGTGATCCTCCCACCTCAGCCCCCTGAGTAGCTGAGACCACAGGCACACACCACCATGCCTGGCTAATATTTTGTATTTTTGGTAGCGATGGGGTCTTGCCATGTTGTTCAAAACTATATATATATATATATATATATATATATATATATTTATATTTATATTTATATAGAGAGATATATATCTCAGGGGGCTGAGGCGGAAGGATCGCTTGAGCCTGGGGGCGGAGGATTCAGTGAGCCAAGATCGCACCACTGCACTCCAGCCTGGGTGAAAGAGCAAGACCCTGTTTATATATACATATGGAAAGATCAACAATTTGACTTCTTATTTTCCAATTTGGATGCCTTCTGTTTCTTTCTCTTGTCTGATTACTCTGGCTAGGACTTCCAGTACTATGTTGAATAGGAGTGGTGAAAAAAGGCATCCTTGTGTTGTTTCAGTTCTTAGGGGAAAGGCTTTTACCTTTTCTCCATTCATTATGATGTTAGCTGTGGTTTTGTCATATATGGCCTTTATTATATTGAGCTATATTCCTTCTATACTTAGTTTATTGAGTGTTTTTATCAAATGCTTTTTCTGTATCTATTGAGATGATCATATGGGTTTTTTTGTCCCTCATTCTGTTGATATGATGTATCACATTTTTTGATTTGTGTATGTTGAATGATCCTTGCATCCCTGGGATTAATTTTCATGTATTTGCATAGTTTTCAAAGTTCCACTTGATCATGGTGTTTTTTGTTTGTTTGTTTTCGTTTTGTTTTTGTTTTTGTTTTTTAAGACGAAGTCTAGCTCTGTCACCCAGACTGGAGTTCAGTGACGCAATCTCAGCTCACTGCAACCTCCGCCTCCCCGGTTCAAGCGATTCTCCTGCCTCAGCCTGCCAAGTAGCTGGGACTACAGGTGCCTACTACCATGCCCGGCTAATTTTTCATGGTGTATTTTTTTGTTTGTTTGTTTGTTTAAGATAGAGTGTCACTCTGTCACCCAGGCTGGAGTGCAATGGTGCGATCTCAGCTTACTGCAACCTCTGCCTCCTGGATTCAAGCGATTCTGCCTCAGCCTCCCGAGTAGCTGGGATTACAGGGGCCCGCTACCACGCCCAGCTAATTTTTGTATTTTTAGTAGAGATGGGGGGGTTTCACCATCTTGGCCAGGCTGGTCTTGAACTCCTGACCTCAGGTGATCCTCCCACCTCAGCCTCCCAAAGTGCTGAGATTACAGGCATGAGCCACTGCACCCGGCCCTATTTTTTTTTTTTTCATGTGCTGCTGGATTTGGTTTGCTAGTATTTTGTTCAGAATTTTTGCAATCGTGTTCATCAGGGATATTGGCCTGTAGTTTTCTTTTGTTGTTGTGTCTTTGTCTGGTTTTGGTATCAAGGTAATTTTGGTCTCATAGAATGAGTAGGGAGAATTCCTTACTCTTCAATTTTTTTGATTAGTTTGAGGAGAATTGATATTAGTCCTTCTTTGGAATCTTGGTAGAATTTGGCAGTGAAGCCATCCTGTCTTGGACTTTTAATTATTGATTCAATCTCATTACTCATTATTGGCCTGTTCAGGTTTTCTGTTGCTTCCTGATTCCATCTTGGTAGGTAGTACGTGTCCTGGATTTATCCATTTACTCTAGGTTTTCTAGTTTGTTAGTGTGTAGACGTTCATCATAGTCTCTCACGATCTTTTGTATTTCTGTAGTATGAGTTGTAATGTCTCCTTTTTTATTTTTTATTTTGTTTACTTGGGCCTTCTCTCTTTTTTTCCTGTTTAGTCTAGCAAGTGGTTTATCAATTTTGTTTATCTTTTCAAAAAACCAACTTTTCATTTATTTATCCTTTGTAATTTTTAAGTCTCTATTTCATTTAGTTCTGCTCTGATTTTTATTATTTATTTTCTTCTGTTAATTCTGGGTTTGGTTTGTTCTTGATTTTCTAGTTCCTTGAAGTACATCATTAAATTATTTATTTTAAATTTCTCTACTTTTTGATGTAGGCATTTATTGCTATAAAATTCTCTCTTAGCACTGTTTTTGCTATATCTCAAAGGTTTTGATATGTTCTGTTTTGATTTTCATTTATTTCATAAATTTTTTAAATCTCCTCTTTATTTCTTTCTTGACCCAATGGTCATTCAAGAGTATGTCATTTAATTTCCATGTATTTGTACAGTTTTCAAAGTTTCTCTTGTTATTGATTTCTAGTTTTATTTCATTGTGATCTGAGAAGATACTTGATATAATTTTAATCTTTAAAAATTTATTGAGACTTGTTTTGTGTTCTAACATATGGTCTATCCTGGAGAATGTTTCGTGTACTGATGAGAAGACTGTGTATTCTGCAGCTGTTGGATGAAATGTTCTATAAATTTCTGTTATGTCCATTTGGTCTAATGTGCAGTTTAAATCCAATTTTTTTTCTTAATTTTCTATCTAGATGATCAGTCTAATGCTGAGAATAGGGTGTTGAAGTCTCCAACTATTTCTGTGTTGGAGTCTATCACTCCCTTTAGATCTAATAATATTTGCTTTATATATCTAGGTGCTCCAGTGTTGGGTGCATATATGTTTAGAATTGTTATATCCTCTTGCTGAATTGATCTCTTTTTCATTATATGGTGACCTTTTTTGTCTCTTTTATACTATTTTTGACACAAAGTCTGACTTATATAAGTATAGCTACTCCTGCTCACTTTTGGTTTCTATTTGCATAAAATATCTTCTTCCATTCCTTTGTTTTCAGTCTTGTAGGCAGCATATAGTTAGGTCATGTTTTTTTTTTATCCATTCAGCCAGTCTATATGAGTGGAAATTTAAGCCATGTTTATTTATTTATTTATTTTTTATTTTATTGTTATTATACTTTTTTGGGAGATGAAGTCTCTCTCTGTTGCCCAGGCTGGAGTGCAATGGCTCTATCTTGGCTCACTGCAATCTCCGCCTTCCAGGTTCAAGCAATTCTCCTGCCTCAACCTCCCAAATAGCTGGGATTACAGGTGCTGGCCACCATACCTGGCTAATTTTTTTGTATTTTTAGTAGAGACAGGGTTTCACCATGTTGGCCAAGCTGGTCTCAAACTCCTGACCTCAGGTGATCCACTCCTCTCAGCCTCCCAAAGTGCTGGGATTACAGGTGTGAGCCACCACACCTGGCCAAAATTTAATTCATTTATATTCAAGGTTATTAATGATATGTAAGGGCTTATTCTTGTCATTCTATTACTTGATTTCTGCTTGTTTTCTATACGCTTTGTTCTTTTCTTTCTCTCTTTTTGTTTATCACTATGGTTTTGTGGTATTCTACAGTCATAACAATTGAGGTTTTTTTCTCTTTCTTGTTTGTGTGTTTGCTCTTCCAATGGTTTTCATATTTTTGTGTATTTTCATGATGCTAGTATTGATCTTTTACTTCCAGGTATAGGACTCCCTTATGCATTTCTTGTAGGACTGGTCTAACAGTGATGAATTCCCCAGCTTTTGCTTGTCTGGGAAAGATTTTATTTCTCCTTCATTTGTGAAGGAAAATTTTGCTGGGTAGAGTATCCTGGGCTGGCAGGGTTTTTTTGTTGTTTTTTTTTGTTTTTTTCCTCCATCACTTAAAATATATCATCCCATTCTCTCCTGGCCTGTAAGTTTTCCCCTAAGAAATCCGCTGTAAGTCTGATTGGGGTTCCTTTCTAGGTGACTAGATACTTTCTCATGCTGTTTTTAGAATTTTCTCTTTGTTTTTGACTCTCAACAGTTTGACTATTTTGAATTGTATCTATTTGGGGATCTTCGAGCCTTGTGTATCTGGATGTCTAAATCTCTTGCTAGTCTTGGGAAATTTTCATCTATTATTTCATTAAATAGGGTTTCTAACCCTTTCATTTTTCCTTCACCTTTTGAGATATCAAAAATTTGAATATTTTCTCACTTTATAGTGTCCCACATGTCATGAAGGTTTGGCTCATTCTTTTTTTTCTTTATTTTTATCTGACTGGGTTATTTCAAAAGACCCATCTTCAAATTCTAAGATTCTTTCTCTCTCTCTCTTTCTTTCTTTCTTTCCTCTTTTTTTTTTTTTTTTTTTTTTAACAGAGATTTGCTCTTGTCGCCCAGGCTGGAATGCAATGGCGCAATCTCAGCTCACTGCAACCTCTGCCTCCTGGGTTCAAGCGATTCTCCTGCCTCAGCCTCCCAAGTAACTGGGATTACAGGCATGCACCACCATACCCAGCTAATTTTGTATTTTTAGTAGAGATGGGATTTCACCATGTTGACCAGGCTGGTCTTGAACTCCTGACCTCAGATGATCTGCCCACTTCGGCCTCCCAAAGTGCTGGGATTATAGGCATGAGCCACCTAACCCAGCCAAATTTTAAGATTCTTTTTCTGCTTGATCTAGTCTATTGTTGAAGTTTTCAAATATATCTTGTATTTCATTGAATAAATTATTCAGTTCCTGAATTTCTGCTTGGTTCTTTTTTCTGCTTGGTTTTTTGGTAAATTTCTCATTCATATCCTGAATTGTTTTTCTGATTTGTGTTGTTTTTCAGAATTCTCTTTTCTCATTGAACTTCTTTAGTATCAATATTTTGAATTCTTTCTCTGGGATTTCATTAATTTATTTTTGAGATCTGTTGCTAGAGATTTCTTGTATTCCTTTGGAGGTGTCATATTCATTTTTCATTTTTCTTGTGTCCGTACATTGATATGTGCACATCTGGTGTAACAATTGCTTCTTCCTTTTTATTTTTTTGAATTTGCTTTCATCAGGGAGGACTTTTTCCTTAAGAGGTATCTATGGTGTTGGTAGGTAGGGCACTTCAGTTTAAATTCTGGGTGTGTACGGTAGTGTAGTCTCTGTATGATTTCTTTGGCTGTAGACGTTGCCAGTGGTGTCTGCAATTTCTTTAGTGGCTTAGGGTGTGGTTGTTAATGGAGGCTGTGGTGAAATTTTGTTGAGGGCTGGGGTGCTAAATGGGCCAGTCTTCAGTCCCCAGTGGTAACAGCAATGGGCTGAACATGCCTGTCCTTGGGCCTCAGGGTGGCATACACTGGTACTTGTGTTAGTAGGCTGATTCTTGGGCCTCCTGCTGGCTTTCTTGGGTGCCAGGAACGGCAGCAGTCAGATGCGTGGGCAGGCTCTTGAGCCCCTGAGCAATGGAGGTAGCAGTGTGGTGAGACAACCCTCCGGGACCCAAGCAGTCCACACTGGAGTTGGTAATGGCTGTGACAGGTTGGGCAGGCTGGTCCCCAGACCCACAGATGGCACATGCAGATGAGTACCAACTGTGGCAGTAGTGGGAGCTTGAGTGAACATGACCTCAGACCCCAGGGGGAGTGCTCAGGTGCCACCAGTGATGGATTAGGCTGGGCAATCCCCAGGGCCCTGGACAGTGTGCACAGGTGATCCCCAGGTCCCTGGATGGCATGCTTGGATACTTTAAGGTTGGTGAAGACAGGCCATGGCGGACCTGTCCTCAGGCCCCCTAGTGCTGCATGCAATCTCTGGCTGTGGTAGGCAGAGGTGGGCTGATCCCCAGGATGCTCATGGAAAGCTCAGGTCGGGACATCAGCTGCTGCCCTGTGGCCTTGCTACAGGGGAGGATGAGGTTGGATTCCCTGGCAGCAGCCATAGGCAGGCAGCTGTGGGGCAGTGTACAGGCTTTGCTCACACTCATGCCTTGGCCCCCGGCAGCCCTCAGTGGCAGTGGTGTAAGCAGTGGAATTTGTCCTTGGGGTGCATGAAGATGTGCAGTCGTCCCTCTGCTGGGGGTAGGGGGGTGGGATTGCTGCCTGTGGCCCCTGCCTCAGTACAGTGCCAGGGCAGGACTTAGTCTGGTGGGGCCTGTGCTCTCAAAACGGTGCCATACTGCAGCTGCTCAAGACTCAGGAGTTGGCGGGACCCAGCATGAGTTATCTTTCTGGATTTATACCTTTGCATAGTCTCTAGGCAGCTCCCTATGCTCATCTTGGGGCCTGCAAGGGTCGAGGGGCTCTCCCTTGGCTAGGATTATAGGAGTCCACAGCAGGAATGTGGATCTAGGGTCTTTCACTTACCTTTCCCTGCATTAGACAGCTGCTCCAGACTTCTAGCCAATCTCAGCTGAATAAGCTGCCTCATTTCTTTCTCCTCCCTTGCTTTCAGTGCTACTCTGTTGAATTCGGTGTTCTCTCTTAGATGATCTATCCAAAGTGTGATTATCTGTGGGCTATTTTGATTCCTCTCCATGGAAGAGACGAATACCAGATGCATCCAGTCAACCATCTTTCTGAGTCAGTTTTGATACTTTGTATCTTTCAAGAAGCTTGTCCATTCATCTGTTTATCAATTTATTTGCATACATTTGTTTATAATATTTCTTTATTATTCTTTTAATGTCTATAGGATCTTTAGTGCTGACTTCTCTTTCATACCTGATGTTGGTCATTTGTGTCTTCATTCTTTTTTGTGATCATTTTAATTAGATGTTTATAATTTTATTGATCTTTTCAAATAACCAGGGTTTTCTTTCTTTGATTGTCTCTATTATTTGTACATTTTCAATTTCATTGATTTCCACCCTGATTTATACTATTTCCTTCATTTTTTTTTTCTTTTTTTTTAGACGGAGTCTTGCTCTGTTGCCAGGCTAGAGTGCAGTCGTGCAATCTCAGCTCACTGCAACCTCCGCCTCCTGGGTTGAAGCGATTCTCCTGCTTCAGCCACCCGAGTAGCTGAGACTTCAGGCCTGCACCACCACACCCAGCTAATTTTTGTGTTTTTAGTAGAGATGGGGTTTCACCATGTTGGCCAGGATGGTCTCGATCTCTTGACCTCGTGATCCCCCCACCTCAGCCTCCCAAAACGTTGGGATTACAGGCATGAGCCACCATGCCCGGCCTATTTCCTTCTACTTCTTTTGGGTTTAATTTGCTCTTCTTTTTCTAGCTTCTTATGATGGAAGCTTAGATCAGCTTAGATCAGGCCCCACTGGTGACGGTGACTTGAGACTTTTCTTCTTTTCTAAATGTTTTTAAGTTTTCCTTTAAGCACTGTTTTGGTGCTCTCAACTCCACTTTAACTGTGTACTAATAAATTAGTGTGTTGCAGTTCCATTTACTCAGTTCAAGATATTTTCTAATTTTCTGACTGATTTCTTCTTGACTCATAGATTATTTAAGACTGTATTGTTTAACTTCTAAATATTTGGGGATTTAATAGCTATCTTATTGATTTTTAAGTTAACATTTTATGGTTAGAAAACATACTCTATTATTTCAATCCTTTTAAATGTATTGAGACTTGTTTATAGTACAGTATACAATCTATTTAGCAAATGGTCCATGTGCACTTGAAAAAAATGTGTATTTCACCATTATTAAGTGTAGTGTTCTGTAAGTGTCAGTTATGACAAGTTAGCCGATAATATTGTTCATGTCTTCGGCTCAGCACGGTGGCTCATGCCTGTCACCCCAGCACTTTGGGAGACAGAGGCGGGCGGATCACCTGAGGTCAGGAGTTCGAGACCAGCCTGGCCAACATGCTGAAACCCTGTCTTTACTAAAAATACAAAAATTAGCTGAGTGTGGCAACGTGCACCTGTAGTCCCAGTTACTGGAGAGGCTAAGGCAGGAGAATTGGTCAAACCTGGGAGGTGGAGGTTGCAGTGAGCCAAGATTGTGCCACTGCACTCCAGCCTGGGTGACAGAGTGAGACTCCATCTCAAAAAAGAAAAAAAAAATTGTTCACGTCTTCTATATTCTTACTGATATTCTGTCTACTTATTTGATCAATTAATAAAGAGGATTCTGGAAATCTCCAACCATGATTGTAATTGTATCTGTTTCTGCTTTTTAATTATGTTATTATTTGCTTTGCACATTTTGCATCTCTGTTATTAAGTGCATAAAATTTTAGGTTTTTAATGTCTTCTTGATGAATTGAGCCTTTCATCATTATAGAATGCTCTTGTTTATTTCCAATAATACTCTATCCTGATGTCTACATTGTAACATTTTAATATAGCTACTTCAGTTTTCTTATAAGTATTTATATGATATCTATTTTTCCTTTTTTCGCATTTATCTGTTTTTTATTTAAAGTGTTTTTATTTTTATTTATTTATTTATTTTTCTTTTCTTGAGACAGAGTCGTGCTCTGTGGGCTGGAGTGCAGGGGCACAATCATGGCTCAATGCAGGCTCAACCTCCTGGGCTCAAGTGATCCTTCTTCCTCAGCCTCCCGAGTGGCTAGGATTACAGGCGTGTGCCACTATACCTAGCTAATTTTAGACATCTTTTTGTAAACATGGGGTCCCACTATGTTGCTCAGGCTTGTCTCAAACTGCTTGGGCTCAAGCAATCCTCCTGCCTTGGCCTCCCAATGTGCTGGGATTATAGGCATGAGCCATTGTGCTCTACCTTAAAGTGTTTCTTAAACAGCATATGATTTCCTCTTACTTTTTTATCCAGTTTGACAATTTCCACCTTTTGGCATTTAGACCATTTACATTTAAATTAATTATTGATATGGTTGAGTGTTGGTGCACTGTCTTGTTTATTTTCTTTTTGTTCCATTTTCATGGTTCTTTTGCTCCTCTTTTCTGCCTTCTTTTAGATACATTTTTTTTTCTTTATTCCACTTCTATGTTGGCTGATTAGCAATACTTTTTCATTTTACTTTTAGTCATGCTCTAAGGTTTACTTTATGCATCTTTAACTTACCATAGTCTGCCTCCAAGTAACATTATATTACTTCATGTATAGTATAATAACTGTGCAATAGTATACTCTATTTACCTCCTGCTCTCTGTATACTTGCCACCATATAGTTTACTTTTGCATATGTTCTAAACCTCAAAATGCAGTTTTACTGTTTTTCTTTAAATAATCAAATATATTTTTAAAGTTAAAAAAAAGAAAAGGCTTAAATTTATTTACCTATCTACCATTTCCACCTCCCTTCCCTTATTTGATTTTTATTTTGGGGGAGTAGGGGTGGGGCAGCAGGGCAGAGTCTCGCTCTGTTGCCCAGCCTGGAGTGCAGTGGTGTCATCTCGGCTCACTGCAACCTCCGCCTCCCAGGCTCAAGAAATTTTCCTGCCTCAGCCTCCCGAGTAGCTGGGACTACAGGCGCCTGCTACCACGCCCGGCTAATTTTTGTTTTCAGTAGAGACCGGGTTTCACCATGTTGGCCAGGCTGGTATCAAACACTTGACCTCAGGTGATGCTTCCACCTCAGCTTCCCAAAGTGCTGGGATTACAGGCATGAGCCACCACGACTGGCCCTTTATTTGATTTGATCCAAGTTTCCTTATTTGATTTGATCCAAGGTGTCATATTCCTTCAGCCTGAAGAACTTTCTTTGCTATTCCTTGAGGTGAAGATCGTTAGTGACATATTTTCTCAAGTGCTAAAAGGAAAAAAAAAGTCAACCAGTAATTCTATATCCAGCAAAGGTGATCTTTTTTTTCTTTTAACACCTGAAGATGCTATTTCATTATCTTTTTGATTGCATTGTTTCTGACAAGTCAGCATTAACTCTTATCTTTGTAAGCCCTGTATGTAATGTGCCTTTAAAATATTTTCATATAACTGCTTTTAAGTTTCTCTTTATTACCTGTTTTCAACCATTTAATTACGATTTCTTTGTGATTATCCTGCTTTGGGATGTCAACATTCTTTGATCTATGAGTGTAAATATTTCATCAACTCTGGGAAATCTTGGACCTTTATTTCTTGGGAAAAATCTGCCCCACTTCATTGTGTATCTCCTTTTTTACCTATTTTAGACTATTTCATATTGTCTCATATGTCACTGAGACTGTTCATTTGTTAAAGTCTTTTATCTTTCTTCTTCACTTTGCTTCTCTTCTATGTTTTCTGTTGCCATGTCTTCAAGTTTGCTAATTTTGTATGTTTAAAATTATGCTCTTTGGCCTGGAGCAGTGGCTCACGCCTGTAATCCCAACACTTTGGGAGGCTGAGGCGGGCAGATTGCCTGAGATCAGAAGTTTGAGACCAAACTGGCCAACATGGCAAAAACCCGTCTCTACTAAACATAAAAAATTGAGCGTGGTGGCACGTTCCTGTAATCCCAGCTACTCGGGAGGCTGAGGCAGGAGAATTGTTTGAACCTGCAAGGTGGAGGTTACAGTGAGCCAAAATTGTACCACTGCACTCCAGCCTGGGTGACAGAGTGAGACTTCCTCTCAAAAAAAAATAAAAAAAATAAAAAATAAAATAAAATTATTATCTTTTTCAAACTTGCTGGGGTTTTTTTCTTGTAGACTCTAATTACTTCATTATAATTCCCAGTCCTTTTATCTCTTATCGTCTTACACCCTTGGAGCCCTTTCAAATTGTTCTTTTGCAGCATTATTTTGGTCCCTTTTAATTTGTTCTTTTGTCTTGAATTCTCGGGGTGATACTCCTTTGTATGTTGAGTCTGCTGACTCTCCTTCAAGATGAATTATTTCTTCACACATGTACATTTTAGAGCTGTGAGCTCATCTTCAGTGGAGATTGTCTTTGTCTATGGAATCAAGCTCTGTGTACTTGAAGTTACAGCAGTGTTGCCACAGAACAGAACTATGCTTTTTTTTTTTTTTTTGAGAATAAGTCTCCCTCTGTTGCTCAGACTAGAGTGCAGTTGTGCGATCTCAGCTCACTGCAACCTCCTCCTCCCAGGTTGAAGCAATTCTCGTGCCTCAACCTCCTGAGTAGCTGGGATTACAGGTGCACACCACCATGCCCAGCTAATTCTTCTGTACTTTAGTGGAGACAGGGTTTCATCATGTTGGCCAGGCTGGTCTTGAACTCCTGACCTCAAGTGATCCTCCTGCCTCAGCCTCCTAAAGTGCTGGGATTACAGGCGTGAGCCACCACTCCCGGCCTGAACTATGCATTTTAATGCCAAGAAAGTCCAGAAGTTTCACTACTGTGGGCTAGGTTTTGAATCTCCTTACCTTGGGGCTTATATAATGTGCGTAGTATTAATTTGGATCCAGTACCTACACATATATATTCTTGGTTTTTATTTTCTCATGAGAGGTTGTGGGGGGTTTGTTCTTTTGTTTGTTTTTCTTTTCTTTTCTTTTTTTTTTTAACCATCTAGAGGTCCAGGCAAAGACAGACGTTCTTGTTGTCTCCCTCCAGTGGTATTTCTCTAGTTTCTTCTCACATTAGGGAACAGCCTTTCCAGAGCCCCAGCTTTACACACATACTGTGGTTCCAGCTCCCCACCTGGGGTTGTCTGTGTCCTTGTCCTTTATTTCGGCAGATGTTACCCCCCAGCCCTGGCCCTGGCTCTGCATCTAGTCTGATAGGCTCACAGCTGCTTCAGCTTCTGCCATGAACTCACTTCTCTGGCCTTGAGTTGTTGCTCCAGTTCTGGTACTCAGGGATTTAAATTTCTTTTGTTCTTTCATGATCCGCCATGCTTTTTTTTTTTTTTTTTTTTAGACAGGGTCTCACTCTGTCTCCCAGGCTGGAGTGCAATGGTGCAATCACAGCTCACTGCAGCCTCGACCTCCTGGGCTCAAGAAATCCTCCCACCTCAGCCTCCCAAGTAGCTGGGACCACAGGCACATGCTACCATGCCTAGCTAACTTTTTCTATTTTTTGTAGAGATGGGGTTTTGCCATGTTGCCCAGGCTGGTCTCGAACTCCCAGGCTCCAGCAATCCACCTGCCTCAGCCTCCCAAAATCCTGGGATTACAGGTCTGAGCCACCATGCCCAGCTGCCATGCATTTAAAAATGCTTTATTAATTATTATTAACTACAGACTGAGTATCCTTAATCTAAACATCTGAAATTCAAAATGCTCCAAACTTTTTGAGTGTTGACATGACACTCAAAGAAAATACTCAATGAAGCATTCTAGATTTCAGATTTTTGGATTAGGGATGCTGAACCAATAAGCACAATGCAAACATTCCAAAGTCTGAAAAAAAAAAAACTGAAATTCAAAACATTTCTGGTCTTAAGCATTTCAGATAAGGGATACCCAGTCTGTATTATTATATTTTACCAAATGTTTCTGTATGTGTGTGGTGAGCAGGGGGTTCTGTTAGCTCAGCCCACCATGGTGCTGGGATTGAAGGCTCTATATTGGTTTTTTGACCATCATTTCTTTTCCAGTGATTCTGCTTTGTCTAGCTGAGAGCTACCTTCAGTCAAACTTCATATGTATTATTTAGTCTTTTATATGTCTCGGGTTTTCCCTGGGAGAATTTTTTGATCCTGTGTTCTAATTCACTGCCTCAGTTTTCTTTTTTCATTATCGAGTCTGTTGTTCACTGCCTCCTGCCTCTTTTGCATTTTATTTTTTTATTTGACATTCAAGCTCTCTTGCATATGAAAATTCAGTGATCAACTTTTTCATCTCCGAGAACATTTCTGTCCCTAGATTGTTCCATTTTCGTGTATTTTTTTTTTTTGCTCTCATGTTTTAGATGCAATTACCTCTGAAAATTGTGAATATGAATTAGATTCTTTACAAATTTTACTCTTTCTTGCACATCTCTGTTGGACCACTGTGGGGGTCATCCCAAATCCTAAATTTGGGGGTTCCAGAGTCCAATATACTTCTTAGAGGTTTTAATAACTGCCCTATAGCTCACCCTCATCCCCAGCCCCTGAAGTTCTGAGGTCTTAGCATCATTCTGCTAGACTCTGCTATCCATCGGCTCCTCAGATGAGATTTCCCTTTGCAGGAATCATGGGCTAGTCTCATGCCATTTCCTAGTTTCTCATAGTGATGGGGAGTTTTCCCTATCATGTTAAACAGCAGATGTGATGCTGAAAATCCACATGTTAGGCCTGTGACAATGTGAGTATAGATCATCATTTTATCACCCCCACTGTCCCTACCTCCCTGCCTCCTCTCCTGCCCACCTAACTCTAAATGCCCCTCTCTTACCCACACCTCCTGACACATGTGTTTTTGCCCTCACCTGGTTTCTAATGCACTTCCACAACCAAAACAGCCTCTATTCAGTGTGCCCTATATAAAGATGGGGAATGGCCCCTCCACATTCAATACAGTGAGGACTCTGTATTGCAAGGGAGAGAAAACCCAGTTCAAACTGGCATAAGCCAATGAAGGAAACATATTTGCTCACATAAACTGAAAAGCTCAGAGGTCTTGAAGCAGGCTGTTTCAGGGGTAGCTGGAGGGCCCAGTCTCCTGCCCCAGCCCTCAGCTCTGTTTGTCTCTCCTGGGCGTCTGTTTCCTTCTTGGTCTTTCCTAGAGGTGAGAAAGTAGCTGTCAGCTCCAGCAGAAGCGGGAGATCCCATGCACACAGTAAAGTTCCCTCTGGAGCTGCCTGGGTAACACTTCCATCTCTGAAACAGTCATTGTGGGCGGGGAGGGTGGTGACATGCTCCTAGTCACTGTTCTTAGCCAGAGACAGGCCCACATTGGGTGCCAAGAACTGAGATGAGAGCACAGGATCCTCAGAACAGGTCTGATTTATAGTTTGGGAGGCACTGTGTGCTGGGCCCATGCGAAATGTCCATTCAGATTGACGCAGGACAGGCAAGCCCCAAACTGGAGCTTAGCCCATTAGGGCTCTTGGCTTTGCCCAGGAAATAATTCAAAGGCAAGCCAGAGGCTGGGTGCCGTGACTTACACCTGTAATCCCAGCACTTTGGGAGGCCAAGGCAGGCGTATAGCCTGAGGTCAGGAGTTCGAGACGAGCCTGGCCAACATGGTGAAGCCTCGTCTCTACTAAAAATACAAAAATTAGCTAGGTGTGGTAGCAGGTGCCTGTACTCCCAGCTACTCGGGAGGCTGAGGCAGGAGAATTGCTTGAACCTGGGAGGCGAAGGTTGCAGTGAACCGAGATTGCGTCACTGCACTCCAGCCTGTGCGACAGAGCGAGACTCTGTCTAAATAAAAACAAAACAAAACAAAACAAAACAAAACAAAACAAATAAAACAAAGGCAAGCCAGAGGTAGAAGAAAACGCTTTCCTGAAGCAGCAGTGTTGCAGCTCCATCCCTGTTGCAGCTCTGTCACTGCTCCTGAGAGCAGGGCAACCCCATAGGCAGAGAGTAGCAGCTCAGAGCAGTTTTGCAGTCAGATTTATACCCACTCTTATCTGCATGCAGATTAAGGGGTGTTTTATGCTGAAATTTCTAGGAAAGAGGTAGTAACTTTTGGGTCGCTGTGTCATTGCCATGAAAAGGCAGGGGGTATCTTCCAGGTGTTGCCATGGCAATGATAAACTGACATGGCGCACTGGTGGGCGTGTCTTATGGAAAGCTGCTTCCACCTCATCCCTGTTTTAGCTAGTCCTCAATCTGGTCCAGCATCTGAGCCACACCTCTGGAGTTGAAACCCACCCCCTACCTCAAGACCTTCTACTCCTACCTCCTCAGTATCTACTCACATCTATTGTGAGATAATGGAGCTCGTGTTATGTAAGTGAGAGAAGAGAGAACAGGAGGTGATGCCATTGTGAGGAAGAAAGAGAACAGAGAGAATGCAGAAAATACTTCCCTGCCACCCATAGACAAGGCGTAAGCCCTGAGGCTTAGGGGATGGGGACTGGAGGCATGAGGGCTGCCCCACCTGGGGCTGTGCCTGTGGCTCAGAGGTGTGAACAGCCCCACCTGCCAGGGCTGTGGCTTCTCTCGTGGCCATGCTGGGACAGACTCCACCGTCTCTACCTCCCTGCCTCCTCACCTGCCCACCTAACTCTGAATGCCCCTCTCTTACCCACGCCTCCTGACACACTTGTGTTTTTGCCCCCACTTGGTTTCTAAAGCACTTCAACAACCAAAACAACCTCTATTCAATGTGCCCTACAGAAAGATGGGGAATGGCCCCTCCACATCCCCTGCACCTTAGCTGTAAGGTCCTTTCACCTCCTGCCTTTACTGAAGATACTGAAGGAATAAACGAACTCCAGCTTGGTGTCATTTCATGTACCCATTGCTGGAATAATGCAAGCTCTCTTCCATACCTAGAGCTTATTTAGGTGACCCCTGGTATAGACACACATTAAGGCCAACACAGGCTGGGGAGCTGGGCGTCCTGGGCTCCCACTTCTCCCTAAGGAGTCCCAATGTCCTTATTCCTTACCATTCTTGTTGGGCAAATATTCATTGAGCACCCCATAGGAGTCGGGCACTGTGTAAGGACATATAATAAAACTGACATCCTGTTCCAGAGGGGTAGCAGAGCACAGAGACGGCCTCCCAGAGTCCAAAGTGAAGTCCTCCATGGGCTCAAAGTCTCAAACTTTATTTATTTATTTGAGATGGAGTTTCGCTCTTCTTGCCCAGGCTGGGGTGCAATGGTGCGATCTCGGTTCACTGCAACCTCCGCCTCCCAGGTTCAAGCGATTCTCCTGCCTCAGCCTCCCGAGTAGCTGGGATTACAGGCATGTGCCACCATGCCCGGCTAATTTTGTATAATTAGTAGAGACGGGGTTTCTCCATGTTGGTCAGGCTGGTCTTGAACTCCCAACCTCAGGTGATCCGCCCACCTCAGCCTCCTAAGGTGCTGGGATTACAGGTGTGAGCCACCACTGCTGGGCCTCAAGCTTTATTTTTCAAAACTGCTTATTTTGAAATAGTTATAGATTCACAGGAAATTGCAAATAAATGTACAGGGATGTCCTGTGTACACTTCACCCAATTCCCTGCTATGGTAACATCTTATATAACTATAGTACAATATCAACACTAGGAAATGGACATTGGTGCCATGAACAGTTTATTTAGATTTTACTGATTATCCATGCCTTTGTGCGTGTGCATGCATGTGTGCGTGCAGGTAGCTCTATGCAATTTTGTCACATATGTAGCTTTGTGTGACCATCACCCCAATCAAGATATTTAATGGCTGGGCATGGCGGCTCACACCTGTAATCCCAGCACTTTGGGTGGCCGAGGTGGGTGGATCACTTGAGGTCAGGAGTTCAAGACCAGCCTGGCCAACGTGGTGAAACCCTATCTCTACTAAAATATAAAAACTACCCAGACATGGTGGTGGGTGCCTGTAATCCCAGCCACTTCATAGGCTGAGGCAGGTGAATTGCTTGAACCTGGGAAGCGGAAGTTGCAGTGAGCTGGGATCACGTCACCACGCTCCAGCCTGGGCGACAGACCAAGGTTCTGTCTCAAAACAAACAAACAAACAAACGAACGAACAAACAAACTTAACTGTGCTATTACAAGATTCCTAGTACTGCCCTTTTATACAAATACCCCTTCCTTCTTCCCCATCCTCCCTCAACCCTAACCCCTGGCAACGAGGAATCTATTCTCAGTCTTTATATTATTTTACAAATGTTATACAAGCAGATTCATGCAGTATTATTCTTTTGAGACTGGCTTTTTTCAACATAATTTTCTGCAGGTTCATTCATGTTGTTGTGTGTATCAGTAGATCATTCCTTTTTATTGCCAGTAGCACTCTATGGTATGAATCTATCACAGCTTGTTTAACCATCACCCACTGAAGGATATTTGGGTAGTTTTCAAGTTGGAGCTATTATGAATAAAGCATCTATGAACATTTATATACACGCTTCTACATAAAAATAAGTTTTCATTTATCTGGAAAAAAAATGCCCAAGAGTATAATTGCTGGGTCATACGATAAGTTCACTTTTAGTTTTCAAAGGAACTGCCAAACCATTTTTCAGAGTGGCAGAACTATTTTACATGCTCCCATCAGCAATGTATAAGTGATCCAGTTTTTCTACACGCCTACCAGCATTTGGTGTTATCACTACTTTTTTATTTTAGCCATTCTGATAGGAGTGCTGTAGTATCTCGATAAGTTTTAATTTGCATTTCTCTACCAGCTAATGATGTTGAGCATCTTTATTTGCCATCTGTATATCCTCTTTAGCAAAATGTCTGTGCAGATTTTATGCCTATTTTCTAATTTGGATTGTTTGAGAGTTTTGTTTCATTTTTTACTATTGAATTCTGAGGGGTTTTTTACAGTCTAGATACTAGTCCTTGGTCACATACGTGATTTGCAAATAGTATCTCTTAGTCTCTGTTTTGCCTCTTCATCCTTAGTCTTATGCAAAGCAAAAGTTTTTCATTTTAATGTTAATAAGGTCTGGTTTATCAAATTTTCCTTTTATGGATCATGTTTTTATAGATAATACTCAATCTTAGATTCTGAACATTTCCATATATACATATATGGAAACATATATATATATATATATGGAAACATATATATATATATATATGGAAACATATATATATATATATATATGGAAACATATATATATATATATATATGTTTTGACAGTCTCCCTCTGTCACCCAGGCTAGAGTGCAGTGGCATGATCTTGGCTCACTGCAACCTCTGCCTCCTGGGTCCAGGCAATTCTCTTGCCTCAGCCTCACAAGTAGCTGGGATTACAGGCACCTGCCACCATGCCTAGCTAATTTTTTGTATTTTTAGTAGAGACGGGTTTCGCCATGTTGGCCAGGCTGGTCTTGAACTCCTGACCTCAAGTGATCCGCCCACCTCACCCTCCCAAAGTGCTGGGATTACAGGCGTGAGCCACCGTGCCCCGCCTCCTCTTATATTTTCTCCTAGATGTTTGATAAGTTTACATTTTACATTTTAGTCCATGATCCATTTTTAATTTTTGTATGAGGTGTGAGACAAGTTGAGTTTCATTTTTCTGCCTATGAATGTCCAATTGCTCCAGCAGATTTAGTGAAAAGTGTATTTCTCCTCCATTAAATTCCTTTTGCTCCTTTGTCAACTGTTAGGCATCTTTATGTGAATCTACCTCTGTATTCCCTATTCTGTTCCACTGATCCATATGTCTATCCCTAGGCAGTACCACATTGTCTTACTCACTGTAGCTATGTAGTAAAATCTTAAAATCTTAACACCAGTAGAGTGTTTCCTTCCACCATATCCCTTTTTTTCTTTTTTCAAAATTGCTTTGGCCAAGCTAGGTCTTGTATCTTTTCCTATAAATTTTATTATTTTATTTTATTTATTTATTTTTTTGAGACAAAGTCTCACTGCAGCATCCAGGCTGGAGTTCAGTGGTGCGATCTCGGCTTACCACAACCTCTACTTCCTGGGTTCAAACAATTCTCCTGCCTCAGCCTCCCGAGTAGCTGGGACTACAGGCATGCACCACCATGCCCAGCTAATTTTTGTATTTTTAGTAGAGACGGGGTTTCGCCATGTTGGCCAGGCTGGTCTCAAACTCCTGACCTCAAGTGATCTGCCTGCCTCGGCCTCCCAAAGTGCTGGAATTACAGGCATGAGCCATCGTGCCCGGCCTAAATTTTAGCATAAGCTTGTTATGTCTACAAAATTCTTGCTGAGAATTTGGTAAGAATTGCATTAAACCTATAGATCATTTAGAGAGACTTGACATTTTTACTATGTTAAGTCTTTTGATCCATGAATTTAGTATGTCTCTCCAACTATTTAGGTTTTCTTTTATTTCTTTCATTACCATTTTGTAATTTTCATCATACAGATTCTATACATGTTTTGTTAGGTTTACAGCTAAGGATTTGATTTTCTTTGGAGCAGTTTTAAGTGGTATTGTGTTTTTTATTTTGATTTCCACTTGTTTGCTGTCAGTATATAGAAATGCAATTGATTTTGTATGTTAATCTTGTATCCTGCAACCTTACTGAACTCACTGAACTTTTTAATTAGTTCTAGGAGTTTTTTGTAGATTCCTTGGGATTTTCCTTGTAGACAACATGTCATCTGCAAACAGAGACAGTTTTACTTTTTTCCATTCCAATTTGTATGCTTCTTTCTTTTCCTTGCCTTATTGCAGTGGCTAGAACTTCCAATATTATGTTCAATAAAAATGATAAGAGTGAACATTCTTATCTTGTTTCTGACCATAGGGGAAACCATGCAGTCTTTTGCTATGAAGTATGATGTAAGCTTTAGGTTTTTTGTAGATGCCCTTTATGAGGTTGAAGAAGTGTCCTTCAATTCCTAGCGTACCAAGAGTTGTTATCATGAATGGGTGCTGAATTTTTCAAATGCTTTGTCAAATGCATCAGTTGACATAATCATATGATTTTCTTCTTTAGCCTATTTATCTGGTGGATGACATTGATTGATTTTTGAATAGTGAACCAACCTTGCATACCTGTAAAAAATTCCACTTGGTTGTTGTGTATTATTCTTTTTATACATTGTTGAATTCAATTGCTAAAATTTTGTCGAGAATGTCTCTAAGTTCATAAGACATATTAGTCCGTAGTTTTCTTTTTTTTTCTCTTTTGAGACAGAGTCTCGCTCTGTTGCCCAGGCTGGAGTGTGGTGGTATGATCTCGGCTCACTGCAACCTCTGCCTCCTGGGCTCAAGCAATTCTCCTGCCTCAGCCTCCTGAGTAGCTGGGGTTACAGGCACAAGGCACCACACCTGGCTGATTTTTGTATTTTTTGTAGACACAGGGTTTCACCATGTTGGCCAGGCTAGTCTCAAACTCCCTACCTCAGGTGATCCGCCCACCTCAGCCTCCCACAATGCTGCGATTACAGGTGTGAGCAACCGCTCCCAGCCTTGTAGTTTTCTTTTTTGTCAAAATTTGGTATCAGGGTAATTCTGGCCTCAATAAAATGAGTTTGGAAGTGTTCACTCCTCTTCTGCTTTCTGAAAGACATTGTGCAAAATTGATGTTCATGAATCTTTTGAAACATTCATTTTTGAATGTTTGGTACAAGT
This sequence comes from Homo sapiens, assembly GCF_000001405.40. Lineage (NCBI taxonomy): Eukaryota > Metazoa > Chordata > Mammalia > Primates > Hominidae > Homo > Homo sapiens. Next base: position 33,835,520 of record NC_000019.10, on the reverse strand, counting down.
CTCTAATGAAACATTCTGGTCATAGAGATTCCTTTTTCAGGAGTTTTATAATTATAAATTCAATTTCTTTAACAGTTATAGAATAATTCAGGTTATCTATTTCATCTTGGCCCAGTTTTGTGGTTTTTGAGGAATAACCTTATTTCTTCTAAGTTGTTGAATTTATGAGTGTAAAGTTATTTATAGTATCCCATTAGTATCTATTTAATGGCTGCAGGATCGATTGCAATATCATCCGTTTCAGTCTTGATATTGATGATGTGTGTCTTCTCCCTTTTTCTCTCTGTCAATCTTGCAAGAGTTTTATATATTTTGTTGATCTTTATGAAGAGCCAGATTTTGGTTTAATTTTCTCTATTGTTTTTTTAATTTTGTTGATTTCTGCTCTTGTGTTTATTGTTTCCTTCCTTCTACTTGCTTTGGGATTAATTTGCTCTTCTTTTTCTACGTTATTGAGAAGGAAGCTTAAATGATTGATTTGAGATTTTTTCCTTTTTTCTAACATAAGACTTAAATGTTCCAACCTCCTTCTGTTACCATCTTCTTTCTGTTTAGGGAGCTTCCTCTAAGGATAGATCCACTAACAACAATTCTCTTAGTTTTCCTTTGTGTGCAAATGACTTTATTTTCCCTTTATTCCTGAAGGATGATTTCACTGGATAGAGGATTTGCAGTGGGAGGTTCTTTTCTTTCAGCAGTTAAAAAATGTTGGGCTGGCCAGGCACAGTGGCTCATGCCTGTAATCCCAGGACTTTGGGAGGCCAAGGCAGGAGGATCTCCTGAGCCCAGGAGTTCGAGACCAGCCTGGGCAATATTGTTAGACCCTGTCTCCATAAAAACCTTAAAAAATTAGCAAAGCCTGGTGGCGTGCACCTGTAGTCCCAGCTACTTGGGAGGCTGAGGTCGGAGGATCACTTGATCCCAGAAGGCAGAGGCTGCAGTAAGCAAGATTGCACAACTGCACTCCAGCCTGGGTGACAAAGTGAGACCCTGTCTCAAAAAAAAAAAAAAAAAAAAAAAGTTGGGCCACTTCTTTCTGGCCTCCGTGGTTTCCGGTGGGAAATTCATTATCATTTGAATTGATATTCATTTATAGGGAACACATTGTTTGCCTGGCTAGTTTTAAGATTTTTGTCTTTGTTTTTAGTTTTCAGAATTTGATTATGATATATCTTGGGGTGGATTTCTTTTCGTATTTCTTTTAATACTTTTTTAGTCCACACTCTCTTTTCTCATTCTGGGATTTGGATTATATACAAAAACATTATATCTTTTGTTACTGCCCCACAGAACACTGAAGCTCTTTTTCCTTTTTTCAGTCTGTTTTCTTTCTGTTGTTTAGTTGGAGTACATCCTATTGATCTGTTGCAAGTTTATCGTTTCTATCTTGTGTCATCTCCTTTATACTATTGAGTCCATCTAGTACATTTTTAAAAATTTCAGTTATTGTATTTTTCAGTTTTATAAGATCCATTTGGTTCTTTGTTTAAATTACTGCTCTTTCTTTGCCGAGAATTTTAAACATTTTTTTTATTATAAGTGTTTTTTTCATTATAAGTGTTTGTTGAGGCATTTTTATGAGGCTGCTTTAAAATTCTTGTCAGGTAATTTCAACATCTGATTTATCTGGGTTTTGGAGGCAGTTTGTCTTTTCTCATTCGAACTGTGGTTCTTTGGGATGATGAGTGTTTTGCAATTGTATTCTGGACACTGGATATTATGTTAGCACACGCTTGATCCTATTTAAATCTGTTTTAGGGCTGCATGCGTTGTCTCACACCTATAATCCCAGAACTTTGGGAGGCTGAGGTGGGAGGATTACTTGAGCCCAGGAGTTTGAGACCAACCTGGGCAACATAGCGAGACCCTGTCTCTACAAATAATAATATGACAAAAATTAGCCAAGCATGGTGGTGTGCACCTGTGGTCTCAGCTACTCGGGAGGCTGAGGCAGGAGGATTACTTGAGCTAAGGGGGTTGAGGCTGCAGTGGGCTGTGATTGCACCACTGCACTGCAGCCTGATGACAGAACAAGTCTGCCTTTTTTAAAAAATTGTTTTTTAATATGTTTTAGCAGGCAGTCACTCTATTTAGCTTTAGTATATAGGTTCTGACATATATTTGTAGGCATTAGTTCCAGGGACAGTTTGGTCATCATCAGAACACTTTCTTTCTGGTTTTTTTTTTTTTTTTTTAGATGGAGTTTCACTCTTGTTGCCCAGGCTGGAGTGCAATGACGCAATCTCAGCTCACTGCAATCTCTGTCTCCCAGGTTCAAGCGATCCTCCTGCCTCAGCCTCCCAAGTAGCTGGGATTACAGTCATGCAGCACCACGCCTGGCTAATTTTGTATTTTTAGTAGAGACGGGGTTTCTCCATGTTGGTCAGGCTGGTCTTGAACTCCCGACCTCAGGTGATCCACCCACCTCAGCCTCCCAAAGTGCTGGGATTACAGGCGTGAGCCACCACGCCCGGCCCATCAGAACACTTTCAATGTGATTTGGAACTGCTTGATTCTTCTAGCACTGCTGGGGCTACTTCTAGCCCTGCCCCATCTCTGTCGATGTCATCGTTTAAGGCAGAAGGCACTTCCCTGAGCTGCTTGGTGTTTGCGGGCTACATTCTTCTGCTAAATGGTTTAGAGGGCCTGGGTCTTCTTATGCCACTGCATGGAGGGCAGGTAGACACAGAGCTAAGCTGACGCTGCCCCTGCAGGCTGTGATTGCAGGTGGGTCAGGCTGCCTGCCAGTGCTTCCGCTGTGGAGGGGGCATGGGACTCCCCACTAGGCGTCTTTCGGGTTTTCCTTAAGTTATTCTTTGTCCATTTGTCCAGAGAGAGCAAGATTTTGTTATCTTTTTTTTTTTAAGTGCTTAATGGAATTTCTAGGTTGTGGGAATCTTCAGCACCTGGTCTAGGGTATATGGAAGATTAAAAGAAGAAGACACGGCCAAGCATGGTGGCTCACGCCTGTAATTTCAGTACTTTGAGAGGCTGAGGCAGGTGGGTCACTTGAGGTTGGGGTTCGAGACCAGTCTGGCCAACAAGGTGAAACCCCGTCTCTACTAAAAATAAAAAGAAATTAGCCGGGTATGGTGGCATGTGCCTGTAATCTCAGCTACTCTGGAGGCTGAGGCAGGAGAATCGATTGCTTGAGCCCAGGAGGTGGAGGTTGCGGTGAGCCTAGATCACACCACTGCACTCCTGCTTGGGTAACAGAGTGAGACCCTGTCTCAAAAAAAGAAAAAGAAAAAAAAAGTTTCAGGGAACTCACTGCATTATTTTTCCATAGCTAGCTCACCTTTCTCTTTGCAGCTTTAAGTCATTTTTATTGCTGTCTGTTAAATAATTCCCAGGATATTTAGTTCTGTTTAGAGGGGAGTGTTTTAATTGCCTCCTCCTCACCCCCTTGGTGGGGGAGGAGAGGAATTCCTGCCCTGGGGTTGTGGGGATGGTCAAACATACAACTGGTGAGACTGGACAGATGACATCAACAGTGAATAGTCACATATACTCATGGCCTGGGGGCAGAGAGCACCACACGCCCCACAGGGTCACATGGGTGTTGGGGACAGAAGGAGCAGCCAGGGTCTGTGGGAGGCAGGCTTTGCAGTATCAAGAGAGTGGGGTGCTCCATGGTTTCCAAGGGAGGTTGTGACTGGTCCTTTTACACAATTCCATGGGCTAACAGGGACCAAAACCCAATACTCAGGGACAAACAAGAACTGCTCCTAGTGTCCCTGATGAGGAGGGCTGTTTGGCTAGAGGACCCTATCACTGAGAGCAGAGTGAGGAGGGAAAGTTGCAGTTAGGCCACTCGAGGCCCTCCAGGTTTTACCAGATGTAAGGTAGCACATGGGAGTGAGCCTTTATACCAAAGGGAGGAGCAAGGAAAAGTACCATCTTGTTCCAGAACCAGAACTCAAGTTTTAGTTTTAAAATCCAGAAGAACTTTGTATTCTGATCCAGGCTTATTTTTATTTTTGTTTTTTTTTTTGAGACAGAGTCTCGCTCTGTCACCTAGGCTGGAGTATAGTGGCCTGATCTTGACTCACGGCAACCTCTGCCTCCCGGGTTCAGGCGATTCTCCTGCCTCAGCCTCCCAAGTAGCTGGGATTACAGGCACCCACCACCACGCCTGGCTAATTTTTGTATTTTTAGTAGAGACGGGGTTTCGCCGTGTTGGCCAGACTGGTCTCGAACTCCCAACCTTAGGTGATCCACCCGCCTCGGCCTCCCAAAGTGCTCGGATTACAGGTGTGAGTCACCGCACTTGGCCACACAATGTTTTTGAAGTTTGCCCATGTTGTAGCATGTATTAGCGCTTCATCTCTTTTCATAGCTGAATTAAATATTCCATTGTGTGGATATACCTTATGTTGTTTATCCATTCATCTTTTGATGGGGATTTGGGTTGTTCCACCTTTTGGCTATGGTGAATAACGCTGCAATGAACATTTGTGTGGAAGTATTTGAGGCCAGGTGCGGTGGCTCACACCTATAATCCCAGCACTTTGGGAGGCTGAGGTAGGCAGATCACTTGAAGTCAGGAGTTCTAGACCAGCCTGGCCAACATGGTGAAAACCTGTTTCTACTAATAATACAAAAATTAGCCAGGCACAGTGATGTACACTTGTAATCCCAGCTACTCGGGAGGCTGAGGCATGAGAATCGCTTGAACCCAGGAGGAGGAGGTTGCAGTCAGCTGAGATCGTGCCACTGCACTCCAGCCTGGGGGACAGAGTAAAACTCGGCCTCAAAAAGAAAAAAATTTGTTTCAGCACCTGTTTTCAGTTATTTTGTATGTATCTAAGAATGGAATTGCTGGGTCACATAATATGACCTTATCATTAGAAAATATCAGCCCAGCCCAAATTGAGGGACATTCTACAAAATAAGTGGCTTGTAATCATCAAAAGTGTCAAGGTCATGAAAGTCAGGGAAAGACCCAGGAACTGAAGAGATGTGACTGCTAAATGTGTTGATCCTGGGCTGGATGCTTTGCTACTAAGGATGATACCAGGGCAATTGGTAAAATCTGTATGGGTCGGAAGAGCAGGTGTTAGTAATGCAGTTGTGTGGTTTCCTGGTATTGATGACTGTATGTGGTTACGGAGGGGAATATCCTTGTTTGTAGAAAACACAAGCTATTTTGGGGGTGAAGGGGCATCATGTCAGTAACAATATGAAATGGTTCATCAAAAAATAGTATTGGGCTGGGTGCAGTGGCTCACGCCTGTAGTCTTAGCACTTTAGGAGGCCAAGGCAGGAGGCTTGCTTGAGCCCAGGAGTTTGAGACCAGCATGGGTGACAGAGCGAGACTCCATCTCAAAAAAAGAAAAAAAAAAGAAGTTTTGCTTCCTCCAATATTGATAATAAAAAATCACAATTTTGGATCAATCACTCTAGAGGAAATGCAAAATTGCTTTTCTATTCTCTCTATAAAAACATATATTATTGTTGCTATTTGAAGAAGTGATCAGGGTAGACAGCTAAATTATGTAGGAAGCGTGTTACATCAGCCAGTTGATTAATAATATAGGAATGAAATACTAATATGGTATTGTTCTGAATTTTGTGATGTTCATAGTATTTTATTATTTTATTTTTTAGAGCTAGAGTCCTGCTGTGTCACCTAGGCTAGAGTGCAGTGGCATGATCAACAATTCACTGCAGCCTTGACCTTCTGGGCTCAAGGGATCTTCCCTACTTGGCCTCCAGAATAGCTGGGACTACAGGCATGCACCACCATTTCTAGCTAAATTTTGCTACGTTGCCCAGGCTGGTCTTGAACTCCTGGGCTCAACAATCCTCCTGCCTTGGCCTCCCAAAGTGCTGGGATTACAGGCATGAGCCACCATGCCTGGCCATTTTGTGGTATTTTAAATTTGTATTATGTTGTGACTTTTCTCATTCTAAATAAATACTTTTGTTCATGGTAAAACCAAACAAAACAGTTTTGTACTGTCCTTGCAAATTTTTTTGGTAAATTTGTGATTGTTTCAAAATACACCAAAATTAATTAAAAATATTTTATCAGATAATTTTCCATCAAGTGTGGTCCATTCTTGCTTCCATTTCTCTCCTGTTCTCTCTTTCCTCCCACCCTGCGGTCACTCCTTCTCCAAACCCTCTGCTGCACCCTTCTTCCCTCTCCCAGCTTCCAAACACCGAGTGCCCGGGGCTCATCCTGGAAACCTCTTCTTTTTTTTTTTTTTTAATGTGTGTGTGTGTGTGTGTGTGTGTGTGTGTGTTTTGAGATGGAGTCTTGCTGTGCTGCTCAGGCTGGAGTGCACTGGTACGATCTCGGCTCACTGCAGCCTCCGCCTCCTAGGTTCAAGAGATTCTCCTGCCTCAGCCTCTTACGTAGCTGGGATTACAGGTGCCCGCCACCATGGCAAGCTAATTTTTGCATTTTTAGTAGAGACAGGGTTTCACCATGTTGGTCAGGCTGGTCTCGAACTCCTGACCTCAAGACATCTGCCCGCCTCATCCTCCCAAAGTGCTGGGATTATAGGCGTGAGCCACCGCGCCCAGCCAGTCTCTTCTCTTTTGACACTTACTGCCTTGGAGACCTTATCCAGTCTTGGCTTTGAATGCTGTCTAACTTGTGAGGACCCTCCAACGTACACCTGCAGCCTGGACTCCCTCCTGAGTTCCCAAGTACCTGCCTGTCTCCCAGCCCAGCTTTGTCAGTCCTGTGCTTAACAGGCATCTCAACAGCCTGCCCCATCTGCCCAACACCATCAATCTTCTCATCCCAGCAAAAGGCAACTCCATCCTTCCTTTGCTCAGGCCAACCCCCTTGTAGCCACCCTAGACACCTCACTGCCTCCCACATTTCACATCTAAGCAGGCATCAAGTTATGTTGGCTCCTCCTTCCAAGTGTACCCAGGATGGAACTGCCTCTCCCTACTCCCACGTCTCTCACCCTGCTCCAGGCCACCTTCAGCTCGCTCTGAAGGATCATGGTCGCATCCAACTGGTTTCCCTGCTCCTCCCCAGCCCCCTTCAGTCTATTTCCCTCCTCTGCTCACCACTGGGCAGTGGCCACTGCTCTCAAGCTCAGGAAAAGCCCAAGTCCTGGCCTGGCGCAGTGGCTCACGCCTGTAATCCCAGCGCTTTGGGAGGCCAGGAGTTCCAGACCATCCTGGCTAACACGGTGAAACTCCATCTCTACTAAAAATACAAGTAATTAGCCAGGCATGCTGGCATGTGCCTGTAGTCCCAGCTACTGGGGAGGCTGAGGCAGGAGAATCAGTTGAACCCGGGAGGCAGAGGTTGCAGTGAGCCGAGATCATGCCACTGCACTCCAGCCTGGGAGACAGAGCGAGACTCCGTCTCAAAATAAAAATAAAAATAGAAGCCCAAGTCCCAATCACGGTTCATGGCAGTGTTTTAGATTGGGATGCTCCAGAAGCTGATGCCGAGACAAGACCTTGAACGCAGCATTCACTGGGAGGTGATTCCTGGTATATAGGAAGAGAGAGAGGGAAGTAAGACAGGGCAAGGAAGGAAGCCAAGAGAGGGAAGGCTAGTAAGGGAGCTACTTGTCTGGGCACGGCAGCTCATGCCTGTAATCCCAGCGCTTTGGGAGGCTGAAGTGGGAGGACCACTTGAGGCCAGGAGTTTGAGACCAGCCTGGGCAACATAGAAAGGCACCTCCACCTCTGCAAAAATAAAAATTGGCCAGGCACAATGGCTCATGCCTGTAATCCCAGCACTTTGGGAGGCAGAGGCTGACAGATCACTTGAGGTCAGGAGTTTGAGATGAGCCTGGTCAATGAGTAGAGATGGCAAAACTCCATCTCTACTAAAAATACAAAAATTAGCCGGGTGTGGTGGTGCACATCTGTAATCCCAGCTACTTGAGAAGCTGAGACACGAGAATCGTTTGAACCCGGGAGGTGGAGGTTGCAGTGAGCTGAGATCGTGCCACTGTATTCTAGCCTGGGCAACAGAGCAAGACTAGGTCTCAATAAATAAATAAATAAATAAATAAATAAATAAATAAATAAATAAATATAAAAAATTACCCAGGCATTGTGGCATGTGCCTGCAGTTCTAGCTGCTAGGGAAGCTGAGGTGGGAGGATCGCTTGAGGCCAGGAGTTTAGCTTTACAGTGTGCTATGATCTACCACTGCACCCCAGCCTGGGCAACAGAGCAAGACCCTGGCCCTTAAAAAGTAACAAATGAGGCAGGGCATGGTAGCTCACGCCTCTAATCCCAGCACTTTGGGAGGCCGAGGCAGACGGATCACCTGAGGTCAGGAGTTTGGGACCAGCCTGGCCAACATGGTGAAACCCCATCTTTACTAAAAATACAGAAATTAGCCAGACATGGTGGCGCATGCCTGTAATCCCAGCTACTTGGGAGGCTGAGGCAGGAGACTCATTTATACCTGGGAGGCAGGGGTTGCAGTGAGCCAAGATCATGCCGTTGCACTCTAACCCCACTGGAGGCCCCTGAGAGAGCCTAGAGCAGACCTCCCCATTGTCAGACGCAAAAGGCAAGACACCTGGGTGTTTATTTGCCATCTCCACAATAGTAGAGAGCTAAGGGGGCATTGACTTCCTGGCCTGCCCCACGCATGAGGAGCTGTTGCACTCCTCACCAACAAAGACCCTCAGGCAGAGAGCTACAGGAGCAGTAGGAAGCCATAGGGTCTGTGTGCACCTGAAGGCAAGTGCTAAGGGGAAATGGGTGGAGTACAGGCAACACGTTTTTCAAAGACCCTACATGATCTGACTTCCCTCCTACCCCAGGCACCCCTGCGACCTCACCTTCTGCAACTCCCCAGCCCCTCACACTCCAGCCACATAACCTCCTTCTTGCGTTTCTGAGACACATCATGCACACTCCTACCTCGAGGCCTTTGCCTTGCAGCCCCTTTGCCCCAAATGCTCTTCTGCCAGAAATCTGCATTTCTCCCGCCTTACCTTCTTCTTTTTTGCCGGGGGCAGGGATGGAGTCTCGCTCAGTCACCCAGGCTGGAGTGCAGTGACGCCATCTTGGCTCACTGCAACCTCTGCCTCCGGGGCTCAAATGATTCTCCTGCCTCAGCCTCCCGAGCAGCTGGGACTACAGGTGCAAGCCACCATGCCTGGCTAATTTTTGTATTTTTATTTTATTTTGTTTTGTGATGGACTCTCGCTCTGTCGCCCAGGCTGGAGTGCAGTGGTGCCATCTTGGCTCACTGCAACCTCTGCCTCACAGGTTCAAGCAATTCTCCTGTCTCAGCCTCCTAAGTAGCTGGGACGACAGGCGCAGGCCACCACGCCCAGCTAATTTTTGTATTTTTAGTAGAGATAGGTTTTCACCATATTGGTCAGGCTGGTCTTGAACTCCTGACCTCAGGTGATTTACTTACCTCGGCCTCCCAAAGTGCCGGATTACAGGCGTGAGCCATCCCGCCCAGCCTCCTGCCTTACCTTCTTTGGGGCTTTATTTAAATTTTACATGCGGCTCAGCGAGGCCTTCCTGGTGAAAACAGACAGCACTCGCCAATTAATAAAGTACTATTGGCTGAGCATCCCTAAACTGAAAATCTGAAATCCAAAATGCTTCAAAATCTGAAACTTTTTGGGTGCCACCCTGATGTCACAAGTAGAAAATTCCACAGTTGACTTCATGTAATGGTTTGGAGCTAAAACATGAGCACACAACACACAGTTTATTCACTGTCTCCAAGGAATCAAAGACTTCCCAGCTCCCATCAGCAGCAATATGTCTTTTCCACACTCACCCAGATCCCCACATAAGCACGCCCACAAAGCGTAATAAAACAGCACGTGTTCAGGCTGGACGCACCAACGGCAGGTTCCTCACAATGTCTCACGTGGGGCCAAGACATTACTCATATATATGGTGTATGTGTATGTATGTGTATATATATGCATGATATATATATATATATATATATATATATATACCATGCATATATATATATACCATGCATATATATATATATATTTATATATATACCATGCATATATATATATACCATGCATATATATATATATATATTTATATATATACCATGCATATATATATATATATATATATATATACCATGCATATATATATATATACCATGCATATGTATATGGCTGGGCACAGTGGCTCACATCTGTAATCCCAGCACTTTGGGAGGCTGAGGTGGGTGGATCACCTGAAGTCAGGAGTTCGAGACCAGCCTGGCCAACATGGTGAAACCCCATCTCTACTAAAAGTGTAATAATTAGCCAAGCATGGTGGTGCGTGCCTGTAATCCCAGCTACTCTGGAGGCTGAAGCAGGAGAATCACTTGAACCCAGGAGGCAGAGGTTGCAGTGAGCCAAAATCGCGCCGTTGCACTCCAGCTTGGGCAACAAGAGCGAAACTCAGTCTCAATAATAATAATAAAGATTTAAAAATAGAATGTATAGTAACCTTTTAAAATTTACTTTTGTAAAATTAATTTATATTTCATCTTTTTTTCTTTACCCCATTCCTGCTGAATGCAAATATAGTAACCTTTGAATCAAAACGCAGCATCGGAGGTAAGAGACTGAAAGCTTTGCCATTGTTGGTCTCTGCTGTTTAACCACTGATGCGGTATTCCTGTGATGCTACCATGCTGCTTAGGTACCCTAAATACATTATTTTTTTCATTTTATGAATGGTATACCAAATTTTTTACTGTTAAGTACTTATGTGTAAATAGGTGCAAGAAATGGATTACTTATTGATAGCATATAAATTCAGAGTCAGGAATGGCCGGGCACGGTGGCTCATGCCTGTAATCCCAGCACTTTAGGACGCTGAGGCAGGCAGATCACTTGAGGCCAGGAGTTCAAGACCAACCTGGCCAACATGGTGAAACCCTGTCTGTACTAAAAATACAAAAATTAGCTGGGTGTGGTGGCGCATGCCTGTAATCCCAGCTACTCGGGAGGCTGAGGCAGGAGAATCGCTTGAACCCAGGAGGTGGAGGCTGCAGTGAGCCAAGATGGCACCACTGCACTCCAGCCTGGGTGATAGAGTGAGACTTGGTCTAAAAGAAAAAAAAAGGAATGTTGGTGATGCCAACCCACCACAGATTGTCCACCCGGATGGCTGAGATAGGGACACCTTTGCTTTCTGCTGCTCCATGTGCACAAACTTTGTTTCATGCACAAAATTATTTAGACTATTCTATATGATTACCTTCCAGCTGTGTGTATAAGATGTATATAAAAGAGATAAATTTTGTGTTTAGACTTGGGTCCTATCCCCAAGAAATCTCATTACATATAAATTTACAAATATTCCAAAATTTAAAAAAAGCAAAATCCAAAACACTTCTGGTCCCGAGCATTTCCAGATGAGGGATACTCAACCTGTATTTACAAAGGTGAGGGCAGGGTATATAGAAATCAGGGGTAATGAGTCCTCTCAGGGGTAGTATAGCCAACCATAGTTACCATCCCTAGGCTGGAAGGGGAGAATGGAGAGGTATTCTCAGAGCCAGGTGGGCTGTGTGAGAAAAGCCTCTGGCAGGGGCTGAAGTCTTTGTTATTTATTTATTTTATGTTCTTTTTTTTTTTTTTTTTTTTAGAACCAGGGTCTCGCTCTGTTGCCCAGGCAGTGGGCATGCAGTGGCATGATCATAGCTCACTGCAGCATCAAACTCCTGGGCTCAAGGGATCCTCCTGCCTCAGCCTCCCAAGTAGCTGGGACTACAGGTATATGTCACCATACCCGTTAAGAAATATTTCTTTATTTTTTTTTAAATAGAGACAGGTTCTTGCTATATTGCCCATGATGGTCTCCAACTTCTGGACTCAAGCAATCCTTCCACCTTGGCCTCCCAAAGTGCTGGGATTACAGGCAATAAGCCACTGGGCCTGGCCCAGGGCTGAGGTCTTTAGATGAGTGATGAGAGAGGCTGACTTGCCTTCTGCCCTCCAGTCTCCTGAAGATGCTTCCCATCAGCCATGCCCAACAGGAAGCCAGAGGGTAAGGGAGCCCCTTCACACTGTTCACAATGTCAGCTTCCAGGCCCAGGGCAGGGGGCAGGGTAAATGGGAGATGTCCAGCATACTGTCCAAAATAGCAACACACACACTCCTATTCCCCTTCCTTGCTTTATTTTTAGCACTATTTAACCTATGACACATTTTACTTATTTTTGTTATTGGGTTTTTGTTGTTTATTTTTTGTTTTTCTTTTTTGAGACAGGGTCTTGCTCTGTCACCCAGGCTGGAGTTCAGTGGCGTGATCATAGCTCACTGCAGCTTCAACAGCCTCAAGCAATCCTCTCACTTCAGCCTCTGGATTAGCTGAGACCACAGGTGCATGCCACCACACCTGGCAAATTTTTTTTTTTTTTTTTTTTTTTTTGGAGAGATGAGGTTTCCCTATGTTGCCCAGGCTGGTCTCAAACTCCTGGGCTCAAGCGATCCTCCCACCTGGGCCTCTCAAAGTGCTGGGATTATAGGTGTGACCCACCGCACCCAGCCTTACTTTTGTTTCTTGTCCATCTCTCTTCACTGGAGTGTAAGCTCCACAAGATTGGGGCTTTTCTGTATTCATTCACTACTATATCCTAGTGCCTGAAAGAGGGCATGTGTTCAATAACAATTGTTTGAGTAGATAAAGTTGCTACCTAGATGTGGCAGGCAGAATAATGCCACCAAATATGTCCACATCCTAAACCTGGGATCTGTGAGTATCTTAGGTTATGTGGCAAAGGGGTTTAAGATTGCCAATGGAATTAAGGTGAATTAGTAGACCTTAAAATAGGGAGATTATCTGCAGGGTGGAGGGTGGGCAATGGAATCACTAGAGTCCAGAAAAACAAGGGTGAGGGGATCTAAAGATGCTACACTTCTGGTTTTGGGGATGAAGGAAGGGACCACAAGCTACAGAATGAAGGCAGCCTCTAGAAGCTGGAAAGGACAAGGAAAGATTCTCCCCTAGAGCTCCAGAAAGGAGAGCAGCTCTGTTGACACCTTGATTTTAGCCCAGTGTGACCCATGTCAGACTTCTGACATCTGGAACTGTAAGATGAAAATATATCATCTTAAAATCAGTGTTGGGCTAGGCATGGTGGCTCACACCTGTTATCCCAGCACTTTGAGAGGCCAAGGTGGGAGGATCGCTTGAGTCCAGGAGTTCAAGACCAGCCTGGGCATCATAGGGAGACCTGTCTCTACAAAAAGAAAAAGAAAAAAAAATAGTATTTTTCTAAGCCACATTAGTGGTAACTTGTCATAGCCACAAGAGGAAACCAATACACTGATCTCTGTTCTTAATCCAGGAGCACAGGCTCTGGAGCCAGTTGAGGCTGCTTTTTGGCTCTTCCTTAGGGAGAGAGCTTGCACCTTCTTTTTCTGTGTAAATGAAACTATTAAATATTGTTTCTTCCTGGGGAGGGTGGGAAGTGGGTGGTGTTAGATGTCAGGGTTTGGAGAGCTGGTGATTCATGGGACACTCACGACTCAGAGCCTGGCCTCCAGTAACCAGGCTGATTGTAGACACTCAGTAGATATTTGTGGAAGGATAAATGTATTTCATCAACTGATGTTCCATAATCGATTTCATCTCTCCTGGTTTTAGGACACTAAGGGGCCCCCTTCCTTTCTTTGCCAATAGTAAATACAATTTGAGAATCTGTGCATACAGGGGTGCTTTTGTTTTTGTTTTGAAATTAGTTTTCTGGCTGGGTGCCGTGGTTCACACCTGTAATCTCAGCACTTTGGGAAGCCAAGGAGGGTAGATCACTTGAGGTCAGGAGTTCAAGACCAGCCTGTCCAACATGGTGAAACCCCATCTGTACTAAAAACACAAAAATTCATGCTCACTTCAGCAGCACATATACTAAAAACACAAAAATTAACTAGGCGTGGTTGTGGGCGCCTGTAATCCCAGCTACTCGGGAGGCTGAGGCAGGAGAATCACTTGAACCTGGGAGGTGGAGGTTGCAGTGAGCCAAGATCACACCAATGCACTCCAGCCTGGGTGGCAGAGCAAGACTCCATCTCAAAAATAAATAAATAAATAAATAAATAAATAAATAAATAAATAAATAAAATAATTAGTCTTCTATTTCTTCAAAGCAAGAGCCTCGCCAGGCTGCAAGGCTGGTGCTCTCCACACATGTAGTGTGTATGGTAGTCAGCTGCCTTCTGTGCAGGGCTGCTCACTCACCCGGCAGCTGGGCACTCCTTGGCACAGGAGCCCCCCACGTGGCTAGCCAGGCTGGGGCTGGAAGGTGGGAGTGGAGAGGAGGCAAACTAGAGGCTGTGTGGGAAGGTGCTTTGATGAATTCCCTCCCTGGGCTGGGCTTCTACACGGGTTCCTCCACCTGGGCATGGGAACTGGGGGAGGCTAAAGGGAGGGAGAAGGAGGAGTGCCAGTGGTGGTGCCGGAAGCCTCTCCCTGATGCAAGAGAAGCCTTGAGGCCAGTTCAGCAACTCAGAGCGGTGCTGGCCAGGGCGAGAGCATCGAAACCTCCCTCCCTCCCTCCTGATGCGCGTTCAGGATCTGCAGTCCGGAGGCTGCACACCACAACCTATGCAGGGCAGTGTGGGTTTCCCCAGACGTCTGGGGAGGTGGGAGAGCCTGGGCCTTGAGAGGGCAGGGAACTGAGGAAGCAAAAAAGCAGCTGCAGCCTTCTGCAGCCCGCTCTCCAGGTGGCACCCAAGCCCACCTCTGTGCTCCTGGGAGCTTGGTGCCCCTAAAACCCTCAAGGTTGCAACTCAGAGAGGATTGGGAAGCAAAGCCAGCAGGAGAACAAAGGATGCTTTGCCGGAAAGGGAGGCACCTTCCACGAAGGCCTCCGGGGCCTGGGGAAGTGACTCACTGGGCCCGGGGATGGACCCACCCATGGGGGCTCCGCGGGCCCACAATAGACCCATAGGATAGGAAAGGCACTGTCAGCCTCCGGCCTCTGGCGGGCGCCTCCCAGCCCACCCCCGCGAGATCTGGTCTGCGTCCAGCCCGGGGCCCCTGGGGATAGGCCCTGTTCTCGTTAGGCTCTGCCAGTCGGGACCGCCACCGCCGCTGCTGCCACCTGGGGCTGTGGGCGCGGCCCCTTCCGCCAGCCCTCCCTCCCCTTGGCCCTGCGGGGACCCGGGCTCCCCAGTTCTCGGCAGAGCCACACTACTCCTCTGCCAGAGCGAGGCCATCGATGTCACCCGAAGGTGGCGTCAGGCTCTGTCCCGAGGCTCCCCGGAGGCCTGTGATGGGGACTTGGAGAGAGCCCTCGTTGCGAGCCCCGGCTTCCCGGGCAGTTGCACAACCTCCCCCAATTATGCTCCGTGCAGTGTGTGGCAACCGGGCGAGAATTCCAGGGCCTTGTACCTACTCGTACCAATCTGCCTTCCCGCTGTTTGGCTGCAGGGCCAGGCGTGGCTCTGTGGGCCCGGGGAAATGGGGGTGTGTCCGCGTCCAGGAGGGCGTGGCCCGCGTCAGCCCCGGGAGCAGCAGCCCGGCCCTGCTGGTGCAATCGGCTCGCCCCAAACCGCAGCTTCCTCGGGGGCCCTGAACCGGGTCCAGGACACAGAAAAGGGAGCTCTGGTGACATCCTAGACACGGGCTTTGAGCAGCAGGCCTGGCCCAGCTACGGCTGGTGACGCCGTCCAGCCAGGGATGCGCGGC
Source organism: Homo sapiens (assembly GCF_000001405.40). Lineage (NCBI taxonomy): Eukaryota > Metazoa > Chordata > Mammalia > Primates > Hominidae > Homo > Homo sapiens. The sequence goes on along the minus strand of NC_000019.10, from coordinate 33,819,896 downwards.
CTGGGTTCTCCCGCGGGCAGGACGGGAGGCCTCCCGGGCCCCAGCGTGGCTTGGGCGTCCCTGCCCCTCCCAGGCTCTGCTTTTTAAGACTTTGGCCTGGTTTGTGATTTCTGTGTTAAGAAGGATCCTAGGAGGAGGCCCTGAAGACCTAGCTCTTATTCCACGGCCATGGCTCCGGGTCCAGGAACAGCATTGTCCTGTGGGGCCTGGGCGCTGTCGGGACTGGCTGTTCTGTGTAATGGAAATAAAGACAAAACCCCAAATGCAGCTGACCCCTAACCCCTCTCCTTTGTGTGTCCCCGGGAGTGTGCCTGCCTCTTTCTCTGGGTCTCTCATTAGAATTTCACAGAAGCTTCCTTTGCTATGGAGACGCTAGTCTTGAGGCCTGAGAGGTGGTTCTCTCTACATGCAAATCAATGCATTTGGGGTAATCCATGTTCAGTGTCATGACGAAGTGGAAAACTGCAATGTGGTCTCTCTTCCTGTTAAATTTACAGAGCTTCAAGTACACAATTGAAAGTAAACAATTCCTGGCTGGGCGCAATGGCTCACACCTGTAATCCCAGCATTTTGGGAGGCCAAGGTGGGAGGATCACTTGAGGCCAGGAGTTCAAGACCAGCCTGGCCAACAAAGCAAAACCCCGCCTCTACTAAAAATACAGTAATTAGCTGGGCGTGGTGGTGCACACCTGTAATCCCAGCTACTCGGGAGACTGAGGCACAAGAATCGCTTGAACCCAGGAGGCAGAGGTTGCAGTAAGCCAAGACTGCACCACTGCACTCCAGCCTGGGCAACGGAGTGAGACCCTGTCTCACAAAAAAAAAAAAAAAGGAGAAGAAAAAAAGTGAACAATTCCTGTGCATAAACAAATGTCTGCTCCAAGCCTCATGAGCTATCTTGCCCTCCCAAGCACCTGCAGTGCTTGGCATATGCTGGCCACCAATAAGTGGTGCTCTTGGGTGGTTGTGAAGATAAGGATCTTTGCAGGGAAGCAGGGACCCTTTAAAAATCAACATCCAAAGCCTCAACAGATACATCAGCGCCCCTTTCCAAATCATGACTTTTCCTCAAAAAGCAAAAACTCTACTCAACATATCCTTCCACTGGGGGTGGAGATAAAAACACAGAAAGTTCTCTTTCCCTGAGGGTAAACAGCTACCAACAGTCAGTCATGCCTGGATGCACAACCTCAGGGGTGGGCCCCTCCTGGATGCACAACCTCAGGGGTGGGCCCCTCCCCAGGAACGAGCCCCCAACTCTGCCTGCAGTTCCTAGGTCTGCAGAGGTCACCATGGGCCTGGCAGGGCTCTGCTTGTCTAGCTTTGGGGCTTGCAGGAAGAGAGCTCCTGAACCAGATCCAGGGATTAGCCTGGGATGTGGCGGGGTAGGCTTCTCTGGGGCTGGGGTTTCCCTTCCAATGAAAGCTCACAGAGAAATGTCCCTGGGCTTACAGAGGCCATGGCTGCGAGAACTCGCTGGTTGTGAGATCCAGAAAGAGCAGAGACGCGCTCTTCTTTTCTGACTTTCAACCTTCCCTGGGGTTGTGTTCCATTTGGGTCACCTTAGAAAACTCTGGTGCTTCTAAGAGAACATCAGCGCTAGTCTTGGTGCTGGCAGGAAGCTGCCCTTAGCTGTCACCAACACTTTTTTCTTTCTGTTAGTCCACAAAGCATTACCTTACCTCACCGGTCCTCCAGAGAACATCGGGGCTGCCTAGAATGTGGTGACAGGAGTGAACTCTTAATGGAAAGGGGTTCTGGAGGGAATGTTTCTGTGCCTCTCTGCCCTAGTTGGTGAATTTAGCAGTTTAACCTAAATACAGTTGTTCCTGGATAGACCTTCCTCCAAGCAGGTGCTCTAGACCATCTTTTGTCTCGGGCTTTATGTTGGACGTTAGAGCTTTATCTTTGTGATGCCTTTGTAGGTTTCTCTGGATACTGACAAGAAACTTCATTTGATCTAATGAGAAACTTCTCACTAATAAAGGCAGGAGCTGCTTTTGACACATATGCATTAATATCATCTTTCTATTCTTACCATTTTTTTTTCCTGTTTTTGAGAAGGAGTCTCACTCTGTCACCCAGGCTGGAGTGCAGTGGTGAGACTTCGGCTCACTGCAACCTCTGCCTCCCAGGTTCAAGCGATTCTCCTGCCTCAGGCTCCCGAGTAGCTGGAACTACAGGCACGCACCGCCATGCCTGGCTAATTTTTGTATTTTTAGTAGAGACAGGGTTTCACCATGTTGGCCAGGCTGGTCTCGAACTCCTGACCTAAAATGATCCACCCACCTTGGCCTCCCAAAGTGCTGGGATTACAGGTGTGTGCCACTGCACCTGACCCTTTTCTTACCATTCATTCTAAGCAAATCCATTTGTAGAAAATTTTAAAATTTGTGGCAGTTAACGATGTGGGCTTTTACCCTATACAGTGACCCAGACTCTTCAGTGCAGGTAACTCCACATCAAATCTTCCATCAGAGATAAGACAGCTGCCAGCCCCTGATCTCCAGGTGAGGGCAAGCCCTCTCTCTACAAGGAAACTCCTCCTTTGGGCGGGGTTGGGGTGAGCAAAGAGAGCCACCCACATTCTCATCACACATGTGACAAGACCAATATTACTTGGCTGACTTGAGCCTTGTGGCTAAACACATTGCCTACCCCCCTTGAGATGGCCATCAACCTGTGACATCCTACTTCCTACAACAGCTACATCAGCCCAGATGTCAGACTCCATCCAGGCCAGCGGCTGCCTTCTCTGGCCATCAGTTGTCCCTCTAGCTCTGTCTAGACCTCCCTATTGTTTTGAACTGAGGCAGATTTCCTGCCTCCAACTGAATATCCCCTGGCAGTTTCCCATTTTTGTATTTTCCACCTTGTCATCTACTTAGGAGAAATTGAGTATCTTCCAGGGCCAATGCAGCCATTTTCCTGTCTCTGGAGAATCAGGAGGGAAGGCAGGGCTTGATGGGATGGGGCCATCTTGGCAGACAGCATTGCCTCGAGAACATGGGTTGGCCTCTAGGGAGGGGAAGTGGGCAGGCTCTGCTAGGCTTAGTCAAGTTAAATATTATCTTGGTCAGTGGCTCAATGGATATAGTTTCCCCATTTCTCACATCTGTGCTTCCCTTTTTTTTTAATTAATTATTTTTTTATTTTAAGATGGAGCCTCGCTCTGTCGCCAGGCTAGAGTGCAGTGGTGCGATCTCGGCTCACTGCGACTTCTGCCTCCCGGGTTCAAGCGATTCTCGTGCCCCAGCCTCCCGAGTAGCTGGGACTACAGGCACATGCCAGCACACCCAGCTAATCCTTTTTTTTTTGTATTTTTAGTAGAGACGGGGTTTTGCCATGTTGGCCAGGCTGGTCTTGAACTCATGACCTCAGGGGATCCACCCACCTTGGCCCCAAAGTGCTGGCATTACAGGTGTGAGCCACCACACCCAGCCATGCTTTCTCTTTTTAATTTTATTTATTTTGAGACGGGGCTTGCTCTGTTGTCTAGGCTGGAGTGCAGTGGTGTGAACATGGCTCACTGCAGCCTCAACCTCCTGAACTCAAGTGATCCTCCCACCTCAGCCTCCTGAGTAGCTGGGACTATAGGCACATGCCACCATGAGTGGCTTATTTTTAAATTCTTTTGTAGAGATGGGGTCTCACCAAATTGCCCAGGCTCGTTTTGAACTCCTGTGCTGGAGCAATCCACCCGCCTCAGCCTCCCAAAGTGTTGGGATTACAGGCATGAGTCACTGTGACCCGCCCACTTTCCTTCTTTTGAATGTTAGTGGTTTGGTCCACAGATATACATGTATGCAACACCAACGTAGTGCAACATGCTCATCACAGCCTGAACACTTGAGTCCAGGCTTGGGGGTCTGGAGAGGTAAAGGGAGGCCATGCCTGCACCATTTTCCCCGCCAGATCTGCCAACAGCATGTGCACTGAGCGCCTAGAGACAACGCTGCTGCTCTCTGGTCAGTCCTCAAATCAGGAAGCTTTGGGATTTGGGACTTGGGATGTTAAGGTCCTACTCAGTAGCCACACCAGGTCCCAAGTGTGGGGAGTGGTGGTTCCCGAGGACCAATGCTGGAGTACCTGATTGTGGCTGCTTCCGTGAATTACAAACCAAGGGCTAGAGCTGTAATTTATAAAATATCCTTTATTTATTCTAAGGAACAGTCAAGCAGTAGCTTTAAAAAAAAAAAAAAAAAAGACACATTTTTTGAAAGATATTCTTAGTGTTGTGACCTGGCATTGGGCCCCTGTGAGCGGGACGGTGGCTGAGACCGCCTGCTGTGGCTTTGCGAGTTCTCTGCACTCACTGGCAGGGGTTTGGTGGGAAACGGGGAAGCTTTGGCATGGTTCTGTCCAGTTGCTTATAATCAAGAATAATGAGTTTTGAGGTTTACAAAGAGCAGAAGTAACATTTATACGGCTGGCATTTGACAAAAGATTGCTGATAATATACTCATTCCAGGAAGTGTAAAAATGCTTTAAAGGAATGATAATTTGTACTTACTGTTTATGGGGACTAGATATATTAGAATTATAGCATCATTATGGGGACATAGTGTTTCCCTATAAATTCAGAAATTCTCTGGTTGATGTAAAATCATACTTCCTGGTTTTACTTAATTAGTAAAGAAATAAATAAATTAGAGTAACATTTAGTCAGGTAGAGTTACTCCTTTTTCCCCTTCTTTATTAATAAATTTTATTTTTAGCACAATCATTTACCCAAAAAGAGAGTTTGAGAATGTTCGAGAATCTCTACCACTCGGTAACCATGCTGGCTGTTATATCAGAAAAATCCATAAACATACACAGCAGCGAGCTGTTTTCACAAGACTTCCTGCTAATAAACACAACACTTTCTCCTCCACTCAGATGGGAGCCTCAGATGCCAAAACGCAGATGTGCCAACTAACTATAGGCTCGTTGCTAAGCAGAGAAACCTATCAAGTTTGTCCAGCAAATTCGATTGTACAGTGGGATGGCGTCTGCTCTGCGGCCTTGGACAGGGAGCCACTGGTCTGTGCTGCTGTCCCCTGAGGCAGGTCGAAGCTGGTGGCCCTTAGAGGGCAGGTAAAATGGTTCTCATGGGTTAGAACATAAGGGCTTTGAGAAAAAATGCAAAAGGTCTCATTGAAATTGGAGGCCTATGTGAATCTGTTTACATGGAGGCATACTGAGATCTCGTTCTGTGCTTAGGTGAACTGCAGGTCTCACGCTGGCTGCATGACTTGGTGCCCCCTGGCTGGCTGAGCCACTGCCTGCCACCTTCTCATACCATTACGTGGGGGTCTAAAGAGGACATCATCCCCAACCAAAGAATAGTGAGAGAGAAAATCCCAAACATTTGAGACAGGGTTCAAAAGCACCCAGACGCCTTCTGTCTCTTTCCCAGTTCCCATCTGGCTAGGGACTGTGAATCAGAATTCAGAATCTGTGCTGCCCTGAGGGGACAGGCACCCAAATGCAATAAATAACACCAAGCTCAGGACCCAGCCACTGACCTTCCTCCACCACTGCTGCGGGTTATTCCTCGATGGGAACTGAAGGATCCAAGGGAGGAATCCGTTCCGCCCCCAAACCTCCCTGCACAACATCGAATGCGGGAGTCTGGCTGCTGCTTCTGCACAGGACAGAGCCTCCAGTCTTTTGCTTGAGAGCATCATTTATGGCATGGACTGGGAACGCAATGTGTTCACACAAATGCACGACAATTGTACATCAGCATCTTTACAATATTAAAGGAGCCATATACAAGTCTACAGCCATTGTACACAGGATGGTGATGGCTGGGGAGCCCCGCCCACCAGTCCTCTGCAGTTTCTCCACCGGAGAACACTTGGGGAGCTGTCACAAGGCCAGGGGGGGTCCATCTTTGGGCCTGTCGTGGGGGAGGCAGCAGGTCTGCAAGGACTCCTCAGGGCCAGTCCTCACTGGAATCAGGGGTCAAGAGCGCCAGGTCTGCCTGTGTCTGGGTCTCATCGGCAGGCTAGTGTAACAACGTGAATTAAAACTGTGCATATTCGCATGAGAAAACTGGAGCTGGGGATGGCTCCCTGAGCTGGGGACCTAGAAGACGCTGCTGACAGATGGGCCCCTTCATGGTGGGGCCCATTCCTGAGGTAACGTGCAGCCCTGAGGCTGGTCCGAACGGGAGGAGACTTCTCCAGCAGCCCAGGTGCCAGTCCACACAGACAGGACTGGAAGCCCCTGGGCAGCAGGTCAGGTGACCCGGGGAGTGCAGCCTGAGCCCCCAACGGCAGCAAACGTGAAGGTCTCAGGTGGTTACAGAATCACTCAGCCCTCAGGCCCCCACCACTCTCCTCCCAGCAGCCCTGCAGCACACATCCCTGCATCTGTCCCGAGAGCCCCAGCCCTGCAGGCATCTGGGCCTGAATGCCAGGCAGCTGGTCCACCCTGCAGCCATGCTGCACGTCTGACTGAGAACTGAGCACCAGATAAAGAAGCATTGGTCCTTGTCAGCCTCTCTGACTTTTGCAGTTAGGGCTGCATCCATTTTAAATACTGTAGAAAATAAGCCATCTCTCGGACGCTAGGAGACCCGCCAGAGTCTGCCCCGCGTGGAGAGGGATAAACAGCTCCTCTGAAGTAGCTGCAGACGGCTCTTCCAACCCCGCCCCAACAGGCCCCGGGGCCTCAGAGGATGCTGCGCCAGGCTGCGAAGCTGAGGGGCTGGGAGAGCTGGCAGCAGAGATCCCACCGCTGTATCTTTGGGTCGCATCAACAGTCCTTCTGCAGGCATGCCTCCAGCATCCCACGTTCTGTTGCCATGACACCTGGGACCCTGGTGCTCGCTGGGCCAGCTTTGGACCCTCCAGCCTCACCCTCGGTCTCATGCCCACGGCCAAGTATACACAGGCAGAACTCCCCAGCACTGTTTCCAGGTCCCTGGGGGGGCCCAGGTGGGCACTGAAGCAGGGCCTAGTCCAGGGGTTCCTGCTTGATTCGAACAGCAGTGGGGGTGGGCTGCGGCCGCCGCTCCTCCCGGCAAAGCACATACTCGCTGAACTGGGAGGAGTCCACACCGCCCCCACAGGACGCAGCCACGCTGAAACCCCTCTGGAACAGCCGCTCCAGGACCTGCCCAGGAAGAAACAGAGGTCATCAAGGCCAAGCTGCAAGAGGACACCTGGCTTGGCCTGGCAGGGAGGTGGGTGCCTGCTGGGGCAGCCAGCAAGGGCACCTTCTCCTGTGACGATCTCAGTCTTGCTCACTGACAAAGGTCCCTACAGAACCACGTGCTGGGTTCCACCACCAGAGGGACAGAAGTGGCCAGGCCCAGTGACCCCTCAGGTTAGCAAACCTAGTTGGACGACCCCACCCAGGCCACCATCCTGCTGCCCTCAGGGCCTTGATTCCGGGAGGCAAAAAGAGGCTTTGGGTCCCTTCTTTATTCTGTAGGGTGTAACCTATGCCCTCTCTCCAGACACATGGCCCCAAGTGTCCTCCCTGAGTCCTGCCCCAATAATGGAGAGTTCCCTGTCCTTCAGCCTCTAGGCATCCACCAGCTTCCCTGAGCTGTGCATTCCAGGTGGTTTGAAGCCTGGGGGTGCATCAGCTCGTGGGAGCTCTGGAGGGAGAGAAAAAGGAGAAGTCCTCTCAATATTTGAGTCTCTGCAGGCGTCCACAACTATGTGGGTTTGTGCCTCTGTGAGGGTGAGGTCTGATGACTGCGTGTAACACCCGTCTCCTGCAACTAGCAAGTTCTGACCGACAGGCTGTGGAATGCGTGCACAGGGGGCCCTCTTCCCTGCAAAGCCCATTCCACCCTAACCCGGAAATGTGCCAAGCTCTTGGGTCTGCGAAGAGCTGTTGGAAAATAGGCCCTCACTCCATCTGAGCTGTCCAATTCTTGGACCCATCCAGGAAGAGCCGGTCCAGGGATTCTCTTGGCAGCTGGTGGGTGCCTGCGACTCCCAGGTCAGCAGGGAGAGGGAAGGGGCTCCAGACCACCTTTCCACTCAGCCTCTGTCCTGCCTCGCCTGTTGCCTGGGTTTAGTTCGAATCCAAAGTCAGACTCTGGGTGTCAAATGAAGCACGCTTTGTTGAAAATACTCTGGGCCATTTTTATAGAACATCCTTTTGGAAAAAAAAAAAAAAAGTACAGATCGATTTTTTTAAGTCCATCCCCCAGGCGCCATCATTTAATTATGAGAGGGACATAAATTATGCATCGACACATTGTTGCCTTTTTTGTAGGATGGCACGGGGGGCTTCACCGTTTCAGGGATCGCGCCTCCCTCCAGCTCACTCTGCCCCTGGAGGGCTCCGCGGACGCCGGGGGTGCGGCGGGGAGGGGGCAGCGTGCAGCCCTCACCTGTACCGAGTTGAGCCGGCAGTAGCCATTGAGCGGGAAGCGGATGACGTGCGTGGGGTCCTGGTTCCAGCCGGCGTTGACGGAGTTGCACATGACGTCTCCGGTCTCGGGGAAGACCTCCTCGATGAGGGCCTTCTCGCCGCTGAGTGCGATCCGCTCGCCCAAGTCGGGCGTGACGCGCACCACCAGGCAGTCACAGGCCCGGCTGCGGCGCCGCTGCTCCTGCTCCTGCTGCCAGCGCTCCAGCTCGCGCACCATGGGCTGGAGCTGATAGTAGCGCGCCTCCTCGTACAGCAGACTGAAGTCCTGGGGACAGGCGCACAGGGTGTTGATGTGGGTGTCGGAGTAGGGGTGGTGGGGGAAGGGGGAGAGGGGAGGCGGCCTGCCGGTTCCAACCAATTCTGCAGGAACTGCGACTCGCAGGGTATTGTGTGGACTGGGCCGGTTGCACCCATTGTACAGATGGGGCAACTGAGTGGTTTGCAAGTATAAAGAACCTAGCCTTGTCCCAAGGGCAGCCGCTGATGTGCACCTGTGCCAGCCCCCCTGAGCCCTTCCATCTGGCCCCAGGCACTGGGCAGTGAAGCCTCCCCATGGAAAGACCTGGAAGCTCCACTAAAGGACGAGGCTGTGCCTATGCCTGGGGACCTGCTGCTGCCTTAGAATCCCACCGAGAGAAGAGATCATGCTGGGCACAGGGCAGCCGGGCCTAGGAGCTCACAGCCTACCCGGAAGCAAAAAAAGTTCTTCTCCAGCCAAGCCTGCCTGGGTCAGATTTTCAGCTTCATCATCAACCTGCCCTGAGACCTCTAAACCTCTATACCTCACTAACTGAGCCTCTTGGTTTTTTTTTCGTTTTTTTTTGTTTTTTTTTTTTGTTTTTGTTTTTTGAGACAGACTCTCTCTGTCACCCAGGCTGGAGTGCAGTGGCTCGATTTTGGCTCACAGCAAACTCCACAATTCTCGTGCCTCAGCCTCCCGAGTAGCTGGGACTACAGGTGCCTGCCACCACACCCGGCTAACTTTTATGTTTTTAGTAGAGATGGGGTTTTCCCATGTTGGCCAGGCTGGTCTTGAACTCCTGCCCTCATGTGATCCACCTGCCTCGGCCTCCCAAGGCGTGAGCCACTGCGCCCGGCCTCAGTTCCCTTATGTATAAAATGGACATAAACAACCAGCTCAGAGAATGAAAGTGAGGATCAAAGGATGCAAGATGTGCCAAGTGCCTGGTCCAGCCCCTGCCCAAACAGGCAGAGTGTGATAAAGTGTCCAGGGAGGGGAAGCCCGCCCCCTGCCACGCAGCCCCCTTCTGGGCTAAGCAGCCTCGCACAGACTGTCCCTCAGGCGCTGATACTGGCCCCATGCCCTGGGCCACATATGCACACTATACACGCTCACACACACCCACCCCACTGGGAATGGCCAAGGTCCCATAGGTCCCCATGACTCATGCCTGAGGAAGAGGCAAGGAAGCCCAGCCCCCTGACCTACAGGCCCTAAGTCCCTTCCACCTGCTGGCCGCCTGGAGGGAGGCCTAGATTCTAACCCTGACCTCTGGGCCTGTCATGGGTCAGTGGCCCATCCTGCCTCTCCTGCCCCATGCAAGGGCTCCTCAGGGCTCTATCCTGGGCCTCTGCTCTCTCCACTCTCACTTGCTCCTGAGATTTTTATTTTATTTTCTTTAGACAGGGTCTCATTCTGTAGCCCAGACTGGAGTGCAGTGATGTGATCATAGCTCACTGCAGCCTTGAACTCCCAGGCTCAAGGGATCCTCCTGACTCAGCCTCCCGAGCAGCTGAGACTACAGGCATGAGCCATCATGCCAGGATAATAATAATAATAACAATAATAATTATTTGTAGACACAAGGTCCAGGCTGGTCTGGAATTCCTGGGATCAAATGATCCTCCTGCTTGGCCTCCCAAAGCACTGGGATTACAGGTGTGAGCCACCTCTCCTGGCCATTCTCCTGAGATTTTAAATGACAACTGCATGACAGACAACCCCATCTTTTGTCATGGCCCAGGATTTCTCCATCTGATGCCCCACCAGCTCTCCCATGCAGGGGCAGAAACCCCACTCCCACAGCCTGGTCCACCCCGGGCCTCAACTTACCAACTCAGAATTCAAGCCACAAGTCCCGGGGCACCTGCAAGAGGCCCTTTACACTACCACAGCCACGTGCTTTTGCAGCTTGCTTGCTTGTTTATTTATTTACTTATGAAAAGTAAATAAATTACTCTTAAAAAACTTTAAAAGTAAAGTTTATTTATTTACTTATGAAACCTTGCTCTGTTGCCCAGGCTGGAGTGCAGTGGTGTGACCTCAGCTCACTGCAACATCCACCTCCTGGGTTCAAGCAATTCTCCTGTCTCAGTCTCCCGAGTAGCTGGGACTACAGGTGCACACCACCACGCCCGGCTCATTTTTGTATTTTTAAGAGAGATGGGGTTTCACCATATTGGTCAGGCTGGTCTCGAACTCCTGACCTCAGGTGATCCACCTAAATCGGCCTCCCAAAGCGCTAGAATTACAGGTGTGAGCCACCGCACCCGGCCTTTTTTAATTAAAAAACAAATTTGTATAGACAGCATCTTGCTATGTTGTCCAGGCTGGTCTTGAACTCCAGGCCTCAAAGGATCCTCCCCATTCGGCCTCCCAAAGTGCTGGGATGACCAAGTGAGCCACTGTGCCTGTACTAAACAGAAGTCTGATGTGCCACCTTGCTCCATCTTCTCTATCTCCATCCTGGTCCATCCAAAGCCTCCACCCAGCCTCCCTTGGCCTGGGGAAGGGGCCTCATCCATAATTGCCTCACTGCACCCACCCCCACCCCTCTCTGCCTTCTTCCCCACCCAACAGCCAGAGAGATCTTCCCAATTTGCAGATCTGACTGCCCTTCCCCTGCACACACCCCTTCCACTGCATTCAGAGTTAAATGCCAGGCACTGGGCCACCCACCAAGGTCCTGACATCAAACAGCAGCCTCCTTTCCTGACCTTCCCCTCCCAGTCCATAAAGCTCCAGGCTTGACACCTTCTTTCCAGTTCTGGAATGCATCAAGCCATCTGCCACCCCCATCCCCTGCACCAAGGCCCTCACACCTGTTTGGCCCCGTTCTGCCTTCACCACCCAGATGAACATCATTTCTTTCAAACCCGCCCAGCCCAGGTCACATGGACTTCAAGTTCAGTATCTGTCTGCCCGCTAGACTGTTAAGTGTTGTGGGGCAGGTCCTAGTGTGTGTGTTTCACTGTTTTCAGCCTGAATTCAGAGGCTGGCACTCAGTAACTGAGCTGGATGAAAGACAAGGCCCCAGGGCTACTGGTCCTCTGGATAGAGGAAGGAATGAAGGAAGGAAGGACAGACATTTGCTAGTATTAATACATGCCAGTGTACCCCAGGCCTGAGTTTCCTTCCTCCCAGAGTCCCTGACATGTGGGAGGGGCTCAGCACTGAGGCATGACCCAGGGAACCAGGTCACCTGCCCTGACGGGCTCACCCGGAGACCTGGGGGTTAACCTTTTGTTTAAAGGGTATCTGTTTGGTCATCAGGGCTTTTCTCCCTGCAAATTGCCCAACACAGAACAGATTTTTTTTTTTTTTTGAGACAGAGTCTTGCTCCGTCATCCAGGCTGGAGTGCAGTGACGTGATCTCGGCTCACTGCAACCTCCGCCTCCACCTCCTGGGTTCAAGAGATTCTCCTGCCTCAGCTTCCCAAGTGGCTGGTATTACAGGCACCTGTCACCATGCCCGGCTAATTTTTGCATTTTTCTTTTTATACTTTATTTTTTGAAGTCTAATTACAGCCGTCCTTTTCTTTCTCTTTTTTGAGACGGAGTCTTGCTCTGTCGCCCAGGCTAGAGTGCAGTGGCGCAATCTCGGCCCACTGTAACCTCTGCCTCCTGGGTTCAAGTGGTTCTCCTGTCTCAGCCTCCCGAGTAGCTGGGATTACAGGCCTGCCACCACGCCTGGCTAATTTTTCTATTTTTAGCAGAGACGGTGTTTCACCATCTTGGCCAGGCTGGTCTCAAACTCCTGACCTGGTGATCCACCCGCCTCGGCCTCCCAAAGTGCTGGGATTACAGGCGTGAGCCACCGCTCCAGGCCTAATTTTTGCATTTTCAGTAGAGATGGGGTTTCATCAAGTTGGCCAAGTTGGTCTTGAACTCCTGACCTCAAGTGATCCACCCACCTTGGCCTCCCAAAGTGCTGGGATTACAGGCATGAACCACTGCACCCAGCCGATGGAACAGATTTATGAACCTCTAACTACTATAACGCTGGCACGCGCCCATCCTTAAACACGACAAATGTTCAGCTGGGATACGTTCTGCAGCTTGATTGTTGTTATATACCCTGATAAATAAGCTAAAAATGTGAGAAAACAAAATTAGTTTAGAAAAACTGATTTAGCCCTCGGCTTCATCGTTTAACTTTTTATGGTTACCATGACAACCAGGGGTCCACTTATTAAGTCACAGCGTCCCCTGTGTAATGCCATCACACAGGCAGTGCAGGGGGGCCACCAGCCATGGACTTACCTTAAAGTCATCCGGAAGCAGCAGCTTGGACGTCCGCAGGAAGCTCAGGACGTAGCGGAAAATCTCCCCATCCCGGTCAATGAAATAATGTTGCTTCAAACTGTCCAGGACGATGGGTTCAGTGCCATTGAAGAGGCGGCTTATCCTGGGAGAGACAGGCGAGGTGGGATGTCTGAAGGGATGGGGACAAGTCTGCCTGTCTTCCCACACCCCGCCCCCACTCCTGAGGGCCCACACGGCTGGAGGGGCGAGGGACCTGACATGGGTGACTCTGGAACTGTTCCAGGCCTGACAACATCTGCACACACCTGGGGCAGCCAGGCTACAGTTAACAGGACACACCACACATCCTGCCTACACCCGCAAGTCACAGCCAGAGAGGGACACACCCAGCTGTACACACCAGCCTGCCAACACACGTTATGTTACAGGCCTGGAAAGGTATAGCAAGACACAGGCACCTTACCCCCTACACACAAACCAGCTGGTCACAGGCCTGGTGCACACACCCTTGCCAGATAGACCCACCCAGAAAATGCACATGAACCATCCAACACCCCGGCCAACAGCCACACACCCAGTAAACGAGCCAGGACATACATCCTCCCCACCCAACCCATGTAAACGAGTGTGAGACACACAGGCCTGTGCAACAGGCACAGGGTCACATGGTCCCTTCCTTCCCAACACACACATATCATGCAGATCCAGACACATCCAGGAAAGGACACACACCTGTCAACACCAGGCACCCAGAGACATGACGGCACAAATCCCCTACTGCCGCTCACTCAGGGAGCCCACAGGGAGAAACAGAGGCAGACAGGAGGGATGGCAAGTGTGCCACAGCACACACATGCAACAGGGCCCTTGCACACATGCCACAACACAGGCATACACACACGCACACAGAAACCATGCACACACATGCACCACAGTGCATACATATGTGCACACATGCCAGAGCGTATGCACACCACACCTAGTGGTGGCGGATGGGGACTGGAGAGAAGGCAGGTGCCGGTACCCTGTCCTCTGAAGGGCAATGGTTCTAACAAATGCAAGACCAGGAGAAGGGTCTTGGGGAGCCCCTGATGCCTGTCCCTGTCCACTCCGGGGAGAAGGAGCCAGGCCTCAGAGCCAGGGCTGATACCACCTCCCCAGTGCCCAGGGTGGCCAGCTCTGGTTTGGCAACTGCCCTGGCAGACCCCAGGTCGAGCTAGGGATAACTAGGAACCCTAAAGAGGGGTGGGAGTAGCCAAGGGCTTGGTTTGGGAACAGGAGGGAAGTTGGCATCATTTCCCCAAGGGCAGCACCACCACATCCTTCAGCAGGCAGGGCCACACTCCTGCCCAGCTGGACCCTGCCAAGGTGGCAGCTTCTCTGCACAGCTGGGAGAACAGTAGCTCCAACTTGGGACCTAGGCTTCCCAGCCCGGCCTGCACACAATCTGGAGCCTAAGCCCCTCACTCTCTGCCTGCACCAGCAGGGACCCCTGCAGGGATGCCCCCTGTTCTAACAGCAGCCCACTCCTCTGTCCACTCCAAGTCAGCCGTCTCCAGGGCCCTGCCCCACTGCCACTTGCACCCAGGACACACTAGCTGGGCAGGAGCTGAGGGAGTCAGAGCCCCCAAGTCTGCCCTCAGGGCCTCCCGTCCACACCATCCTATGCTCTGATGGCCCAGCACACTCAATGCATCAGCCATGATGGTCTGCCCGGGTATGGAGTCTCTGGGAACACGGTGCAGGTTTCTCTCCTAGCAGGGTAGTATAAAGGGCACGGTTTAGCTGGGCACCGTGGCTCACACCTGTAATCCCAGCACTTTGGGAAGCTAAGGTGGAGGACTGCTTGAGGCCAGGGGTTCGAGACCAGCCTAGGCAACGCAGCAAGACCCCATCTCTACAAAAAATTTAAAAATTAGCTGGGTATGGTGGCATGCACTTGTAGTCCACTTGGGAGGCTGAGGTGGGAGGATCACTTGAGTCCATGCGTTTGAGGTTGCAATGAGCCGAGATCACACCACGTACTCCAGCCTGGCCAAGAAAGACAAACGCTGTCGCTTAAAAGAAAGAAAGAAAAGGGCAAGGCTGTCTCGTGGATGGGCATGGGGAGGTCAGAGTCTGCTGTGAGCCCGAGTCTGTGGACCCAGAGCTGCAGCCACCCAGATACAACTCATCTCAGAGCTCCAAAGGCCGATGAGCCCTGTCAACCCCCTAGGCCTGGTGACAATGGCACTGCAGGTCACAGCCCCTGCTGGAAAGGCTGTGGGTTCCACGGCTGGCTCCAGTTACAAAGGCCCTAGGACCTGGCCTAGTAGAGCGTGGGCATCCAGATGTCAGAGTGAGGGCCACCCAGCATTCCTGGAGACAGATGGGTCTGTCCCAGGCTGCCAGATACCATGGGCAGTGGTTGGCAGGTGGCTGAGGTCCATGTGTGGCACCGGTGGGAAGTAAGAGCTACATCCAAGGTGAGTCAGCAGATCCAAACCCTCAGCCTCCTGGGAACTCTCCCCACCCTTCCCAGTGGAGCTCCAAAGTCCATGTAAGCAGGCAGCATTCTAGGCCTGGCTGAGTTCCCAACCCTTCTGACGTCAGGTCTGGCTGAGGCTCTAGCTGGTCCTGTTGGTCTAGAAGACTCCTGATGCACCCACATTCCAGGGCTGGATGGGTTCTAGGTTGTCTCATCGGTCCAAGTTTAGAAGGTTTTCCATCTGCCTTATTTCAGGACAGGCTGATTCTAGATCTTTCCATGGTTCAGTATAGGCTCCTGGATCAAGCGGCAGCTGTACCGCCTCTCCCAGGACAGAGGCCTTTCATGCCCTCAGCGTCTGAGGCTGCCAAGGACGTGAGCAGGTTGAGGAAAGGTGAGGATAATCACCATGGAGGAGCCCTCAGCCATTCTCAGCCCTGCAGGTATGAGTTCCCAGCTCTGTCAGGGGCTCCACGTTCCCTGTGGAAAATGGCCCAGGCCACCCTCTGAGAGAGGATGCAGGGTTTGAGGGGCCGGCTTCCGAAGTCCTCCATGGAATGAGGTGGCCAGTTCACGCTGCAGCAGGTGGGACCCTCAGGGGCAGAAAAGATGCCTCCAACCACCTGCCCTGTGTGCACAAGGGGGAGCATCAGGATGGCCTTCGTCTTCTCGTTTATTTCCTTTTTTTTTTTAAGCTCTGGCTCCAATTTCCTGGCTGTTTCAGGCACCAGGTTTTAAGAGTTCTGAAGCTCCTGGCCATCTTCATTTGATGCTTCCCATAGTCAGGATGGATGTCAGAGTGTGGCTGTGATGGCGGCAGCTAACGGGGGTCAAGCAGGCAGGACACCAGCAAGGGGGCCGGCCCAGGGAATCCACTCCCAGCCCCGGCTGTGCTTGGCTGTCTCGGGTGAGGACCAGTGACTGCTCCTAGGCAGACCAGAGGAGTCACCCAGCACGAGACTCTCCAGCACCCAGGCCACCCCAACCGCCGAGACCCAGAGGCTCAGGCAGAGTTCTCAGGGGAGCCGAGGGTAGAGGTCCCAGCTTTTACAATGCTGCCTAGGGCAGGTCATCTTCACCATCCAGAAACCCCCTGAGGACCACAGCACTCTTAGTCCTCCATCTCCAGGTGTCTCCTAGATCAGTGACACTAGGTGAGATTGATTTTTTCCAGAATTGGTAGAAAACTGCTTATATTATAATAATCCACTACAGGAAGGACAAGAGAGATCTGAGGGGCTCTTGCCAGCACAGCTGCCTGACCCACTTCTCAGGCCCCCTGGCCTCCTGTCCCCTGATTGTCCTGCAGGTCAGCCATCCCTGGCCTCTAGTCCAAAGCTTCAGGCCTACAGAGCACCCCCACAGCAGCCAGAGGCCATCCAGGCAGAACAACAGATTCACCTTGAGCCCCAGCCCTGGGGAAGAATAAACATAGACTGCCACCCCTTGGGCACACCAGGAGGGTCCCAAGTGCCAGATCACAGGGCCACAGGGGCCCTAGCTCCCCATGAGAGCACATCCCACAGCAGAACAAAGCAATGGGTGAGCAGCACAGTGGGGCTGGGTGGGGGGAGATGGCCCCCTGCCCTCCTGCTCTCAGGCAGCAGCCAAGAGCCCAGAATGAGAAGCCTCTCCCACCCGCCTCCCCCAGGGCCTGGGCTGTGATTACTCCAGACAGGCAACTCTCTGATTTCAGGAAACTCTTCAGAGAGGGTTGTGGGCAAAGGTTTTATGAATTTCACTCACAAACGTCGTCAACCGATTAAGGGATGATCTATCTCAAACAACTCAGAAATGCCGCAGAAGGCAAAATGGAAATTAAATAAGCAGAATCTATCTCCCATCCTAGACAGGGCTCTGTGAGTGAGCACACAGGCCAACACTGCTGACCTGGCCCCGTGGCTCTTGTCCCCACCCCACAAGCCCCAAGGCCACAGGGCCCCAGGCTGAGTCTCTGTCCACCTGGGGTACTGGAACACCAGTCACCATCTGTACCCTAGACTCTCCAAATTTGGAACTAGACACTGCACCCATTTCCAGTTTTTCCTCCTCAAGGGACCATGCCTGCACCTGCACAGGCTCCCCTGCAGCCCCAACAGGCTTGGAAAGCCACCTCTGCGCACTACCATCCTCCCTGCTCTGAGGAACCACACCGGTGACAATGCAGCCTGCCGTGTATGCTCCCCAGAGATGATCCCTCAGTATCTGGGGGATTAATTAACTCCTCCTGTTATTTCAAATGCATAACACAGGGGTGATGCCCACAGCCTTGGCCCTCCCACGCTCAGCCTTCAGCAGCCCCAGGGGAGCGATGACCGCCTCTCTGTGCCAGGAGCAAACATCCTCGGCTGAGCAAGCTGCTCAAGACCCACCCTACTCGGGTCAGCCCTGCTGCCGTGCCAACGGGGAAAGCAGGTCCCTCACCCAGGAGAGAAACACCCTGCAAGGAAGAGCAGGAGAGCTGGCAGCACCCAGCACCCCAAACCTCTCGCAGGCCCAAGGGCCTGGGCAGCCTATAAGTTCAGCAGCATGGAGGGTGCCTGTGAGCCCCCAACCAGGGTCCTGGCCAGAGACCCTTTATCCACTGATGAGGTATGTGATTCATTCCTAGCTAGTCACTGCAGCACCAGCTCCAAGGGAAGCCTGCTGCTAGCCTCTAGGGCCCAGCAGTGGCCACGGAAAATGACAAAGATGGCACACTGCAGCTCACCACAGCTCCTCTTCCCTCCCCTTGTGAATTTCCCAGGGGTGGAATAGAAAATAGGATTAAATACCCACCCCCATGCCCCCAAGACTTACCTACTCAGTATCACTCACAAATGACCCCCTGCAGGGGCCGGGCCTAAGTCTCCCTCCAGAGGAACCTTGAAGGTACGTGAGACTCCCCTGCCCGCTGCCGGCAGGCTCAGGCTGGGCTGGCTCTGAATAAGCCCTAGTCCCCTGCAGGTGGGTCAGGAGCTCCACCTTGCACTACCAATGCCGCCAAGTCAGGGTCACAAGCCTCTGTGCATAGCAGCTTTCAACAGGCAGACTTGGACTCCCCAACCCTAGCTCCCTCAGGCTGTGTCAGCTTGTGCACCCTGGAGACCCTGGTGGGTGGAGTGACAGTGGGGAGAGACCCCACCCCCTAGGCAGCAGATTACAGATGCTGCCCTGACCCACACATGCCTGATGTTTCAAGGGGCTTACTCTTACCTGGAGTCAGGGTACTTGGTGAGCGTGGCCAGGCTGCTGGTGTACATGTGGCCGCCCACATCGATGTGCACAGGTGCATTGGACTTGGTGAGCTGGGCTGGCAGGGGGATGCCCTGGGCAGCCAGGGGAGACACAGGCGACCGGGTGAGAGACAGCCGGGACATGTTTCCTCCCTCCTAGAGATGGAAACAAAGCGGAACACAAGAGTTTCAAAGCGGAACACAAGAGTTTCTCCACAACACAGCCATGCACTCCCTTTATTGAGAGTGTGATCACAGATCTAATCAGATCACTTCTGCCCGTGCCTGATCATATATTCAGCTGACAAATTATGGCCACCACTGTAATTAAGTGTATTTGCATCATTTTCTTCAAAGTACCAGAGGGAAAAAGAAAGATGCTTATTAGCAATAAGAAATCAAGAAAAAAAATTTTTCAAGGTGTCAGCCTCCAGGGGCATAAAACAAACTGCAAAATTCTAATTAAAGGTCGTGGGCTTATGTGTTAGATGTGAAATATCCCCTGACAAACGAATCACCAATTTGTGAATTGGGATTCAGGGGTTTTTTGCAAGTTTGTCTCAGTAACGAGACACCTCTAAATTAGTGACTTCCTCAGCACCTAAGGCGTTGAGTTTTATACATGTAGTAAATTTCACATCAAATTAAGAGCATTTTTGTTTCAAAAATACATAATCCTACAGCCAGTCAACAGCCACCTGGAGTGTCATGGTCCCAAGGAAGGACAGCCAGTAAACAGGCACTGGGGAAGAAGGGAAAGAGGGAACTCCCGGCAGGGACCCAGCCCACCCTGCAGGCTCACCGCGGTGCCGGTGCTGCCGTGTGTGTGAAGCGAGGACCCGCTCGGCCGCTCCTTGCGGTGAGGCATCTAGGCTTCCATCCCTGCCCAGAGTATCTGCGGGAGGCATCGACAAAACCAGAGAAGGCTTATTCCTCCTAGTCATGTACCATGGGGTCAAAGACACTTAGAATTGTCCTTTCTGCATGCTCTCTGAGACCCTGCGAGGTCCATGCAGCCCTCCCTGATTGACTCCACCGCCACTATCTCTCTATCTGTCTCCACACCCCAAAGCAGGCCTCCAGGCTGTAGCAGATGACACACACATACATGCACACACACACAGTCACACTCACACATGTGTTTTCTGGGCAGCTCCATGTCTGCTAATTCGGCTAATGACAGCACTGAAACATATGCTCACCATTATTGCCCCAAAATATTTCAGAACAAACCAGATTTTCCTGGTATTTTCCTTTCAAGCCATGTTACCAAGCGTGTCTCCTCTTGCAACAGCCTTGTGGACCAAGGCTCAGAAAGCACCCCTCACCCTCCATGGGCCAGGGAACCTAGGACCTCTCTTAATACCATCCCCATGGTGATAAGATACAGCTTGCATCTGGCCAGACACAGGGAAGCCGTTCAGCAGAAGTCCAGGCACATGGATGAGGGCAAGTCACTTGGGAAGCCGCCTCTTCTCTGTGGCTCCCAATAGCAGAGAAAACCTGTCTTTGTTTGCCTAGTCTGTACCTCACAGTTTCTCCCCAGACTCCCAGAGTGGTGTTGTCTATGCCTAATGCATTCCAGACCCCTCAGGATCACATACCCCCGAGGCATCAGGAGATGGCCAGGTGGCCAGGAGGAAGCACAGAGCAAGCAGATCAGCCAATGGACCCTTTCTACTGCTCCTCCCCAGAGGCACTCAGTAACTCTCCTCTGTGCCGTAGTCACCTGAAATAAGATTGTCCCTCAGTCCCTGGAAGCCACACCCAGGGGCGCTTTGCAGGCCCTATGCAGGAGGGGCAGAATTCTGCAGCCCCGTTCACTGATTTACAGCTGTCTCAAAAGGGAGGAAAGAGGAGATTTGCACGTGAATAGTCACCCCCCTTCACACATCCACAGACACTGGCTTCCACAAACCTACCCTGGACGTCTCTCGAAGGTTTAACCTTTAAGAGAGAAACCACTTGAAATTCTTGGGACCCATGGGATTGCTTTTTCCCATTAAAACTCTGGGATCAAAATTTGTGCCTTGAAATTCAATATCCAATTTTAATCCAACCAGAATCAAATCCTGCAAATGTAAGCAAGGTTGCTCTCCCTGAGTGCCCGGGCAAGTTTCCTGACATAAAACTGGGGTGGGAGGTTGCAATGGGCAGACAGTGATGTTTAATATATACCCTCACTGGGGCCTGTGGACTCAGAATCCACTGCTTTTGGCATTCCTGAGTTCTACAAGCTTAAAAAAACAAAACCAGGTCACTTAGCTCAAGGAGTTCTGAGAACCAAAACAGACCTCAGGAATGGATTATCCTGCCCTAGGAGGCTCTGCTGGGGGAGGAGTCAGAAGGGAAGACGCGCTGAGGATAAACTGAACAGGAAGGAATTCTGGCTGAAATTCTATCAAAGCGGACTGCAAGATGTTTTCCCCAATACCAGGACACTATTCCAAAGTGACGTGAACACCAAGCCTCCATCACAGAAGCCGCTCCACTCTGTTCTTAGCCCCTTTTCCCTCCCAAGAACAACCTGATGTTCATGGCAAGCCAGAAACTTACCGTTGGAAGCCCCAGGCTTTACGCCTTGCCGTGAATCTCCAAGGTTTCTCCCAACAAGCGCATCCGTGCGGGACCACGACCCTCTTTCCGAGACCACTGCTTAAGTCAGAAGCACAAAAGTGGGTGCAGTGAGAGATACAAGTTCATTCCACCAGCACCAGCATCAAACCCAGCACCCAGCCCCAGTGCGCCCTGGCCCGCCTGTTGCAGGGGCCTCAGCGATAGCGGTCGGGAGGGCCCACAGGTTTCCAAACTGGCCCGGTAGTGACCCGCTTCTCCAGCTGCGGCGGGAGACCCGGGTCCCTGCCCGCCCGCCGCCGAGCCCCGCCCGCCCGAGCAGAGAGAAGTGAGCAGAATGCCACGCTCATTTACACACAAAATGATTTTGTGTCCCATTGCGCTCGCAGTTGTTCGGCTCTCTGGGGGTGATTAAACTGGCTGAGCTGCGGCAGCTTGAGACGATTTCACTAAATCGCTTCTTCTGAAGTCGCTTCTTTGCTAAGCTGTTATTTTAACCATAAAAGGTAAACAGAAGGCGCCTCTCGAGCTCCCCTCGGCTCCGCACTCAGGGCGCTGGCCCGGGGCGAAAGTCCTGGGGGCCTGCACAATTGTCCCAGGGGTGGCCCCGGAGAGGCAGGCGGGCCACCTGGTGCGCGCCAGCCTCCCCACCCCCCCCCTCCCGCCTCCGCCGCGGAGCCAGCCGGCCGGTGTGAACTTAGGGGCGACGGGAGAGGGCTTGGGCCAAGGCTGGAGGCGCCGCGGGGCGGGGTGGCCGCGGCACCCGAAGCGCGGGGCTGGGCTGGGAGGGGTTGCCGCGGAGGCGGGGCGGGGACAAAGTTAAATCAAGAGGCAGACACTTGGAGACCACAGATGGGAAGCTCGCCTAATTAAGGACGTAAAAGCGCTTTTGTTCTCAAAGTTTATTGTTGCCGGGATTAAAAAAAAATTAATTGAAACTAATGCTGTTATTCACTCGTGCAGTTAAATTCCTTCATGCACATTTGAGATACGGAGCGAAAACTTGAAGCTTATCTTTCTGCAGTCGCGGGTGGGGGCCGCCGGAAGACAGAAAGGCGCTGCAGAGGCGGGGGTCCGCCCCCGGGTGTGTTTGCGAGTGTGTGCCGGGTGCGCGCGTCCAGGTCAGGGGGTGCGGGCGGGCAGCGGGGAACCGGATCTGCAGGCGGCGATCCCTCCCATCGCGGCCCCTCTCCCAGCCCCAAACCCTGCGCGCCCGGGACCACCACCAGCGCGACAGCCCCTCCTGCCAGGTTTCGGACTCGTGGGGTGGGCGTCAGAGGACGCACATCTGTCCCACTGGAGACTTTCTCTGATTTTGGGCGCCAAGCCGGGACTTGTGCATCCCGAAGCCCCAGTTGCGTGAGCCCGTTTCTGACCCCGGAAACTCGCCAGCTCTGCAGGGCGCTCGGCCCAGAACAGGGGCCAGAGTGCGGGGACCTCCACAAGCGCGCGCGCGCGCGCGCGCACACACACACACACACACACACACACACACACACACCGCGCGGCAGGAAGCTCCGAGACCGCCCGCGTGGGGAGGGTCCACCCGCGGCCAGGACCAGCCCACGTGGGCAACCCCACTCTTGCACCAGGCCTTTGTGCTGGGCACCCCCGCGCCGCCAGCCCCCGCCGCCCAGCAGAGGGACAAAGCGGCCGCCCCCGCCCAGGTCCAGACCCTGGCCGGGCGACTTTCTCGGTATCGCAGCCACTTCGGGGCAGGGTTGCGCGGCTCTGAGCGGTGGCCGCCCGCGCTGAGCTTACCTCGGAGCCGGCAGATCGGGCTCGGGCGCAGCCCCCGCCCCACGCAGCTGCCGGTCTCGGGCGCCGGGCGCAGCTTCGCCGCCTATGCTCGCTGCGCGGGTCGCTCCGGTCTCGTCCTGGAGTTACTTTCTCTCTCGCCCCCAACCCTCCCCCCACCCACCCCTCCCGCCCCGGCCCCCGCTTCACGCGGCCCCTCGCGGCGCGGCGCGCCGGGGCCTCCCCTCCCCACCCTCCCCTCGCCTCCTCCCCTCTTCGCGGCCGCCGCCTCCGCCGCCGCCGCCTCCTCCTCGCGCCGCTCTCCGGCTGCCCTCCCGCCGCTCCCACCTCCTCTCCTCCCTCCTCTCTCTCCGGCGGCCTCCCTCGATTGCTGGAGAGAAAACCAGCCCCCCACTCCAGCCCCTAGCCAGCGCCTCGCCGCGGCCCAGCCCGGACGTAAAGGGCAGCGATCCGGCCCCAAATTACCCAGCGCGAACGGGCGCGCGCGGCGACTCCTGGCTCGGGGCTCGGCTGCGCCGCGGGGCAGAGGATTAGAGTCGCAATTAGCTCCGCGCGCCCGCGCCTGGCGACAAAAACGCGCCGTTTCCCCTCCTTTCGCCGGGCGATCCCCACCCGCCTCTCCCGAAGCCCGCGCCTTCCCGCCGGGGCCGCGGCCAGGACCCTCCCGGGAGCGGTGCGCCCAGGCCCCAGCGCCCTCCGCGGCCCAGCCCCCCGCCCCCCGCCGGCCGGCCACGCGGCGCCCGGGCCTCCTCCGGGCTCGGGGAGGGGGCGGGGGAGAGGCTGATTTTAATCATTGTCATTTCATCTGATGTAATATTTCCCCGGGCGCTTTCAGCTGGGCATAAATTTTCGGCTCCCAAATAAGTAACACAGGGCACGTTTCTCACATTTCTTGACTCCTCGGTTACAAAGAGGAGAGCAGCCGCCGCCGCGGCGCCCGGGGCTGGGGGCGGGACTTGGGAAGAAACTGGGCTGCCAGTCGGTCGGGGCTGGAGCGGAGCCGGGGGCCAGGCCGCCCCTCCCCCGCTCCCTGGCCGCCCTCCCAGGGTCTCTGCCCCGCTGCCCCTCTCCCGTGACGTCTGCGGACACGCGGTCGGCCGCCGCGGGGGAGGGACGCGCTGGGGCACCGGGCCGACCGCTCGCGGCTAGACGCGCCATTTCCTTTACGCGCGCGGCGCGATGGAGACGGCGGCAGCCAAGACTCCCCGCGGCCGAGGTCCGCGCCCCGGACGCCCCTCCCCAGTCTCCGCTTCGGCCGCCCCTTCCTCCTTTTCTCCCACTCCCACTCCTCCTCCCCTTCCTCTTCCTCCTGTTTCCTTTGCGCCCCGCCCGTGCCTCCTCCTCCTCCTCGGCGACCATTTCCCGGCTCCTAGGAAACGGAGCGCGCGACTGGCCGGCACTGCGCCCCCGCCTGGCTCCAGGGACGCCCGGGCCGGAGACCGGCTGGGACCGCGGGGCGGGTGCGCACGGGCCGGAACGGCGCCTGGGTCCCGACCGCCGGCTCCGGCCGGGCCTGGACGCCCCCTAGCGGCCGCACTCCCGGGGTGGGGGGCGCTCGGGGTCGGCCTGGAGCTGGGGTGAGGGGGACTCGGGGTGCCAGTGGGAGGAAGGTGAAGTGGGGGGGGCTTTCTCCCTCTACTAGAGGACCTCGCGCGCGTGGAGAGAGCGTCCAGACAGCGCTTCCGTAACTTCTTTACGCGGGAATCAGCCGAAACTTTCCTCCTAAGGGAAGGTTTTATTTATTTATTTATTTTCGAGTTCGAACTACAGGAAAAAGGGGGAAATTTTCTCATTAAAGTTACATCCCTGCAGTTAGTTCAATTATTTGATATATGCAGAAGATGTTGTAAATTTATAGATTTAAATAGCTTACAAAGATGCCGCAGGCCCCATCAGTTAATTTCCTTAATTTATGGATTTTGAGCTGCTCCTGGAACAGAAAGAAGCCCTGGAAGTAGGTCAGGGATCTGTGCAGGGGTTGGGAGGGGCTCCCGCGAGGCCCAAGGGCTGCCCACTCTGCTCCCTACGCCCCGGTACCTCCGGGCTTCCAGCTCCCAGCTTCGGCTCAGCAGCGCGCTCTCTGCGCGTTCGGCACGCTGGCCAGGCCCGGCCCGGCCCGAGAGGTCAGCCCAGCTTTGTGGCCGACTGTCCCAAGCACGACATAGGAACAGCAAAGCCCTCCATCAATGCACATCCCACTCAGCATTGAGGGACCAGACACAAATAGAAAGTGAAGCAAGTATTCAAATACTTTGATCTCCTGTATCCACCCTTAAATGCTGGCTAGAATCACAATCGGACGAGGTTGTGTGTGTGGGTGCCCCCAACTTCATGGACAGAAACGTCCTCCCCCGCCCCAGGCCTTTGTGGAGGGTGGAATGAGGGAAGGTGGAGCAGGCTTGTGTTGGAGGATGAGGGACTCACTGAAAATCCGCTTGTCATGGCTCCTGTGGCCCCCAGCGCCCCTCACACCTCTTTTGTCCCTCATCCTAGGTGGCTGCGGTAACGCCTTTGTTTCGTGTTCAATCTGGGTGAATATATACATATAAATTAATACTTGAAAGATTGGTATAAGCGAAACTGTTTTAGGAAGCCACATGGCAATGTGATTAGTATGGGTATTCATGATTTAACATTTATTTTCCCACTAGATGAAGTTTCTAAGATTTGCAAGGTACATGTCAAGGACGGGTGTATAAATGGATTTTTATTTATTCACAACTCCAAGACTAATTGCTTCTCTTTGCCTCAAGGCCATGAGATTGGTTTTAATATGACACTTCAAAAGTATTCATGGAACTACAGAGCTACTAAGTGTCATTGTTTAAGAGACAAATCTCACCATGGTACTGGTGACCCTGAAAATAGGATATTCTACTTTATTTTAAATTCCTACGTGTTTTTTTAAGAGTTTCACTTTATACCAATTATAATAAAAATGTACAATTTAGTGGAAACAAGAACTGGACGACTTTTATTTCCTTAGTACGGCTGGGGACTTTGTTTCTGTATTCCTGAATCCTTTTATTTAAGAGCTGAACTTTATACGTGTCATTAAGAACAGTAAGTTTGGGTCATAATTTATTCTCAAGTGTTTTAAAAGTTCCTAGCTAAATGTCAGCCATCTCTTCCACTGGGAGACTTGGATATGGACAGTGATAGGTATTTAATGATCTGTGGTATATAATGCAATGGTGATGCATTTTTTAATTGAAAGATGTAGAATTTGGACTGAGAACATATTGAAACATCTCGTGGAGTACATCCTGTTTCATTACTGTGGTTCAAGAGATGACATCGGACGTGAGTCCAATCAGAACTTGCTCTATCATTAAGAGTTGACTGGCACTTAAGTCATTACAGTTCATAGTTTAAAAAGCAGATTCAAACCTGTGCTCTCACACAGCGGGGCATTTGCAGGATGTAAAACCCATGGCAAGACCTCAGGTTTCCAGATGTTTCAAGGTGGCTTCCAATGTGATGTTGTTCTTTGTTGCTATTGCTGTTTGCAGGCTATGTTTAAAAATTAGGATCTTAATAAGGAAGGGAAAATGAACCCAAAATGAGATCACAGACTCTGCTGAACCCAACCTTCTCAGCAAGGCTATAATCAGACAAGCAGATGAACAGACTGAGAGACCTGCCTGCTGCTGTCTCCGGGAGGGAGGACTGGGGTTTTAGCACCGGGTTGTCTCTTCCCCCACCCCCAGGCTTCCTGGGGTGCTGGTCAGTCCTTCTTAGATCTGTGCTCACCTCAGGCTCCAGAGATGGCTCCTGTACAGGCTAGGAATAAGCCAGCCTGGACCAGAGCTCACGGTCACACCCACCTGGCCTCCGCCTCTACCCTGGGAATCCCCCCAATCTTCCCTCCTAGTTAGGACCCCAGAGAATCTGGAGACTAAAGGGAGTGACGAAACATGGGACTGTTAGTCCCCTCACCTGTCCCCTCACCCAAATTGCCCTTGCCCAGTCCCTGGCACCACGCTCAGTGGGCACTCAGGACTCCTAGTGGGCAGGAAGGCAGGGGTTGCCTTTCTACCTTCTGCCAACAGCCTGGGTGTGCCATTCTGAACCAAACCAACCCTGCCGGCCCTGGGAGCCAGCACTGGGGTGAGAACGAGACAAGACTAAGACCTCCTGACCAGGAATTTTAACATTTTTGCAGCCTGTGGGGGAGCCAGCAGCCCCCTAAATTGCTCAAAACTGCATTTGAGCCTTTTCCATCAAATTCTCAAATGCTATATGGATTTGGGTGCAAGTAGCAAAGGCTGCAACAGAATAGCTTCATGATAGAACACCTGATTCACAGAATGCGCCTGGAGGTGAATCAGTGGATTGGAATACTATTCAAGGACCAGCTCTCCCCAGCTTTCCTCTACCATCCTCAGCACGTTGGCCTGTTCTCATGCCAGCACTTCTCTGGTCTCAAAATGAACAGAGCTCAAAGCTTCACACCTGCCTGGACACCTATAGAAAACAATGGAATTATCCTAGTGGCTCCCACAGCCCTCCTTGTCACGTCCTATTGGCAAAAACTGGGTCACATGCCAAGTTACAAGCCAATGGGACTGCTGCCCTGAACCCCTGGGAGGGAAGTGGGTACTGGGCAAAGTCAGACTTTCCCTGGGGGTGGGAGTGGGGCGGGGGGGTGGGGGTTGGGGAGGAGAGGATGGATTCTGTGTTGAGGGCTGGGCCGCTGAATGTTTTAAGCACGGAACCCTGAGCTGGCCTGACACTGGGGAAAGTTCAAGAGCACTCCCAGGGACCCGTAGCCCTTCTTGTGCAACAGCGCTGAGAAGATTGTTGGAACAGATTAGGCTGTTGCAGTCAAGGGATGCCAGGGAGGCCCTCTCCAGGGGGGTCGGGGGAGTCCTCCACTTTTCTCAATCAATATAAGCCCAGACGGGATCCGTGGGAGAATGGCTTTCCATAGAATCCTGCCCCAAGTGACTGTGTGTGGCTGCCACTCTGGCTCCAAGTGACCACCTGAGGCTCTGCAGATACATTTGCAAGGGTCCAAGGGAGTTTTTCCCATGAAAAAAGTTTAGACAATGAGAGTGGCCTTTGTTCCATCAGAAACCCAGGGCTCTCCTTCCTTGGACCCAAGCCCAGTACATGGAGCCCCTTCCATGTGACAGGCAATCCCTTCTCCTTGGGCCTGCCCTGTAGTAGACAGTCTGTGCAGAGCATCAACTTGAGAATCTGAGTGCAGCTGGTTGACCTTGGGCTTTACCTCTCCAGTCTCAGTGTCCTCCTGTGTAGTGTGGGAACAGAGATAGGACCTAACGGGTGGGGTTGCTGGAAGAATTAAATGGGAGAACACAGCAAAGCAAAGAACTCGGCCCAGCCAGTGTGAGTGCTCTGTAAGTAGCAGCTGTTGTTTAGAGCTGATGGCTGATTTCCTCTTCCAACATGCCTCCCGTCAAGCCATGGTTTCAGCTCCACCCCTCAGGTACCGTTGCCCAGAGCCCACCCACAAGAGATGCACAGGAGCACAGGAAGGCGCGTACAGCAGAGTCCCCTTTCACTTTTTTTGTTTGTTTAAGAGGATGAGGCTGACTCCATTGCCCAGGTTGGAGTGCAGCAGCATGATGATAGCTCCCTGCAGCCTCAAACTCCTGGGCTGAAGCAATCCTCCCACTTCAGCCACCTAAGTAGCTGGGACAATAAGCGTGCACCACTACATCAGGGGCCAATTTAAAAATCTTTAGTAGACCAGGCACAATGTCTCATGCCTATAATCCCAGCATATTGGGAGGCCAAGGCAGGCGGATCACCTGAGACCAAAAGTTTGAGACCAGCCTGGCCAACGTGGTGAAACCCCGTCTCTACTAAAAATACAAAAAGTTAGCTGGGCATGGTGGCATGTGCCTGTAATCCCAGCTACTCGGGAGGCTGAGGCAGGAGAATTGCTTGAACCTGGGAGACAGAGGCTGCAGTGAGCCAAGATTGTGCCATTGCACTTCAGCCTGGGCAACAAGAGCAAATCTCCATCTTAAAAAAAAAAATCTTTAGTAGAGAGATGGGGTCTTGCTATGTTGCCCAAGCTGGTTTCAAACACCTGACCTCAAGCAATCCTCCTGCCTTCTCCTCCCAAAGTGCTGGGTTTACAGACAAGTGCCCAGTGGAGTCCATTTGAGTGCCCCCTTGACTCCAGAATTGACAAACAAGTCAGCAAGACAAACATGTATACATTACAAGGGAGAACGTAAACTCTGCCTAACATTTAAAGATAAAATACAAGACTCCAGAGAAATGTCATGATTGCTTTGGGCTGTGCCCCTGGGGTTGGGCCGGGAAGTGTCCCCAGGCTCCTCTGTCCCCAGGGCCCTTGTGGATGGGTGGGATGGATGATCCAGGCCCCGGAGGCAAAGCAAAGTGCGGCTCAAGGGAGGAGCCCTGGAGCAGAGTGCAGAGTCGGCTGGTAAATTCTTATTTTTCAAGCTGTGAAACTCTGTACTGTCTTTTATTTTATTTTTATTTTTTGAGACAGAGTCTCACTCTCCCCCCCAGGCTGGAGGGCAGTGGTGCAATCTCAGCTCAGTGCAACCTCTACTTCCCGGGTTCAAGCGTTTCTCCTGCCTCAGCCTCCTGAGTAGCTGGGATTACAGGTCTGCGCCATGACACCTGGCTAATTTTTGTATTTTTAGTAGAGATGGGGTTTCACCATGTTGGCCAGGCTGGTCTCAAACTCCTGAGCCCAAGTGACCCACCTGCCTCAGCCTCTCAAAGTGCTGGGATTTCAGGTGTGAGCCACTGTGCCCGGCCTCCGTGTACTGTCTTTTTAAAAAGTATTTAAAAATATAAATAAAGAATACATCATCATCATCATCAAAAAATAATGTATCACCATAAAATGTGTGAAAGGGAAACAAAAGTCCTCTGTCTCCCCTTCCCAGAAAGAACTGTGTCAATGATTTGACATTTGTCCATCTAGTTTTTTTTCTATTTATAAACACACAGGTGTGCAGGCACACACAGACACACAACTACACAGACCCACACAGATACACACATGCAGTGGCTCGGTGTGGTGGCTGATACCTGTGATCCCAGCACTTTGGAAGGCCGATGAGGGCAGATAACTTGAGGTCAGGAGTTCGAGACCAGCCTGGCCAACATAATGAAACCCCGTCTCTACTAAAGATACAAAAACTAGCTGGATATGGTGGCGGACACCTGTAATCCT
Organism: Homo sapiens; assembly: GCF_000001405.40. Classification (NCBI taxonomy): domain Eukaryota; kingdom Metazoa; phylum Chordata; class Mammalia; order Primates; family Hominidae; genus Homo; species Homo sapiens. The sequence continues at coordinate 33,789,801 of NC_000019.10, read as the reverse complement.
GGCTACTGGGGAGGCTGAGTCAGGAGAATTGCTTGAACCCAGGAGGTGGACGTTGCAGTGAGCCAAGATCTCTCCACTGCACTCCAGCCTGGGTGACAGAGTGAGACTACATCTCAAAAAACAAAACAAAACAAAACAAAACACACTTACACACACACACACGTGCAAATACACACAGTCAATGACAAACATACAGAAACATAACTATAGACACAATTGCACAGACACAGACATGGACACACATACTAACAAATATGCAGAGACACGGACATATAGTTGCACAGATACGCAGACACATGCACACACAAGCGACACAAAGAGACACACACGTACCCATACCACACCCACACACATAATCTACAGACACAGACATGCACAGAACCATAGGTAAAAAGACACCTACACACACACCTGAGCACACAGATGTGCACACAGGCACTCACACATGTGCTTTTAAAGTATGGGATCAACCTATTCATACTGATTCACAGCCTGCCTTTCCTCCATCATGCATGCATTTCACAACGTAAAAAATAATGTAACAGACACCCAAATGTAACAAACCATTTTGAATATTTGCTTCAGATCCTCTTTAAAAAACAATACGAAATGATACAGATGTATTAAACCCCTCCCTTCCTCCCCAGCCAGTTGTATCCCTCCTGTGCACCCTTTTATACTTTTTGCAACATTGGGATATGTTCATAAACAATGGTAACACTTGTGTAGGTTTTAAACTTGTACATGAATGGGATGGAAGTGTGTATCCTTTTGTATCTTGTTTGTTGCCTCTTGCTGTTCTCATATCACTGAGCATGGGCCCTCCCTTGTCACTCCTTTGATCCACATGGGGCCTCTGTCTCCTGCTCTGTGTCCCCTCCCTCAACCAGCTCCCTGTCACCCTTCTCTCCCTCCTCTCTTCCCTGTCTTCTCTCTCTTCTTCTTCTCCTCCTCCCCCTTCCCTCCTCCCTCCCTCCCTCATCCTCGTCTCCCTCCCTCCATCTGCCACCACCTCTAGGCAATGCGAGCCTCTGGCTGAAAAGCTAGAAGGTCACCCAAGGAAGTGCAAAAAAGAAAAACGTCTTGATATATTTCATAATATTATCGCCCTCTGAATTTTTACAGTTCTGTTTTTACATCTAGGTCTCTCATCCTTTTGGAATTAACTTCTGCCTATGGTTTGAGGTCTGTATCTAAAAAAGAATTTATTTTTCAAAATGGCTAGGCAGTCTTCCAAAGGAATCAACTCGTAACAATTGTATTTATTAGGATTTTAACTGGAATTGGGGAGAATTGAGGGCTTCTGATTTTTGCTTTATTACAGAAAGAATATGGGAATACAGATACTTTGTAAAAAATTAAAACATCGATTCTTTTAGTAATTAGAACTAATTACAAATTAATCCCCCACACCCTGACAATCTCATTTTCTTCTTCCTAGGGAACCTCTGTTTGGTATGTGTGATGGGTTAAATTATTGATTCCAATTTTTCCCTGCCCTGTAGTACCTAGAGACAACTACACCCTTGCTACAGCTTCGTGGTTGGCAGAAATAACTTCTCCACACCCTGATACGGGGCTTCACCAAGTGGGAGTTAGCAGGTAGTGGCTTTACGGAGAGGCTTAAAGTGTGCTTCTGTGGCTGGACTTGGAGTTTCTGCTGTGGCCATAAGAATAAGCTCCAGGCAGCTGGAGACTGGAGCCATCGAGTGACATACACAGAGTGGGGTTGCATAAGCCTCCCACAGACACAGGAGAAATTCGTGCTTATCACTGTATGCCGCTGAAATTGTGTGTGTCTTTGTCACACGGCAATAGCTGACTATAAACTATATATCTGTATGTGTGTGTGTGTGTGTGTGTGTATGTATACACATCCATACACGAATTAGACTGGGATGATATACATGTTACTCTATTATTTATAATTATATAATATATATAATCATATGTTATATATACTATAGATATTATATAAAATTATGCATGTGTGTGTATTACATATCTTGGCCCACCCCTAACATTTTCAGGGCTGAGAAGAAGAGGATAAATAGAGATCCACGTATCATATGTCTAAATACCTAAAAGGTGTAAATCAAGCTAGCAACTATTTAATAACATACATTATATTCTCCCACCTTGATGAATATACCTTCATAATGACCTGGAAGCCCGGGTTCGGTCTGGAATTCTTGGATTCCTTGGAGTGGGGTGCTGGAATGTGCTGGCTTGGGAAGAGCTGGCTGTATTAGTCCATTCTTGCATTGCTATAAAGAAATACCTGAGACTGGGTAATTTATACAGAAAAGAGGTGGAGAGATCTTGGCTCACTGTACAGTGCTGCAGGCTGTACAGGAAGCATGGCTGGGGAGGCCTCAGGAAACTTACAATCATGGCGGAAGGTGAAGGGGAAGCAGGCACATCACATGGCTGGAGTAGGAGCAAGAGAGTGAGGGGGAAAGGTGCTACGCACTTTTAAACAACCAGATCTCGGGAGAACTCGCTCACTATCATGAGAACAGCACTAAGAGATGATGCTAAACCATTCATGATAAATCACCCCTGTGATCCAATTACCTCCCACCAGGCCTCCCCTCCAACACTGGGGATTACAATTCAACATGAGATGTGGTGGGGTCACAGATCCAGACCATATCACTGGCCCTTTCCATACATGGGGAAACCGAGGCCCAGGGAGGTGAAGCAGCTCCCCCCAAAGCCCAGTGGTAAGTCCAACATGCCTTTCTCTTCTGACCTGCTGCATAGCCATGCTGTTTGGAGGGGTTGGTTCATGTGTATAGTTTGGCTGCTATTGAAGAACTCTAGGAATGACTTAAGGAGGGCTAGTTCTTTCTTAGGACTCGTTAAGCTGAGGCCATCGTGGGTTAGAAGACATGCAGCCAGGGTCTGTCTTGTGAGGTATTTAACGATGTCCTTAAAACCCTGGTGCCTGTCCCCATGATCTGCTTTTCTGGACCTAAGTGACCACAAAGTCCCAGCCAACCAGCCCCAATTCCAGCCGGCTGTCCACCTGACCAGGCTGAACCCTCTCTAGAGAGGCAGGGAGAGAAAAGGGACCCAGCTCCTCCAGGATTCTGGTATGCCTCTCCCTGGGGGATCTTAGAAGAAGATTAGATTATACAGCTGTCTGGGCACAGTGGCTCACACCTGTAATCCCAGCACTTTGGGAGGCCAAGGTGGGTGGATCACTTGAGGTCAGGAATTCGAGACCAGCCTGGACAACATCTCTACTAAAAATGCAAAAATTAGCCAGGCATGGTGGCACATGCCTGTAATCCCAGCTGAGGCAGGAGAATTGCTTGAACCCAGGAGGCAGAGGTTTCACTGAGCTGAAATTGTACCACTGCACTCCAGCCTGGGCAACAGAGCAAGACTCTGTCTCAAAAAAAAAAAAAAAAAAAAAAAGATTACAGCCTCCACTGTCACAGTTGGTCTTGGAGCTGCAACAGATACTCAGCTTCTCTCCTCCTTATTATCTCTTCAGGACTCCTGCACCCTCAGCGAACAGCAACCTGGTCTCAGGGGCTTACCTGGTGGAAAAACCAGATCTTCATCCCTGAGGGGTCTGAGACTCTGGCCAACATCACCTTCTCAGACCAGAGTTGCTGCACTTGCCCATTCGCTGTCAAAACTGGGCAAGGGAGTATCGAAAAGCATCCAAGTGGATTAACCAGACACCAAATAGATTTCTCCCAGCCCCACTGTATAATAAAAATGCTCCCTCTTACTGATGATCAGGGCTTGTGGTCTGGCTCAGGTCCTGTGGCAGGAAATGCAAACCTATACTCAGAATATGTATTTATTCCTGACAAAATGAGTCACTACTTCTTCCAGGATGAAAGCGATCCAGTATGGTCGGCTTGCCACCAAGTGAAGGGTGGGTGTCCTCATGGAATGGTGGTGCATTCCAGACTTAGCATCGATCTCTGCTGCTGGAGAATCGGAGATCTGGCAGGAGCAACAGCAGCTAGGTCAGCCATGCTGAGTGGGAACCCATGCTGTTGGACCTATACATAGCCTCCATCCCTGTCACCACGTCCTCCTCGTGTGTGTTTTTTGTACCAGCCATGAAGAGGCCAATGACAGAAGCTGGCTGATGTCACTTAGCTAAGTTGCCAAGAGGGTAACTCATCTTGCTTGCTGGTGTCTTAGCCCAAGCAGTCTAAAGTGTCCAGGCAGCAGCCACAGCTTACAGTTCCACAGGACTCTTGCCGTGTTCATTGATAGACGCATAGCTCATGTGGGAAGCAGGATTTCCAAATCCTCAGAGCCCAGGTCTGTGGGAACAAGAAGCACATGTTCTCCAAGTGGGCAGATGAGCATGAGGGTAAGCAGGACCTCTTGCATCCGCTCTTTGGTTCCCAGACCCATCTTACCTAGGACATAGGGTGTTGGTTTCCTGTTGCTGCTGTGAGAACACACCACAGATCTGGTGAGTTAGAACAACACAAATCTATTACTTTACAGCTCAGGAAGTTGGAGTCCAACATGAGTCTCCCAGGGTGGAAATTAAGGTGTAGGTAGGGCTGCATTCCCTCTAGAGGCTCCAGGGAGGAATGATTTCCTTGTCTTTCTCAGCTTCAAGGGGCCTGTTGCTCCCTTGGCTCATGGCTCCCACTGTCTTCAAAGCCAGCAAAGGCTGGTTGAATCCGTTTCACACTGCATCACTCCCACAGTGACTCTCCTGCCTTCCTCTTGCAGCTAGGAGAACCCTTGTGATTACATTAGCCGCCCCTCACCCCCAGGTAATCCAGGATAATTTCCCCACGTCAAGATCCTTCACTTAATCACATCCTGTCTAGATGGTCCTCTTTGCCATGTAAGGTTACATAACCACGGGTCCTGGGAGTCAGGATGCAGATCGCTTTGGGGGAAAAGGGTGATGATTCTGCCTACCACACCCAGGTAGACCCATGTCCACCTTTTGTTCATTTAAGGTACCTACTTTCATCTGGAGAATGGCACCTCATCTTTGCAAAAAGCTGTGATTTCAACAGGCCCTTCCATTGCTTATCAGATTAGCAGATTCGGAGGGATACGGTAGATGATATGACCAGCCCACCCTTGCACCTCCTTTCTGTAAAGTGAGTCCCTTTATCTGATGCAATGGCACGTGGGATGCTGCGCTGTGCATCAGACACTCTGTAAGCCCTTGGGCTTGTGGTCTGGCTCGGGCCCTGTGGGCAGGAAAGGCAAACCCATCCTCAGACTTTGTGTTTATTCCTGACAAAATGAATCACTGCTCCTTCCAGGATGAAAGGGATCCAGTGTGGTGGGCTTGCCACCAAGTGATAGGTTGGTGTCCTCATGGAATGATGCTGCATTTGGGACTTAGTGTGGGTCTCTGTTACTGGAGAATTGGAGATTTGGCAGCAGCAATAGCAGCAGCTAGATCAACCATGGTGAGTGGGAGCCCCTGTTGCTGGACCCATGCATAACCTCCATCCCTGTCACCACGTCCTCCTTGTGTGTGCTTTTTGTACCAGCCGTGAAGAAGCCAATGACAGAAGCTGGCTGATGTTGCATACCCAAGTAGTTCTGCCCACTTGGTTGCTTGGTGCCTCTTCCAATGAGTGCTAATGTGAGAGACATCGTCACACTTTGTGCCAAGTCCCATCCACATGACTTCCCCTTGTCTCCTAACTTCTAATCTTTCTCCTTCTAGGCTCCTGACTATCTGGCCAAGCCATCGGCCACTGCCCATGAGTCCATGTATATTCTGAACTCAGGCCATTTCCCTTTTCACCAAAGTGGATGACCGGTGTCTAAAGCTCTACCCACTGGGAGTATTTCACTTTACCACCATCTTTCCAGGCCACTCCTGGGTGGAGCTGTGGTGCACACACCATCCACTGCTGCAGTGCAGACACCATCAGCTTTTATTTTGAATTTTTATTTAAAAAAAAAAAAAGATATGGGGGTCTTGCTGTGTTGCCCAGGCCTGTCTAACTCCTAGCCTCAAGCAATCCTCCTGCCTTGGCCTCCTGAAGTGCTGGGATTACAGATGTGACCACTGTACCCTGGTCACCATCCACTTTTTTTTTTTTTTTTTTTTTTTTTGAGATGGAGTCTCACTCTGTTGCCCAAGCTGGAGTGCAGTGGCACGATCTTGGCTCACTGCAACCTCCACCTCCCGGGTTCAAGTGATTCTTGTACCTCAGCCTGTGGAGTAGCTGGGATTACAGGTATGTGCCACCATGCCTGGCCACCATCCACTTTTTACCTGCTTCTACACAAGCCAACACATCTGTGAAAAAAGCTCTAGCCTTTTCCTCTTTCATTAGCTGATCATGCCCCTCACCATATGGCCTCAGAGGTAAACTGAGGAAGAGGTCTCAGTGCAGCAGTGGGGATCCCAAGGTGCCCAGGCTCCCTGCTCACACAGCTCGCTTGTGTCCTCCCACCCTGCTTGCACTTGATCCTGGGTGTGCCACTTCTATCTTATTATTACTAGTTAGAGACAAGGTCTTACTCTGTCACCCAGGCTAGAGCGCAGTGGTGCAATCACAGCTCATTGCAGCCTCCAACTCCTGGGCTCAAGCAATTCTCCTGCCTCAGCCTCCTGAGTAGCTGGGACTGCAGGTGTGCATCACCAAACCTGGATGATTTTTTACTTTTTGTTTGTAGAAACGTGGTCTCTCTATGTTGCTCAGGCTGGTCTCAAACTCTTGGCCTTAAGCGATCCTCTTGCCTCTGCCTCCCAAAGTGCTGGGATTACAGGTGTGACCACTGCATCTGGCCAACTTCTATCTTTTGATAGGAGGTGCTGAGTCCACTTGGCCTTTTGACTTGGTGGTTCTGACAGGACCCAGTTCATGATGGGCAGCTATGGCTGCAGTTTCATTGAGATCCCACGGTGATATGGTTTGGCTGTGTCTCCACCCAAATCTTATCTTGAATTGTAGTTCCCATAAGCCCCACGTGTCATGGGAGGGATCCACTGGGAGGTAATTGAATCGTGGGGGCGGTTACCCCCGTGCTGTTCTTGTAATAGTGAGTGAGTTCCACAAGATCTGATGGTTTTATAAGACGCTTTTCCTCCTTTGCTCGGCACTTCTCTCTCCTGCTGCCATGTGAAGAAAGACGTGTTTGCTTCCCTTTCTGCCATGATCGTAAGTTTCCTGAAGCATCCCCAGCCATGTGGAACTGTGAGTCGATTAAACCTCTTTCCTTTATAAATCTGGGTGGCAGAGGACCTTGTGGGAGACTCCTCCCACTTCTCTGTGGTCCCAGATCCTCGATGCTCAGCTCTGTTCTGAGCTGGGGGCATAAGGGTGCCATCACCCAGGTCTAGCACAAGGCCTGACACGTGTGACCGCTCTAAGTGTTGGATGGAGATGTGCTGATAGCCTCTTCTATGCGCCGAATGTCCCCTGACAATATTGTGTCCTATGTTGAAATCCTCAACCCCAAAGTGATGGTGTGAGGAGGTGGGGCCTTTTGGTGGTGATTAGGTCCTAAGGGTGGAGCCCTCGTGAATGGGATTAGCACCCTGATAAACGAGGCCCTGGGGAGCTCCTCACCCCTTCTGCCATGAGTTCACAGCAGGAAGAGGGCCCCCTATGAACCAGGAAACCGGCCCTCCCCAGACACTGCATCTGCTGGCGCCTTGATCTCAGCCTCCAGAACTGTGAGAAATTGTTTGTTGTCTGAGTCACCCAGTCTATGGGATTTTTGATGTAGCAGCCCAGACAGACTAAGATGGATGAAGACAGCCCCTCAGCCTCATTCTGGATCCTTCTGGGCATGGAACTTGACCGTAGTACACCCCTCCTTCAATGGTTCCGCTGTTTCCAACACAAAATCCAATCTCCTTATCCCTTATCCAAAATCCAAGGATCTCCCTGACCTGGCGTCTCCCAGTTCCCCCATTCCGTGATCCGCAGATGTCTATGTGGGGCTCACACAGTGTTTGTTCACACTCCCCTGGGCTCAAGCCCACTCCTCCTTCTGGTCCCGATTCATGTCCTGAGAGCCAGCGCTAGGAGGTCGCATGCTCCATCAGTCTTCGGGCACTCAGCGGGGGTCCAGGCCAGGGCCCCCCACCCTCAGCCGTGTTCCTTGGTCACTCTCCAGAGCCTTGGGTCACTCTCCACTGACTGTTAGGCCAGCAATCCTGCCTGCAGATCTACAGAGAGCCGAACCTTGAAAAATGATGACGAGCCCTTCTCCTCGTGTCATTAATCCTCTCATGACCGAGGCATTTCCCCCAGGGTGGGCACAGGCCCAGGGTGACTGATGGCACCTGCCCAGCCTCTTGAGGACTTTGGCCAGTGGGAGGTGTTGACAGCATTTCCCAAGTGAAATGCCACATGGAGATTAATGACCCCCGAGCTGCGGGCTTTGGGTGGGCAAGGCTGGAGCATAGCGGGGCCCCCCAGCCTGCCAGGTCTGTGGAACGCTTCCTGCACCCCAGTCCTCTCAGCCCCTTCCAGGAACAGTGCTGTGGGTTCGCTACCTTTGCCCGGGTTCTCAGGATCTCTCAGAAATGGTTGCCTCAGCTTCACGCCTGAAACCTCAAACACAAATAATTTTCAATTTGCCTTGGAGTTTCAATCCCACAATCCGATGTTAAATAATAGATTAGCTGCCTCAGGGAGAGAAACAGGATTTAAGAAGAAGAAATAACTAAAAGGAAAAGTAAAATTCAGCACATCGGTTTGGAGAGCAAGAATGCAGCCTTCCCTCCCGGCCCAGATTTGCCGACCCCATCTCATCCTCCCAGACGTGGCTCGCTTCCGGGTCTTAGGGGACTGTCATCCACACAGCATGGTCTCCCCAGAGGCAGGCTGGAGGCGTCAGCAGTCCTGGGCTCATCTCCAGCTGGTGCGGCCAGATTGGCAGACTCCGTCTCCCACGCCCCTGCTCTCAGGCCCTGCACGCGGAGGAGGGGGCTGACCTGTAGCCCCAAAACCACCACCCACCAAGGCAGAGAGAGACAGATGGGTGTGGGTGGTCACAGGCAAACTCAGGTAGTCACAGGCAGGTGGATACAGGCTGGAACAGGTGACAGCAGGCAGGTAAGCAGGCAGGTAGCAAGTGTGAACTGATGGAGCCAGAGGCACAGGTACAGGACCACCGTGTCACCAGACCCCAGAGGAGGCTGAAGAGGGTCCCTCTGTGGGGCGTGACTTGTTCACAAGCCCTGGAACCGAGGTCATCTCCATCCAGGAGATTATCATGGTGGGCAGAGGTGAAAGTCATCATCGTGATCCTGGCCACTGCCACCCCTGGCCACAGTTTGCCTGTCACCACAGGAAACCACACCATCTCCAAGGTCACAGGTCCCCAACTCCCGCCTCACTTCCTCCGCAGACCCCAGCGCCTTCTCTCTGCCTATCAGCCCTTCCTGTCTTGATGCCCTTCCTCATCCAGCCTTGTCCTGATTGGGTGACTATTCTCTGTGTCCTTCACTCCTCTGTCACACAGGTCTAGGAGGAGCCCCGCTGTGACCTTGCTTATGCTGCAGCAGGAAGGCATGCTGGTGCCCTGCACATCCATCATAAACTGCAAATGGGTGCAAAGCAATGCCTGAGACACTCCCTCTCTTTCTCCAGAGAGCTTGTCTTTCCCTTGCCCTAGTGACCATTCAATTCCTTCTCTGCTGTCGCAAAACCTCCTACCCCATTGGAACACCAGAGAGCCAGTAAGAACTGTGCACTCATGGGCACACAGAGCCAGGGCCAAACCATCAGGCTCTGAATTCTGGAAGATCCCCATTATAGCTGTGTGGCCTTGGGCAGATTACTTAACCTCTCTGTGTCTCAATGTCTTCATCTGCAAAAAATGGGGAGGATGATAACGGTCTTCCAGGGTTGTAGTGAGGATTAGATAAGCTCTTATATGTGAAACGCTAGCCAGGCGAGGTGGCTTAAGCCTGTAATCCCAGCACTCTGGGAGGCCGAGGCGAGTGAATCACTTGAGGTCGGGAGTTTGAGACCAGCCTGTCCAACATGGTGAAACTCCGTCTCTATTAAAAATACAAAAATTAGCCCGGTGTGGTGGCAGGCCCCTGTGATCCCAGCTACTCGGGGGGCTGAGGCAGGAAAATTTCTTGAACCTAGGAGGCGGAGTTTGCAGTCAGCCGGGATCGCGAGGGGCAGGGTACAAAAAATATGAAATACTTAGAGCAGTACCTGGTAAACCGGTAAATTCCATAGTTACTTATTACTTTAGGTGCCAAGGCAGGAGATGCTAGTGTGATAATGGCTTGGGTTAAATGACAGCCCTGGAGAGGGAGAATGGACATGGATTCAGTATGCCCTTGGGAGGCAGGGCGAAAGGGACGATCCAGGGCTTGTAGGGAAGGCTGAGCCGGGAAGCCGGGAGAGGAGGGGCTTGAGGTGTGAAAGGTGTGCGGCTCAGGTGAGACGTTCAAGTGGAGACACCCGCTGGACGTGCCGACAGCTGGGGGTGAGGCGGCTGGCCATGGGGGTCTACCGATCAGGGCTGCAGGGGCAAATCCGGGAGTCTAGCACAGGGGTGATGGGGAGCTCGCCCAGGGAGTGTGTAGGCAGAAGAGTGCCTGGGATTGCCAGCGTGCGGCAGTGGAAGGTGCCTTGTCAGCGGACTCTGCGGGTGGCAAGATTGGAAGGCAGGCCAGGGTGGGGTCCAGAGTGGAAAAGGAGGTGAAGCCATGGGGGCTGAGGGGTGGGTTCTGCCAGGAAGGAGAGGAGAGAAATGGGCAGGCGCTGCAGGGGCCATCTGGCTACGGCTTCCCCGTTTTTAAAGGTGGGGCATTGACAGCTTGTTTTCTGCTGATGGGAAAGCCTGCTGTGTGTGCAGAGAGGGCGCAGGTGCGCGCGGGAGGTGCTTAAGGAGTAGGCTAAGGGACTGGGATCTGGTGTGTGTGTGTGTGTGTGTGTGTGTGTGTGTGTGTGTGTCGGGGGTGACCTCTGGCCAGTGCAGGAGGGGAAGTGGAGGACAGGGCTCAGCGTGGGAAGTGCATGCACTTGGCTGAGACAGTGAGGGACCTTCCGGTTCTTCCCATTTATTTCAATGCAGCAAGAAGCCCCGTCCTGAGCCGTGCATGTTTCTGTGTGTTTACGTGTGTGTCTGTGTGTCCGCGTGCATCTGGGTCTGTGTGCATGCGTGTGTCTGCATATCTGTCTGGGTGTGTGTTTGTGAGGATGGGTGTCTGTGTGTCTGTGTGTGTGGTTGTGTGTGTCTGTGCGTCTGTGCCTGTGTGTGTGCATGCATTTGTGTTTGCGCGTGTGCGTTCGTGTTGTGGTTGAGGTTGGAGAAGGCCTGACATCACCCTGATGGAGCGTGCAGGACAAGCCCCCGGGGAGGTTGTGGATGTCACTGCTTTAGGGGCGCTGCGGGTGTTTGGGGGCTTAGTGTTAGCACAGGCGGGTCCCCTGGAGCTGGTGGGTTTGAGAGTAACCTCTGGAGGCCGCCCGCAGACAGTGGAGGGGCGGGAGCCCCGTGACCCCATGGTTGGGAGGGCGAGGTGACAGAGGAGCCGACTGCGCGGTGGGGAGGCTGGGGACGCGGGGCGCCCGGGAGCTGGAGCCGCGCGGCCAGAGCGCTGCTGCCACCTGGCGGCCCCGCCGGGGATCCCCAAGCCGCTGCTCGGGAGCGGGGACTTAGCCCCACCTGGCGGCGGAGAACGGCTCTGCGCCTGTGGGTACGAACGCGAGGGAGCCCCTGCCGGCCGCTTGGGCGCAATCCCAGCTCCAACTCCTGCGCTGCACAGCTCTGGCCACGCCTTTCTGTGCCTCAGTCTTCTCACCTATACAGTAGAGCGAGGCATGAGTGGACAGCACCGCTGGGAGAGGGGCACTGGGCAACGCACACGAGGCCACAGCGCAGCACCCAGCACGAGTGACCCCCGACACCTGCACCCCCGACACACTCAGGGTCCCAGTCCCTTGGTCTCCTCTTTAAACACCTCGCGCACGCACCTGCACTTCTCCACGCTCAGCACTCACTGTCCACTTGACTCAGGCTGGCATACCCAGGTGGCGCGGAAGGGTCGCCCAGGCCCGTGACAGGAAGTTGCTCTCTCTGCCCTCTGCCCCTGCCCCCTGCCCCCTTCCCTAGCTTCCAGAGCTCTTGGCACCTCCAGCTGCTCCCCTGCTCCTCCTTTCCTGAGGCCGGCCCAGGGTGAAGGAGAGGCAGGAGGATAGTCCCCTAGTAGCCCCGGCCTGGCCCAGACCCCGGGTCCCCCTCTGCTGCCATCTCCCAACAGAGCCTCTTGTGCAAAGCGTGCCCTGGGCAGTGAGAAGGGCCAACAAGCAGCCAGGCCAGGGCAGTGTGAAGAACCCAGCTCAGGGCTCCCACACCCCCTCCCCGGCCCGGGCAGGGCAGTGGGGCTAACATACAGTCCTCTCCCCACACCCTGCTCCCCGGGGCGCCTGCCTATTCCTCATTCAGGAGTCATGGTACCCATCAGCTGGGAGTCCCCGGAGGTAGGGGCAGTGTTACTTGAGCCCAGACTACCCCACCCCCAACTTTCACCTTTGCCCATTTCTGGATCCCGTGGTTCAACACAGCCTCTTGTGCCCAGCTCTGGGTCCCCTGGGCTTGTAGAGCAGTGGAGGAGTGAGGGACGCCAGCAGGATGTTCGCTGGGTTCACCACGAGTGCTCCCTGAAGAGGAAGGGGCCAAGAAGAGATAGGGGCAGTGAGGTGAGGCCGCCTCCAGGCCTCAGAACCATGGGCTCCACAGGCTCCTGTCCCCCACCAAGGGGCTCAGCCCTGAGGATGAAATTGGCAAACCCTGCCTGAGAGTAGGGGGAGATGATGGGGGACCCCCTGTCCACTGCCTGCCTGACTTTGTCCTGGGCCCCTTGGACAGGCCCTGTATGGGCCACCAAACCCTGTCGAGACAGCAGGGAGGAGGGGGAGCTGGGGGGAGCCAGAACTGCCCGAGTTTCCCACCTGACCATCTGTGTGGACCTTGAATCCTATCTCCCCAGGATACTCAAGGCCTTTGGGGCTCCCAAGCCCCAGGAGGGACCCTAGGCTTTGGGACGTCTGTTCTCGTCACCACTCAGAGAGTGGGGCTCCCATCCAGGAGGTCTCAGCCACTCAAGGGCAGAGGCCTGGCAGGGACTTCCCTGGGGCCGCCCGGAGGGGCCCACAGGGGGACCAAGCTGGGGAGGGCCCTGGGGCTTGGGCTGTTCTTCTCCCAACTCAATGGGCCTCCTTTGCCCCTGGGAGCTGCCAGTGGCCCTTTCTAGGGTCTCTGATCAGTTGGCCCCTTCCAGGTGACATCCACAAAATGGCCAGCGAATGGGCAGGGAGAGACGAGGAGCAGGTGCACGAGATGGTCCTGGAGACGGGCAGGACTCAGACTGCACACAGCCCACACCCGGCATGGACGCGGGCTCACACACAATGCACACCCCTCACTCCAGGAACACACACACACAGACACACACGCTCCCACTGACCCCATAGCACAGGCTAGAAACACACACACACACACACGCTCACACCCACCCCACAGCACAGGCCAGATACCTCCCTCCCCCCACACACACCCACATACTCATTACCCATTTAGCCCACAGCACAGGCCAGACACCCACACAGACACACACCCACGCAGACACACAGACCCACATTACCTGTATGCTCACTCCCATCCACATGATACAGGCCAAACATACACTCACACTGTACAGGCCAGACACACACAGAAACACACATACAGACATACACTTACACCCACCCACCCCACAGCACAGGCCAGACATACACACAGAGACACACACAGACACAAACACACACATGCTCACACCCACCCCACAGCACAGGCCAGAGACACACACACACGTTCACACCCACCCACCCTACAGCACAGGGCAGAAACACACACACACACACAGACATAGACACAGACACACACACACACGCTCATACCCACCCACCCCACATCACAGGCCAGACACACACACCCACATGCTCACACCCGTTTATCCCACAGCACAGGCCAGACATCCACACAAACACACCCACCCACATGATCCATATGCTCACACCCACCCACAGTACAGGCCAAACACACACACTCACAAACACACATGTGGAGAGTATAGGCCAGACACACACATAGACATATACGCGCTCACATCCACCCACCCCACAGCACAGGCCAGACACCCACACAGACACCCAGACACACACACAGACACATGCACACGTGCACACACACATACTTCCCTACCACTGCACTGAGTCGGCTCTTCCTGAGCCCTGTGAGGTTTGGGGCTGGGGTTGGGGGTTGGAGCTGGGTTGGTCTCCAGGCTGGGCCTCTGGCCTTCAGTTGGAGGTCACTCTCAGGGCTGTCAAGTGGTGATCATGGTCACTGCCTGCACCTGTCTTCTGTCATCACCACCTGCAACAAAAGCCCCCCACTGATGGATGCGTTGTGTGTCCACGTCTGTCCAGCTTGAGCCGGCGTTTCTCTGAGAGATGATACAAGTGCATGTGCCTTCTCCCCCGACACACACATGCAGACGCACACACACGCTCACCCAGGGGAGGGGCTGTGTCATCCTCACTGTCTCCAAGCTGCTCCCAGATGCTGTGTCAGCGGAGAGTTCAGGTGTTCCCTGCTGAGCAGATGCCATAGGGGCACTGCCTCTGGCTTCACCAAATGCACCCATGACCAGGGACACTTTCCTGCACATGAACGTGGTCTCACGTTTGAGCACCGGGACCCAGGGCACCTCTTTTTAGGTTGTCCTCAGCCAGGCACTTCCCTGTCTCCTCTCACATGGACCCTGGTCCTGGCCAAGGTGCAGGGCAGCTACTCTGGCTTTCTGGGCCCCTCAGCATCTGCTGTCTCAGCTTCCACGGGTCCCAAGAGTTCCCCAGGCCCTGACCACAGCCTCTTCCCTGCCCCTCTGGGTCACTTCTGTTGGATGGTCCAAGCCGCTTCCAGCTGGAACCCGAGGGAGGTCTCCCTGCTTCTCAGATCTCCTGGATGGATGTTACCCCAAAGGGGCAGGAGGAAGGCTCAGTGCCTTGTTCCCCTTTGCAATGTTCCAGGGTCCAAGATGGAGGCAGAAAAGGAGATGGAGCAGCTCAGGCTGGTGTGAGCCTGGGGAGATTCCAGAAGCACCTCCAACTAGTAATACAGGAGCGCCTCCAACTGAGGATCCAGCAGCTCCTCCACCTGGGGATCAGCAATTCCTCCACTTGGGGATCCAGCATTTCCTCCATCTGGGGATCCAGCAGTTCCTCTACCTGGAGATCCAGCAGTTCCTCTATCTGGGGATCCAGCAGTTCCTCCACCTGGGGATCCGGCAGTTTCTCCACCTGGGAATCAGCAGGGCCTCCACCTGGGGGTCCACCCAGGGATCCAGTGGCACCTCCACGTGGAGAATCAGCAGCATCTCCCCTAGCAAATAGGGACAGACAGAGGGCAGCCTCCTGGGAGGGCCCACAGAGCAACCCACAGAATGACCCAGGAGGGCATGCAGAGGCTCCTGCAGACAGGCTGACAGAGGGCAGAGACTCCAGAGTCAGGCAGCCCTTCCCATCACAAACAAAACCCAAATGCAGCCACACTCATGCCCACACTCAACACTCCAACAAACACCTCCTCCCAGACCTTCCCAGAACCACATTGACTGCTGACACTTCTGGAGCCCTCTCTGGTGTGAACATGTATGCTTTTGGAGAAGTTTCCTCTATGGCTTCTCCTCTCCTCCTCCAGAGCATGTGCATCCTGACAGCCCTGAGGTGGTTTTGTCAGGTGAGTGGGGCCAGGGATCAGGGTGAGTGGGGCCAGGGATCAGGGTGAGTGTCTGCAGATGACAGCCTCAGGCCAGAGTCCTGCTTGGCTCAGAGGTGCAGAAAGCCAGGGACAGCCTTGCTTCCTGCTGGGAGTACCACACCCACCGAGATGCATGCCCCGTGCCCCCTGGCTCCGGCCTCAGCCCTGATTGGCAGCTTGCCTGGAGAGCTGGCTACTGCTCTGGCAGTCCCCAGAGGCCCCTGCAAGGTGCACTGATAAGAAGACACCCCAGGAGGCCCCCATAGGAACAGGCCTATCTTTTCCTTTCAGGATTAATGTGCCAGGACTGAGACGGAAGCACCCCAGTTGACTGGGACCTAGCCTCAGACGCCTGCAGGTCCTGGCTGAGAGCCGCTGGGTCCTCTGTGCTCTTCTCCCAGGAAGCTGCTCCTGAACTGGACTTCTCTGCAGTGGGGCCTGCAGCACCTGGCTCAAGCTGCCCCGGGAAGGCAGAAAGAGCCCCAGAAAGCCCAGCCCAGGGTCCACGTGCTCCCACGCCACCACAGAGTACACACCGCTGCTCTGGAAACCATGTGCTTTATTTGGAACCTTAATCCAAGGGAACCTCCCCCCTGGCTCGTAGAAAAGCTGCAAACCACGTGGTTTGGTCCAAGGCAATGGCTAAGGGAGTGCGGGACATCCCTTACCGCTGGGCCCCCCGTCCTCTGGGCCTCAGACTTCCCTGCTCATCAAAACTGTCGGCTGAGCTCCAGGGGTGTCTGCCCAGTTCTCAGCCTCTCCCTCAGCCAAGGAATGAGGAAACAGGTACAGGCCAGGGGCTGGGGTCCCCATCCAAGGCTGGGCGCCTCTGCCCCCCACCCGGGGCCTGCTGCCTCCCACAGCGATGGCTCCTCACGTCCTCAGAGCCCTGTTGCTCCCAGGATGAGGAGCCAGGGACAGGAGGATGCCCGGGAGCACAGGTGAGTGACCGGGGCAGGGCGGCCCCGGCCAGCTGCGGCGCCCCTCAGTACAGATCTGCAAAGGGCTTGGAATAGTTGAACATCAGGTAATCCATGTAGTAGAAGTCGTAGGTGCGCTGCCTTTGCAGGGCCGAGAGTTGGGCGAAGTACTGGTGGGCGATCCTCGCTGTGGTCCGCGCCTCCTGCGAGTGCCGGTCCTTGAACCGGGGGAAGGTCAGGTTCCGCGGCGCGCGGATGAGGCTCAGGAAGAAGTTGGCATCGTCCTCCATGCTCTCGAACTTGCCTACGAAATCGTAGTCGATGAGGCAGGGGCTGCAGAGCCGGCTGACATGGTCCCAGTGAATGTCCATCCCCACGGGCCGGTGCACGTCCAGCAGGTACTGGACGAACTCGGGAAAACGCACCCCAGAGCCGGTCCGCAGGGCCTCCCGAGAGGCATTGGCGCGGTACCGGGCCAGGATGGCCTTGCCGAAGACCGGGTGATAGTAGCTGTTGGGGTGCTCAAACTTGTCGCGGAAGGCGGACACCAGCCTCTCGAAGGGCTCGCGGACAAAGAGCATCTTGGTGTAGGTGCTGAGACGGTGCAAGATACCCTGGCGGTCGAAGGTGTCCAGGCGCTTGAGAGCGCTGCCATAGTGGACGGTGTTGTGCTGGATGTCGGCAGTGGACGAGGCCAGGCCGGCCAGCACCATGAGCACCCGCTTCCAATTGGAGCAGCCGGCCTTGGGCACCTCGCAGTAGAGCACGCGGTGGCGGTCCTCCACGAAGATACGGGACACGTGGCGGGGCGTGACGGCCCGGCGGCTGCTGCTCGCCCGGTACTTGGCGCAGGCCTCCTGCATCACCCGCTTGCGCTCCTGCTGGCTCCGGTGCAGGCTGACCCAGCGGCCATCCAGCGTCCCGGGTCCCGGCCGGATGAAGGGCGCGTCCGAGCTGTTGGCCGGGATGGTCGCCGCAGCTGGCATTTTCTTGATGAGCAGACGGCGACGGCGCTGGCGGAGCCGCAGACGGGTTCCCCTCTGCAGCGGGGGTTGAGGCTGGTCAGGCGCTGGCAGGTTGCGGCCCCTCGGGGCCCCACTGGATAAGTCCCGAGTGACCCTCTCTGTGGGTTCCTTCAAGTCACCATCCTGGGAGCCGCCTGGTGGGAGGTCCTGGGGCAAGAAGAGAAGTGGTTATCTGAGTGGAAAGGACAGCTGGGCACTGAGGGCCACACAGGTCAGGCTCTCACCACGGCTGGGGTTCCTGTCCCTCTCAGGTGAGGGAGACAGGCTGACTCTGTAGGTGAGACCCCTCCGGTCTGAGCCCTGGCCCGGCACCCAAAGGCCTCCCTCCCGCTGAGGTGTAAGTGTCATTTCGGCCACAAGATGGCGCGGTCCTCCCAGGAACCTGGCCTGGGAGAGGGTGGCGGGAATAGGTGGCCTGCAGGCGGGCTCAGATTTACGGCCTCTATTAGCACCGTGCAAAGAAGCCTTCTAACAAGGAAGGGAAAATTCATGGGTCCAGAGCCCTGGGCTTTGTTCCCAAGGCTCCTGGGAAAGGCTGGACACATTTTTCTTTCCAAGAATGGATCCAATGTGAGCTCCTAATTTTCTTCCCAGCCCTCCCCAGTTTCCCAAGGGCTGTGTGCACTGAGATTTATCTGACTCTCAGAACTTACGTGGTGGGGCTGCCTTGGCCTGATGTTGAACTTTATTCCTGAAAAGCAAACAGAGGAGAGGACAGTATTAGCGGATCTGCCACATGGCTCCCAGGGAACTGCTTATGGGCTGCTGGCTGTGGACATCCAGGCTGGAGGGATCTTGGGGTAGGCTCTAGGGAAAGGCAGCTTAGGGCATGGCTCAGTGCTGGAGCCCCTCCATCCCCTACCCATGCAGAAAATGGGGACGCAGCAAACATGTGGTCCCACTGGCTCGCAGCTGAGGCTCTCTTCTCTGCATCACGCCTGCCTCCTGATGTGATCTACAAGGTCTGGAAAGGCACCCTGCCCAGGTGTGCCCATACCTGCCCTGTGGAGCAGCCAGGACTCTCACAGGCCACCTCCTCCTGCACCCCACCATGTCATTAAGTCACAGGGAAAGGACCCTTCAGAAAGCTCGATCCACTCTCTCTCCACACCCCATCAGCCATGCCCCAGTTCTGGCCACTGTGGATTCTCTATGCTTGGAATATGATTCACACCCACACCTTTGCACACACCAGGCCTAGGAATGGAACGTGCTTCTTCTCCTCTTGCTACAGGAAGTTCCCTAACCTGGGCATTTGCTTTGTGATCTTGGCCTTCTCAGCTGGCTCTGGAGTTCTGGGGTGAGCTAAGCATATCTTGCTCGCCCTGGTCTCCCCCAAAGCCCTAAGCAGCGCCCAGGTAGAGGGTAATTGTCCAGCGTTAACTTACTGATGACCTCAGGAAGACACAGAGAGACCAGTGCATCAATGGCCATGCTCTGGAACGCCCCCTCTGCCTACCAAGGAGGCCCATGCCTGGGCTGGGCTCACCTAAGAAGCAAGCTCTGGTGAGGTGAACCTTTGGCCAGAGCAGAATATTCTGTGTCATACCTCATTTGGTCTGCTTTGGGGGAAAGTCGCAGGAGGACAAGGAGATTCCCTTTGGGGGGAATCTATTTAGAAGCTGGAGCCTCCTTCCCCAGTCCCTACCTGGCCACCGAGGAATCAGGGGCTCTTTCTGCTCCAGTACCATGTGGGTGGACATTTTCGTCCTGAGGCTCTGCCAAAAGCCATGGTCACCATCAGAGCCAGCTATCCCTTAAGGAGAGAGCTGGATCTTCTGGCTGGCGCGCCGGGGCACCATGCCCGACCACACCTGAGCAAATCCTGGCTGCTGCCTGCGGGAGGGGGGTTCCAGTGTCCCACCACTTTCCTGGCTGTCTCCACGTCCTGGGCAGAGGTCCAGTGGCAGGAGCCCAGCTGGTGAAGGGATCTCCAGGTCTTCCCTGAGCCAGAGATTCTGTGGATTTCTCCATGAGGTCCAGTTTTACAGACTCAGCCACTGCCATGCCCCAGACAATGTAAGGCTGAGGCCGTGCCCGCACGTCTCCTTCAGTCATTAGCAGGCCAGGAAGGAGATGCAAGGTCAGCCCTGGAATGGACAGCCTGAATTCCCTGAGCTTGCCCGAACCTTCCTCAAGTCCCAAGAGAGGCAGAAATGCAGGCAGAACTGGGACACATTTCATCTTTCTTCCGCTTGTCCCTTTGGGCTGGGAACAAGGGTATGCTCTCCCCTGGGCAAAGGGCAGAGTGTCCCCATCTTCCTGGGCACTCCCAAGCTTATGTGCACATGCGTGCATGTGGGGGATCTTTGAAACAGGCCTTCTAGACTCTTCCCTGGAGACTGAGGGGAAGCTCCAAGTAGACCTGGCTGCACCCTTCAGGGTGTGGGGTGTAAGTAGCAGGTGCCTGGCCTGAGAGAGGAGTCTTTAGAATCAAGCTGCTCATTGCCACCCCCTGCCATGCCCAGAGTCTATTTCCCTCCTTGACAGCCACCCCCTCCTCTTCCCCATCCCATCATTACTGCAGCTGTCCCAGCACGAGCCTCCAGAGCTCCTTTCTCTCCCGCAGCCGATGATGACAGCTCCCTTCACTAGAAGGGACCCGCTGCACCACTTGGTTTTCCTCTACTCTGCCAGATTTCCTTAATTATTTTCTTCTGGTTATGGCAGCTGGCTCTGCTAAACCACCTCTCCTCCTCAGAGTCTCAGATATGGGAAATCACTCTGCTTGTCACTCCTGTCATCTCATCAAGGTGTGACGGTGCTTATATATTCCTTTTCTAAAGCAAATGAGTCATGCCAGATTTGGCCAAGAGTGGGGCTGAGAAGCCACTTCCAAAAGGGATCCTGCCAGTCGGGGGGAAGATGGAAGGCCATGTGCTTGTTGAGGTTGCAGCCCCTGAGGCCATGACCTCCCACTGGCACTGTCCCCACAGCCTCGGAGGGCAGTGGGCTGTGGTCCTGTTCCATTTTACCTGTGAGGACTGGACAGGGGGACACTGTCTCCTGGACCTCTGGACTCTGAGCCTAAGCTTCTGGGGCTGTCCCACTCTAATGCTCGCTGAGCTAGAGCCCTTGGCATTAACTAGAGGAAAAGTTCCTTCTAGACAAAGCCTGGGGCTGGGCGAGTCTCCTGATTTCCTGTTTACATGTGTCCATAAAGCCAACCTGCCTGCAACTTCCTCCTTTGAAAGGAAAAATTGCCTTGTGGAGAGTAAGAGAGATCAGTAACATCTTAAGTAGAGCCTGAGTTTGCCATAAGCTATTCCCAACCCTTAGACTTACGGCAGCTTATCAGGCAAAGATTAGACCTATCCCCACAAGCTCACTTTAACATTTTTAAAAATTTACTGCCGGGCACGGTGGCTCATGCCTGTCATCCCAGCACTTGGGAGGCTGAGATGGGCTGATCACTTGAGTCCGGGAGTTCGAGACTAGCCTGGCCAATATAGTGAAACCCGATCTCTACTAAAAATACAAAAAAATTAGCTGGGTGTGGTGGTGCATGCCTGTTATCCCAGCTACTCAGTAGGCTGAGACATGAAAATTACTTGAACCCAGGAGGCAGAGATTGCAGTGAGCTGAGATCACACCACTGCACTACAGCCTGAGCAACAGAGTGAGACTTTGTCTCAAAAAAATAAAATAAAATAAAGAAAAAGAAAAAAAATTTACATTTATTTTAGAAATAGTTAGAGATGGGGTCTTGCTATGTTGTCCAGGCTGGTCTCAAACACCTGGCCTCAAGAAATCCTCCTGCCTCGGCCTCCCAAAGGGCTGGAATTATAGGTGCGAGCCACCATACCTGGCTACAAGTTCACTTTCGAATAAAGAAGAAACGTAATGAAGGAAATCTAAAGGGACCTCCCCTTTGCCGTGAACCTAGTGTCCCCACTAGGAAGAAAACTGCTCTTCCATGCACCAGTCAGATAAAGGCTGAAGCAAAAACCACTGCTGGCTCTGGGCAAGTGAAAACCAGGAGAAACCTTAGGTATCCTGGGGCAGGGGTCTGCACATCCCCAAGTGGGCTGCACGTCAGGACCCTGGACAGCTCCATCAGCGCTCAGGGAAGTACAGCTAAGGGCTCACGAGGATGAGGAAGGTTTGCCACCAGGGGTCAGTGGTACCAGTGCCGTGGGGGGCACTTATGGGTGGGAAGGAGTTTTGGCCTCAGTATAACCACCTCCAGCCCCTCTCAAGCCCCCAAATAAAACGTACAATCTAGATAACATCAGTGGCCTTGCAGAGCAACTCCAGCCACAACCCACCTCCTCTTCCATCCAACGCCACCAATGCTGCCACGCACCTTCCCTGCCTCCCCACCTCCACCCCTGCGACAGAATCCAAGACCAACCACGCACACCCCACTTTCGGTGTCTTGAGTTACCTCTCTTCTCCTGTCAATATAAGGTTCACAATCTGTAAGGGAGCTCCATCCCCCCGCACAGTAAGAAATAAACAAGCACTTTCTCTTTCTGGACAGATGACATGCGTGGAGTGGCTGGAACACATGCGCTATGATAAGAGCATCGGTGAGAATAAACAAGGCGTGAGTTATGGGCACTGCCAAATGTGTTCCACAGTGTGAACTCTTCATTGGCTGAAGTTCTCAGCGTTTAGCTGAAAAGCCTCCTGATTGAGGAGAGGCAGAGACTGATGAGTGTGTGAGGCCAGTTTCTTAGTCATCAGGCCTGGGTTTGGGGCAGAGTTGGGGAGGAGGCTATACCAGCATGTCCAAGGAGAAGGGTCTCTTGCCCGCTCCTCTCTAGGCTCACAGGAGGAAGACCTGCAGGGTGCCACACAAAAGCCCCAATCCCCACTGCCCAGGAGCCATGGAGGGTGGTAACTGGGGAGCAGCCTTTTGGTCAGGCCCTGTAGACAGGCAGCACTGACAGGTGAGGACAGGACCCAACTGCCTCGAATGAGCCCTTGGCCTCCCCCAGCCCCAGGTGGCTCACTCTTGGGAGAATGACGGCTGCATTGGCTGCTCATGTCCCAGCCCCGAGCCCTGATGGGCGATGATGCTAGTGTCCCGCCACTCCCATCACTGCGACTGTCCTTAAAGAGTCAAATCTGCAGAGGGACAGGCATGGGAGAGAACTGGGGAAGGAGGGCAGGAGCGGCCATGCCAGTCCCAGGTCCCTGTCTGTGGTGGAGTTTGAGTCGTGCTTCTTGGTCTTTTGGGATTTCCTGATGGGGCCGTTTGTGTGGCCGCGTTTCCATGTGCCCGGGGCTTCTGGTGGCTGAGTCTGCTGGCAGGTTGCCCCACACCCATTGGCGCTGTCCACTCCACGTCCACTTCCATTGCCCAACAGGCCAGGGAGCCTCCAGGGCTTTTGGCTGCTTCTCTTGGCTCAGGCTGGCCCGACTGGGGGTGGGGAGTTCCCTGAAGGCAAGGTCCCGACTGCATCTTGGTCCTCAGCACGTGCAGTACCCGGATTCTGAGCTTCGGCTCCACCTGGACTCCTTACAGTGGCATCTGGTGGGATGAACACTGTTGTCCCGGACAGCCCAGGCTGCCGGCCTCTGCCCTGCTGCTTCCATGCCCCCATTAGGAAGAAGCAGCTCCCACACCTAAGGTGCACACAAGAAAGGCCTCCGAGCCCTGGGGCAGCCCCACAGCTGGTCACGCACCTGACCTCACAGTGCAGTGCTGAGCTACAGATGGCCTGCCCCGAGTGCAGGGTGCTGGCAGGAGAGAAGGTGGGCGGGTTGGGGGAGAGAGGCCTGAGGGAAATGCCAGGCTCCACTCCATGGGAAGTATGAAGGGTTCTGAATGGGGGGGTGGCATGCTAGTTAGGGTTATCAGAGAGACAGAGAGCCCACAGGTGATATATATGGAGGCGGGAAAGAGACGGAGAGAAAGAGAGAGGGAAGGGAGAGGTAGAGGTGGAGGAGGGGAGAAGGAGAGAGGGAAGCGAGACAGGGAGAGGAGAGAAGGAGGAAAGGAAGAAGAAGAGAGAGAGAGGAGAGAGCGAGACGGGTTGATTTTAAGAAACTGGCTCATGTGATTCTGGGGGCTGGCAATCTAAAATCTGCCAGCAGGCCGGAGACCCAGGGAAGACCTGGTGCCGCAGCTTGCATGGGAAGGAGGTCCGAGACTCCCTCCTACTTGGGGAACTTCACTCTTTTCTCTTCAGGCCTACAACTAATTGGATGAAGCCCACCCACATTGTGGAAGGTCATTTCCTCTACTCAAAGGCTACACATTTTACAGCAAATCACATCTAAAAAATGCCTTCCTGGCCGGGCGTGGTGGCTCACACCTGTAATCCCAGCACTTTGGAGGCTACGGCAGGTGGATCGCGAGACCACAAGAGATCAAGACCATCCTGGCCAACATGGTGAAACCTCGTCTCTACTAAAACACAAAAATTAGCTGGGCATGGTGGTGTGTGCCTGTAATCCCAGCTACTCGAAAGGCTGAGGCAGGAGAATCGCTTAAACCCAGGAGGTGGAGGTTGCAGTGAGCGGAGATCGCGCCACTACACTCTAACCTGGCAACAGAGTAAGACTCCGTCTCTCTCTCTCTCTCTCTCTCTCTCTCTGACACACACACACACACACACACACACACACACACACACACAAAGACTGGCATTTGTCTAAACCCTGTGGCACCATGGCCTAGGCAAGGTGACGTATATAATTAACCATCACGGGAGGTGCTTTGGTTTGTTCCTGCAGCTGCTGTAACAAAGTATCCCAAACTGGGAGGCTTAAAATGACAAAAATGTGTTCTCTCACAGTTCCGAAGGCTAGATGTCTGAAATGAAGGTGCCAGCAGGGTCACACTCCCTCCACTGCCTCTTGGGTACGGGCTGATGCTTCCTCGACTCTTCCAGCTTTCGACAGCCCAGGCGTTCCTTGGCTTGCAACAACAGAAGATCAATCTCTGCTTCGTCTTCACACAGCTGTTGCACACGTGTGTCTCTTCTCCTCTTCTTATAAGGACACCAGTCATATTAAAATAGGGCCCACTCAACCAACCCAAATGCCCATCAATCAACGAGTGGATAAAGAAACTCTGATATATATATATATATATATGATGGAATAGTACTTAGCCATAAAAAGGAATGAATTAATGGCATTCGCAGCCACCTGGGTGAGACTGGAGACTATTTTTCTAAGTGAAATAACTCAGGAATGGAAAACCAAACATTGTATGTTCTCATTCATAAGTGGGAGCTGAGCTATGAGGATGCGAAGGCATAAGAATGATACAGTGGATTTTGGGAACTCGGGGAAAGGGTGGGAAGGGGGTGAAGGATAAAAAACTACAAATTGTGTGCAGTGTACACTGCTCCAGTTATGGGTACATCAAAATCTCACCATTCACCGCTAACTAAAGAACTTAGGTAATCAAACACCACCTGTTCCGCAGAAACCTATGGAAATAAAATGTTTTTAAAAAGGGCCCACTCTAGTGGCCTAACTTGATTACATCGGCAAAGACCCTACAAGGTCACAGTTTACAAGCACAGGGAGCTGGGATTGAGCATTTTTTGAGGGTGGGGCGGGCACCCAATTTGACCCAGTACAGACAGGGTCTCATGTGATCTCATGGGGCTTTAAGAGTGTTTTTTTGTTTGTTGTTTGAAGAGACAAAGTCTTGCTCAGTCACCCAGGCTGGAGTGCAGTGGCATAATCCTGGCTCACTGCAGTCTTGAACTCCTGGGCTCAAATGATCCTCCCGCTTTGGCCTCGCAAAGTGCTGGGATTACAGCCATGAGCCACCACGCCCAGCTGGATGTTCTGAAGACAGGGCAGGATAGCCTGAAGGAGGTGAAGAAACAGCTCGTCTGCTGGTTTAGATCGCCTGCTGATCAGTAGTGAAGGGTTGTTGGTTCTCGGTGTGTTTGGGGCAGGGCCTGTGTCATGTCCATCTGTGTCATTCTGGCACAATGCCCATCAATGCCTGTGGAAAGGCTGGTGCTTTCTGGACTGAGAGCTGGCCTTGGACATGAGGAAGGGTATGGGGCTTCCCAGAAGCTGGGCCCAGGGTTCTGGCTGGAGCCTCCCAGCTGGGAAGGGCCCACGCATCTGGGCAGCAGGTGCCAGCCCCCTGGCTAGATGCAGACAGGGGCAATCCCACTGGAGGAGTCTGTCCACCCCCAGCCCTGGCTGGGTGGCCATGAAGACTGGCTCTGCCAGCTCCTTTCACCATCCACAGTATGCCAGGCCGGGGCCTGCTTTGGGACCGGGCCACACCTTCTCTGGCTCCTCTCCCACCGGCTCAGGCTCTGCCCTTGTGAGGTCTCCACTGCCCCAGGGCTGAGGGACACATTGTCCCCATGGGCCTCTGACTGCCTCACTGTGAACTGCATCCTCCATCTGAGGCAGGCTGTTCATATGCAAATTAGATGCAAAACTGAAGTTTCAACACATGCAGCAATGAGCGGGCAGCCTGGACTCCTGGGCACAGAACGCCCGGAAAAAAGCCTCACCCAAGGGCTTCAATTCTCATCTGTGTTCATGGGAAAATCCAACTTCTTACATTCTCTGCTGGGTCCCCAGGGCACAGCCTGGAGACCAGCCTCTGTCACAGTCACGGCCACCTGCTGCCCTAGGACACGGGACAGGTACGTGGGGTTCCAGGTGGCAGGGCTGCCCCAGCACAGGAGCCGGCTGTTCCTGGGCCCTGATGACAGCTCTGTGGTCAGAGTGTGGACTTCGAGGGGAGGCAGCAGTCAGGCCAGACACACTGGAGAGCTGCATCAGACTGGTCATGTATTGGCCTCTCTCCTCCAGCTTTGGCCTCTGGGTGGGGGGCTTCTTCCCCTAGGCTCTGAGATGATCAAACTCAGTCACAGTGACCTTTGGCTCAGACCAGAGCAAAGGCTTACTCCCTCCCTCTGTGGACCACGCGGAGGACCACCCTGGAGGGTCCATGTGGAGTTGTAGTTTTTAATGCAGGCTTAGCACATCAAAAATTAGAAGACAGGCCAGGCGTGGTGGCTTACACTTGTAATTCTAGCACTTTGGGAGACTGAGGCGGGCAGATCATCTGAGGTCAAGAACTTGGCCAACGTGGTGAAACCCTGTCTCTACTAAAAATACAAAAATTAGCCAGGCATGATGGTGGGCGCCTGTAATCTCAGCTACTCTGGAGGCTGAGGCAGGAGAATCACTTGAACCTGGGAAGTGGAGGTTAGAGATTGCAGTGAGCTGAGATCGTGCCACTGCACTCCAGCCTGGGCGACAGAGCAAGGCTCCATCTCAAAAAAAAAAAAAAAGAGAGAAAACTGAGCGCACACACCCACTGCTGTGTGACCTTGGACAAGTGCCTTGACCTTGCTGAACGTGTTTCATTGGTAAAATGGGCTAAAAATTCATCGGTAAAATGTGCCAAACATATGCATCTTGCAAATCCACAAATGTGCACACCAAATGGGACACAAAGCGGGGCAGAGCCAGAGCCCATTGGTTGAAAGTCAGCTGCTCCTGGCATGCTGATCACCTGGTTCCCTTTGCAGGGGCTGAATCTCCCGCAGCGCAGCTCCTGCCCCCAGCGCAGCGACACTGGGGTGCATCTGCAGAGGAGCGGAGCCTGCATCTTCCTGTCTCTGGCCGATGAGCGCCTGACGGCTCTGACCGCACTTGTTTCGTTTAGTGATTCTGTTCCCTCGCCTTAGTGATTAGGATCCACGATTCAGCTGGGTGGTTCCTGTCAGCTCAGCCTTGGTCGTGAATTCCCTTGGAGCTGTCAGAGAGTCGAGCATCAGAGCTGCCTGTCAGTCAGCCGGTCAGCTGGTCAGCCAGTCTACAAACCCAACGGCTGTCCCGCCTGCGCCACATCTACCCACCTGCCCATCACTGAGTGGGTTGGGAAGGGGAGTCCTGAGCTGGTGCCCTGCCTGTCTACAGGGAGAGATCCTCAGCTCCTGCTTCTCAGCATCCCTCGGTCAGAGCCTGCAGTGACCTCTACAGTGTTCAGGGTGTGTGTGACCCCAGCACACCCGCGCCACCCACTGCATCACCCCTTACACATGTGCATGTCGCATGGGATCAGGTGTGCATGTCCTATGGTCTGTCACACCAGGCATGCCGAGGAAATGCACCACAGCACACATTTGTGCTGCACAGGTGCCTGCTTCCTGTGTGTGTGATGTAGCGTGCCCTGGGTGGGGAGTGTGTGGTTGTGTGCACATCCCTGTGTGGTTTCTAGGAGTCCATGGCACATGGCTTACAGCAGATCATGCCTCTTCTTTCCTTTATGTATCCTTTCCCTCTCTCCCTCCCCCACTTCCTTCCTTCCTTTCTTTTTTGAGACAGTGTCTCATTCTGTTGCCCATGCTGGAGTGCCGTGGTCATGGCTCACTATAATCCTGAACTCCTGGGCTCAAGTGATCCTCCCACTTCAGCCTCCCAAGTAGCTGGGACTACAGGTGTGCACCACCAAGCCCAGCTAATTAAAAAAATATATACATATATACATATTTTTATACTATATATATATATGTATATTTTGGCCAGGTGTGCTGGCTCATGCCTGTAATCCCAGCACTTTGGGAGGCTGAGGCGGGTGTATCACCTGAGGTCAGCAGTTCAAGACCAGCCTGGCCAACATGACGAAATCCCATCTCCACTAAGTAAATACAAAAATTGGCCAGTGTGGTGGTGGAGACCTGTAATCCCAGCTACTCAGGAGGCTGGGGCATGAGCCTTACTTGAACCTGGGAGGTGGAGGTTGCAGTGAGCTGAGATTGTGCCACTGCACTCCAGCCTGGATGACAGAGTGAGACTCTGTCTCAGAAAAAAAAAAAATTCATAGAGGCAAGGTCTCACTATGCTGCCCAGCAACTCCTGGCCTCAAGCGATCCTCCTGCATCAGCCTCCCAAAGTGGTGGGATTACAGGCATAAGCCACCGTGCCTGGCTGCTTGTCTTCCTTCAACACATGTGGGCCTGGAAGAACAAGCCAGAGCTAGTGGTTGCTGCTGCAAATGGGAAAGAACGAACTGCGTGGCCCTATCCCACAACCCAGTGTCGCTCCCTGGCTTGCCCTGTCTCTGCTTCCCACGTGGGATGTTGACAGCAAGACCAACTGGCTGGCCTCCACTTTGCAGTACACCACGCGGAATGATCCTGCCATCTGCCCCCATGTATCCATTCACTTCACATTGATGGAGCACCTATACGGGCCAGTAGCATCTTAGGTACTGATGACAGTGTCTTAACCAGGAATGGGATAGTGTGGCCCCTGCCCTCATGAAGCTTCCAGTCTAGCAAGGAGGAGAGGCACTGGCCAGCAACTCCATGTGTGATGGCAGCCATGGAGGACTTTGCAGGCAATGTGGGACAGTTGACATGTTAGCTAGCTCAGTGTTGCAGGTGACAGCTCCTGAAGATCGTGACAATAAATTGGCACCTGAGGGTAATGAGGACATTTCTGGCAGAGCTTCATGGCCTTCCACCATGAAAGCAAGGCTCCTGGGATGAAGAGATGGGTCCAGAGACTGAAGAGTGTCAAGAAAAGGCAGGGCCAGGTACAGTGGTTTACACCTTTAATCCCAGTGCTTTGGAGGCCAAGATGGATGGATTACTTGAGGCCAGAAGTTTAAGACCAGCCTGGACAACATAGTGAGACCCCATCTCTAAAAAAAAATGAAAAAATTAGCCTGGGCACAGTGATGGGCACCTGTAGTCCCAGCTGCTCAGAAGGCTAAGGTGGGAGGATCAGTTGAGTCCAAGCGTTAGAGGCTGCAGTGAGCTATGATTGCACCACTGCACTCCAGCCTGGGTGACAGAGTGAGATCCTGTCTCAAAAGAAAAGAAAAGAGAAAGGAAGGAAGAAGGGAGGAAGGGAGGGAAGGAAGGAGGGAAGGAAGGAAGGGCAACCATGATGGCTGGCCGGCAAGAAAGAGGCTTTATAGCCATGCAAAGACACTAGACCTTACCTCCTAAGGCCCAGGAGAGTCTCAAAGAGCTTTAGGGTGTGGAGTTATTTTGAATTTAAGGACCATTCTGAGATGGAGTCAAAGATACAGCAGAAAGGTTGGTCAGGGGATTGCTGTCACTATCCAGGCAGGAGACTCTTGAGGCCTGGACCCAGGGGATGATGAAACAGTGGAGGGAGAGTTGAAGAACATTTCGGGAGATGGAGGTGTGCTGGGAAATGTTGAACACCTGACTTTCTGGGTGATGGGGTGGGAGCGGGGAGCAGCCTGGTTTGCAGTGTTTGCTGATTTCCGTGGTCTGAAATCCCATCATGGCAGATTTCAAACTACTGATGTCATGTGGGGCTGGGCCCTTGGGGGCCAGGACAAGTTGGCCTGAACTCGCCACTACATCAGCAGGACCTGGGACTGGCTGACTGCAGAGGGAGACGCTGGCTTCTGACTTTAGCAGTGGTGAATGCTGATGCTATTCCCTGCGCAGGAGGACAGATCCCTGTGGACTTTGAGGAGACCTGACTACAGGTCTCCCAAGTGCAGACATCCAGAGGGCAGTTGGAGGAGAGGGAATTAGGGGATCAGGGGTGGCTGGTCAGAGGTGCGGGGGGCAGACGTGCCTGTGGGAGCTCATTCAGCCACCTGTGGCTCTTCTGGGCCAGTGGGGGCATGATACCAGCACTTCTCAGGGAAAGAGGGGTAGAGGCAGTGGGCCTGGGCCTGGAGGCTGCCATTTTCTGGGCCCACCGGGATCCCACCCCAGGCTCTCAGCAGCCGTGACCTCACAGCACCATGCCTGGTGGGTTAAATGGGACGGATGTCAACGCCTCCTCTTGTCTGGCTGACATGGCACGTGGTGACCACTCTGCAGCCAGCTCTGCAGGAAGGCACCTCATTTGGTCTAAATAATGGTGAATTCCCATTGTGGGGTTACCAGCAAATAGAAGCAAGTGAGTCAGGCTGGAGCCCGAGGCTGGGGTGGCCCCATAAAGGGGCTGTCTTGATGTAGTTTGGACATTCGTCCCCGCCCAAATCTCATGTTGAAGTGTGATCCCCAGTGTTGGGGGTGGGTCCTGGTGGGGGGTGTTTGGCTCATGGGGGGATCCTTCATGGCTTGGTGCCATCCCTGTAATAGTGAATGAATTCTCATGAGA
Organism: Homo sapiens; assembly: GCF_000001405.40. Classification (NCBI taxonomy): domain Eukaryota; kingdom Metazoa; phylum Chordata; class Mammalia; order Primates; family Hominidae; genus Homo; species Homo sapiens. The sequence continues at coordinate 33,759,053 of NC_000019.10, read as the reverse complement.
TCTGGTTGTTGTGAAGTGTGGCACCGCCTGCCCCCAAGTCTCACCCTTTGTTCCTGCTTTCACCAGGTGACACGCACACTCCCGCTTGCCCGCTGCCATGAGTAAAAGCTCTTTGAGCACCGCCCCCCCCCGCCAAGAAACCAAGTGGATGCTGGGGCCACACTTCCTGTCCAGCCTGCAGAGCCGTGAGCCAATGAAACCTCTTTTCTTTATAAACTGCCCAGTCTCAGGTATTTATTTATAGCAGTGCAAGAATGTGCTGACACATGCCTGTTTACAGGAAAAGTGCTCCCTACCCACTGGCCCAGCCCTGAGACAGGCCCTCCAGGGGCAGACGTGGGCAGCATGTCCTTCTTCACCCTGGAATGGAGTCAGGCAGCCAGGACGGCAGCCTCATTACCACTGTGGCCCAGCTGCAAGAAAATGATCGGTCCAGCTCCAGCCGGCCTTGGGATGCATTGTTCTGGCTGCCACGTCAATTACCGAGCTGGCCTGGAGCTGTCAAGCCTGTCACAGCTGTTGCTGTGATACCCTAAAGAGCCACAAAAGTGAATCTGTCTTAAGTGATGCTTCTTTGAAGTGACCCCCACTGCAGGCCGCTCTGGCCTGGGTGGGGCTCTGCAGACACCCTGGGGAGAGTGGGGCTCCAGACTGCAAAGGGCTGCCTAGGGGCTCAGGGATGGGTGCTCTGATCCTTGGAAGAGCTCCCAGACGGCTGAGCACTGATGGTCACTGACTGTACCCACAGGGGTCCCGGAGTCTGGGTGACGGCCCTGACTCAAGCACAGTGAATGGGCAGCTACAGTTCCAGGCCCACCCCCACCCCTACACCAACATCTCCAGTGTCTTCTCTCTGGCATCTCAGGGAACACCGAGGGGCAGCTGCAGCTGAGGGGTCATCCTGTGTGCCCCCCCACCCCACCCCACCAGAACAGAACAGAGACTCTGGCAATTCACAGGTTGCAGGGACAAGGCCAGAGACTGCCCGGAGCACTCAGGGGCTCTGGCCGTCAGTCCGGCTCTTCCCTGCCGAGGGTCTGGATAGCTGCAGTCTACATTTCAGAGCTGGGGTGAATCTCCCAGGGCAGGGCCTTGAAGCTGGAGTCAGGTCCAGCCAAGGGCTGGGGCAAGAGAAGCTCTGGAAGGCTCTGGCCTGAGGATTACACCAGCTTCTTTGAGGGGTCAAACTTGAGCATAATACTGGCGTGGTGGTGCACACATGGAATCCCAGCTACTCGGGAGGCTGGGGCAGGAGGATTGCTTGAGCCCAGGAGTTTGAGCTCCCATGTTGAGTCTGGGCAACATAGTGAGATCCCATCTCTTAAAAAAAGACACCAAACCTGAGTATGGATGCCAATCTTGGGCTTGTCAGTGGCTGGCTGTGGGGACATCACCTCCCCTGGATACCTGTCCAAGAGCCCCTTTCTGCTCCCTTCTGAATGGCCGGCTCTTTCTTTCTTTCTTTCTTTCTTTCTTTCTTTCTTTCTTTCTTTCTTTCTTTCTTTCTTTCTTTCTTTCTTTCTTTCTTTCTCTTTCTTTCTTTCTTTCTTTCTTTCTTTCTTTCTTTCTTTCTTTCTTTCTTTCTTTCTTTCTTTCTTTCTTTCTTTCTTTCTTTCTTTCTTTCTTTCTTTCTTTCTTTCTTTCTTTCTTTCTTTCTTTCTTTCTTCTTTTTTTGAGACCGCGTCTCACTCTGTTGCCCAGGCTGGAGTGCAGTGGCATGGTTTTGGCTCACTGCAACCTCCACCTCCTGGTTCAAGCGATTCTCATGCCTCAGCCTCCAGAGTAGCAGGCGTGCGCCACCACACCTGGCTAAATTTTGTGTTTTCAGTAAAGACGGGGTTTTACTATGTTGCCCAGGCTGGTCTTGAACTCCTGGGCTCAAGCAATCCACCTGCCTGGGCCTCCCAAAGTGCTGGGATTACAGGCATGAGCCACTGCGCCCATCCTGAATGGCCAGCTCTTCCTCCGCCCAGCCCAGCACCCTGTAGCAGCAGGAGCCCCCACAGGGCCATGTGGGCTGACCAGGGGGGCCCCAGACCATCATGGGAGCACAGACAGCCTGTCTTCCACTGCCCCCTCACAGCCATGCCAGACGGGGCTGCCTCCACACCCCCATACCACACTCACACCTAAACCACAGGCCCTTTGCATCTCATACCTGTACAGCCTCCAGAGCCCTGGGGTGCTGACTGCAGGGTTGGGGAAAGTGGGGAGGGCGGAGAGACTCCTGAGGGTTGCATGTTCAGAAGTCATTCTGGAGGTGACTGGGGAACTTGGAGAAGAGTGAGGCCCAAAAGGAAGTGGGAAAACAAATTCAGGTTCTTACCTTATGATGGAGGTGAGGAGTGGGGACATCTGAACTTAGGCAGGTTGGGCGGGGGTAGGAAAAGGAAATGTTGGATTTTGCAGAACAACAAAGCCAGAGGGCTAGAGGGTTTGGTGAGTCAGGGGTATGAGGGGTGAGGGTGAGGGAAATGTCTGGAGGACTCCTCCCATAGCATGCTGCCAGGACCCCCAGACAGGGAGGTCTCAGGGAATGGAGGAGCCCTTGGGGGAGAAGACCCAACCTTGGCTTATGGTGAACCAGAGACAGACTCGAGCAGCACCTGCAGGTAGCAGCTGTCAGCTGGAAACAGGACAGAGCTTGGGTGAAACTGTCCATTAGCCAGATCTGGGCCACATACCTCGGTTTGGGAGGCAGCCCAGACACACACCATGCAACCTAGGCCCGCGACTTCCAGCATCCTTCAAACAGGCCCACGTCACCGCCTAACGCCAGCCTCGTTAGCTCTGAGCACGAGAATATTAAGTAGATGTAAACACTGGAAATAGCTGTTATTTTCACGATCTTCATGCGCACCTGGAATTGGCCATCATCACAGTATTCACGTTATTCAATAACATGAAGTCTTCTAAGGCAATCCGTCAGCCAAGACCCAACCCCCTTCCCGTTCTTCGCTCTCCAGCACTTTGGGGGTGTCTCCTTGCTCCAAGAGAGGTGCCATTTGCAGGGAACTGGAAGCCGGTGTTTGCCTGGGTGGGGGTGGAGGAGCTTACTGGGCTCCTGGAAGACAGTGCCCGAGGTCCCTGAATTCCCCTTTCAAGGCCTCAAACTCTTTGCTTAGCCTCTGCCTGCACATCTCCACCAAAGGCCCTGCAATTAGACCCGCCAGCTTTGCAAACGGAATGTGCTCCCATGTAATGGCTGTTGGTAGGGCGTCTGGGGTCACCGTGAAAGGAGAGCTAAAGAAGATATCTGAGCTGTTTTCCTGCTTCCTTTGAAGTCCAACCAGCGCAGCTGCTCTCGGGACGAAGAGAGCCCACCACGGACACAGAGGCAGCCCCTCCAGGCTGCGTGCATTTCTGGAGGAATTAAGGCTCCAGTCTGGAGCACCGGGCATGTGTTTTGGGCACCTCTTTGCGGTTGTGAAATGTGCTATTCCGGGAAACAAACAAGCCTGGCTTGTGCCTTCTGTCTTTCACGCCTGCGCGTGGCAGGGATGAGGAGCGGGCCAGGTAGGTGTGTGGAGGGCCGTTCTTTCTAGAATGAATGATTCACTAGCAGGGTGAGAGGTGATTCACTGCTGCTCAGCCCACCACAGCATCTTCCCCAGGATTAAACGTCATTCCTTCTAATGACTTGATTTATGTCCGGAGGATTACAGCTCCAAACAAAATATTGTGATGATGGCAATAAATCACATGGGGGATGCTTACGACGGCTGCTAGCATGTTTTCTGTTTGTCTGGGAGTTGATTACAGAATGAAGGGCTGCTGTGTAACAGGGAGTATGGGGCGGGGTGAGCACAGCACAGGTGTGTCAGGCGGTGGGAGCTTTGACAGGGGCATCAGAAGGTTTCCAGTGCCAGAGGCTTCTGTGAAAATCTGTGGTTGCAGACAGCAGGGATTTTGGAAATCCGGAAGTCCACAGGAAGGCACCATCCTGAGCCCCTGGGGGGTGCATGGGTGGTGGGCATCCTGAGAATGTCATTTCCAGCCTTTAGCTCTGCTGCATCCGCAAGTGAGAGACACAAGGATGGGCCAGGCTAGGATGGCTCTGCAGGGCTGAGCTGCTCGGAAGAAGGAGGATCAGGCTGCAGACAGGTGCCCCTGAGCCGGCATCTCTCACTCAGGTGCTCAGCAGAAAGGGATCCTTTTCCATCAAGACCTGGCCCTGCAGAGCAGGATCTCAGAGGTTCACATCATCTGCAATCAACTTCAAGGTTCACATCCACAACAGATTTGCATGGACCCCAGCCTGGGCTCAGGAGGAAACTGGTAGCCTTGCTCTCCCAGCTCTGTTCTTAGCTAGTCTATTTGAGAGGCTGTCACCCCTGCCTCTGACAGCTGGGACAGTTGTCCCTGTGAGACGTGGCAGAGGCTGGAGCGGGCATGCAGGTGGGCAAACACTTGAGGGGCTGCCACACAGCACCCTGGACTGTTCCCACCAGTCAAGCTAAAGCTCCATCCTGGTTGGACGTCTGGGAGAGGATGAGCCTCCTCTTTGGTAAAGTCGATCCTGTCCTTGGATCAAACCAAAAACAGAGGGAAAGGGGATGAGAGCAGGCATAGGGTTAAGATGCACGGCAAGGTCCCCTGATCCCAGCAGAACAGTCCCTCATCCTGCCTGGTGTGCTTCTTCTAGAGAGAAATGTGTTCTCGGAAGAGCCCCGCAGCCTAGAGTGCTGTAGCAAGGACGGTTTGCTCATAAGAGGTCATGGACCCGGGTGACTTGGGGATGCCAGGTGCGGGGATAAAGCAGTCCATTAGCAGGTATGAGGCCCCAGGCCCAGCTCATAGCACACTTGACTGCCAAGTGTGAGTGAGGAGGGGGTTTGTACCACACAAGGGTGTCTTCCTTGTCAGATGTGATGCACTGATGATGGGGAGATGCACACGGGGGGCACACTGATGTCAGGTAGGATGGTACACAGAGGGTAGTGGGGAGATGGTGTGGGGATGGCATATGGATGGTGGGAGATGGTGTGGGGATGGTGGGAGGTTGTTGGGGGATGGTGGGGGGATGGAGGGGGGATGGTGAGGAGATGGGGGATGGTGGGGGGATGGAGGGGGGATGGTAGGAGGATGGTGGGTGGTTGGTGTGGGGATGGTGGGAGGTTGGTGGGGGATGGTGAGGGGATGGGGGATGGTGGGGGATGGAGGGGTAGTGGTAGGAGGATGGTGGGTGGTGGGGGGATGGTGGGTGGGTGGTTGGTGGGGGATGGTGGGTAGGTGGTGTTGGGATGGTAGGAGGATGGTGTGTGGGTGGTGTGGGGATGGTGGGTGGTTGGTGGGGGATGGCAGGTGGATGGTGAGGAGACGGGGGATGGTGGGGGATGGAGAGGGTTGGTAGGAGGATGGTGGGTGGTGGGGGGATGGTGGGTGGTTGGTGGGGGATGGAGGGGGGATGGTGGGTGGTGGGGGGATGGTGGGAGATGGTGGGAGGTTGGTGGGGGATGGTGGGAGATGGAGGGGGGATGGTGTGAGGTTGGTGGGGGATGGTTAGGAGATGGCAGGTGGATGGTGAGGAGATGGGGGATGGTGGAGGATGGAGGGGGGATGGTAGGAGGATGGTGGGTGGGTGGTGGGAGGATGGTGGGTGGGTGGTGGGAGGATGGAGGGTGGGTGGTGGGAGGAAGGTGGGTGGTTGGTAGGGGGAAGGTGGGAAGTTGGTGGGGAGATGGTGGGTGGGAGGATAATAGGTAGATGGAGGACAGTTGGTGGTGTTAGAAGTCCTGAAGAAAAGATTGGAGATGGGGCCTAGAAAGGGCTGGGGCTGGAAAGGGGTGCTGGAGGGAGACAGGAGCAGAGATGGAGAAGCTACATGCAGGCTACATAGGCAGGCTCCTGGCCGCTCCCCCTGGTGAAGGTGCAGGCTCTGGCTGTGCCGTTCCCACGGGCAAGAGTGACCTCCCTGACCTGTGTGGCCTCTGATGCCCAGGCAGTGGCACAGGTGACAGTGGTGGCTCCAATTCAAATGCAAGCGAGCCTTCCCCCAGCCCCCAGTGCACCCCCCTGGCTGCAGGGAAGGCTGTGGCTTCTTTCTCCACCGAACGCTGAAAGCAATCTCCAATGTCAGAAGACAAAGCCTTTGCCCATCTTTGTTGAACACAAGGGCAAAAAAATTGTTGTTTGTTTTATAAAGTCTGGCAAATTTTGATAATGAAACCATTGGAACACTAATTCTGAAACCTTTCTAATTCCAGGCAGATAAGGAATAATGGTAACGTATTTCAACTTCAGAAGCAAAAATAACCTTTTATCACCTAATTTAACAATGTTACTGGGGAAATATGTTAGAAGAATGTAAAATGCTATTTAAACGATAAAATATGCTGTCTTGGATGGCAAGGATTTTAATTGCCACAATCAGAGTCCAAACACACTTGCATGCCAGCCCTGACAGACACTGCTAATGAGAGGGTGTCCATAACGTGGGGCGGCGGGAAGGGTCAGATGCGACTTCTGCGACTCCCCGGGGAACTGCCTAAAACCGACAGCTGTCTGGGCTCTGCCATGCTCCTCAGTATCGTTGCCTGTGAAATACGAATCGGTTCAGATATGAATATTAATCGGCCAACACATTAATATTAATCAGTTAATATATACTTCCCATGACAACAAGAGATAAAGGAATCTTATGTGGCGGATCAGGGAACACAGAATATCTAAGTGGATTTCCTCAGGATCCACAGCATAAAGAAGACTAAGCCTCTTAGACGTGTCATCTTGGCAGAGAGCGAAGCCTGGCTCACGCGTGGGTCGAGTAATGAGCAGGAGAATCCCTGTGGGAGTGAATTCCTCTCCCCGGGCAGGGGGTGGTGCTTCCCCCTAGGCGGCGGGCAGGTTGGGGGAACTGCGGTTGGCATGGGCAGCCCCTACTTCATCCCAGGGCTCCCGGGCTCAGGCAGCTGGGGCGTCCAATACCCGCTAGGCGGAGCCTCCCCTTCGTCCTGGGGCTCAGGCAGCTGTGGCAGCAAATCTCACTCCAACCCCTGGGCAGGAAATCTCATCCAATCCTAGGTGCAGGGTTGGTGGGGTCTGAATGGCTGGCCAAGCAGGGCCCCTCCGCTGCCCAGAAGGGGGAAACACCACGCTGCTACCCCGATCCCTGACCCCTCCTGGCGCCGTTGGAGGGAAAACACTCATTCTGTCATTGTTCATTTGGGAGCTGGTGCCGCAGGCCCCATGCTGAGGGGTGTTAAAGGCTGGACAGAGAAATGATCCCGCTCCCGTGGGGGCTTCAGCAGGATAGGTTTTACTATCCCTGTTTGGCATGAGGGCACTCACTGAGTCTCAAAGAGGTTAAGTGGGTCACCCTCATCCACACTGCTGCCCAGGTAGGCTGGCAGAGTGGTGGGTCCAGGCCCGAGCTGTCTGATTCCATGTCCTTGCTGTAACCACTCTCTGATGCTGCCTGCCAGTGCCCGGGGACGGTGGGCCGGTCAGGCAGGAGGCTGGGGGGTTCACAGAACGTCTCACTATCATTAAGCCAGTGTCCACCATCAGAAAAGCTGCCAGGGTCTTGGCCTTGGGCTGCCCACACTGGGTCCCTGGGGAGACCAGCCTGCCTGATGGGGGCTGCTTGAGGGCAGAAGGTGACTTACCTATGCCTGCTCACTGGCAAGCTGCCGCCACAGCACAGGCATATCTGAGCACAATTAACATTTTAAGCACTAATTATTTCCCTTGGATGTCTACGTCTGAGGATCCTTCAATTTCAGCTTAATTGGAGAAAAATGGTCATCAGTTATTGAACAGCGGGAGGGTGGCTCTGTGCTTCCCAACACCGAGCCAAGCCGTGAATCCTGAGAACATATGGGTCCCTGCCGTGGCAGCTGGTCAGCCGGGCCAAGCGAGGGTGCGGTGGGCAGGCTGTGGGCACCCTGCCCCGCCATCCCCAACATCTGCTGGGAAGGCTTTTTGGCCACGTTAATGACTTGCCTTTTTATCTTTTCCATTTTGTTCCATTTTCTGCAACAGCATCTGTTGCAAGAAAACCAACTCCAAGAGGAAATGGGATTCATTATTAAAAGGAGAGCTTGTAACTTCCCCATCACTCCCCCTTGTCCTTGATGATAATCTGAGCTCATAATGAAATCCTCAGGCCCTCCCTGGCTTGGCTGGGAGGGTTGCAGGGCTGGGTGGGGGTGGGGGTGCATCTGCCTGCTGCTGAGGGGTACCAGTGGTGAGCCTGGACCGAGCCTGGAGAGGCTCGGTCTGAAAGGGTATCAGATGCCCCAGCCAGGAGGCTTGGCCCAGGGCCCACCACTGCCTCTTCCCTCCGTTGGGGGTGGGCGGCTGGTGCCTGGGGCCTTGTAAGAGAACCGTGAGGCTTTGCTGATCACACTTCTGGAAAACGAAAAAGAATGCTCTATTTTGCTTTGCCTGGTTTTATTCTTTGGTTCCCTATGGGCAACCAATTAAGAGAATCAATACTTCTGGACCCTGATGGGAAACTGAGCGGCTGGTGGACACTGGGGAGTGGCTCTCGCCTCCAGCAGCCTTCAGGGATGGCTTATCCCGAGGCTTAGGGGTGGGGGATACAGGGGCGGGGTGTGGGATGCAGAGGCAGAGTGGCCCAGGACACAGGGATGTGCCAACTCTGGTGGCTTCTCCTCCCGGATGGATGGCTCTCAGATCCAGGCCCTGGGGTCCTGGGGGTAGCCCCAGAGGGGACTGAGCAGGAAACCCTGAGGTCTGTCCCAGCGTGTGCCTATGCTGGTGACCACAGCCCCTATAGCAGACGGCTAGTTAGGAGAGGCTGGAGCAGTTGAACTCAGCCAGGACCCTACTCAAGTAATAGGACCCTGCCCAAAAGTGCATCCTCCCAACCCTGCTGACCCTGCTTAACTAGCACTTGATGACCCCTGTGACCTCATGCTGTCACCACCCCCCTTAGGTCACCCTCCTCTCTTGGGTTCCAGACCACCTTGTTGCACCCCCTTGGCGAGGGGCCCTGCCTTCTCAGGGTCCTTCCAGGCCTGAGCCTCTGGCCCGTCTCAGGGCGTTTCGGTCTCCCAGCCATGCCAGCTTCCTGGACCACACCTAGCTGGGGCGCCAGGCCTCAGGGAGGACTCAGAGAGTGCAGCCTGTGGACAGGAGAAAGGCAGGAAGCAAGGCACAACGCACCTGCCAATGGCTGCTGCACGATGAGGGCCACGACCCGGACCCTTTCATGAGCTGGGTGCTTGGTGCGCCAGCTGGACAGCGCACAGCACGTGACATACAACCCACCCATAGCTAAGGGCACATGTCCTTCCTCCCTTTGGAGCCTGACCCTGGGTCTCCTGGCTCAGCAGCCTGGGGCCTCAGGGAGGTGCACCCACTGGCCTCTAGCACCCACAGTGCCTGGGAGGGAGGTGGGTGAGTAGCAGTAAGACTGAGGGCTGCAGGACCTGCCCAAGTTACTGGCCCTAGTGACCACCCAGGGACTTAGAGGCAGAGCCTGACCCTGCCCTGTGCCTCATCACCGCTGTCTTCATCTGTGATGGGGTTCATTGAGCACCCACTGATTCCAGCCACCCATGTGTTGTGAAGAGCTCATAGCATCGGCCCCTACAGAAGGCCATGAGATTGGTGGTTGGTTGGTGGGGGGATGGTGGGGAGATGGGGGGATGATGGGGAGGATGGAGGGGGGATGATAGGAGGATGGAGGGGGGATGGTAGGAGGATGGTGGGTGGCTGGTGGGAGAAAGGTTATTATTTTGCCCCAGCTTGACACTGATGAAGCTGTGATATACACATATTTAGCCACTAAGGTCACACAGCTGGCCAGTGGCTGAGCCAGGGATTGAACTCAGGGATCAAACTCAGTTGTCCCTGGCTCCGGGTGTGCTCTCCTAGCCACCTGCTGCTTTCCCTCAGAGCTTTGTTCATGGCTGCAAGGCGGGACCTGTGGTGAGGTGGGGGAGCCCCGGACATAGCTGCTTTTGCTGCCATCCCTGGGGCATGCACACCCCTTCTGCCCACCAGGGCCTCTCCTGCTGGGGGCCCCCCTTGCTGCTGTCCCTCTGGCACCACCCAGGCCTCATCTCACATGGCGTCCTGAATTCCTCTGATGCCCTCAGGGGTGTGCGCCTGTTGGGTGGGAGCTTCCCAGCCTCACTCCTTGAGGCTCTCCTCCGAGTGAGCCTTCGGTCCTGATGCCTTCACCTGCCTTCTCCTCCAAGGCCTGTCACACACTTATCCATGGTGTGGCCTCTCCTTCCTCACTGCACTGGCTTCTGGATGAAGCAAAGTGGCCTAGACACTGAGGATCTGAGCTGTGAGAGCCTCCTAAGGGCCCAGGAGCGGCAGCAATTTACCTGCCTGCAGCCTCAGTTTCACTATCTGTATAATGGGAAATCAGGGCTTACTGTCCAAGGCTGTGTGCGTCTCCTGCAATAGAGGACAAGGTGAGCAGCCGGGCCTGTGGGCTTGCTGAAGGAACCTGCAGGAGCCACCCCCAACACCATGTTGAGACAGTAAGAGACCCTGGGTCCCAGATCTGGGCCAGACCTTTCATCTCCCCCTCCCCAGCTGGGACCCCAGCAGAAGCTGTGAGCAGAAGTGGAACCTCAGGCCAGGAAGGCTCAGGGGAAAGGAACCTGGGGCGACACGGCCATGAGCCTGCCCAGCGGCGCTGGCACCAACGAGCGGGTAGCCCTGTGTGATGGCCAGAGCATGGGCTGCAGGCCCCATCTGTCCTGGCAGAAGCTGTGTCTCCACTTCTCACCAGGTGTGGGGACTTGGTCAGGTTCGGACCCATTAGGTCCTGCACTTCTGCCCTTGGAGAGTGGAGATGATAATGGGGGATGTGGAGGGTCCCTGAGCTCACCGCCATCCAGTGGAAGCTGAGTGCCTGGGCCTGGCGAGTGCCTGGGGCATAGCTACATGACTATTGATTAAGGCCCTAGATGCCGTGGATCAGACAGTGCGAACAGCCTGGCTTTGGGTGAGTGGCAGGCGGCATTCCCCTGGGTCCTTGGCAGGAGGGAGCACTGGACGGGACAGCTCTGTGGACAGCCCCTCATCCACCTCCTCTTCCTGCCTGTCCTGAGGGAAAGGAAAATCTCCTTCCCCAGGCCATGTTCCTTCTCCACCAGAACTCATTAGAAGTGTGGACTTTGTCATCATACCCAGCGGGCAAGTGCAGGGGAGCCAGGAGACCCGCTGAGCCACCTCCTCGGCCTCCACAAAGAGCTAGGAACCCCCCTTGTGTGTCAGTTAAAAAAAAATCTCAAAGCTTAAAAGCCTTCCTTAGACTTGTTTTTTGTCATGAAACATTTCATTCATGCAAAAGAAAATATATAACACTATAAAGACGAAGAAAACAAACAGCCAGGTATTCACCACCCAGTTTCAGAAACAGAATTCTATCAATATCATTGACGCTCCCTCTTTGCCCCTCTTGGACAGCCCTCTCCTGCTCCTGCCGGGGTAATCACTTCACAGAATTCTGTGTTTATCATTCCTTTCTCTTCTTAGTAGTGTGTATGTGTGTGTGTGTGTATGTGTGTGTGGCATATGTCTATATCCCCTAAGCAACGTATTGTTTATTTTTACATGGTAGCTTAGAGCTGGATGCAGTGGGAGTATTTACACCATAGATATTGGCAAGTGCTACAAATCAGGGCTCTATTCTCTTCCTCCCTGGAGAAGGGGTTTACCAGCATGTGAATGGGTTGCAGGCCAACTCCAGGGGGAAGGTGTCGCCTTCCAGAAGAGGAGTATCCTATCAGCTGAGGTCAGATCTCTAAGGACGGGTGCAGCTGTGAGCAATTAGCTGTCCCCACTAACTGCAGCAGGGGAAGGGCGCACCTGCCCGCTGAAGTGTGTCTGAGTGGGGCACCTATGGCTTCTCTACAACAAGTTATAGCAAGGTCCAGACCAGAAGTGACCCCACAAATCTGCCCCCTCGTTCTTTATTCTCTGGCCCACCATATTTACAGGCCATTCCCTGGAGTCAAACATATGCTTACCAGAGCTCTCCCCAACCTGAAATTATTTATGACTTGACATTCAGGGAGGAACAGCAATTTTCTCAAAATGTCTGATGTCATGATATATAGTCCGTTTGACATGCATGTGCCCAAACCGATTGCTCTGCAGGTCTGCCCCTCAATTACCATCGCCCTGATTTAAAAAGGAGAATTCATATTGCTTGGCAGGATGCTAACTCAAGTAGCATCCAAAGAAAATGACCAGAGCATCTTATGGAAAAATAAATGCCTTGAAAAAAAAAAAGAACAAAATGTACCAGTTATCTGGCCAGATCCTTGTTTTCTAGGGTCTTTTGTTAGGTGACGCTGGAATGGAGTGAAGTCAGGCCCCCTGCTTCGCAGAACTCACCTCCCACTAACTCCTGGCCGCATGGCTGTGACTAGGTCACTCCTCCTGCCTGAATGTCACTAAAGACAACATGGCCTGTGTCCAGGTATGCTGTGTCAGGAAACTCAAAGAACATGCCCATCAACAGGCAAACTGATAAATGAACATGGTACATCCATTCTACGGAATACTGCTTGCCTGTAAGAAAAACACCAACTACTCATATACATGACGATCATGGATGAATTTCACAAACATTTTGCTGTGCAAAATCAGCCAGGCATAAAGGAACACACACTGTAGGATCTCACTTATGTAAAATTCTAGAACAGGCAAAATGAATCTCTAGAGATGGAATAAGATCAGTGGTTGCCGGGGGCGGTGCGGGGAGTGAGTGAGCAGGAACACGAGGGAATGTTCTGGGGTGGGGGAAATGTTTCACGTCTCCAATTGGGGTGATGGAATACATTTGATAAACAATGCATGTGTTTTCTTGTTTATAAATTACACCTCAATCAAATTGATAAAAAACGATGTGAACATATTTTAGAACTCTAAAGTGCCATGTTTTTTAAAAAAATGCTATTTTAGTTTTGCAGACATCTTGCTTGTATCTCAGTAACACCAAATGGCAACACTTGGAAGGAAAAGGCTTTTATAAAACTAAAGACTGCTGTGAGTTCAATAACACCAGCTACAATTAATTTTCAATGATCCTTGAATAAGCAAAGGAATTTGGAAAAACTGTCTCCGCCCCAGTCAAGTAAACCTTAGTCACTCCTTGTCCCATGTGGAATGGAGGAGCCAGGACAGCAGGGGCTGGGAGCCAGAGGTGAAGGGTGCAGGGAGGCTGGGGTCAGGTGAGATTGTGAAATCACAGCCCTGCAGCTTGGCTGGGTCTCTCTCCAGAGAGTGGTCTCAGCTGGACAAAGTCCCCTCACCCAAGGGGCTGCCTGCATCCAGACACTAGTTGATGTGTGGTATAAAGGCACAGCCCCCTTGCATCAATTCAGGTCAATTCTGTGGGAATATCCCAGCTCCAGAGCTCCCTGTGGGACTGGCAGACTAAATCCCCACCCGGTGCCCTCACTCCTGCTTCCTTCGTTCCCTTACAGGTGTTGATCAGAGGGCACCTCCCTCCCAGCCCCGTGCAATTCACCTCCTGCACTTCTTCAGAGTCTCTTTCCCAGGAACCCGACAGTCAGTGCCAGTGGGGCAGAGAGAGCAGATGCTAAGATGAAATGTTAGGGTTGAATCACCTGCCAACCAGCCAGCAAGGAGGTCCCCAGCATTGGTGGTAGGTGGAGCACAGGCAGCTGTGGCACAAGGCCAGAGGCAGTAATGCCTCCGTTAAAATGTTTATTGATGATAAACTAGGATGGCGTACCAGTGGAAGAAAATGCCCTGGCATGTAAAAAAATGTATCTGGAGGCTAAGAAATATGGGGCAAATAGTAATTTGGGAACAATGGCATTGGCTGGCAATTAACTCTGTGGCAGCCTATATAGAGACTCTTACCTCCAGCAAGAGGACAGGTCTCAAGACTTAAGAGTAGCAGAGGCCAGGCACTGTGGCTCACACCTGTAATCCCAACACTTTGGGAGTCCAGGGCAGGAAGGTCTTTAAGGCTGGAGCTCAAGATCAGCCTGGGCAACATAGCCAGAGCCCATCTCTACACAAAATAAAAATAAATTAGGCTGGGCATGGTGGCTCATGCCTGTAATCCCAGCACTTTGGGAGGCTGAGGTGGGTGGATCACAAGGTCAGGAGTTCGAGACCACCCTGGCCAACACGGTGAAACCCCATATCTACTAAAAATACAAAAATTAGCCGAGTGTGGTGGCAGGCACCTGTAATCCCAGCTACTCGGGAGGCTGAGGCAGGAGAATTGCTTGAACCCGGGAGGTGGAGGTTGCAGTGGGCTGAGATCATGCCACTGTACTCTAGCCTGGGCGACAGAGCAAGACTCCGTCTCAAAATAAATAAATAAATAATAAATCAATTAATTAATTAGGTGGGGGTTGTGGTGCACACCTGTGGTTGCAGCTACCCAGGAGGCTGAGGTGGAAGGATTGCTTGAGCCGAAGAGTTCATTCGAGGCTGCAGTGAGCTATGATTGCAGCACTGCACTACAACCTGGCTGACAGAACAAAACTGTCTCTTAAAGAAAAAAAAATGAAGGGGAGAAAGGAAGAGTATCCAGCTTCTGAAGGGTGACTCTTGGCAATGGCAGGCACCTGGCTGAGAAGGAACAGGACCCTGAGAAATGCGTTGGGGACTGTAGGTCGATGCCTGTGAAAGTCTTGAATTCCCAGATTTCCTCTAATCTTCTGGGCTGCAGAAGCACGCCACCCTCTGCAATACAGGCTGGTGGTCTTCCATTAATTGAAGACACCGCAGAGGTCTCTGTCCTGCAACATAACACATGCCTTCCTCAGAATCTGCCCCCACCTTTTCTCCACTAGACCAATAACTACGGTTAAATCACAGCATGTCCCCACTGGGGAAGTGCTAGATTTGCTAAGGGAAGAAAGGAACTATACCCCAAAAGAAAAGAAGGATCCAGAAATCAGGTATTGGCAGGAACCAGGAGAGTACACATAGACCTTGACGCTGGGGCAGGGTGTGCGGGGTAGACAAGAGATCAGAGAGGCTGGGCACGGGGGCTCATGCCTGTAATCCCAGCACTTTGGGAGGCCAAGGCAGGTGGATCACCGGAGGTCAGGAGTTCGAGACCAGCCTGGTCAACATGGTGAAACCCTGTCTCTACTAAAATACAAAAATCAGCCAGGCGTGGTGGCAGGTGCCTGTAATCCCAGCTACTTGGGAGGCTGAGGCAGGAGAGTCACTTGAGCTTGGGAGGCAGAGGTTGCAGTGAACCGAGACTGCACCACTGCACTCCAGCCTGGTCGACAGAGTGAGACTCCATCTCAAAAAAAAAAAAAGAAAAAAAGAAAAAAGCAGAACACAAAGTTGGATAGAGCAGTAATTGATAAGGGAGGATTCTCTTGGGTTAGAGGATCTGACAGTGCAGCAACGACCCCAGGAGACGATGCAGACATGCTGCTAGATGGCTCTCAGATACGTGCAGAAAGCAATGCCCACACTCAATGAAGCAGGGATGATAGAATTGCTGTGGTAGGCCGGGCGCAGTGGCTCACGCCTGTAATCCCAGCACTTTGGGAGGCCGAGGTGGGCAGATCACGAGGTCAGGAGATCGAGACCATCCTGGCTAACACGGTGAAATCCCGTCTCTACTAAAAATAGAAAAAATTAGCCGGGCGAGGTGGTGGGCGCCTGTAGTCCCAGCTACTCGGGAGGCTGAGGCAGGAGAATGGCATGAACCCCCGGGGGGCGGAGCCTGCAGTGAGCCGAGATCGCGCCACTGCACTCCAACCTGGGTAACAGCGAGACTCCGTCTCAAAAAAAAAAAAAAAAAAAAAAAGAATTGCTGTGGTAGATAGTGCAGGAAGAGATCAAAAGGCTCCCAAAGGTGGTTATGCTACAGTGGACATGCTAGGGAAAGCTGGAAAATCCACTACTGCCTAGAAGATACCCCCACCCCTTTCTAAAGCAATATAGAACACACTGGTGAGAGGGGAAGGAGGATCAGGGGGCATATGTTGTGTTGTAGGACAGAGATCTCTGTAGTGTCTTCAATGAACAGAGGGCCACCAGCCTATATTGCAGAGGGCAGAATGCCTCTGCAGCCCAGAGAGTTCAGGAAGCACCAGCATGAGTGAGAAGCCCAGCAGTGCCTCTCCTCTGTAGGACAGGGCTGAATGTAGGCAGTGCCACTACAGACCTGGACACCCCGAGACTGATGGGGGACAATAGGATTGTAAAATAACAGAAACCACACGGTGGTACTTAGCCATCATAACCAAAGTGTGCACACTTGTCCTACTGAGTAGCAATGTTGGTGTAGCAGCCAAGAGGGGCTGATCTGCAGAGAGCTATGGAGGTGGTCACCAAAACATGGCATCCCAAAAAACAAGAAAGTCAGGTGGTCGACAAGCCGATATATACAACAAAAACAAATCAAGGAGGGGTGATCAGCTGTCCCAAGAAAATGGCACAGTTCTTTGCCCACTGTTATGGTTTGGATGTTTTGTCTCCTCCAAATCTCATGTTGAAATGAAATCCCCAATGTAGAGGTGGAGTCTGGTGGGGTGTTTCAGTCATGGGGGTGCAGCCATCATGAATGGCTTGTTGCCCTCCCCATGGTAATGAGCGAGTTCTTGCTCTGTCAACTCACATGAAAACTGGTTGTTTAAAAGAGTCTGGCATGTCTCTTGTTCCCTCTCTCGCTATGTGACATGCCTGCTACCCCTTCGCCTTCTGCCATGAGTAAAAGCTTCCTGAGGCTGAGCAGATGTTGGTGCCACGCTTGTACAGCCTGCAGAATGATGAGCCAAATAAGCCTCGTTTCTTTTAAATTACCCAGTCTCAGGTATTCCTTTATAGAAACACAATGCAAACTAATACACCCAGTTTTCAGATCCAGAACTCAGTGACCAAAGGAGAGACCACATCCCCAAGAAGAACCCCATGGCATCATGGCAAATACACATGGGAATGTTTTCTCAGTCTTTCCCCAACAGGACCCACAGCCATTTGGTTAAACAGGTGTACACTTGGGGAAGGAGAACACTCAGACATTTCTAGATTTTTTTTTGACATTTACATCTGGGGTCTTAGCCCCTGAGAACTGGAAGTGTTGCCATTGCACCCTGATACAGTGAGGGCACATAGGGTACCAGGTAATAAATGACCCAAGCCTGGCTCATGTTGGGTTCACAGACTCCCATCTGGCGAGCATTTCTCCCCAGTTCCCAGATGTATAATCCGAATAGATAGATGTGACAGCTGGCAAAACCCCCATGTCCTTGATCTGTGGGATAAGGACCGTCACCATAGGGAATGCCAGCCTTTGACAGTGACCCTCTCCCATGAATCTAGACATTAAATCAAAGGCAATATTACTTCCTGGGGGTCTCATAGAGATTAGCACAATTTAAAAAAAAAAAAATCCACAGGACTCTGCTTGATAAAAGACCTCAAGGATGCAGGAGTAGTCATCACCATCAAATCACCATGGAATTTCACCAGTCCAGTCCTACAAAAGACACGCAAGTCCCACCAGAATCCCATAAACTCTATCAAGATATAGCCCCAGTTGCAACCACCATGTTGGTGGGATGATGGTATATTTGCTAGGGAAGATGTTTGTGGCCTCAGGTATGTGGTGTGTGACCACTGGTTTGAAAAATAGGTTGTTTTCCATCCCTGTCAAAAAGGACTATCAGAAACAGTTCATGTTGACTTGCAGTGGACAGCAGACACTTATATTTTTCTCCAAAGTTATTTTAACTCTTCTTTGTCATAATATAAACCCAACAAGCTTCCTGAGTGCAAATCGCTGCCTCAGTCTGCTTTCCAGGGAACCTGACATACAACAGGCTGGAATAAAACGCAGCCTTGCAGTCAGAGGCCAGTCCTTGGTCAGGGCCTGGCAGGACTGACGTTACAGGCAGAGTCAATACAAGCAGGACCATGTAGGTACCTCAGAGCATGATTGACAGCAGCAGCAGGCCAGATTCTGGCTGGGGTCTAAGCTGGACCAAGAAGCAGAAAATTGGCAATTAGCTGATCAAAACGAGGCTGACACCACAAACAGTTCTGACCCTGCCGCAGCAGCTCAGGCAACTGGAAGGAGAGGGAGTGCTGTTTTCAGAACCACGGACAGCTCCCAATGATACCCCGCTCTAAGGGTTTAGCTCCAGGTTCTGTTCTCTGGGATAGGAGGACCCGGGGAATGTAAGGTGTGAAATCTGTCAACACCATGGATAACCCGTGAGGTTCTGGCCATTTATATGATTAACTGAAATGACTACAGTGGGGCCTCAACACCATGGACAGCCCCCACAAGATGCCGATAAGTTCAGAAACCAAGACTTGTGTGTGCACTGTCCCATATGATGCCAGTTCTGGGGGCTGATGGAAAGATAAATAACTAATCTCTAGAGAGGTTTACTCTCTAGTGGGGAAGATAGGTAGGTGGCCAGGTAATGGCCTTTAGGGCTTGCTGAACCTCCTGAAACAGAGAGCTGAAACAGAGAAAGAAGAGGCAGAGAAACTTCGTGCTGCAGTTTCAACACAGTGGTATGACAGTCCGACTTACATTGCCAGTCTGGGTCTGTTTCAGGGTGATTCTCCTTTCCCTGGGAAAGCTATTGCCATGAATTCCCTGAAGTGACCCAGTCCAGCAAGCTGTCTTTGTCCCAGATCCCTCCTTGCATGGCAGATGCCACACAGGCTGCACGGCCACAGGGAAACCTGAAGATCTTCTCAGCCCAGCAGTTGCTCAGACTTCAAACTTAGTATGGCATGTGGTTTCCATGACACGGTTCTGCAAACCGATGCCCACAGCCTTGAGAAAGGTCCCTGGGCGTCACTGAAGAGCCCTCTCACCCTAAGAGCTTGGGGACTTCCACAAAGAAACACCACAACCCACGAGTGATGTAGCCTTGGAGGGAGCTGCATGATGTTTGCTCCTGTGAACTAGTTTGAGTTTCTCCACTTGGGGCTCCTACAGCTTGCTGAATGGCTTTAGCATAGCCTCGTATTTGCATCAAATTCCAGGAAAACTTGCAGGCATCCTGGACAAATTGACTTACAAAATATTTTAAAGTACCGACTTTCTTTTAAAAAGTAGTATGGAAAGACTCACCAGGAAAATGAAAGGGCCTCCATCCTCACCTCTGTCTCTGAGAGCTGCTCTCCTCTGACCACACCAACCCAAACCATTAGCTTTTTGTGTGAGGAGGCACCGCTCACCAGGATGGGGGCTGGTCTGGTTCTCTATGGCACCCTTCCTTTTCAGCAGACCTCATCAGATTCTTTGACCATCTCTTTTTGAGAGATGCCCAGAGCCTGGATGTCAGAGAAGAGAGCTCTCATTCTCCACTCTTACCTAAGCATTCAGGGACTATTAGAAGAGACAAAAGGTGTTTTTGTAAAAAAACAGACAGGCACATGTGAGCTCTTAGGAATGATGTTTTGGGACTGATGGAAGGAACCTTGAATTCCATTCAACACACAAGCAGATCCAGTCACTCATCCACGCATTCACAAATATCAGTGAGATATCAACCACTCGAGTCGCACACTGTGATTTGAAGCAAAAAGTAAATAAGTGACTTAATTTCTGTTTATTAATCAGCTCTGAGCACACAACAGGCTAAAACAACAGTGTAATTTAGGATGAACAACTGCAAACACTCTCTGGGATATCTGAGGATGATGAAATCCTCAGGGGAGGAAGACAACTGGCCACTCAGCCCTGATGAAGGGGGAGGAAGGCAGGGAGGGATGGCTTATGGCTTCCACGACTTCTGCAGGGCAGGGGATGTTGTGCTGGGGGAGTGGAGCTAATTTTCCTCTGCTTGTTAACACTTCATCTTGTGGAGGAGGGGGGAGAGAGGTCAACGGAGGATGATAATAGTCATGGCTGGGACAAGGATAGGAAAGGGATTCCATCCTGGCTGAAATTAACAGTTACAATGAGATTCTAAATCTCCCAGAACTTTCATTTTCCTCTTTCTCTGCAGGTGGAAATGGATGCAGAGTCAAGTTAAAACCGTGTAACTTTACATGGTAAGTGGGTTTCAGAAGGAGGGCGGGGGAGTTTTGCCTGATCCCTGTGGATGCGGCCCATACTGGGGAACCCTACTGGAAGGCAAAGGATGCAGGGTCCTCCCGGCTTTAATCCTGGCAATATCCTCCCCACCCACCATCTCCCTCTCTAGCCACAGAACAGTATGCACACTTGCTAAAAATCTTGGACTCCGGCCGGGCACGGTGGCTCATGCCTGTAATCCCAGCACTTTGGGAGGCCGAGAGGGGTGGATCACCCACGGTCAGAAGTTCAAGACCAGCCTGGCCAACATGGTGAAACCTCATCTCTACTAAAAGTACAAAAATTAGCCGGGCATGCTGGTGTGTGCCTGTAATCCCAGCTACTCAGGAGGCTGAGGCAGGAGAATTGCTTGAACCCTGGAGGCGGAGGTTGCAGTGAGCCGAGGTCGTACCACTGCACTCCAGCCTGGGTGACAGAGCAAGACTCCATCTCAAAAGAAGAAAAAAAGAAAAAACTTGCACTCTCTCTCTCCAGATGTCAAAAGAGAACTAATATTTACAGCAGAATAATAGCTGTAAGGGCTCCTTTCTGGCTTTCTGCTTCATTTAGAGTCAATGACTCTTTGCTTCTGGGAGGATAGACATTTTGAAGTAATATGGGAATGTGCTTAATTAATACCTCTCTGCCCAGGGCCTACTGGTTTGTGGTGTTTTGCTGAAAGCCCAGGGATGGGGGGTTTGAATGTGTACAGATCTGATACAAAGGACAAAAGTCCCCCTGTTTCTGCAATTGTTCCATTCTCCCAATTAATGACTCAGTGAAAGGCAGAGGTCAAATGCTGCAAAATTTTTCCAGGCAAACATTTTCAGGGCCTTTTAGCTCAGCCAGTCCACGACCCTGTCCTCTCACAGAGGCCGATAGTGAACGGGGGTCACAGAACCCCCAAATCCACCCCTGGGAGGTTTTGAGCAGTCAGAGAATATGATATATTTATCTAGCAGAATGTTCTAGCAGCATGTCATATCCTCATCAAGAATGGGAAAAGGGTAATTGGATTTAAATGTCAAGATGTTCTCAGTGTAGGGTGGAAAGCACACATCTATTTTCTCAGCTACAGTTTTTTTTTTCTTTTGGTCTTATTATAATGAAAACTGCAATGAAAACTGCAACCACTTGTTGCTGAAGATGACAGGAGAAAATTCTCTAGTGCTTGGAGATAACAGTGAGTCACAGCCTGGGGGCCAGGTACGTGGCTATCAAATGCAGAGGGAATGGGCTTGGAGGAGAGTGAGAAGTCCAGGGTTAGGCAAGGGGCATTAGCTGGGCAGAAAACACATTGGAGAAGGCTGGGGGAAGCTCAAAGGAAGGGGTGGCCAGGATGCCCATCCTAGGAGGACCTAGGAGGACAGCCATGCTTTAGAGGAGAGCCTGGCTCAGACTTCAAACTTAGTATGGCACGTGGCTTCCATGACACAGTTCCGCAAACAGATGCCCACAGCCTTGAGAAGGGTCCCCAGTAGTCCGTGGGGACAATTCCCTTCTGGGAATTCTGTCCCGTGGCTTTTTTCCAGATTTGGAAAAGCTGACAATTAGGACCTAATAGCCATTTGTCCCAGCTCTAATTATGGCCACAGTGAACGCTTAGCCCTGGTCACCAAGGCAGCCAATACCCAGTGCTAGGGACAGTTCCGAATGCGTGTCTCAGTGGCCCTGAACCTGGGGATGGAATTGTCACAGGGCAAACCCCAAAACTGGGGCTCAGCCCAGAAGGCCAAGTGGGTTCTTGGCTTTGTGCAGGAAAGAATTCAAGAGTGAGCTGACAGAGCAAAGTGAAAACAAGTTTATTAAGACAGTAAAGGAATAAAAAGTGGCTATTCCATACGCAGAGAAGCCCTTAGGGCTGCTGGTTGATTATTTTTATGGTTATTTTTGACTACATGCTAAATAACGGGTAGATTATTAATGAGTTTTTCTGGAAAGGAGCTGGGAGTTCCTGGAACTGAGGGTCCCTCCCCTTTTTAAACCATATAGGATAACTTCCAGGAGTTGCCATGGCATCTGTAAACTGTCATGGTGCTGGTGGGTATGTCTTTTAGCATGCTAATGTATTATAATTAGCATCTTAGGAGCAGTAAGGGTAACCGGAGGTTGCTTCCATCACCACCTTTGGTTTTGGCGGGTTTTGGCCAGCTTCTCTACTGCATCCTGTTTTTTCATCAGGGTCCTGGGAAACTAGTCCTGCTGAACTCCTATCTCAGAATGGCAGTGACACACCATGCATTCCTTCATGAATGTTGGGGACAAAGCTGTGGGCTGCATCCTACATGGCCGCAGACTCCCAACGTCTGCAGTATGGGGTAGGGAGAGAGGGGTGGTGGCCACGGTGTCTGCTGGTGCTAGAAAATCTCAGGAACAGAAAGGACATCTTAACAGAACATTTCCTGGCTGCCCCTGACACATGAGACCTCCCCTTATTGCCCCATGTCCCCAGAGCTGCTCACACACACTTATCTGCTGGATAAGTAGTCACCCCCGTTGGCCTGGCAGGCACCAGGCTATGCATCTTGTCTGAGCTTGGGCAGACACCAGAGAGTGCCTCGGAAGGGCCCTCTGAGAGATCCCTTCTCTGCAAAAGTGAGTTCACTATTCCCCGGGGAAGGCAGTGCTAGGCTGACAAAACAGCCTGGTGCAAATCATCCACAGGGAGGCAGGCCTGGGAGCGGTTAGCTGGGGAGCCTTCTAAATACCTGCAGCAAGCACCCCTACCCTCCATCCTGATTAGCAGCATCCGGGAGAGCCCAGGTGGGCTCCAGGCTGGTATAGAATCTGGCGTGATCAGTTCCTGGCTAGTCCTCCACTGTTGACCTTCAGGACAACACCTCAACTCGGAAGCACCCTCCAGTCTATCCCCTGGCCTCCTTTCTCAGTCCAAGTCTCAGTTCAACAGCATCCTGAGACTGTTCTCAGGCTGAGGGTCTATGACACCATAGTGAGGCAAGAGGTGCTTCCAAGCGCAGGCTGGGCCTGGGATCCCGGCCCCATGTCTGTCTCTGTCACCATGGATTCTTAGCATCGTTGGGCTGAAGCCATCCCTGGCCCTGCAGCAGGGAGCAGTCTCTTTTGTAAGGACATTGCCAGGTGGCGGGTGGTGCCTTAGAAAATACACATCTTTAATTAGAAACAGGTGGAGAGGAGGCACACTCCATTTACAGGTGTGAGCAAGCCTTCTGGTAAAAGGTGGGGAATGTGATTTTGGTTTGTTTTTGTTTCTGTTTTTCTTTGAGACGGAGTCTCGCTCTGTCCCCCAGGCAGTGGCGCGATCTCGGCTCACTGCAACCTCTACCCTCCGGGTTCAAATGATTCTCCTGCCTCAGCGTCTCAAGTAGCTGGGATTACAGGTGTGCACCAGCACGCCCGGCTAATTTTTGTATTTTCAGTGGACACAGGGTTTCACCATGTTGGTCAGGCTGGTCTTGAACTTCTGACCTCAAGTAATCTGCCCACCTTGGGCTCCCAAAGTGCTGGGATTACAGGTGTGAGCCACCATGACTGGCCAAGAATGTGATTTTGTATGGCTGCAGTGGAGAGTGAAGAGTGTGTGTGTGTCTGCGTGTGTCTGTGTGTCAGAACCTAAGACCCTCTGACTGCCCTTGCAGTGGGCAGTCGGGAGAAGGGGGCAGCCTGGCTGGAGGCAGACACTGTTCCCGGTCCCATTCACACTCTCCTGCTGCCAGGGGTGCATTTGACGGCTTCCCCATCAATCTGTGAGTTTCCTCCTGAAACCTGATTGCTAACTCTGCCTGTGAGGCATTTAAAGCCTTTTCTCCAAGTACCCCCTCCCTCCCCATGGAGGAGCAAGGTCGGGCCCTGAGGGTAGGAAGCTGTGAGCCAGCTGGGGAGGGGCCAGAGCTGACCCCCCTACCCAACCCTGCCCTCTCTTCCATCTCTCCCCAGCCAGGCTGTTTCCAGGGATTGCCTTTGTCTCTGCCAACAGCTAGGATGTTTTGATCAAAAGCCAGGCCTGGCACTGCTGCTTGCCAACAAACACAAGCCTTTTTTAAAGCCTCCTTCTTGCCTGGGCTGGGACTTCCCTATCTGACATTTGATGCAGCTTCTGGCCTTGCCCAAGCCGTGGCATGGAGGACCCTCACACAGAGATCCCGTTTACCCTCTGTTCAGCTTGATGCTGGGGTCAGGGGATGTTTCAGGGACCAAGCTGTGCAGGAGACTTGGTTGTCAACAGAACCTCACCCCCACCTCACCCTGTAGTGCCTTTCCCTGTCCCCATGTCAGGAAGGTCCCTGGGGGAAGTCAGTGCTCCCAGGGTGGTATGCTGGGCCCAGTGGGAGTGGGCAGCTCTGGGATCAGGAAGGTGGGTCCTCACTCCCAACAGACCCCACTCGTGATGCCCCTCCTGGCCTGGGCACTGAGAAAGTGCTCTCCCTCCTTCCTCTCCTCTCCCTGAGCTCCTGCAGTTGGGACAACGATGGCAGGGCGTTCTCCTGGGGGCTGGGGGCTGGCCCAGTGAGCTGCCACCCCATTCCTTCATATTCATCCCACCTGGGGGACAGCACCACTGTGTCACACAGTGTGGGTCCCCATTGCTGTTATAGGGAAGGGGTCTCGATCCAGACCCCCAGAGAGGGTTCTTGGATCTTGCACAAGAAATAATTCAGGGTGAGTTCATAGAGTAAAGTGAAAGCAAGTTTATTAAGAAGTAAAGGAATGAAGAATGGCTATTCCATTCTTCATTGCCCATTTTTATGGTTATTTCTTGATGATATGCTAAACAAGAGGTGGATTATTCATGCCTCTCCTTTATAGACCATATAGGGTAACTTCTTGACGTTGCCATGGCATTTGTAAACTGTCATGGCGCTGGTGGGAGTGTAGCAGTGAGGACCACCAGAGGTCACTCCCATGGCCATTGGTTTTGGTGGGTTTTAGCCGGCTTCCTTACTGCAACCTGTTTTATCAGCAAGGTCTTTATTACCTGTATCTTGTGCCAACCTTCTATCTTATCCTGTGACTTAGAATGCCTTAACCATCTGGGAATGCAGCCCAGTAGGTCTCAGCCTCTTTTTTCCCAGGCCCTAGTCAAGATGGAGTTGCTCTGGTTTACACACCTCTGACACCGCTGTCTGCTCACAGGGAGAGGAGGCTTGCCTCATAGATCACAGATCAACGACGGAAGTTTGTAGAGCTCTCTGCAGCAGGCTGCAGTTATGATGGTGTGTGGGCCGTTGAGAAAGTGCTCCTAGAGGCTGGCTGTGGCTCCTAGAGGCTAGCAGTGGCTCCTATGTAGGAAGTTCCAGCTCTTATGTTGCATGTTCTTTCGGAGCTGAAGGAAGGGCCTGCAATAATCTATCTGTTACACCCCAATTTATGCAGAGAGGGGGTTTAGGATGCCATACAAGAAATGAGGGCATAAATCAGAATGGAACTGACAGATGCAAGAACAACTAGTAAAGAGATAATAAAATGGATCCCAAAGTAAGTTTGAAAGTTGCACTTTACAAGGCTGTATTCACTTGGTAATGGGCTGTGGTATCAAGAATATATCTGGGCCAGGCACTGTGGCTCACGCCTGTAATCCCAGCACTTTGGGAGGCCAAGGCGGGTAGATTACCTGAGTTCAGGACTTCAAGACCAGCTTGGCCAACATGATGAAACCCCATCTCTACTAAAAGTACAAAAAATTAGCTGGGCATTGTTGTGGGGGCCTGTAATCTTAGCTACTTGGGAGGCTGAGGCAGGAGAATTGCTTGAACCCAGGAGGTGGAGGTTTCAGTGAGCCAAGATCATGTCATTGCACTCCAGCCTGGGCAACAGAGCAAGACTCCATCTCAAAAAAAAAAAAAAAAAAAGAATATATCTGGTCTTTGTCTCTTGGTTCCAGACACAGTGCTTCAAAAACCCTTGGAATTTCCACAGTGATAGGCATGTCTTGTTATGCCAATGAGATGGGTCCTGGTGGGCTCCTAGAGAGCTTCAGTATAGGAGCTGGTCACCAGAAAGACCAACCACTTGAAGAGAGGAGGGGAGGGTGATTGGAGATTGAGTTCTGTCATGCAGCCAATCAATCATCAATCATTGATTACTCATAATCAAACCCCAATTCATAATGCAATCCTAATAAAAACTCTAGACACTGAGGCTCAGAGGAGCTCCCAGTTGAACACACTGATCTGCTGGGAGGGTGATATGCCCTCCATGAAGGAGGTACCATGGAACCTACCTTAGGGAACCTTGTGAGAATTAAATGAGATGATACAGGAATCAAGCTAAGCTCATGCTTTGTCTCTTCCTCTAAGATGCACATGCCCCACTGCCTTTCCGAGGGTCTGGCGTTGCCCTGCTGCCCACTTCGGTTCATTGGATGTGTCTTCATGTGAACAAATAATGATTGAGATGAGGTTTGGGCTCTTGACCAGGAGCCCAGAGCCTGAGAAAATTGTGTTTGGGACCCTCCCAGACCCTGTTCTATCTATGGGTATCCTTTCTAATAAAAATGCAATTTTAAGTATAGTACTTGCCTGTGTTCTGCATCTTTAAAACAAATTTTCAAACTGGAGGGGCCCCAGCACCTACACTGCTGGCCAGCTGGCTACAGATTCACAGGAACACCTGACTCTGTAGCCAGTTGGCCAGCGGTGCAGGTGGCCTGGGGACCCCACTTGCGGCCAGTGTCTGAAGTAAAGTCAGTCTTGTGGAGGGCTCTGTCCTTTACTTGTGGCGTCTGGTGCTAACTCCAGGTGGTCAGTGTCAGGACAGTATGTAGTACAGCCCAGCTGGGGGCAAAACAGAACGCGGGCTTATTTATTAGGCGTGAGCCTTGCAACAGCTGGTGCAGAACAACGATTCTTGGTAGAAGGACCAGACAAGAGGATCTCCTGAGTGACGGCCAAATGTGCTTGACCTCATCTTTAAAGTAAGGGCAATCATGAGCCTCAGGGGGCGGCTTTTCAGAGCCCAAAAGAAAGAGGCAGCATTGCAACAGAGCACAGTCGGTATGCAGCTGAACTCACATGGCCAAGCTCATGCAGGGCAGAGCTGGCTGGGTTGAAGTGGAGACGCAGCTGTCCCAGTGTGAGCAGTGTGTGGATTAAGGGACTCCCTCCCCTTGCACCTCAATCTCTGTCCGTGTGGACTGAGCCATTGAGACAGGCTGTCTTGTTTCCCTGAGTCCATGAGCTTCTTGGAGTGGAAAAGAGGTCACCGGCAGCCAGCAAGGAGAACAGTGCATCTTTACACCTTTTCTCTGCCTGAGATCTTCTCTGTGTAAACCAGAGGATCTGGCCACAGCCTTGGGCACAGGCTCTGGGCTCCTTGTGAAGAACCCAAACCTCATCTCAATCATTGTTTGCATACACGAAAACACATCTGTCAAAGGCGTTTGAACTAGAGTGACTCCATCTTGTATAGATACTGGGTAAAATAAGGCTGAGACCTACTGGGCTGCATTCCCAGGAGGTTAGGCATTCTAAGTCACAGAATGACATAGGAGGTTGGAACAAGATACAGGTCACAAAGACCTTGCTGATAAAGCAGGCTGTGGTAAAGAAGCTGGCCAAACCTCACCAAATCCAAGATGGTGATGAAAGTGACCCCCGGTTGTCCTCACTGCTTATTATACGCTAATTATAATGCATTAGCATGCTAAGAAACACTCCCACCAGTGCCGTGACAGTTTACAGATGCCATGGCAACACCTAGAATTTACCCTTTATGGTCTAAAAAGGGGAGAAACCCTAAGTTCTGGGAATTGCCCACCCCTTTCTCGGAAAACTCATAATTAATCCACCCCTTGTTTAGCATATAATCACAAAGTAACAATAAGTATCCTTAGTCCAGCAGCCCAAGCTGCTGCTCCGCCTATGGAGTAGTCATTCTCTATTCCTTTACTTTCTTAATAAACTTGCTGTGATGATTACTATTGAGTGTCAACTTGATTGGATTGAAGGATGCAAAGCATTGTTCCTGGGTGTGTCTGTGAGGGTGTTGCCAAAGGACTTTAACATTTGAGTCAGTGGACTGGGAGAGGCAGACACACCCTCAATCTGGGTGGGCACCATCTAATCAGTTGCAAGCACGGCTAGAATAAAGCAGGCAGAACTTGACTGGCTGAGTCTTCCAGCTTCCATCTTTCTCTGTGCTGGATGCTTCCTGCCCTCGAACATCGGACTCCCAGTTCTTCAGGTTTTGGACTCCTGGACTCACACCAGTTGTTTGCCAGGGGCTCTGGGGCCTTCAGCCATAGACTGAAGGCTGTGCTGTTGGATTCCCTACTTTTGAAGTTTTGGGACTCAGACTGGCTTCCTTGCTCCTCAGCTTGCAGACGGCCTATTGTGGAATTTCACTTTGTGATTGTGGGAGTCAATACTTCTTAATAAACTCCCCCTCATACATACATCTATCTTATTAGTTCTGTCCCTTTAGAAAACCCTGACTAATACACTTTCTTTCACTTGATGAATTCGCCCTGAATTCTTTCTTGCGTGAGATCCAATAACCCTCTCTTGGGGTCTGGATTGGGACCCCTTTCCAGTAACACATCCAATGAACTCGAGTAGGCAGCAGCATAAGCCAGACTCTCGAAAAGGCAGTGGGGCATGTGCCACTTCTTTCCTTAGGGGAAAAGACCAAAGAATGAGCTTAGCGTGGTCCCTGTATTATCTCATTTAATTCTTACAATGTCGCCTGAGACAGCTTCTATGATTAACCTTACATCTATTGTACAGAGAGAGAAACTAGTTTTAGTGAAGTGTTTCTCCCAAGAGGTCTCCCTGCTTCAACCTTGCTTCCTCTGACTGTTTCTTCACAGCATCCAGTGATCCTTTTACAGGGGAAGGCAGAGCATGTCATTTTGAAACTGTCCCCACGGAATTGGCAAGAATTGCACGCCGGGTTCTCGACGGGAATATAGTTATAATTAAGCATCAATCAGGCTGCACTTTGGCCCACTTCCTTGTAGCAGAAAGTCACATGGCACTAAGTCTTGACGATGCACACCCCCAGTGCTCCTATAGGTAGGATTTCTGACATGAGGGTCCTAAGACTGTTTGAGAATTGATTGGCATCCCCATTGCTCCTATAGACAGGATCTCCAACCTTAAAATCATAGGCTTTTGTTTAAGGATCATATACGATGTTTTTCTTTCAGACTGTGAATTCCAGCAAAACTAGTTTGAAGACCCCACAGAAGATGGGGATCAGCCTGAGAACACAGGTTCTTCCTCTCACTGCCCCTGGCACTTCACCCTGCACTCTTCCACCAGTCGACAATCTCTATCCTTCAGCCCACTCCAAAACCCTTAAAAACCCCAGGCCCAAACTCCTTGGGGAGCTGGATTTGAGGTTTTTTCCCATTTCCTTGTTCAGTGACCCTACAATTAAATCTCTTTCTCTGTTGCAACCAGGTTTGGGTGTATTGACTTGCTGTATGCTTTGGCCAGTGGACCTATGATGGTTACAATTTCCCTATGAAAGCACCTCAACCATACCTCACCTGCGGCAGGCAGCCTCCAAGATGGTGCCAGCAATCCTCACCACCTGGCAACATGCTCTTGCAATCCCTTCCCAGGTGGGCTGGACTTGGAGGCTAGCGTCTAACACATAGACCACAGCTACAATGACGGGCTGTCACTTCTGAGGTTAAGTTACACACGCGCTGTGACTTCTGTCTCATTTCCCTCTCTGGCTTGCTCACGCTGAAAGAAGCCAGCTCCTATGCCATGAACTGTGCTACGGAGAGGCCCACATGGCAAGGAACTGAGGGAGTTCTCTGGCCAACAGCCTGAGACGGACTCAATCCTGCCAGCAGCCACTTGGCTGAGCTTGGAAACAGATCCTCCCTCAGTTGTTGAGCCGTCAGATGAGACTGCAGCCCCAGCTGCACTTTAATGACAGTCTGTTTCCCTGTGGGCTTCCTTTGGATTTCCCTCTAAGTTCTACCGGAAACTGAGGCCTGGAGGTCTTGGGATTACTAAATTGCAGGGTATCCTGTTGCACAGTGGGGGAGTGCCCATCTCCTCTCTGCCCACGCCTGCTAGAAGCCAGCAGAGCAGCTCCCTGTGCCAGAGTCTTTCTCAACATGCCCTAGATGCTCTTCTTGCTTATTCCAAGCCCATCCCGCAGGACTCAGATGTGGTCCACAGAGGGCAGGGCCAGAAGTCAGACTAACGCAGCAGCACCCTATGGAGCTCACCTCTGTCCTCATGACTGAGTCTCCCTCACTGGGCAAGCTTGCCTTGTGTTGCATCTTCTCCCCAGATGACCCCAGCTCCTCCTGCCCTGGGCTCACAGGCCTCCCAGGGAGCTCGAAGAAGTGGGGTCTGCTTCCCTCTCTCCCTTCCCTGGCCTGGGCTCCCCTGCACCTCCCCCTCCTAAGCACCTGTACTCTGAGCATGTGTGGCTCTCTTCCCAGTGGGCTGGGAGTCTGTTGAGGGCAGGTGCATGTCTGGGTGCCTGTGGCTGTCTCAGGGATGCTCATCGAACCACACCCAAATATCAGAGGCCATGCGGGGTTCTCTCTTGGGACTGTGTGAGGCCTGCAGGGCATGGTTACTTGAGGCTTGGCTGAATGTGCCCCTTTTCCTTTGCCTGGCATTGCTGGCACTGTGTTCCCCCAACTCTTCCTTTGATCTGGCAGCAACCCTGAAAGACATCACTGTTGAGGGGTGTGACATGTAGTCCTAGGTCAAGCCCAGCAGAGACACAGCTGCTACCCAGGAAGCAGAGGGCACCGCCCTGGCTACAGAAGCCGCCCCAAAAGCAGCATCTGCATATATCCACATCAAGGACATAGATGTCACCACTCACCCAGGCCAGAGCCTAGAGAGAACTGTGAACTCAACGGGGATGTGTGAATGATGCTGAATTTGTGCAAGAAAACATGATTGGATGAAATTTACATGAAAGAGTAACTGAGTAGTCTGAAATGGGGCTGGCTGGGGTGAGGGATTTAAAAACTAACATGTGCTCTGGAAATACAGTTCTGTCTGCTCTGATGGCATGTGTGTGGACAGCCACAGGTGTGGCCATGAACCTGCCGTGGGAGCGAAGGCACTTGCTGGAGCCCCCAGGCTCTGCTTACCAAAGTCCCACATTGGTGCCTCAGCTGCCCGCAGCCTGCTCTTTGGGAGTGTGGGCCGGGGCTGGGCCAGAGGAGAGCACCCACCCACAGAAGGCACAGCCCAGCCGAGTGAAGGGCCCAGCAGTCAGTGGAGGCCGAAAAAGAGAGGCGCCGGAAAGCAAGGCACACAGGCTTGTGCAAACGCCACACAGAGGCTGGCCTGGAATGCAGCCACCAGCCCGCTACGGCAGGAGCCTTCTCCAGGGAGCAGATCCACTTGGCACCTGGTCACGGTAATTACTGCTGAACTTTAAAACCTAACGCAGCAAAACCGCAAATATTTAACATGTGTTCCTCCTTCCGGGGGGCCTGGAGGAAATGGGAGCAAATGGCCAGATTCCCAACATGAACTCCCAAGTCTATTCACAAAATGGATTAATAAAGCCAGGCGCGACAAGATGCACAGCCCCATCCGGTGCTGAGGCCCCAGCCCCAAGCACGGCCTGACCACGGCAGACTCTCGGCTCCACTACAGCCCACTCTGGGACTCTGTGGCACACACATGTGCATGGACACTCATGTGCATGAATGCAAGTGGCCACAGGCTTTCAGGGGCCGGGAGCACACACTCTACACACACAGACACGGGTTCACACATACGGCGACTCCTTGGGCAGTGCTGCAGCCACCACGGGAGGCTGGTTCAGCCTCCTGGGTCGGCACAAGTTGTGGTCCTGCGCTGCCTGTCCGTCCTAAGCCTGACATATGGAAGATTTCCAGAAGGGGATGCCCAAGGTACCAAGTTTTTCCCCTGGCAGGAACACAGGATCAGCCAGGGAGCCTCATTTGAAGAAAGGGAGGTGGTGGGAGAGGATCCCCACCATAGGACGCACCTGGGGAGCAGGACGCGTGGCCAGAAGTGGCTCCCGGGCGACTGTGGATGAAGTGCATCTTTGGCACAGAAAGGGCCTGGGAAGGGGAGGAGAGGGCTCAGGATCAGGCATCAGCGAAAGTGGCACGGAAGGGCTGGGCTTGGAAAAGTGGGTGGGACTGAGATACAAGCAGAGGAGGGGAAGGTGCAGGAGCTGGGAGGGGAGCACTGCCAGCAGAGGTGCGGGTCGAGGTGGGGGAGCAGGAGCAGCTGCACTGAGGCTGAGCACTCGGGATGGCCCTGAGGGCTGGGTTGCCGGCATGCACTGTCCCCTCAGCCCCTTTCTTTGCAGCCCCTGGCCCACGTCTCCTAGCCCCTTGCCAGGGAGCCCCCTTCTTTATGGCGGTCAGGAGGAAGAATCAAATCTAAACCTGTCCTCGCCATGTCTGGAGTTCAGCACTGCTGTCGAGAGGTGGGACATTTGGGTGGCTTTCCCTGCTCCTGGGACACCGATCCAGCCCCATCCTGTGAGCCACCCAGAGGGAGTTCTAGTGCCCACACCCTTCACTCCCCACCTCCCAGCTGATGCTCACACTTTTATTATTATTATTATTATTGAGACAGGGTCTTGCTCTGTCACCCAGGCTGGAGGACAGTGGTGCAACCAGGACTTCCAGCAGCCTCTATCTCCTGAGCTCAAGCCCCTGAGTAGCTGGGACTACAGGCATGCGCCACCATGCTAATTTTTGTATTATGGGTAGAAACGGGGTCTCGCTATATTGCCCAGGCTGGTCTCGAACTCCTGAGCTAAAGTGATCCTCCCACCTCAGCTTCCCACAGTGCTGGGATTACAGGCATGAGCCAATGTGACCAGCTGATACTCACCTTTAAAGACATCAATACCAGGTCCCAGGATGGCAAGGCCTTTAGGACCTGGTATGTGACTGGCTGGCCCTGTCCCCTGCCCCATCTACCACCACACCTTCCACTCCTGGCCACAAAGCACAGTCATCTCAAGAGGTCAGTGGCCTGAGGGCCTTCTGCCCGGTTGCTGAAGGCCTTGGGATAGAACTGGGTCAACTCAGACCCCGGTTCTTACAGGAGGAAGAGGGAGAATGCAAGAAGCCCCTGCTGCAGCGGGCAATGACCTTCATGCCCCACCCTGAAAGCTTCTCTCTGGGCCAAGGGGAATCGGACCACTTCCAGGCAAGAGCCCTGAGCGGCCCCATTCCCAGTGTCTCCAGTGGGCAAGTCCAGCTCAGCCCAAAATACCAGCCACCTAGACCCTGTGGCCAGGCTCCGGCCCAGGTCACTCTGCCCTGATCCTTCCCAAAGCACCCACCACGACCAGATGAGAGAATATAGAAGATGAGGCTAGAGATAAGGGGCTGGCCGAGGCTGAAGCCTCCAGCTCTGTTCTCTTGGCTCACCCTGGCAGCCCCTAACCCTTCTTTCATCACACCTCTGTGCCGAGACCCCCAGAGTCCCAGTGGTGAGGACCAGGGAGGCCAGAGTGGGTGGGAGAGCCAAGGGAGAAAGAGTATCTTTCGCTTGCGTCGCATTTGGGGCAAAGGAAGGTGAAGGCAGGAGAAGCACCCTTCTTGCTAATGAGGGAGTGAAGGCTCACTGAGCTCAGGGCAGGGCAGTGGGGAAAGGGCTGGTACTGGCGCCTCGAGGCCCCACGCAGGGCTCAGCAGGGACCCTGGGCCACTGCAGGGACCAGGAGATTGTGGCCATGGGTTTTTAATTTTCACCTTTCACAGATTTCATTACCAGGAATTTCAGATTTGGATTAGGACTCGAGGCTTAGCTCTCAGAATGAGTCGAGGAGGGGCCCACAACAGCAGGTACAGGATGCCCCTGGGGGGTGAGTGTGTGGGGAGGGGCATCAGTCAGGAGCCAAGGAGAAATGCCCTTCCCCACGGGGACCTCTTAGCCTGATCAAGGGTTTGTGACGCGCAGACATAGAGCCACAGACGTAGAGACTCGGTTGTGTCCCCACAATCACATGCAGCCACGCAGCTCTGGAGACACCCTCACACTCTGTGCACGCACACTCATGTCCCTCATAACAGCGCCCC
This sequence comes from Homo sapiens, assembly GCF_000001405.40. Lineage (NCBI taxonomy): Eukaryota > Metazoa > Chordata > Mammalia > Primates > Hominidae > Homo > Homo sapiens. Next base: position 33,725,073 of record NC_000019.10, on the reverse strand, counting down.
CCGATACATATGCTTGCACTTGCACACACAGCAGTGCTGGTCTCCTGATGACAGCTGTGCGCTGCCGATGGCTCCCGGGAGCTCTGTGCCCTCACTCCCTCCCCAACCCCCAGCATCTGCTGGGTCGATCCTCCAGGGATCTGCTGGTGAGCAGCTGCGGCCTGGTCCCTGGCTGGGGTGTGCCGAGGTGTGGCCCCCCACTCTGGGCCACAGTCCACCCTTGGAGCAGGCTCTGTCAGTGCCCAAGGAGAGGTGGAGCAGCTGGGGACCTCCCCAGCCCACCCGGAGTGGGCCTCTCTGTGCCACCTGGCTGGGGAGCTCCAGGGCCAGGTCTCCATGCCTGCCACATGCTAGGATGGGGAGAAAAGGGAAGGCAGGGAAGGAGAGGGGGCAGGGGCAGGGCCCAGGAGTGGCAGGTCTGACCTGGTCTTTGTGCCCCTCCAGGGCCTTCCGAGGCAGATGCAGCCCCAGGCAATACTGTCCAGGCTTGCGCCCACACTCAGTGAGGGAGGGCGTGTCCTCCAGGCTGCAGACGCACATTTTAATGGAGCTTCAATTATTCATGGAGCCTGGGAAGAGCAGCCCGGCTGCCAGCCCCGCAGCCACACTTTACAGAACTGCTTACGGCTCCTTGGCTGAGCCCGGATGGGGGCCGGGGGTATCCTCATCTAAAAGTGGAGGGAACACTGGGGAAGGTGAGGCCCCTAATGCAGCACCTGACCCCCGGGTGGGGGCTCGCCCAGCACCTTCCCCTTCTGCACAGTGAGAGGATGGTGGAGGTCCCAGGCCCCACACCCAGGGCATGGAAGCTGCCTGTGGGGCAGGGTGTGTCAGGAGGGGGCTGGGCCTGGGTGTGGGGTAACCGGTGGAGCCTGGTCAGGAGGCTAGGCTCATCTAAAGCTTGAGGCCAGAGCAGCTGCCTGTGGCTGCATGGAAGTGACTGCACAGCACCCATGTGGGGCCAAGGGCACCGAGGAGCCAGGCCCGGTGCCTGCAGGCTGAGCCTCTTAGTGCCTGAGACGCAAGACCTCACCCCAGGAGGAAAGTACCCACACTCAGTTTCTGTCCACCTAACCTCCCCCTTCACAACCACACCAGCACCCCTTCGCCACGGGAAGCTACTCCTCCCCACTCTCAGCCCCTGTGGTTTGGATGAGGTGGCACCACCCACACCAGAAGGGGCATGGGATCCTCCTGCCAAAGGAATTGGCTCGAGGATGATCAGGTAACACAATGGGGTGACAATGGCGGCCCAGAGATGCCAGGGCCACCCCTTGGCAAAAGGCTATCTGGGACTGAAGCCCACGAGAGGAGAAGCAGAGGCAAGGAATGGAGAAGCTAAGTTCTGACCACACCAAGGCAGAGCCTAGATACAGCCCTACCTGATGCTGTCCCTTGCAATTGAAATGTTCCTGTCCAATCCAGGATCCTTCACCCTCAGACTGCCTTCCTTCTACAGGCACCTGCTTTCTCCAGCAGGAAGGGGGATGGTAGGTGAGCACAGGGTTCCAGCCACCACTCCTCTCTTCTAGGCACCAGCTGAGCAGGGAGTGGCAGTGAAATGGCTCAGGGAAGGACAGCCTGCTGGGAATCCTGTCTCCTAGAGAGAGGACTCAAGGGTAACCAAGGGAGATGCAGATGTTGGCATATACAGCAACACCTTGATGATGAACACAGGCCCCTCACACACCTTTGTGTAGACACACGCGTGCACACACAAATGGTCAAACATATGCTCCTAGGTGCCTGTGCATGCACACACTCACATGGATACTGAGATCTGCATGGATGTGCACACAGACATCTGCACATACGCAGTCATGCACATTCTCAAACAAATACTCAGATACACACACACTCACAGGTATTCAGCCTCCAGGCATGCACGCACACACAAAGATCCAATCCCACCCACAGACACATTTGCTCATGAACCCAGGGCGTGCACACATTCCCACTGAGCCCCACACTTAACACAGGATCACGCATAGGGAGTGGAAATGTGAGCCAGGCTGGTGCCCTGGGCTCTGCAGGAAGTGGAGCAGGGGAGCCTCTGACGTTGTCTTCTTGTTCCCAGCAGAGCCGGGCTTATCTTCGGAAGGGTGAATGCCAGGTGAAAAATGATTAGCTGTCACTCAGCACTTGATAGATGCAGACCCCCTCTTACCCTTGCTCCTGGCAAAGGACTGACATGTTATTGATCCACTTAGTGTATTCATATCAGCAGCTGCAGAGGCTGAGCCAGGACTAACTGGAGAACATCAAAGCAGGGAGAAAAGAGAGATGTGGGTGGGGAACTGGGGGTGGCTGTTAGGCTGTTCCAGCTTCCCAAGGCCCGTGATGGGAGTTACGCTCGGGGTGGGAAACAGCTGTTTCTCCCCAGAAACCTCATCTCCATTCACATCCCCTCCAGGTTCGTGTTACCAATTGAGAATGCCCAGCCCCAGGGAAGAGGGGGAAGGGGTGCAACCAAGGAACAAAGAGGTAAGAAAGACAGGGCCAGAGGCAGCCTGATGACAAGACCACAGGAATGCTGGGTGTGCGAACTGCAAGAAAATAGCTTCTGGAGATGATGTTGAGCTTTCAACCTGTTTCCTGAGAGAATTTAGTCCCCAGAGGGGCTACGGTTCAGTCTACCAACAAATCTTTGCCTCCCCTCATGTATTTCCTTCTTTTACTACATGTACCTACCCATCCGTCTGTCCGTCCGTCCATCCATCAGTCTGTCCACCCATCCATCCATCCATCTGCCCATGCACCCACCCATCTGTCCATCTTTCCATCCGTCTGTCCATCCATCCATTCATCTATCACTCCCTCCCTCCCACCTTCCATCCACCCATTCATTCAGCTCATCCAGACTGTCTACCCACCCATCCATCCATCTGCCCACCCACCCACCTAGCTGTCCATCTTCCCATCTATCTGTCCATCCATCCATTCATCTATCCATCCATCCCTTCATCCATCCATCCATCCATCCATCCATCCATCCATCCATCCATCTCATCCATCAGTCTGTCTACCCATCCATCCATATGCCCACTCACTACCTATCTGTCCATCTTTCCATCTATCCATCCATCCATCCAAACAGCCATCCATCCATCCATCTGCCCACTCACCCACCCATCCATCCATCTGTCCATCCATCTGTCCATCCATCCATCCATCCATCTACCCACTCACCCACCCATCCATCCATCTGTCCATCCATCCATCCATCCATCCCTCTATACAAACATCTATCCCTCCATCACCTATCTGCCCACACATACTTCCATTTGCCCACTCACCTACCCATCTGTCCAACTTTCCATCCATCTATCCGTCCTTCCATTCATCTATCCATCCACCCTTCCCTCCATACATTCTTCCACCCAGCCATCCCTCTATCCATTCATACATCCCTCCATCCATCTACCCACCCACCCACCCACACATCCATCTATCTGCCTACTCATCCATCCATCCATCCATCCATATGCCCACTCATCTGCCTACCCATCCATCTTTCCATCAATCTGTCCATCCACCTATCTATCCATCCATCCACCCATCCATCCATCCATCTTCCCACTCACCATCCATGCATCCATCTGTCCATCCATCCAACCACACAACAGACATGTGTTAAGAACCTAGCATAGCAGTGTTAGGCCCTGCACACCCTGTGGTGATGCAGTGTGGGAAGGTGACTGTGGGTGTTCAGAGATAGGAAGATACCTGGGCTCTGTCCTGGAGGATGCCCGATCTCAGAGGACAGAAGATGGAGAAGGACTGGGGACTGGAGGAATGTGAGTTGGCTCAGGGCTCCATCTTCTGGTGTCAAGGCAAACACATGCTGCTGGAGCCAATGCTGACTCCGAGGACCCTGCAATAGGGTTTCCAGCCATGGCTGCGGGCCCCCAGAGAGGGTCCCCGAGAGCACTAGCTTTCTGGTTGGGTCCAGTTGCCTCCCAATGAACGATTCCCTTGTGATTACATGGACTTTGATTTCCTATTTCCACAGATAAGACAGAGCTGAGATGAGTGGCCCTGAACCTGGGATGGCCAGAGGTGCAAGCTGAAGACAGACAGGGCAACTCTGGTCAGATCAAACTGTAGCCACCCTGGCTTGGGCCAGGTCTGGGCACCACTCCTCCCTGCGTCCACGTCGGGCCAGTGCTGGTGGCCACTCTGCTTTCAGCAATGATGGACGTGGCCCTCACTGATATGGAAGCCCCTGAACTGGCCCCAGCTCCCAGGCTAGGCTGACCCCTGCAAGGGGAAGGAACTGCATAGTGGAAGGAGGATAGGGGAGTGGGGGCCTGCCCTGGAGGCTCCTGACACTGCATACCACTGCCTGCCCAGCTCCCTGCCTCCTGTGTCCCCATGGTCTTGAGGGGAGAACTTCCAGCTCTCAGCAGTGTGCTCTGCTCAGCTTACTGTGGGAGCCCCAGGAAGAAAAGGGCTGCCCCTCCACTGTAAGCAGATGCCAGGGCTGGCAGAGAAGCTTTGGATGGTGGACAGAGGCCAATGGGCAGAGTGTGTTTGCTACATGCATTCCGTGTGTGTGTGGCAAGCATATGTGGTGTGTGTGGTGTGCAGTGTGTATGTGTGGTGCATGTGTGTGCAGTGTGGGTATGTGTGGTATATATGTGTGGTGCATGTGTGTGGTACATGTGTGCGGGGTGTGTGGTGCATGTGTGGTGTATGTGGGGTATGTGTGATGCATGTGTGGTGTGTATGTATGTGTGGTGTGTGTGTGCAGTGTGTATATGTGATGTGTGTGTGGGAGTGTGTATGTGTGTGTGGCCTGCGTATGTGTGGTGTATGTGTGGCGTGTGTATGGGGTATGGGGTGTGTATGTGTGGTACATGTATGGGTGTATGTCATGTGTGCATGTCACCACCAGGCCCACACAGTCCCTCCTGTCCCTCCCCATGGTATGAGGAGCTGCCCATGCCCTTCTTCCGTGGGAGTTTCTGGGCATAGAGGGTGACTCCAGCCTGGCGGAGGAGCTGTGTGTACAGACAGCGGGGCTGCCGACACCACAGTGCTGCCTAGGAGAGAACATGTAGTGCCGAAGCTCTCCCAGAGGGGAAGCTGGAGCCCCACGGCCTTGTGTGTGGCCTGAAGCCTTTCCATTTCTATCTAGTGCCTGACACACTGAGTGTGTGGCTGCAGCAGTAGCTCTGTCACAGAGGTCACGGACGGGCTGGCTTCCCTGGCCTTCAAGAGAGCTGCTGGAGGAGACAGTGGGTATCACGTGTCATGCTCAAGTGTAAAGCCAGGCTCACTGTGCATGGTTCAGGTCCGACTGCATGTGATTTTTTTTTTTTTTTGTAACTCACAGTAAATTGCTCCAGGTCCCCATCCCCCTCTTTAGGACCCTGTGAAGCTCCCTGGACCCAGACAGCCTGGGGTGTCTGGGGGATCTCTGCCTTCCATTCCCTCTGGTCAGATGGCTGGGAAGTCAGCCCTGGGGCTGCAGTCCAGTCTCCCTAGGTGTCCCCCCGAGTTCTGTCTCTCAGCGCCTGCCACCTCCAGGGATGGTTGCCACTCTCCAGGGAACACTCATTTTCAGCAACTCCCCATCCCCTCAGCTTTGGACTTCGTGTCTGCCTCACCTCCTTCAAAGACACTTCCCCTAGAACAATTCCTCAGTGAGCTTAGGCTTCCTAAAACAGAAGTGTCCAAGGACCCAGTCCCCATCTCCCCAGCAAGGACAGAGAGACCTTGAGAGGAGAAATTCCACCAGGAGTGAACACACATGGGTGTCACCAATGACACCAGAGCCACTTGATCCTGCCTCCCCGCCCAGGGCTCCCCCACCCGGCCCACCCCCGGCTGACAGAAGGTATTTGCCTTATATCAAGGGAGGTGTAAACATTTTACAAAACATTTCAGCAGCTTCAGCAACAGTTTAGAAAACACGTTTTATTTTGGAGGTGGTAGACACCCGCCTGAGTTCGCCTGGTCTTTGGCTGCAGTGTCACACCTATGACATCACTGGCAGGGGGGTGGGGGAGAGGAGGCTGGGCACACCCAGTCCCGGGAGCCCAGGTCTCGGGTGGAAGCCCTGGAGTGAAGAGACACCTCTCCAACAAGTCCAGAGCCCCTGTAGTGCAGAGCAAGACCTGGAGGCCTCCTTCCCTCTCAGTAGCAACAGAGATTCAAGACTTCAGGACTCCAAGGACAGATGCACAGGCCCCGCCCACAGCTCTCTCTCTCCCTCCTCAGCCCTAGGGGACCGTGACCTCTCCCCACTGGATCCAGCAGGGCCAGCCTCATGCTGGCTGAGCTGCCTCAACACCCTCCTCCGCAGGCTGCGGCTCTGACCTCTTCTTGGGGAGAAGCCAGGAGGATTCTGGGTAAACACAGGGACTGAACGTGTACGTTGAGCTCATCTTCCTCCTGAGATCCCAGCATAATGACAGCGAAGGAATGAAACAGAGGGGCCCATGGTAATGAAGAGAGCTAGAGAGGAACAGCAGCAGATGCCAGATTGCAACATGATTTTGGAAGATGGGAAGGGGACGGAGGGTGGGAGCAGATTCTACAGGGTGAAGGGGACATGCTAGCTGAGCCTGCAGAGGAGTGCGGGGAAGACTGCCTTGCCCCACAGAATGCAGCAAAGTGCAGGACTTGGAAGCACCAGGACAGGCAGATGGCAGGGGTGAAATGTGGGCTTAAAAATCTAGTGGCAGTTGGGCACAGAGGCTCACGCCTGTAATCCCAGCACTTTGGGAGGCCAAGATGGGAGGATCACTTGAGTCCAGGAGTTCAAAGCAGCAGTGAGCTATGATTGGGCCACTGTAGTCCAGCCTGGGCAACAGAGCAAGAGTCTGTTTAAAAAAAAAAAAAAAGAAAGAAAAAAAGACAATCCAGTGACCAGGCAACTATCCCCTACTGCACCCCTGGCGGGAGATGGAAGATGTACCTGCTGAGGAAACTGCAAATAACCTATGGACTCCAAGCTGGGAGGAGGAGCAGGGAGCACTGCTTTCAGAGGACTAACTGGGAGGCTTCAGACAGAGTGATCAAAGCCCTGGCTGCCTTCCGGTCCTGTACACACTGGGGGTCTTCTGCCAGGATGGAGACTGCAAGTCCGTTTGGTATAGAATGAACTGCATTCCCCTCCAAATCCACCTTGAAGTCCTAACCCCCAGTACCTCTGAATGTGACTGCAGATAGAGTCTTTGCAGAGGTAATTAAGTTAAAATGAGACAGGAATAATACAAGGTGGCCACAGGAGAATAAAAATTCCAGGCAGTAGTTTCATATGACACCCTGAAAAACAGGGTGTGGACCAAGCTGGCTAAGACCAACTGGGCCCAACATGGCACTAGATATGACCTCGGTTTCTCCTAGGACCTCGCTGTATGCTCATTAACATCCTAACTCACTCACCCACCAGTGCTGTGACAGTTCCGAGACCACCCATGTTTGGTGTAAAAACGTGTGGCACTACAGTTCTAAGAAATCTCCACTTTTTTCCCAGGAATTTTCATGAATATTCCACCCCTGGATTAAATAAACGCATAAAGGTAGCAGCCCCACACCCCACCACACGACTCTTGAGTCTGCCGGCACTCCTTTCTTGAGCGTGTACTTTTTTTTTCTTTTTTGAGATGGAGTCTCGCTCTGTTGCCCAGGCTGGAGTGCAGTGGTGTGATCTCGGCTCACTGCAACCTCTGCCTCCTGGGTTCAAGCAATTCTCCTGTCTCAGCCTCCTGAGAAGCTGGGACTACAGGCGCGCACCACCACGCCTGGCTAATTTTTGTATTTTTATTAGAGACAGGGTCTCACCATATTGGTCAGGCTGGTCTCGAACTCCCAACCTCAGGTGATCTGCCTGCCTTGGCCTCCCAAAGTGCTGGGATTATAAGCATGAGCCACCTCACCCAGCCAGAGCATGTACTTTTCACTTTGTAATAAATCCCTATACTTGCACTATTTTCTGAATTCCTTCTTGCAAGGGTGTCAAGAGCCTGGACACTGGCTGGGGTTGAGGCCCCACTGGCATTCGAGGACCTCCCCCAGCCCACCGGTATCAAAAATGGAGTCATTAGAGTGTACCCTAGTGATCCCTAGAACGGGTATCCTTATAAAGAGGAAATTCTGATGCAGACAGGGGCAGAGGGAAAACCATGGGAGGACACAGGGAGAAGATGGCCATCTACAAACCCAGGAGAAAGGTCCCAGAAGAAACCGACGCTGCCCAATGCCTTGATCTCAGACTCCTGGCCTCCAGGACTGTGAAAAAACACATTTCTGTTGTTTAAGCCACTTAGTCCATAATACTTTGCTACAGCAACCCTAGCCAACTAATGATTCTCCCTTGGAACCAAGAGGGTTGACTCCTCACCCGAATACCCTGAAGAAAAGCTCTTCCCCCTCCTTCCGATTACAAAATCAGGTGGCTGGGTGTGGTGGCTCACATCTGTAATTCCAGCACCTTGAGAGGCCAGTGCGGGAGGATCGCTTCAGCCCAGGAGTTCGAGATCAGCCTGGGCAACAGAGTAAGACCTTGTCTCTACAAAAAGGAAACAAAATTAGCCAGGCATGGTGGCACACACCTGTAGTCCCAGCTACTGAAAAGGCTGGGGTAGGAGGATTGCTTGAGCCTAGGAAGTGGAGGCTGTGGTGAGTCGTGATCGTGCCACTGTACTCCAGTCTGGGTGACCGAGTGAGACCCTGTCTCAAAAACAAAACAAAATCAATCACATGTTTATTGCTCCACTCTCAACTATGAATGGGTAACTAGGGCTCATCAAGCATCTGAGGACAGCCTCCACCACAAGAGACATCAAAAGAAGCAAACAGAAAAAGATGACATCAGAGGAAACAGAAATAATTCAGGAATAGCCATAAAACTACAAACAGTTTAAATATGAACCAGAAAGGAGCTGGCTAAATAAACTAATGGTGCATCTTTACAACGAACACTGAAAGCCACTGAAATGGGTGAAAAAAATCCGTCTCGATATGGAAAGAGGTTAAGAGGTCCACCCTGCAGTGTTAAGTGAAAGAAAACAGACTGTTTTTGTTTTTGCAAATGACGCATCTATAAGAAGGGTCTGGTAGACGTTGGGTGACAGGCTTGCAACATTGCATGTGTTGAGAGTATCTTTCTAAATGGACCCACACATATGCCAGGTGTAAAGCCTCTATGGACTTCCTGACCTCCCAGCTTATTCCTGTTTGACCTGGAGAGAGGGCCAGGAACTCATGTACCTGCCTGGAGAAGCTAGCATGGGGCCAGGCACACAGCAGGTGCTCAATGACTGCTTACTGGATAAACAGATGGATGAATGGATGGATGAATAGGAGGGATAGGAGGCAGAGGCAGCTGGTTGGACATGATCGTAAGCTCATGCAGGCAGCCAGGGACAACCCAAGGCCAGCTAGCCCAGCAAGGTGAAGGTCAGCCTGAGCTCTGAGTCATCTGCCTGCTGAAGATCTGCACACCTCCAGGGGTTCTGTCACCTCCTGCCTGAGCAGACACTGATGCCCAGAAAAGAAGTTTAACCTGTTGAGTTGTCAAGGCAACCAGAAGCATGCTGGGATGCAGAGCTGACAGGCCCAAGGAAATTCTGCCTTCCATTTCCTAAATTACTATCCTATCAAGTTGTCTCTCAAGGTCTGATCCTATCTATCTGTTCAGAAACAGGCCCTCTGTGTCACTGATTTCTCTCCCTGACCCCAGTTTCCAGGAGAAACTGCTACCACCCAGCCAAGAGCCCCATGTTACCCACATGGGTCTGAGCTCCAGCAGGGGCTGAGATCATGCTGGAGACAGCAGGACAAGGCAGGTGATGCCACAGCCAGAGAGGGGATTGGGAGCTTCTGGCATTCACACACGTCCATGACCTTGACCAAACAGCAGCCCTGGGCGAGTCGGGAAGGGGAGGACCAGGGCACAGGGTGAGAAAGTGACTTGGTCAAGGGCAGGACCAAAGTTCTTTCTTGTCTGGAGAAGCTTGGAGGGCAACAGGGCAAATATGAACAGAGCAATTGTGTGGAGGAGTGATCTTGAGGAACAGGAATGGAGGGAGAAGTGACAAGTCACCATGGTGCTGGGACAGAGCCTGTGGAGGGAGGGGCTGGCTGGATCTCTCAGGGTGGGCTGCAGAGGTGTATTGTCCATTTTCATGCTGCTGATAAAGACATACTAAAGACTGGGCAATTTACAAAAGAAAGAGGTTTATTGGACTCACAGTTCCATGTGGCTGGGGAGGCCTCACAATCATGGCAGAAGATGACAGGCATGTCTCACATGGCAGCAAACAAGAGAAGAGAGAGACTGTGTGGGAAATTCCCCTTTTCAAAACCATCAGATCTCATGAGACTCATTCACTATCACGAGAACAGCACAGGAAAGACCCACTCCCATGATTCAATCACCTCCCACTGGGTCCCTCCCAGGACATGTGGGAATTGTGGGAGTTACAATTCAAGATGAGATTTGGATGGGGACACAGCCAAACCATATTAGTGGTGAAGTCCAGGCTTTTAGTGTACCCATCACCCAAATAGTGTGCTTTGTACCCAATAGGTTTTTTCCTCCCCCGTGCCCCTCTTATCCTCCCACCTTTGAGTCTCCAATGTCTATCATACCATTCTGTATGTCCATGGGTACCCATCGTTTAGCTCCCACTTACTGAGAACATGTGGTATTTGACTGTTTCTGAGTTATTTCACTTAGGATAATGGCCTCCAGTTCCATCCACATTGCAGCAAAAGACATGATTTCATTCTTTTTTTATGGCTGCATAGTATTCCATGGTATATATGTACCAGATTTTCTTTACCGAATTCTCTCTTGGTGGACATTTAGGTTGATTCCAAGACTTAGCTACTGTGAATAGTACTGCTGCAAGAAATATAAGGCAGGTGTCTTTTTTATAGAGTGACTTCTTTTCCTTTGGGTAGATAGCCCGGTAGTGGAACTGCGGGATCAAATGGTAGTTTTACTTTTAGTTGTTTGAGAAATCTCCATACTGTTTTCCATAGAGGACACTGGGGTTTTTAACACCTCCACAGGTGATCCTAACAAGCAGTCAAGGTTGAGAACTGTTGTTCTAAGCAACGCCTGCCCCTCCTGGTGCAGGTAGATTGAAGGAAGCCACAGTGTTCTGGCTGTTCTTGCCCCCAGCCCTGCACTCCTCAGCCAGGCTCTGTCAGGGATTCTGCAGCTCAAAAGAGTGGCAGGTTCAAAACCCCCAGTGGCTGGGTGTGGTAACTCAACGCCTGTAATTCCAACACTAGGAGGCCAAGGCGGGTGCCCGTTCGAAGTCAGGAGTTTGAGACCAGCCTGGCCAACATGGTGAAACCCTGTCGCTACTAAAAACACAAAAATTAGCCGGGCGTGGTGGCAGGTACCTGTAATCCTATCTATTTAGGAGGTAGACAGGGGCACTTGAACCTGGGAGTTGGAGGTTGCAGTGAGCCCAGATGGTGTCACTGCACTCCAGCCAGGGCAACAGAGCAAGACTCTGTCTCAAAAAAACAAAAACAAAAACAAAAAAAGCCCCAGTGCCAGCCTCCCCAGTGGACATAACTCAGAATACTCAGGTTTTGCCTGAGAGCTATATGCTCCCAGGAGAAATGGAGACCCTGTAGGAAAAGAGGGAAGTGGGCAGCTGCTTGGCCAACTGCCCAGGCTGCAGTGGCGTTCATGAGAATGTCACTCACCAAGCATGCCATTGCATAATTGGCTCCCCTGGGAGGGCACCATTGCATCTCCCAGGTGATGGTGGCCTACCAGGGGAGCCAATCCTCCTTCCTCCATTAGGAGATCGCAGATCTTGAAAGGAAGATGTGGCATCTCCACAGACTGCTGTGGGTAGCGAGAAGCAGCAGGTGAACTTCACCTGCACCCACCCACAGAATCACATTAGGTCTTGGGATGACAGTGAGCACTGCTAGGCTATGGACCCCCTCATGTGTGTCAGGGATGGAGGGGCTTATGTCAGAGGAGGCTGGGGTTGCCTATGGCTGGTGGGGAGTATGAGTGCCAGCCACCCGATGCTGGGCTCAGCACCTCATCAACGATGCCCAGCTGCTCTCCATGGGGCGAGGGCCACATGGGTTGGCCAGCCTCCATATACATCATTGAAGGAGGAGCCACAAATGAGCCCCAGGGCTATGGATTTTGACAGCACGTCCCTGAAAGTGAAGATGGACAGATGGTAGAGACCAATATACAGACAGGCAGAGTGAGAGGGCAGAGGGTGATCAGGGCAGACACTGAGCAGGGGATCCCAGCACCAAAGTTGGGGGTGGGGGTTTTGAGACTCGGGCAAGGAGTCTCCTCCTCAACTCACTTGGCTTGGGTCAGCCCCTACTCAGGATAGAGGGAGTGCTCCCACCCTTAGGCTCCTGTGAGACAGTCTGCCGCTGCAGTGCAAGGCCTAAAGTTAAGACCCTTAAAATTATGTGCTACCTTGACACCTGGAGCAAGTGTGGGCGGCTGCAAATGGACTAACGGCAAGTTCCTCTCCCCACTGTTCGCTTGGATAAGTCCCCCAGCCAAATGACCTACTTATCAAGGGACTAGGCACAGTGCCTGCTGATTCACAAGTAGCAGGTTTCACTCCCTGCCCGCCCATGGAATTATTCAAACAAACCCATGACATCCTCCCACAGCAACCAGGGGTCACCTCACCTTCTTGATACTACAAAGCCTGCCTCCCACAGCCCCCGCTTGTCCACCCTGTTTCCGAGTGCAACCCCTGCAATCCTCCTCCCCCAGGCTTGGGCATAATAACAAATAAACTGCTGTTGATCTCTTCTGTCCAGTGTTGAGTGCTGGCCATCCCCATAACCATGGATGGGAATCCCCCCTCACCAATCGGGTGAACGGGAAGTGATTAAACAGCCACCCAGCTCTAGGAGTGGGCTCTACTGGGAGGGGTCAGTGCAGAGGCCAGAAAATATACATCACAATTCCAGTGACTAGCCTTGTTTTAAATAAAGTCCAAAGTTGGTTTTTGTTTCTTTGTTTGTTTTACTATCCTTATTGTCTTCCCTAACAACATAAAGATCTTATAGACCTTTTCATTCCAATTACGGTTTCCTGTCTAAACTTCCACGTTGTCGCTGTCCTTACACACTGGCAAAATTAGTGTTTATTATTTTTAAAGTAAATATTGGCTGGGTGTGGTGGCTCACATCTGTAATCCCAGCACTTTGGGAGGCCAAGGCAGGCAGATCATTTGAGGTCAGGAGTTCGAGACCAGCCTGGCCAACATGGTGAAACCCCATCTCTACTAAAAAATACAAAAATTAGCTGGGTGTGGTGGCGTGCACCTATAATCCCAGGTACTCGGGAGGCTGAGGCACGATAATTGCTTGAACCTGGGAGATGGAGGTTGCAGTGAGCCAAGATCATGCCACTGCACTCCAGCCTGGGTGACAAAGATTCTGTCTCACCAAAAAAAGTAAATACTTATTTATACTTAACAATGTTCCTACAATTTATTTCCTTACTACTACTTCTTGTATCCATTCTTTCTGGTTGCATTTTCTTCTTACAGAAGTACAGAAGTATACAATAATTTATACTACACAATGACCATATGATTTATCATCAAATAAACCCACTTCTGAGAGTAAGGGGGCACTGATAATAATTACACCAGGCCACAGGTGTAAACTAGGATTGTCCCAACATACTCCACCAATGGCCAGAGGTTCTGATACCTTCTGAGGGCTCTATTTACAGAGCAGTTGCACTTCCAGCTCAGCACTGTGGTTGAGTCAGAGACCTCATCTCCTGTCTGTGTAGATATCAAGACCCCAGTCCTAGACTTAGGGCTTCTGAAAGAGCTGAGTGAGAAGCCTGGTAGCTTCTTTCCCAAAATGAAATGACGGAACAGGAAAAACAACAACCATCACCATTTAAAAAGTTTGGGCCAGGCATGGTGGCTCACACTGGTAATCCCAGCACTCTGAAAGGCCAAGGCAGGAAGATTGCTTGATATCAGGAGTTCAAGACCAGCCTAGATAATATAGTGAGATGCCTCTCTCAACAAAAAATAAAGAAATTAGCTGGACATGGTCATATATGCTTGTAGTTCCAGCTACTTGGGGGGCTGAGGGAGGATCGCCTGAGCTCAGGAGCTTGAGGCTGCAGTGAGCTATGATCATACCTCTGCACTCCAGTCTGGGTGACAGAGTGAGACCCTACCCCTTAAAAAAAAAAAAAAAAACTCCAGAAATTGACCAAAAGCATACAACATATCAAGAAGCGTTTATTCAAGAAAATCTACTGAACAGTGTGAGGTTATGGCATTGTAGCCTGGGGCTGCTTTCATCACCTTGCCCAGTTCCCTGGGGGCTTACATTCTACCAAGGGGAATCAGGCATGAACATTGATTGATTGGAAAATTCCATGCCCAAGAGTGTTGCTGAAAATAATTCAAAAATCTTAGCTAGCCCAAGGTTGTGATAAAATTGGTAGAACCAATAGATCAGCAGATCAGACAGAAATTTAATAAGAAGATCTGGAAATCAGACAATTAAAGTTGACTAAAGCTAACACAGTGCTTAGAGGAAAATTTATAGCAGTAATGTCTATATTAGAAAAGAAGAATCTCAAATCAATAGCCTAATCTTCCACCTTAAGAAATGAAAAAAGAAGAACAAACTAGATCTGAAGCAAACAAAAGAGAGGAAGTAACAAATAAAGCAAACAAAAGAGAGGAAAAAAGGACAAACTAAACCTGAAGCAAACTAAAGCAAGGAAATAATAAAATACAAAGCAGGAAAACAACAGACAAAAACAATGAAACTAAAAGTTGGTTCTTTGAAAAGATCAACAAAATTGACAAACCTTTAGCTAGACTTTGAAAGAAAACAGAGAGACAATACAAACTACTAACATCATGAATGAAAATGAGGACATCACTAGTGATTATAAGAGAATACTATGAACACTGTTATGCTAAACAAATGAGACAACTTGAATGAAATGAACAAAGCCCTAGAAAGACATGAACAAAGCCCTAGAAAGACATAAATTACTAGAGCTGACTCAAGAAGAAATAGAAAACCTGAATAGAACTATGGTGAAGACATTGAGCTAGAAATTTAAAATTTTAAAGTCTGGAGCCAGGTGTAGTGGCATGAACCTGTAGTCCCAGCTACTTAGGAGGCTGAGGCAGGAGGTTCTCTTGAGCCTAGGAGTTAGAGGCCAGCCTGGGCAACAATAGCAAAACTCCATCTTTAAAAAAAGTAATGTCTCACAAAGAAAAGTCTAGTCTCAGATATCTTCACTGATAAATTCTAATAAACATTTAAAAAGAAATAATGCCAATCCTCCCTAAACTATTCCAGAGAAATAGGGTAGGAGGAGGTAAAAATACTTCCCAATTCATTTTAAATCCTGTATTAATCTGATAGCAAAGCCAGATAAAGACATCACAAGAAAACTACAACTATCCCTCAAAAAAAAAAAATCCACAACAAAATTTGAGCAAACTTAATTCAGTAACATATAAAAAGGATTATACACCATGACCAAGTGAGATTTATCACAAGAATGTGAGGCTAATGTATCAATATAATACACCGTTTTGACAGAATAAAGGATGAAACAACATAAACATCTCAATAGATGTAGAACAAGTATTTGACAAAATCCAACACCTATTCATGGTTAAATTTTTTTTTCTAATAAACTAGTAATAGAAGACAATTTCCTGAAGGTCATAAAAGTCATTTGCAAAAATCCTAGAGCAACCATTATACTTATTGGTGAAAGATGGAATGTTTTTCCCCTAAGATCCGGAATAAAGCATGAATGTCTACTCTCACCACTTCAATTTCCTACCATACTAGAGGTTCTAGTCAGTTGAATCAGGCAGGAAAAAGAAATAAAAGGCATTCGAGCTGGAAATGACGATGTAAACATCTCATTATTTGCAGAGAGCATAATTCTGTATGTAGAAAATCTTAGGGAATTTACATAAACAATTAGAATTAACTAACAAATTACAGGTTCCAAGATAAATATACAAAAATCAATTGTATTTCTATATATTAGCAATGAATGATCCCAAAATTAAATTAGAAAAACAATTCCATTCACTGTAGCATCAAAAAGAGTAAAATACTTAGGAATAAATTTAACTAAAGAAAGATAAGACTTGTATACTGAAAGCTACAATATAATGGTAAGAAGAATTAAAGATGATTTAAACAAGTGGAGAGACATTCCACGTTCATGGATTGTAAGATTCAATATTGTTAAGAAGACAATTCTCTCAAGTTTATTATTACAGTCAATGCCATTCCTATCAAGTCACAGCAGGTGTTGTTCTTTTTGGCAGAAATTGATGAGCTGATCCTAAAATTTACATGGAAATGCAAAAGACTCAGAATACCCAAAATGGTTTTGAAAAAGAACAAAGCTGAAGGATTTACACTTCCTGATTTCACAACTTTTTATAAATCTATACTAATCAAGACACTGCACTATTGGCAAAAGAATAGACATACAGATCAATGAAATAAATTGAGATTCCAGAAATAAACTCTTAAATTTATGGTCAATTTATTTTTGACCAAGGTGCGAAGGCAATTCGATAGGGAACAGATAGTCTTCAGCACGTGCTGGGAACTGGGATAACTGGATATTCACATGCAAAGAGAAGAAGTCAGACCTCACACAATACACAAAACGTGGCTCAAAATGGACCGCAGACACAGATGTAACAGCCAAAACTTAAAAACTTAGAAGAAAACATAAGAGAAAATCTTTATGGCTAAGATTAGGAAAAAATTTCTTAGACGCAACACAAAAAGCATAATCCATCAACGAAAAACATGTTGAATTGCACTTTTTCAAATTTAGAAACTTTTCCACTCCAGAAGACACTATTAAGAAAATGAAAAGACAAGCCACAGATGGGATAAGTTATTTGCAAGTCAAATAATACTTATATCTAGAAAATAATTACAACACAATAAAAAGATAAATAAACCAATTTTTAAAATGGGCCAAGCCTTGAATAGATATTTCACTAAAGAATATATCCAAATGGCTAATAAGCACATGAAAATATGCTTAATAGTACTCATTAGAGAGATGCAAATTAAAACCACAATGAGACACCACTTCACACCCACTAGAATAGCTATAATTAAAAAGACAGATAATAACAAGTCTTGATGAGAATGTGGAGCAATTGGAACCTTCATACCCTGCTGGTGAGAATGTAAAATGGTACAGCAATTTTAGCCAACAGTTTGTCAGTATCCCTTAAATTTAACGTAAATTTACTATTACAACCTAGCCATTCTACTCCTAAATATTTACCCAAGAAAAATGAAAACATAGGTTTGCATAAAAACTTTCACATGAATGTTCATAGCAGCATTAGTCCTAATGGCCAAAAGTATCAACAATCCCGTATCCAGCAGCTGGTGAACAGATCAACCGCAATTCCATGTAATAGAATAATATTATTTGACAATAAAAAGAAACAAACTGATATGAGTAAATATCAAAAAATATGACTCTCAAAACCATCATGCAGAGTGAAAGAAACCAGATATGATAGACCACACAGTGTATGATTACATTGATATGAAATGTTTAGAAAGGGTAGCGCTATAGTGATAAAAAGGAGATTTGTAGTTGCCTGGGGCTGAGGGTGAAAATGGGGAGTGATTGAAGTGGGCACAAAAGATTTAGTGGCGGGGGCAATGGAATTATCCTAAAATTAGGTCAGGCTAGGTGGCTCATGCGTGTAATCCCAGCACTTTGGCAGGCCAAGGCAGGAGAATCACTTGAGGCAAGGAGTTCAAGACTAGCCTGGGCAACACAGCAAGACCCTGTCTCTACAGAAAAATTGGAAAGTTAGCCGGGCACAGTGGCATGTGCCTGTGGTCCCAGCTACTGGGGAGGCTGAGGTGGGAGGATCGCTTGAGCCCAGGAGTTTAAAGCTGCAGTGAACTCTGACCTGCACTTTAGTCTGGGAAACACAGCACCCTACCCCTGCAACACTGCTAAAATACCTGCTTGGGAGGAGTCAGGGTGGACCCCAGAAAGTCCCCATCACCTTACTCACTGTGAGGCCCCATTGGAGCAGGGATCTTTCAGTAAACGTCTCTAAAATAAGTGAGTGAAAGTGGAAAATTTCCCTGGCAGGAATAACACACCTCCTCCCGGCCTGTGGTCCTCCCACAATCATGGCCTGTCCTTTTCACTCCCCAGTGAAGGGACGAGGCCTGCACACATTTTGCAAGCTCTGTGTGTTGTACACGCTTGACGCGCACAGTTGATTTAAGCCCAGAAAATCCTTTAATTACTGCCGCTACTTCTGGCTGGGTTCTGGGAAGGAACTAATTCAAGCAGCGATCACTTGACCTGAAATATTATGAATGTAATTTCATTATTTGGTCTGTGCGGGTCGTGGGCAAGGGGTTACAATAATTGGCTTTGCTGAGTGCCTGCTGGAATGGCAATTTGTCACCCAATCCTGTGGCTGACAACCGACAGACAACTCACTCTGTGGGGCCCAAGTCATTTGCCCCTGCCTGCCCCATGACCTGGCAGGTGACATTGTCAGGGTACGCTCACAGCAGCCAGCCCAGACTTCAGGGTGAAGTGCTTTCCACATGAACCGTAAGGCATCTGTCCACCCATGGGTGTATAGTAATACTGAGGTGAGCACACATACTTGTACACAGCTAGGATTATGGGTGAGGGCCAGATGCACACACACATGCACACACATGGGCACCTGACTCTTCATCAGGACACACACACGTGTGCACAAGAACCAGAACATGTCTGCTGTGAGCAGGAATGAAGCACGCCCTGACAGTCTGAAGGGCAGTGCCGTGCAGCTCCCCAACCTCTAACCCAGGCTGGCCCTCCAATGCCATGCATCTCATAGTGTGGTGCTTGCTCCCAGCCCTGAGTGGTTGTCCGGTCACCAAGAAGACTTCAGACTTTTGGGATCTGAGGAACCGGGTTTTAGTTCAAGCACTGATACTTCCTGGCTGTGTGACCTTGGGCAAGTGACTTTGCCTCTCTGTGCTTCAGTTTTTTCATCTATAAAATAGAGACGGGTACAGCGAGGCTCTGGCATGAGGATATTGGTAAAGCATGTAAAACACAGTGCCTGGTACACAGTAGGCACTGAGTGCTCACACCATCATCATTGCCCATACCACACCCCTGGATGCCACCTCCTTGAATGCTCTCAGGACTCTTGGGTCCCTCTCCTAGTACTGGGGACATCGCTGTGACACAGAGGCAGCAGGGAAGGCGAATCTGCAGAGTCCCTTGCTGGGCCAGGCCAGGCCCCTCTCCAAAGGGACCCTTGCTGAGTGTGGCTGCCATGGTGCCCTAGGGGGGCAGAAAGGGAGCCAGGGTGGCCATGCCTGCCACACCCCATCACTGTGGGAAGCAGGCTGCCAAGTCAGAAATCCTCCTCCATTTACACCCACGGGCACCCACACCCGCATCTCCAGGTAGATACTGGAGAGAGTGCCCACTCGCAGGAAAGCTTTGCTTGAATTGATTCTTCCTTTGCTACAGCAACAGAAGCTTGTCAGTGGGTGCAAATATTTGCATGTGAGTAACTGTGCGTAAATGAAGGAGGTTTTAATTAGGTGCGCTCCCCAGAACCCCACTCTCTGGCCCTTGCCTTCCCTGTATCTCTGCTGACCAGTCACCTCCCCGACCCCTCAGGTCCCCTGCCTGACCTGAACAGTGAACAGGTATCTGGCAGGGCTCCCGGCTGCTGAACCAAACAATGCCACTGAGGGGCTCTGTGCAGCCACTGTTGGTCAGCGGAGCCCAGGAGATGCTCTGCTCATGGACCGCTTGGGGTCTGGCTTCATGGGGGTCCTATGGGGCTGGAAGTAATTCTTAGCATCCCCTTCCCACCAGGAGACCCACCTCCTCTGTGTCCTCCCAGGGGGTATAGGGAGAGCAGGCATGGAGCCAAATAGGGCCTAGGGGGCAGGTCTCAGCCCTACGGGGGTTTAGGGTATTGGAAAGATCTAGTCCTCCCAGCCCATCCAACCAACAGTAGGTGCCAAACATCACCTATTATCTAACGTTAAAAAACACATTCCAAATTAGAGCTGCCCCTTTAAAATCAGGAGAATCCACATAAATGTATGTTACCGATTCTTAGCTTTTTTTTTTTTTTTTTAAGACAGCATCTCACTCTGTCGCCCAAGCTGGAATGTAGTGCGTGATTTCAGCTCACTGCAACTTCCACCTCCTGGGTTCAAGCTATTCTCCTGCCTCGGCCTCCTAAATACCTGGGATTATAGGTGCCTGCCACCAACTCCGGCTAAATTTTGTAATTTTAGTAGAGATGGGGTTTCACCACGTTGGCCAGGCTAGTCTCGAACTCCTGACCTCAAGTGATCCGCCTGCTTCGGCCTCCCAAAGTGCTGGGATTACAGGTGTGAGCCACTGCACCTGGCCAGATTCTTAGCTTTTATAAAAAACAAAACAAAAACAAAAAGGATGACCTGGCCACCCTGGACTTACACTCCTGCACAGAGCTCTGGGCTGGAGTGGAGCATCGGTGGCCCCTGGCCCTGGGGCCTGTCTGTCCACTTCCCCCTCACCCCATCCCCTTTCCCCCATCCTGTGGTCTCCCGCTCCCTGTGGCTCTGTCAGGCCTACTGTCTGATGGATCCCAGTGACCCTGCACAGTTCCCATGGACATCTCCTCATTCCCCTCCCTCCAATGCAGACCCAGACCCTGAGGGCAAAGGTCAAATGCACTCATAAATGGCTGTAGCCTTTGGAGGAGGTGGGATGGGGTCTTGGGACTCCATCCAGGACTTGAGGAATGCCAGGAGCAGCCTTCCCATGGTGAAGCACCTTTGGACACAACCAGATGTAGTGAGGGGCTCACGGATCATCATCCCTGCAGTCCCGCCCTGGTGGAAAACCAAGACCAGGCACAGAGCTTGGTGGGGAGCTAGGATGGGGCCAGCCCACCCTCTCAGAAGTCTTCAGGCCTTTTGGGGAGGGCTGAAAAATGCCTCATCCAGGCCTGAGGGCAAGATGACAGGCAGCCCCCGACTTCCCTCTGGGACCCCAGACGCGAACATGAGAAGCCCCCAGGAGCTCCTCCACCCCCCACTAGGAGCCTGCGCTGTGCAGGGACTCCCCAGTGGCAGCTGTCAGAGGGCACAACTGAACCGATTTAAGCTCAGCTATTTTCCCCACATAAAATAAAATTTCAAAATGAGCGAATCTTCCACTGACTTCCACTATGATTCAAGTCAAAACTGCAGAGCCACAAATCCTGGAAAATAAGCTTCATAATGAAAACATCAGCAGGCATATAATGGTGAAGCTTTTTTGGCTTAAATGAGATCCGCCCAGAGGCTCCCAACTTCTGCAAATATTGTGAGAAGGAGAGGGGGATCTGCAGTGACCCTAAAGGCACCACAAATGGTGTCAACCTCAATGCAAGAGCGGGATAACCCCACCGGCAGGCAGTTGGAGCCCAGCAGAAGGTGCGTCTAGCCCCAGGGTGTGTGGGCCCGCGCCCGCCCCTACCGACCCACGCATTTGGCCTCCAGAACTGGACCTCCAGGCTTCTGTTGTCATAACTACCACCGTAACTTTTTCAGAGTTTTAAAAAACCAAGACCTACGCAGTGGCCATGGAGAAGGACAGCAATCGTAGCAACAGCCCTGTCCTTGGAGCGTGGGTGGACTCCTCACCACTTCCCTGCTGCCTGTGTTAGGAACAGGGGCTCGAGGACATCAGGAGGGTTGGCACACGGTGGGACCCCACCGGGCCCTTCTTCATGCTGGCAGTGGGTGTGCCCCGTTTCAACCCACTGGATGTCTCCAGGCCCTCCCCCTTGGCCCTGAGACTCCAGGCCAAGTGAGGCTGGGGGAAGGGGACAGAGCCGGGCAAAGGGCCCCCTACCTCGGGCCTCTTTGGAGCCTGGTGCCACTTGGGGAGTGGAGTCTCCCCTGCCCTCCACCTCTCCACGGCAGCTGCCCTGGGCTGTGCGGGAGGCTTGGCTCTGATGCCAGGTGACTCTCACTGAAGATGCTCAGGCAGTGAATGGGAACAGAGGTGGGGGAGGTGTAGGCACAGGAGGAGGGAAAAGAAGTCCAGCCATGTGGCATCCCTCCCCAGCCCCCAGCCTTCAGTCCTCCTTGGGCTCAATGCCTGGCCCTCGGAGCAGTCCCAGCACTCCAGACCCGAGGTAATCCTGAGGCATCTCATGCACAGATTGTGACCTCCGCTTCCTCCTCCCCCGGTCCCTCCAATGCATTCTGGGCCAGGCAGAGTGGGAACGGGGTCACTCCACACCTGAGACCTGCTCTGGGCCCTCTGGGCTGTGACTCACACGGCAGGTGAACAGAGCCAGATTCATCCCCCTCGGGGGTCCTCTGGGGAACAATTGGCCACTGTGGAGACGCAACCCAACACTGGGGCTACCTGGGGACGCAGGACAAGCATCGGAACCGCCTGCCCCTCCTGGACCCTGCCCAGGCCCCCACATAATGGGAGACCCAGTTTTCCAGTTGGACTGAAATTTCAGAAGGTGTCTTTGTTGTAGGTTTTATTAATTCAACCAATGGAAGAGCCTTGGGGCTTCGGTTTGGGGAGCTGACAGTTGCCACAATCTGCTGGGTGTTGGCAAGAAATGTCCTTTGAGAAAAATGGTAGAATAACATCAGAAAAGAAAAGAAATATCGAGGAGTTTGAGGTGGCAGAGAGCTATGATCATGCCACTGCACTGCAGCCTGGGTGACAGAGCAAGACCCCTTACCTTAAAACAAAACATAGGCCGGGTGTGGTGGCTCACGCCTATAATCCCAGCACTTTGGGATGCCAAGGCAGGTGGATTCCTGTGGTGGATCACCGAGGTCAGGAGTTTGAGACCAGCCTGGCCAACATGGTGAAACTCCGTCTTTACTAAAAATACAAAATAAACTGGGAGTGGTGGTGCATGCCTGTAATCCCACCTACTCGGGAGGCTGAGACAGGAGAATCGCTTGAACTTGGGAGGCGGAAGTTGCAGTGAGCTGAGATCCAGCCTGGGTGACACAGCGAGATTCCATCTCAAAAAACAAAAACAAACAAACAAACAAACATATAGACCATGACATTAACTAATAGCAAAAGGAAAGAAGGACAGAGAAGGGGGAGCACAGGCTTTGGAATCAGGCAGATCTGGGGTCAAATCCTGGCTGAGCCACGCAGGCTTCAGGACTTTGGGTAAATGAATGAATCTCCCTAAGTTTCAGTTGAGGATAAAGACGCCTGCCGAGGAGGGCGAGGGAAAATAGAATGAGTACCACGTGCCAGGCACCCAATAAACAATAACCCTGACTACATTTCATGCACATTGAAGCTTGATTACATTGTCTCATTTTATAAATTACCATCATACACGTGCGTTGGAGCTCTGCGGTTTTCAAAGCCACTTTTGTCCATGACTTCATTAGATCTCCTCTTCTATTTTTAGCATGTTACTGTAGTTCCTTTTAAAACATAAGTCTCACTCTTATTGGACATGATTGTCCCAATTTTCTATTCTGCTCTCCTTTTTAATTTCCCCGCCCCTAGGAACTTTTAGCATAACAATTCTGGGACCGTTTCTATTAATATCAATTTTCAGATTACAGCGATGTGATGTCTGTTTCCTAATTTAATTAGGTGATTCCTGTTATTACTTCCTACATGCTCATTATTTTTCATTTAGCATATTTTAATGTACCAAAGGAAAGTGAGGCTCTGGCTAGAGACCCCCAGGGTGTCTTCTGCAGGAAGAGGCGAATATTCACTCCAATTGCAGGGGGTGGAGGAACCCAGGAAATCGTGGCCACGTAGAAGACTGGGAAGACACAGGATGGCACTGCTAAGGGGAACGGCCTGGGCTCAGGTGAGAGAGGCTTGAACTGAGAAACTTTCACTGCAGAGACAGGGTCCACAGTGGGCTCCCCCTCCAAATCAGGGCCTCCCAGGGAGTGTGGCAGTGAAGGTCCTTCATGACCCCCACCCTCAAACAGCAGAATTCAATGATGGTCCCAAAGCTAGCACCGCCCAGACGCATCAAACCCACTAGGCTCGGGGTATCCAGACCTGAAGGTTCCATGTTCCGACCCTGCCTATTTCTGGCACTTGGGCAATCACCACGCAAGGAGCACTCCATGTCCATCCCTCCATCAGTACTGGTCTTTGCACAACTCCAGGGGACACCCTTCACACTGCAATCTATGTGAACCATACCCCAGAATTAGCATAAAGCACAGTGTGGGTGTGTCCCTGCTGGGTGCAAAGTAGCAACTGGGGCTTGGCTTTCTGTGCCCCTGGGCTCTGGCCACCCTCTCTGCCCCTCCCCACCTCCAATTGTGCATAATGATGGCTGGCCTGGCCTAGGAGGAACCCCCACGAAGACATTCTGGAGTTTATGAGAAAAAAGGAGGGCAGGACTTCCAGAGCCACGCTTGGAAGAAACACTGTGACAAGGACCCCACCCACAGCCCTGAGCGGAGAGCCTGGTGCATTAGGTGACAAGGAGAAGGCACTCCAGGAGTACTGAAAACCCAGTAGGTGGCTTTCCCTGGAGTGAAATTGTCTCTGCTGTGGCCCAGGAAAAGTGAGGCATGGGAGGGCGAGGTGGCCCTTGCCAGCCTTGGGCGCTGTTCAGGAAGAGAGTTTGAAGCTGCAGGTGCATTGTTTAGAAACACTGGGTTCTGAGAGTTCCAGCCCTGCTGATTTTGAGATAATGTATTGCCAGCTACTTAACAGGATGGATCACTGCAATTACATGTCACTTCTGATGTTCACAGTCACAACAAGGATGTGTCAGCCTCCCAAGGTTTGTAGGAAATATATATGATGTTCCGCAATGCCGTTAGAAAATGGTTTCAGGAAACAGACGCAAGAGGGTTCCAATAAAACCCACCTGCCCGGGGAAAGCAGCCGGCTCCATGGAAACTGGAGGGGCAGGTACCAGCCCAGGAAGGAGTCTGGGCTTAGACGCCCAGCTGCGCGAGGACCGGACTCTCTCTGAGAGGGCCAGTAGACATATTTCCCCTGCAGCCAACCTGGCCCAGCTGCTCAGAGAGAGCAGGTAGGGGTGGCCGCTGCACTTCTGTTGCCTCTATCACCCTCCTTTGGGTGAGCTGTTGAGAGCTTCTTAGCAGGCGCTCCTGTGGTCCTGGCCCACCCACGACATTTGTCCTGGCATTTGTCTCAGAGCTCCAGGGGGACACACTCAGAACATGACAGTCACTGTAGGAGCTGGACAGACCTTCTGACATTGCAGTTTGGTCCTCCGAACAGGCACAGGCAGGGCAGTGTGTCCCTGGTAACCCTGGGACGCAGAGTGAAGGCCACACTTTCTCCAATCAACACAGCGCTGCCTCCAGGACATCAAAACAAGAGCCCCGGCATCAGGCAGACCCGCGGGCATTGGACTTCTGGCTCTATTCATTTCTAGCTGTGAGATATTAGGCATGACGCATAGCAGCACGTGCTGCGGAGGGAGACCCCTGGCTCCACTGGAATCTCACCCAAGCCCGCTTCACTGCTTCCATTGGAGGTCAGCACCTCCTGTTCACTAGAGAGGACAAACAAGCAGCCCACAGTTCCCCTCTTCCAGGAAGTCCTCCTGGCTCCTTCAGCACTCACCTCTCAAGAAAGGTTTACAACCTGCCTTAAGTGTCCCCCAGGCGCCGCTGAGCCAGGGCCAGGTCTCCCCTCCACTGCCCCCAGATTGGGAACCCTGTAAGGAAGGGCCTGGATAACCTCCTTCCTTGACCCCCACAGATTGTGAGCTCCCGAGAGCAGAGCCCGAGCTTCCTCCTCCCGTGTCTCCATCTCCCTGTGCACCCCTCCCCTGCCTCGGTACAGCTAAGCGGCTGGGCTTGCAGGGCCTTCACACAGATGGGCATGTACAGATCTCTCCCTGTGGCTGGCAAGCCCAGGGACCCAGGCATGGAGGTCCCATCCCAGGACAATGTGAGGTTTGGGCTGAAAAGCATGAATCTCCATGCTGGCATCCAGCCCAACGGGGAGCAGGGACAGCTTCCAGGATACTGGTTTCCTGGCCTGGAAATGTGGAGTAGATGTAAGTCCAGAGCTGCCAGCCCCTCTCCCAGGGCAAGGCTCTCCCATAGCCCTCCCCACCCTGCATGGTGCCAGCGTCCAGGCCTGGGGTGTATGAGGGTAAAGGAGTGAGTGTGTCGACCTGTGAGTGGAAACGCAGGTGCAGAGGGGCGAGGGCATGGTGGGGGCTTCCTGCCTGTCTTGCCTGGTCCTTCATTCTGTGGGGCTGGACACCCCTCGGTGGAGGAGCTACAGGGAGACTCCACACACCCTGCCAAGCATCTCAGACACCATAAGCCCCAAATGGAACCTGTGATCTCTTGCCCCATTGCCCCGACCTCTCCCCATCTGGCACATCTGCCCCAGTGAATGGCACCCCCAACCTCCCTCCTCTAGAGCCAGAAACCCAAGTCCCCCTGAACCAAGACCACTGCCCTCCCCGCCCTCCTCACCTCCTTGTCCTCTCATTTGAAAGGTCTCCAACACTGCATGCGATATCCTTGGCTGCCCCCAATCTCCTTGCATTTGTTGCCTCTCCCTGTCTGCTCTCTGCCCACGGCCACACAACAGGCAGCCACCAGAATGAGCTTTCTTTCTTTCTTTCTTTCTTTCTTTTTTTTTTTTTTCTTTTTGAGATGGAGTCTCGCTTTGTCGCCCAGGCTGAAGTGCAGTGGCACGATCTCAGCTCACTGGATAAAGGATTGTAGTTGCCGTGATCTCAGCTCACTGGATAAAGGATTGTAGTTGGCGCGATCTCAGCTCACTGGATAAAGGATTGTAGTTCTTTTAAAAGAACTACAACCTCTGCCTTCTGAGTTCAAGCAATTCTCCTGCCTCAGTCTCCCAAGTAGCTGGGACTACAGGCCCATGCCATCACGCCCGGCTTATTTTTGTATTTTTAGTAGAGGCGGGGTTTTGCCATGTTGCCCAGGCTGGTCTCTAACTCCTGACCTCAGGTGATCCACCGCCTCAGCCTCCCAAAGTGTTGGAATTACAGGCATGAGCCACTGCGCCCAGCCCAGAATGAGCTTTCTGATGCACCACTCCCTACTCCGGGGTCCCCAGAGCTCCTTGTTGCCAGAGGCCAAGGCTGGATCCTCTACCACACTGCAAGGGCCTGCTGGGCCCAGGGCCGGCTGTGTCTTCAGCCAGGAGTCTAGATCCACAGGTCATGCTGCAGCCCCTAAATCACTTAAAGTTCTCCACGTGCCGCATTCTCTCAGGACTCCAATCCTTTATCCACACTGTTCTCTCTGCCCAGGCTCTGCTCCAGGTCCGGAACACAACAATACTGGGTACCCCAAGTGCTGGGCAGACAGTGTGGTACAGTGAACCACAGGCAGCCGCCCAGGCCACATCCTAGCTCTGAAGCCCAGAAGCTGCGTGGCCTTGGGTACGGTTCTTAGCCTCTCTTACCTCAATAGTCTCATTTTTCAAATGGTGTAATAATAATTCACTCATAGGGGTTTTAAAGTATTACATGAGGCCGGGCACAGTGGCTCAGACTATAATCTCAGCACTTTGGGAGCACGAGGCAGGTGGATCACTTGAGGCCAGGAGTTCGAGACCAGCCTGGGCAACATGGCGAAACCCCGTCTCTACCAAAAATACAAAAGTTAGACGGGTGTGAAGAGGGGGGTGCCTGTGGTCCCAGCTACTCAGGAGGCTGAGATGGGAGGATCACTGGAGCCCAGGAAGTCAAGGCTGCAGTGACCTGAGATCACACCACTGCACTGTAGCCTGGGTGACAGAGTGAGACTCTATCTCAAAAAATAAATAAATAAAAATAAAGCATTAAATGAAGAGAAAAACAAATAATCCCATCAAAAAGTGGGCACAGGACATGAATAGACATTTCTCAAAAGGCTCACAGGCTGGGCAAGGTGGTTCCCGCCTGTAATCCCAGCACTTTGGGAGGCTGAGGCAGGTGGATCACAAGGTCAGGAGTTTGAGACCAGCCTGGCCAAAATAATGAAACCCCATCTCTACTAAAAATACAAAAAATTTAGCCAGGCATGGTGGCATTAGAACATGTAATCCCAGCTACTTGGGAGGCTGAGGCAGGAGAATCGCTTGAACCCGGGAGGCAGAGGTTGTGGTGAGCCAAGATTGTACCATTGGACTCTAGCCTGGGCAACGAGAGCAAAACTCCGTCTCAAAAAAAAAAAAAAACTTAAAAAACAATAATGTTGGCATGGATGTGGTGAAAAGGGAACGCTTTTCACTGCTGGTGGGAATGTAAATTAGTACAACCACTATGGGAAACAGTGTGGAGATTCCTTAAAGCAGCGGTCCCCAACATTTTTGGCACCAGGAACCAGTTTCGTGGAAGACAATTTTTCCACGGTCTGGGGAAGGGAGATGGGGGTGGGGAGGTGGTGGTTTCGAGGTGGTTCAAGCACGTTACATTTATTGTGCACTTTATTTCTATTACTATTACATTGTAATATATAATGTATATACATGGATATATTATTACATGTAATATATCCAGTGACAGATCATCAGGTATTAGATTCTCATAAGGAGCGCACAACCTAGATCCCTTGTATATGCAGTTCACAAGAGGGTTCGAGCTCTTCTGGACTCTAATGTGGCCACCGATCTGACAGTAGGCCGAGCTCAGCTTTGATAGCTCGCGCACCACTCACCTCTTACTGTGCGGCCTGGGTCCTAACGCAGGGGTTGGAGACCCCTGCCTTAAAAAACCAAAAGTAGAACTACCATTCAATCCAGGAATCCCACTCCTGGGTATCTACTCAGAGGAAAACTCATCATATGAAAAAGACACATGCTCATGCATACTTATTGCAGCACAATTCACAACTGCAAAGATACGGAACCAACCTAAGTGCCCATCAACCAATGAGCAGATAAAGAAAATGTGGTGACCGGGTGCGGTGGCTCACGCCTGCAATCCCAGCACTTTGGGAGGCTGAGGTGGGGGGATCACCTGAGGTTAGGAATCTGAGACCAGCCTGGCCAACATGGTGAAACACTGTCTCTACCAAAAATACACAAATTAGCCAGGTGTGGTGGTGGGCACCTGTAATCCCAGCTACTAAGGAAGCTAAGGCAGGAGAATCGCTCCAACCCAGGAGGTGGAGGTTGCAGTGAGCTGAGATTACACCACCGTACTCCAGCCTGGGAGACAAAAGCAAAACTCTGTCTCAAAAAAAAAAAAAAAAAAAAAGAAAGAAAGAAAGAAAGAAAAAGAAAATGTGGTATATATACACCATGGAATACTACTCAGCCATAAAAAGGAACAAAATAATGTCTTTTGTAGCAAGTTGGATAGATGGGGAGGGCATTATTCTAAGTGAAGTAACTCAGGAATGGAAAACCAAATACCGCATGTTCTCACTTATAAGTGGGAGCTAAGCTGTGGGGACCTAAAGGCATAAAGTGATACAATAGACTATGGGACTCAGGGGACAAGGCTGGGATGGGGGGTGAGGGACAAAAGATTACATATTGGGTATGGTGTACACTGCTTGGGTGACGAATGGGTGCCCTAAAATCTCCTAATTTACCACTAAAGAACTTACCCACGTAACCAAAAACCACCTATACCCCCAAAACTATTGAAATTTTAAAAGTAGTAAATGAGTATTAAATATATGAAAAGTGCTTGTGATTGTGCCTGGCTCATCTCGAGGGCCTGAGAGCATTAGCTAGTATCAGTATTGTTGCTACTTCTGTGTCTGCCCCAGTGAGTGCTGGCACATTGTCTCAAACTAGACATCGTTTATTTGTAAGAATCATACCTAGCCAGTTGTGGTGGCTCACACCTGTAATCTCAGCACTTTGGGAGGCTGAGGCGGGAGATCACTTGAGCCCAGGAGTTTAAGACCAGTCTGGGCAACATGGTAAGATCCTGTCTGTATAAAAAATAAAATAAATAGCTGGGTGTAGTGGCGTCTGCCTGTGGTCTCAGCGGCTCAGGTAGGAGGATCACTCGAGCCCAGGAGGTCAAAGCTGCAGTGAGCTTTCATGGCAAGACTATACACCAGCCCGGGCCACAGAGCAAGACCCTGCCTCAAGAAGGGAAGGGAAGGGAACAGAAGGGGAAGGGAGGGGAGGGGAGGGGAAGGGAGGGAAGGGAAGGGAAATTATATGCATTAGAACATGTAAAGCTAGGCGTGGTGGCTTACGCCTGTAATCCCAACACTTTGGGAGGCCAAGGCAGGTAGATCGCCTGAAGCTCAGGAGTTCGAGACCAGCCCGGCCAACATGGTAAAACCCCGTCTCTACTAAAAAGATAAAAATTAGCTAGGTGTGGTGGTGGACAGCTGTAATCCCAGCTACTTGGGAGGTTGAGACATGAGAATCGCTTGAACCTGGGAGGCGGAAGTTGCAGTGAGCCAAGATCATGCCACTGCACTCCAGCCTGGGCTACAGAGCGAGACTCTGTCTCAAAAAAGTAAAGTTCTCAATACGAGGCCTGGCCCATGGTAAATGTTCAGTCAATATTCATTATTATCTTCATCGTTAAATTTCCCCATGCCCTGCAGGAGTGCCCCAAGACAGGCCACAGACCTAGGAGTCATCGGGGGCTGTCCAATCCCATTGTCTGTGCCAGGGGTCCCTGAGGGGGATCTTTGCTGTCCACCACAGCTGCCTCCCCACTGGGCACCCTAGAACCACCACCCACAACTCCTTGACTCCAGGAAAAGGCAAAGGGCTCTGAAACATGGGGTAGCCCCACTTAAAGAAAACTCACTCTGCAAAAGCCAAACATTAAAAGAACGAACTATTTACAGTGTGCCAGCAAGAGAATCTGTATGGTAACATTATATATATATATATATATATATATATATATATATATATATATATATATATGAATAAACTACAATAGAATCTGTATGGTAACATTGCATTTATATATATATATATATATATATATATATATATATATGAATAAACTACAACAGAATCTGTATGGTAACATTGTAGTTTTATATACATATCTATGAATAAACCAATCAATCCACACCACTCACTTTGGCTTCATGGGTCACTGACAATGACTCACCTTGCCCCATTAAAACAAAATCCATTCCACTTAAAAGAATGAAGAAGGAGTGATAAAATCAGAACATTGCCACTGTGTAACCCCTAATGAATGGCTGGATCTAGGCACGATCTCTGGCGGCTGATAACATAAGACAGCCAGGCAGACAGGAGCCTCCTGATGGAATAATACAGAACCACCCATGAATTCCTGTCCCCCAAAACTCCCCTAGAAGAAAACAAAAACCAATCCAAACCTGTATCTGATCAAGCTTCAAGATTCACCTAATTTATTGGGACAACAAAGAACAGAGAACAACGTGAATCCTTATCAGACAGGCCCAATCAGCCAAATCTCAATTTACAGAAAGTTCTATAGGAACCGTGACCTGGTTTCCTCAAATAAATAGTGAGAGAAGAATACAGATGGAGAAGGAAACTTACAGATTAAAGGAGACTTAAAAGACTCATCCACCAACTGCCATGTGAGGGCCTTTTCTGGATATTGGATGGAACAAATTGGAAATAAAGGTAATTATATTTGTGAGACAGACATTTGCACACTGACTGACTATTTGATGCTATTGAGGAATCATTAAATTTGATGTTATTAAGGAATGAGTTCAGTGGTGATGTCAATAAAACAGTTCTTATCTTTTAAACTGAGAAATATATTGAAATATTTATGGCTGAGGCTGGGCACGGTGGCTCTCACCTGTAATCCCAGCACTTTGGGAGGCCGAGGTGGGCAGATCACCTGAGGTTGGGGATTCGAGATCAGCCTGACCGACATGGAGAAACCCTGTCTCTACTAAAAATACAAAATTAGCCAGGGGTGGTGGTGCATGCCTGTAATCCCAGCTACTCGAGAGGCTGAGGCCGGAGAATTGCTTGAACTCAGGAGGTGGAGTTTGCGGTGGGCTGAGATCGCACCATTGCACTCCAGCCTGGGCAACAAGAACGAAACTCCATCTCAAAAAAAAAAAAAAAGAAAGAAAGAAAAAAGAAATAGTTATAGCTGAATTGATAGGATGTCTGGTATAGACTTCAAAAATCACATGAAAGGAGGGAAGTGGATGGTGCTATGGATGGGGCCAGCCTGGTGTTGGTGGGGGGTGCTGGGTGCCCGGTATGTGGTGTTCATGGCACTATCCTACTCCACTACTGCATGTGTTCCAAATTCGCTATGATAAAACATTCACAAAGAAAGCAGCTCGTAAAATTCAGTTTGCTCGACCAAATGTGGAGTCAGCCTTCTGCAGCCCCCAGAGCCAGTACATTGGGAATTTTTTGTTGTTTGAGACAAAGTCCGGCCCTGTCACCCAGGCTGGAGCGCAGTGGCACAATCAGCTCACTGCAGTCTCGACCTCCTGGGCTGAAAGGATCCTCCCACCTCAGCTTCCTAAGTTGCTGAGACTACAGGTGTGTACCGCTACACTCAGCTAATTTTATTTATTTTTTTTTGTAGAGACAGGGTCTTGCTATGTTGCCCAGGCTGGTCTAGAACTCCTAGGCTCAAGTGATTCTCCCACCCAGGCCTCCCAAAGTACTGAGATTACAGGCACGTGCCACCACACCTGGCCATTGGTGTTTGTTATTCCTGGTTCTGGCCTGGTCTCCAAGTCTTTCTCTTGGAGAAGAGGTAAGTCTTGTCTACTGGGTCAAAAAGTGAATTTCCTGAAAGCAGAAGCTCTGGCCTCAGGGCCTGGCAATCCTGGAGACTGGAAAAGAATTATAACTGGAGAAGTGAATTCTCTGTTACACAAAACTTCATCTTCGCATCGGATAGCTTACTGGGTAGCTCTTCCTGTTTCCAAAGATTTGATTTGGACTGTAGTAAAAAAAAAATGTTTAAAATGTGGTTTGATTTACAAAAGTCTGGCAACCCCCTACAATTCCATCTACTGCCTGAGCCAGGTGAGCTTGGCTGGCTGATCCATGTAAAGTTCAGGTGCTGTTAATATCCGGTGGCTGCGTGGGAGGGACGTGAATGAGGCCAGGCCCCAAGGGACCTCAAGCAACTCAGAATTCCCGCCACTCCCCATCCCCTTTCTACATTTGTTGTGCCACAAACTGCAGCTCCCAGAGAACTCCGTCCCCAGGACAGTTCATGCCATGGTATGGAATTTCCTCCGTAGATCCGCTCATCTCCACTCCCAGCCCTCCACCCCAACACCTGCCTGTTTGCCTGATCAGGATGGCAGGGCAACTCCCAGAATGTGTTCCTCCCACCAACAGAAATTCACAGGGAGAATTGTCAAGGGCCCTTGGGGCCACCCAGCCATGCAACTGGACACATACACTTTGTAAGCACTGGTTTCCAACAGATAAATGTAATCAAGGTTTATATGCTCAGAGAAGCCAACAGGATGGGATTGTTTCACTTGAAAGATCAGAAGAAAATGTAACTAATGTTGTGGAAAATTACTTTGATATTGCTTTCTTGGTACCGAATCACAATTAGGCTGCCGTGAGAAGTACAGGGAAGGAATAAATGAATAGTAACAAATCAACACAAACAGCCTGTGTCAGAGGCACTTTGCTCAGGGAAAGTAACGTAAGCATTACTTAAAGTTTTATGACTGTGTTTGGTGTGATTTACCCAGACCGTCAAGTCTGCCCATCACCTGGCACGTGGTGAGGGTGGTCTGGCTGCATGGACCATCAGAAGACCCACGTGTGCTCCTTGCCAGGTCTGCCAGCTGCAAAGGGATGATGGCCTCGGCTCCGTGCCATCTGACATCCCCTGCCAGCCTGAGGATCCGATCTTCCCAGAAATCCCAGCCGTCCCCTGGGTCCCCAGCCCACCTGTAATCCACACGTATGTGCACTCGGGAAGCTGGGCAGGGCAACAGGGACCTGCGCAGTGAGCACTCTTGCTGCGGCAGGGCAGGGCACTAGCTGAAGCCACCAAACCACAGTCCCATCCAGGAGTGTCCCACCGATGGGTCCAGGCCCTGGTCCCAGGTGGGCATCACAGGCACACTCATGCCTCCTCTCCCAGGCTCCTCCTGCAGAATGTGGGTACTGGCCGCCTGGACCCTCTGCCTACATGCACCCCCAACCACGCACACACCAAGGACACACCCAGTCAGCGTTTGCTCGCCCTTCTTCCTGACTGTGCTTCTATGCAGATAACACATGACCTTAGGTACCAGCTCGCTGTCTGCCCTGGTGGCGCTGTCCCGAGGGGCCCTGTTCTGCCAATGCAGTGTCATGAGCTGTTCTGGGGCTCATGTGAGGCTGCAAAGCTCCCACAGGAGAGCCGGCTCTGCTGCGCACCTGCTGCTCCAGACGCCTGGGAGCGGCCAGACCCACTTCTGACAGCCACCACCTGTGGGGGCCCGGCACAGGCGTGAGTCAGCACCGATGACTCGCCCACCATCTCCTGGAGGCCACCGCCTTGGCTGCCTCCCTCTGACTCTCAACTCATTCGCCTGCCCATGGGGAGCCTCTGGCAGCTGCCAGACCCAGGGCCCCAGCTCTGGCCTCCTTGTGCTCTTTTCACCTTCCTTCCTGGTGCCCACAGGCCCTCAATCTGCACTAAAGGCCACACATCATGGGTGCTCGTCCATAATGGGGGCGGAGCGGTTGCAGAGTAAGACCCCTTCCTGTGCTCTGGGCTTCCGGCAGGGATTTACGCAGCAACCCCTCTGCCTACACCTCTGGCCCCCTTCTCTTTCATCCTGTCTCTGGATCACAGCACTGAGCAAGCAAGAGAGAGTGAGTGGGTGTCCCTGCAGAGGAGCGGTGTCTCTGGGGGTGCACCAGCTTGTCCATGCCCTAGAGCATGTGGACTGTGAGTGTGTGGCTTCATGGAACTGCCCCTAACAGGGGCCACTGCTGAGACACCTCCCCTCCTCTCCCTCCAAAGCAGAGAGTTCCCAGGCCTTGGCACCCTGCCAGCTGACCTCCTGTCCTTCCATATCTCTGGGGATGGGGACCGTGTCCCGGCAGCAGAAACCTTGCCTGAACTCCCTCTCCACACTCCGTCTGCCCTGAGATGCCAGAATCACCCTTCCTGCTCTGGCCTCCCTGCCATCCCACCTGTTCCCAGCAGCCCTCTGTGACTCCAGTGGGCTACCAGGCAGGGGTGGAATGGAAGTAGCAGTGGGGGACCCTCGGAGGGGGTCTTGGCCTCACTAAACCAGGAGGTACCCTGACCCCCTTTGTCCAGACCAGAGAGGCTAGATTCCCCAGGGCTGGGCAGGGAAACTGAGTCTTGCTTGTGGGGCATGGGCTCAGGGAGAAGTTGTCTACTTTCTGATGTCCCTGACAATGTGGAAGAGGCCTGAGAGGTGGTGGAATCCTGTTTAAATCTGAGTTTCATCAAGGGCAACAACTGGCTCAATAGACAGCAGCCTTGCCATGACTCCCAAAAGGGGCCACCCTGCTGCTAGGCACTGGCTGGAGGTCTTGCATCAGACACAGCACTCCCACATTGAGACTAACGCCTTCCCCGGGAAGCCAGGACTCTGCCTGCCGGGGGTCTTGGCACAGACTTGCCCCTTTCCCCCAAGCCCAGCACACCAGGGCAGCTGTGGAGGCCTGAGCTTCAGGCTGGAAAGCTGGGGGCAGTGATGGCAGGACTCAGCGCAAGGACTCACCTGGCACCTGCTGGGGGGCGAGCTCCGTAGGGTCCTGCAGGCTGATGAAGAGGAGGAGGCCTGCAGCTCCGAACAGCAGGATGGAAGAGAACATGCAGGCCAGCCGCATTGTTCCAGGTCGCAGGGTCATCCGGGGCTGGCTCAGGGGTCACCTCTTGGGTGTGGGGGGCACGTTCTTCCCTCATCGTCCACACCAGGCGTCCATCAGGCCGAGATCTACGGGGCAGAGGAGGGATAGTCATCACCGAGGCGCGAGGCACCCGGGCAGGTGTAGGCCCTGCTCACTGCAGCAATCCAAGTGCAATCCCCGGATGACTCTGCCCTCTACAAGTTACCCAGGGGTGCCCTTTCCATCCTTTCACACCCAGGAGGCTGAGGGAAGCCTGTTCCCACCTGTGGCTGGAATGCTAGCTTTCCACCAGGGTCTCCTGTATCTGCACCTCTGGACAAATCATGGAATGAGACACCCTCTGGCCCTGCCTTGGGGAGCCCAGTTGGGAACCTCCAGGCCCCCAGTCAGTAACCAGCAGCCACCCCCTGCACTGTCCAGGCCTCCAAATAAGCATGCGTGCTCCCAGGGCGGGGGCCTAGGTACTGGCGGGAACCTGGGTCCTTGTCCCTGGTACCCGGCCCGGTGGGCAGAGAAGCTCTTGGATGTGCCTCCACCCTGCTTCTCTCTGTAGGGCACTGGGGACAAGGTCTCCATAGAGCAGGCAGCTCTGAAAAGGAGCCTGCTAGGCTCAAAGGATATTCAAGCACAGACGGACTCTCCTGTGACAGCCAGGGCTGTCCTCACTGATGGACTGACAGATGGGTTGGCGTATGTCAGTCCCTCTGGACAGTCACACCAGAGGGAGCTGAGGCTCTGGCCAGACCACTGGAGTCCCTGTGCTCGAGGCCCTTTGCCTGGAGTGGAGGTGGGGCAGCTAGACCTGTGTCCAACAGACTCCAAGCTCAGAGGCGCAGAGGCTGGGTACTAACACCCCCTCGTGTTCCTGGGGGTGGGCACTAACTGCTCCAGCCACTGCAGACCCAGAGTATACCCATGTGACTCACCCCTTACCCCGCTTCCTCCTAGAGGGCAGGGAGAGAAATTCCCCATCCCCCACATACCAGCCAGTCACGCCAACAGGGCCAGGCTGTGCATGGAGATGGGGGCACCCCAAGGCCATTTGCCCAAAGGAAGAATATAAGTTCCTGCAGTGGTGTGTAGAGAGGGCATGGGCAGAGTACAGGGGGAGAGAGCCACAGGCGGCAGGCACTCTAGGGACCCCCCAACCCCGCTTTGAAGGTCAGTCACTCTGTCCCCTTACTTTCCAGCGGGCCTTGCTGGCTAGGCCGAGAGGATCACCCTTTTTCCACCCAAGAGCGCTGGAGGGAACATCCCCACCCTGGCACAGGTCAGTGCCTGAGGGAGGTGAGGCCAGGTAGGCAGCTCCCAGTAGCCTCTGAGGCCACAGCTGGGTGGCTGTTTAAGCCCCAGGTCAAATATGCTGCTCGGCCCAAGGACATCTCCCTGCCCAGGGACAATACTTCAGCCGGGTGACTCCTCCCCAACACGGACCCAGGCACTGGGGAAAGAAGCCCCCACACCCAGTCCATGGAGCATGAGAGATGGGAAGAGGCACTCTCCCTGCTCCCCTGCCCACGACTCCCCACGACCAGATGGTTCTGAAAAGCTCAAGGGCTAGGGAGGGTAAATTGCAGGTTTGGGTTTCTCCCCTCTGCAGTTTCTATAATTATTTTTTCACTCAGTTAACTTTAATTAACCCGCCCCAGGCCTCTCCGCACCGGGAAGGCACCTGACGCTGGGCTATCTGGACTGTGCCGAGCAGTTGGTTCCTGCGGCCTTCCAGCTTTTTACAGAATCACTGAGCTGGGCCTGTTTTGTCTCTGGAGCTGGCTCCGGGGTGTCAGGCTGGCTCCGACCTCACTGCAATGGCCTCTGCCCTAAAGACAAACTGCTGCTTCCTGTCATCCACCGAGGCCACCCCTGCCTTGCCTGCAAAGAGTAGAAATGGACACTCATGTGTCCCCAAGGGCTCAGACTCAAAGCCCCTTGTGCGGGGCTGGGGCCTCTCTCTCCATGGCTGCCCTGGATGAGGCCATCCTGAGGACCTGGGGTTCACTGCCTTGCAAAGACACAGATGCAGCACTGTAAGCCCCACAGCAGGCTGCGATGCCCTACCGTCCCCCAAGCCCTTCCCTCTGTGAGGACAGCACTGCACTGCAGAGTCCCAGCCCCACCGGGGCCAGCCCCAAAGCCTCAGGAGAGAGTGAGCAGCTGACAAGGCAGGCAAAGCTGTTCTCTCCAGCCTCACTCGGGGGAGCCCCAGGCAGTCATAGAAAGGAGTTAGAAGAATGGAAAAGATGTCACGCACCGACACAGGGGGGCCATGGCTCTCAGATGGGGACCAGGAAGAACCTGCAAGGTCTCTCGGGAGCAGCTGCTATTGCACGGTCATGGGGACGGTGTTCACATGTGCACCGCACCCACGGACCTAAGCAGACGCGGGTTCAATAACACACATATGCATACATGCCCGGGTGCATGCCGGCCAGTGCCTGCACACATACCATCGATGGTCCCCAGCAAGGCCCCAGCTGGAAAGCAACTGTCGCGAGCCCCTGAGTAAGCTGGCCACGGTGTGGGTGCGCTTCCTGCAGCCTCCTGAGTCAGACACCGGGAAGCCAGTTTGACCTAGGGTAGCCTCCAACATCAAGACATTTTGGAAGGAGGGAGAGAGGAAGGAGAACAGCTTCATGGCTAGCGCCCAGAACTGCCTGGTAAAACAGCTAATAATGGGTCCCTCAATATCAGGCTCTACCTGATGAACAAAGGGGACTCGGGAGCATGTGTGATCATCATCTCATTTGTTCAGTAGCTGGCGCTGCAGAGTGGTTACAAGAGAGCTGGCCGGTCCTCTCTTCTCCCCAGTCTGTCTCCATTCGAGCCAGTACCGACATCCACTGTCAAGGACTAAATGGGTCTGCAGCGAAGACCTGTCCTCACTTGTTTCTGAACCGCCCCAAACCAAACCCACCCCATGATGCCTGGCTCCAGCCACCCATGTGCCTGGGAGCCAGGGCAAGGACCAGATCCATGCCCCCAAATCCAGGAAGGGGAAGAAGACACAGACCCAGGACCACACCTCCATGGTGGTGGAGCTTCATCTGTTCACGTTTCCCCTTTCAAAGACCCTGCCTTTGCTGGCCCCCGAGAGAACACGAACACCCTCTCTCTATACCCAGGGAAGCTGGCATTGGAGCCGTCTGTGGCTTCAGGGTTTAGCCCCTAAGCCTCAGACCCCAGCTTTTCCCTCTGGGACCCTCAGCTCTGTGTTTGTTCTCACTGGGGACCATCTGACCAGCTAACTCCCTGCTCCGTGCAAACAGGAATCAAAAGGTCAGCGTGCCTCCCCTCCTGGGTAACTGGCCAGCAGTATGGCTGGCCAACTGGACTCTATAGAACACTCCTTTCCCCTAAGGTGTGGGAAGGGAGGGTGGTCACCGACAGATCCCCGGGCATTCCAGGGGGTGTAGAATCCTCTATTGTTCCTCGGAGGACCCCAGGCTTCCAAGTCGCACGTTGTTTTCAAGGCAACAGGAGCTGCTGGTCTAAGAGCTGTCTGTCTCCCTCTCCTGGGAGTCCAGCTGCTGCCTGGGGAGTGGACACCACCATCTGTCACAGGCTGGGGCCTGGAAGGCTGGGGGATGAGGCATAAACACAGTCACAGGCCTCAGCCTCCACCTGGGACTGTCCCATCCTCATCACAGACTATATCACTCTCAGCTCCGATGACAAGGGCAAAACCTGCCTTCACCTGCTTACACCCATCCCAAGACCAACAGACAATAAGAAAATCCAGCCTTCCAGGGGCAGAGAAGAGGGAGGGTTCAGGCAAGAAAAATAAACAGCCCCAGCGAGTTTCCAGCAGCTCCTGCCTGGCCTCACAATTCCTAGTCCTCCTGGTGGCTTTTCTCCCCCAGGCCTGAATGGCGTCACCAATTTTTACTTTAAGAAAAAAAAAAAAAAAGATCCAATTAATCTTATAAACCCCTCCTGGGACACAGGGCAGGGCGAAGGATTCCTCCCATTTCCTTATTTATTTGATTTAAAAATGTGTCTCTTTGAAGAAATTCACTTCAGGGCACAAGCAAGGACTTGGGAATTCAGCCAAAACACACGCACCTCCAGTGGCGACCGGCAGCAGGCGGACAGACGCATGGACGGCTCCAAGGACACGCTTGGCTGCAGCTGCTTCTGGGCCTGGACGCTCCCCTCAGCTGCCCAGAGGATTCCCTGTGGCCGTGGGGACCTGTCCCTGTGCCTGGCTCCAGGCAGCATGGGTGCACCCACGTGGTCAGCGGACCCCGGGCTCGGGAAAGTTCTCTGTCCGGTGGGTCTCCTTGCACCACACGGGCAGGAGAGAACAATGACGTCCCTCCCGGCTGAGGGCTCCCGGAGAAGCTGCTTGTTGGGAGAGAGGCTGCTATGGCAACTTGAGGAGAATGGAGCCAGGCACTGCCGTCACCTTGAATCCGGCACCGTGCCTTCTGCCGCGGTGGCAGCAGCGGGGACTCTGCACCGGGCGCTGGTCTCTGAGCCCTGGCTTCCCTCCTCAGCCTCCTGGCCTCGGGAACTCATCTGCTCGTCGCCGATCGATCGGTGGGAGCCTACAGCCCAGTCCCCCGAGAGCACCACCTCCTTCTGTTTTGTCAGACTAGTTCTTCCCTGCGCGCGGCTCTCGCTTACTTCTGAGATGGGGCTCTTCTTGATTTCAGCTCATTAAAAATCCTGCAGCTAATTAAAACCGCTCTAATGGCAGCGGCGGCGGCGGCAGCAAACTCTGGGACGAGTCCCTCCAGTTTTTATGCGTAGGCATAAAGTTGCAATGCTCTGCAAGGTTGACGGATGGGCGCGAGTGCTCAGACTCCAAGGCGGGGCTGCCGACTCTCAGGCTGCCTCCTGCCCTGCTGCTGGGGAGCGCTGGCCTGGGTCCTGAAATCCCCAGAGCCGGGCCTTGGCACACCCAGGCCCCTGCCGGGCGGCACGCTACTCCCGGGGAAGGCAATTTACCTGCTGTCCGCTGCCCTGTTACAAGGCAGGGTTCTCTCCACTCCCCCCCAGCCCCATGCTCTGCAGCGGGGAGAAAGGGCGTTCCGAGGTGGAGATTACCGGGTGAATCAGGCTCACAAGGTCCTAAAGCTTGCCACCATAGCCCTACTAGGAGCACCACAGCCCGGCCTCCCACCATCACGGACACATTCCAGTTGGAGTCTGAGGGGCGCCTGCAAACACACAGCCACAGCGAGGGGGGCCTGAGAGCGTGGCCAAAGACTGACAGGCCACGTCAACTGACCACACCCTGGACACTATCTCTGCCCAGGGCTTCTTACATGTTGAGGACATTTTATGCCAGTGGGGCAGGGCAGGGGACAGTCATTCTGCATGTAAAGAAACTGAGTCCCCTGCTCCTCCTCATCCTGGCAGAGTCTAGAATGCTGACTCAGTGCCCCGAATTCCCTGAATGTGTGAACCTTGGTTCCCTGAGAGCACCATCGCGGTGACAGCCCTTCCCTCACTGTGGGAAAAGCATTTGCCACCTGCCTCTGAATCGGGAATCGCATCGAGGCCTCTCCCCATCTTTGTATTCCCAGCACCTAGCACAGTCCCCGGCACAGGGAAGGTGATCAATAGCCTCTGCTGCACGTTGAATGAGCACGAGTTAATAGATGGAAGTGTT
Source organism: Homo sapiens (assembly GCF_000001405.40). Lineage (NCBI taxonomy): Eukaryota > Metazoa > Chordata > Mammalia > Primates > Hominidae > Homo > Homo sapiens. The sequence goes on along the minus strand of NC_000019.10, from coordinate 33,683,644 downwards.
TGGGGCCATCTGGAGAGAGGCACTCCATGAACCTGGAATTTTAAAAAGGTCATCTATGTTTCAGGGAGCTGAGGGTTTGTTTTCCTCAGAGCTGCCTTGGAATCAGGTCCAAAGAGTAGCCCAATCCTATGACAGGAGGCAAGGAAGAAGCAAGGAAGAAACGGCCCCCAGGGAGCCCAGTGGAGCCTTAAAGCTTGAAATACCCGAGGCCCGCTCGCCACCAGGACCTCACTTTTGCCTCCTCATGTCAGTATGACAGATTTCAGATCACAGAGCTTGAAGACAAATACACTTTTAAAGACAAATGTTGATTCTCCCTCTACATATACATACACATTAACAGGTGCAATGTTTACACAAAAGACACACACCATTGAGATGCCACAAAATTGACTGATTGTCCCCTGACATGGTTTGGATATGTGTCCCCTCCAAATCTCATGGTGAAATGTGATTTCCAGTGTTGGAGGTGGGGTCTGGTTGGAGGGGACTGAATCACAGGGTGGATCCCTCATGAATGGCATGGTGCCATCCCCTTGGTGATGAGTTGGTTCTCATTCAGTTCATGTGAAATCTGACTGTTTAAAAGAGTCTAGGACCTCCCCACTCATCTCTCTCTCACTGTTTCTCTTGCCATGTGACCGGCCTCCTCCCACTTTGCCTTCTGCCATGATTGTGAGCTTCCTGAAGCCCTCCCCAGAAGCCGAGCAGATGCCAACACCATGCTTCCTGTACAGCCTGCAGAACCACAAGCGAATTAAACCTCTTTTCCTTATAAATTACTCAACCTCAAGTATTTCTTTACAGCAACACAAAAGTGGACTAATGCATCCCCAAACCTTTAAAATATATTGTGATGCTAGGAACCCCCCCAAAAAATTACAGCTTGCATGTGTCAATCAAAAAGTCAATGATAGCAACACATGCTACAACATGGGTGACTCTTGAAGCCATCATGTTAAGTGAAGCAAGCCAGACACAAACGGACAAATACTGTATAATTCCACTTGTGTGAAGTACCAGGAGTAGTCCAATTCATAGAGACAGAAAGTAGAATGCAGGTTACCAGGGACTGGAAGGAGGAACAGGGAGTTGTTTAATGGGTACAGAGTCTCTGTTTGGGATGATGAAAAGGTTCTGGAGATGGATAGTGGTGATGGTTGCCCAACAATGTGAATGTAATTAATGCCACTGGACTGTACACTTAAAAATGATTATGAACTGGGTGCATCACTAGAGGTCAGGAGTTTGAGACTAGTCTGACCAACGTGGTGAAACCCCATTTCTACTAAAATTACAAAAATTAGCTGCATGTGGTAGTGCATGCCTGTTTTCCAGGCAGGAGAATCGCTTGAACCTGGGAGGCAGAGGTTGCAGTGAGCCGAGATCACGCCACTGCACTCCAGTCAGGGCAACAGAGCGAGACTCTGTCTCAAAAAAAAAAAAAAAAAAAAAAACAACAACAAAAACCACAACACACACACACACACACCAGGCACGGTGGCTCACGCCTATAATCCCAGCACTTTTGGGAGGCCAAGGCGGGTGGATCACCTGAGGTCAGGAGTTCAAGACAAGCCTGGCCAACACAGTGAAACCCGTCTCTACTAAAAATACAAAAATTAGCCAGGCATGGTGGCAGCCACCTGTAATCCCAGCTACTCGGGAGGCTGAGGCAGGAGAATGGGAGGTGGAGATTGCAGTGAGGCGAGGTCATGACATTGCACTCCAGCCTGGGTGACAAGAGCGAAACTCCGTTAAAAAAAAAAAAAAAGCAAAACCCAAAACCCTCAGTGGAAGCAGCTTGAACAAGGCATCTGGATGTCACAGGGTAGCCATCAGGCTCAGAGCAGGGCACCCCAGGTTCTCTGGCCTGACTTCCCCTCCACTTAAGTCTGATCTTCAGGACTTGAGTTTCCCTATCTCAGAATCAGTCCTCATCCAAAATACCTGCTGTAGATGAGTTCCCAAGTTCCCTGCAGCTCTGGTGTGAGACAAATGTCTTGAAACAGGGAGGCACCTTGTGAATTTCATTTGCATAGGGTTACTTTCAAGCATGCCAGGTAGGCTTCAGTCAAGGGCACCCCTCACCCACACCTGCCGCCTGTCCCTCACCAGGGAACTGGGTTGGTCCCATGACATGTCCTCAGGGAGGCTGCCAGGGCTGTGCCCCAGAGTTCTACACTCTAGGAAGGAACAGTTATCCCTGTTCCTGGGATAACTGGGCCCCTGTGGCCCACATGAGCCCAGCCAAGCTGTTTCCCTTCTTGACAACCCTGTCCTTGTTTGAGGGATCAAAGGCCACACTGCAAGTGTCAAACTGAAAACTGTTCTCAGGTTCTTTCTGATGTGCAAAGCTGTGCTCCCCTGAGGCCTCCCTGGCTGAGGTGAGTTCCACCTGGGCTACTCCTGACCTAGGGGACCATTCCTCTGTGTGAACTCCACTGAGCCCAGCTGGGACAGTGCCTCATTTAGTGATAGCTATCGTTTCAAGGCAGAAATCTAACAGGGTCCTTTTTCCTTCAAAAATCTTTAATTTTTAAAGATCTGAAGAAAGCAACACGAGGATCCTTGTGGGGAAGGAAATGTTCTCTATCTCGACCGTATCAATGTCAATATCCTGGTTTTAATACTGTTCTACGGTTTTGCAAACCGTTACAATTGGGGAAAGTGTGTAAGGGATATATGGGATTTCTCTGCATTATTTCTTACAACTGTATATGAATATATTATTATCTCAAAATTAAAAATTTAATTAAAGAAATCAAAACTTACAAATAAAAGTGACTGGCCTTTCAGCTCATGCAGAATGGAAGCCAATTCTAATGTTGTGCACGTAAATAAGAGATAGTCATTTCCATGGATCAGCTCCAGCCCCTGTTGTATAAGAAACATTTTAAAGTTAAGGGACTGTGCCTTTAATAGGAAAATTTGATGTGTTAGCAACTACTGGTTGATCTTTGTGCACTTTTCAATTGCAAATTGCACTTTAAAAATGCAAACAATTATTAATATCGATTTGGACTAAAACAATATTGAATTTCAACATATTTCCAGCTCTTTTATGAATTACCCTGTGGATACGTGGTGATTATGATAAAAGAGTATTTGCATGCTCAATTTCTTTTCAGTGAGGAACCTTGAAGAGGGCTGACGTGATCCATGGATAATGAACTTGACAGGGACAAGAATTGGCTCTGAAGCCATCAGCCAGGATCTCAGATTTAGCCGCAGCACAGATTTTCAGGGCCACTTGCCTTGCTGGGCTTTTTCCAAACCAATATTACAGAGCACAGGTTAGGAACACCTGCTCGAGGCCCAGAATGGGATTTTGAGTCACAGTTGTGAGGGAAAGAAAAGAAAAAGGAACAGGTATTTATCATTATTTGTTAACGTTCCAGGCACAATGTTGGATACTACATAAACATCCCATTTAGCTTTCACACAATAACCTTTTGAAGTAAAAATCATTATCCCTATTTGCCACAGGTTTGGTTCTCTGTAAGGAGATACCGAGATGGAGTTTGGGGTGCACAATGTTTATTAAGGATCAATACCTGCAAAGGGAAAAGGGAGGAAGCTGGAGTGGGAAGAAGTGGAATAGGGATGTAGGCCTTGATGGTGGGCTCCGGAGTGGATTCAGCCTGTCGGAGTGTCCTGCAGAAGGAAGATAGGGCTGGACCCTTACACCTCCCCCTTACTCAGTAGCTGGATGTGGGTTGCCCAGAGAAGGGCGTGATCTCAGATGAGGCAGCCCCTCGTGGAGTTGAGGACTAGAGGCTGGCTGCTGATCACACAGTCCCCAGGTGGTCAGCAAATCCTTCTTGGAAGGAAGATCTGGGCAGCAGATCTCCAAGCCCACCACTCTGTTTTGCAGATGATGAAATGAAGACCCAGAGAGACTAAATATGGCCAAGGTTACACACAAGAAATAAGCGCCACCCCAGATCTGACTCAAATCCTCTCTCTCTCCACCCCAGCCATGCTTTTCCAAAACAAAAGCTTAGATCAGACTGTCCTGACCTTCAGTTACTGAGACACGAAGGTCTGACAGTCTCCAGAGGAACACGCAGAAAGTTTGGCTGCATAAGCAAATACACTCACTTCGCCTCCTCTGCTAATGTCCCTGCAACAGACACGCATGCGTGTGCACACTCACACAGATACACACTTACTTCTTGGCAATTATCTCGTTGCTAATGGAAGAAGGTGGGAACATGAATTATTTGGGTTAAAAGTTCCCTCGACAGTACAGCCTGGAGAGCATCTCTCCCCACCTGAGCTGCTGGATCCTGCCAAGAGCACCTGGGGATGTAGGATGCGGCATGGCCAGCTTCCTTTCAGTTCTAGAAAGCACTGAGCTATTCACATTTTCCAGCGGCTCTGACATCCGCAGCCACAGCAGGGAAAATTACAGGGAGGAAAAAATTGCATATTTACTTCTCAAAATTGAAAGTTGGGGTATAATATGGACAGAGAGGAGTCTGTGAGTAAACCTGAAATGCCCTGGCCCCTGGCAGGGTGCAGACACACAAGGCAGTCCATAGACTTCTGAGGAGAGAATGGCAAGAAGCCTTGGCTGCCTTCCAGGGAATCTCTCTCCCTGTGGCTGGCACAAGGAGGCCCCAGAGGACTTGTCTTTGTGTTTCCAGCTGCCAACAGTGCCTGGCACAGAGCAGGTGCTTGGGCAATGTGTGGCGAATGAAGAGAAGCTAGTAAAAGGACAACGAAGGTGAAAGGAAGCTCCTGCACTGGAGCCAGCTGGGTCCTTCGGGCTGGGGTCATGTGGAGTCCAGTGGTTGTGCTCTGTGGGTCCACTCAGCACACAAGCATGGCCATACCCTTTGGAAGGAGGCTGGCTTCCAAAGGGTAACCTCCAATATCTTTTTTTATTTTTATTTTCTTAGAGACAGGGTGTCACTCTATTACCCAGGCTGGAGTGCAGAGATGCAATCATGGCTCACTGCAGCCTCAAACTTCTGGGCTCAAGCAGTCCTCCCACCTCAGACTCTTGAGTAGCTGGGACTACTCAATTTAACAGTGCCTGGTTAAATGTTTAATTTTTTGTAGAAGTGGGGTCTCACTATGTTGCCCAGGCTGGTCTGAAACTCCTGGCCTCCAGTAATCCTCTTACCTTGGCCTCCCAAAGCACTGGGTTTACAGGTAAACCCTCACAGTCTTGACCTCTACCAGTCCAGCATGATTTTCCCTGGAGCTCATCTCAAAACAGGCTGGTCTCTCCCAATGTGAAGGCTCAAGACTAAGAATATGGCAGAACAAAAGTCTCTTGGCCCTATCCTGGATGCTCTGTGGAAAAACAGGTCTCATTTAGGCCACCAGGAAGTGACTGGGGCTTCAAATGACCTGGAAGCACTAATGAGTGACTGTGCATGGGACAGGAACATCCCTTCTCCATTAGTCTCTGCCTCAGATCTCCTTCCAGCTAACGTCCTGTGTTCCAAGTCTCCTCCACCCCAGTGACCCCTTGGTGCCCTTCTTTTTCCCCACAGAGTGTTGGAAAGCCAGAAATGTGGGTCCAGACTAACACTTCCTCCCTCTCCTGACACCTGAGTGCAGATCTGGCCTTCTGAACATGTGTCCTGTCTTTCTTTCCCAGTCCCTCGGTGCGGCTCTGATTCAGCACCTGTAGCCTGGACAGCTCCCCATCTCAACACCTGTCCTGCAATACATCTGTGGTCACTCCCAAGCCCCCCAGGTGCCCAGTGACCCAAGTTAAAATGTCTCAGCATGGTCCACCAGATCTGTGAATATCCTGCCTCTGCCAACCTCCCGTGCCCAGTCTCATCTCTCACCATTCCTTGATGGCCCCCAGGCCAAGTGAGGCACCCTCCTGTGTGTTCCAGAGACTAACGGCTTTTATCTGACAGAGGGGACTGTGGGAGAGTAACACAGAGGAGACAGCACTCAGCATTCAATGTTGTCACTGGGAGATTTGGGGCATCCTCATGCTATGTATCTGGGCTCCTGTTTTCCCAGCCAGTAAGTAGGCCCCTGGTGGACTGGTACCATGGAGCTATTTGAGAAGATTCCTGCAGTGGTGGGATGCTGCCCTGGGGTGGAGGAACAGGCTTGGGTCTGGTGGAATGGGCTGCTGGGTCCCAGTCCTCTCTGCAGGGTGCCTGCTCCTCCACGGCCGGTCTCACCATCTTTCCATATGGCTCTGCTGAATTATTTGCTTATCTTGAACAACATCCAAGGGAGTCTGGTTTCTCTGGTTTCTTTCCCTAAGCCTGCAGCCTCTTTTCTACCATCCTGGGTTTCACATGCCCTCATCGCTCAACCTCAAGGACACAGGCAGAAGAGGTGTAAACCATTATGATCCCTGTACGTGGGGCTCTGTGGCATCTGTCTGCCAGGCAGGGGCAGGTGGGGCAGGGATGTGGGCAGCACTCGGCTAACTGGGAGCATCTTAAAGCAAAAGAGCATCCACACAGACCCCACACTCATGCCCCAGTGCCCCCCCCTGCCGGCTGATCACACAAGGGGTTGCTGGAGCCCTGACTTCTTATGTGATTGCTCTAAAGAGGAATGAAGACAGGCGTTTTTATAGTGGGACTCAAAATGTCAGTCATTGGTCTCTAGTGAGCAGCTGTTTGAAGCAGCTCATTTCCTATAATAACCACAAGACACTTTCATAATAAAAATTATGTTTCAAATGACACATCCAATGACCCTTGGTAGCAGATCAAGACCTTCAGATCTTCCTATTTGGAAACCTGGATTTCTTTTTTTTTTTTTCTTTTTTAAGAGTCTGGGTCTCGCTCTGTCACCTGGGCTGGAGTGCAGTGGTATGATCATGGCTCGCTGCAGCCTCAAACTCCTGGGCTCAAGTGGTCCTCCTGCCTCAGCCTCCTGAGTAGCTGGGACCACAGGTACATGCTATAACACCCAGCTAATTTTCAAAAATTTTTATAGAGATGGGGTCTCACTATGTTGCTCAGGCTGGTCTTAAACTCCTGGCCTCATGCAATCCTTCCGCCTCAGCCTCCTAAAGTGCTGGAATGACAGGCGTAAGCCATCACACCGGGGCAAAAATTATTATTATTATTATATTGAGATGGAGTCTCTCTCTGTTGCCCAGGCTGGAGTGCAGTGGCACGACCTTGGCTCACTGCAACCTCTGCCTCCCGGGTTCAAGTGATTCTCCTGCCTCAGCCTCCTGAGTAGCTGGGACTACAGGCGTGTGCCACCACGTCTGGCTAATTTTGGTATTTTTAGTAGAGATGGGGTTTCACTGTGTTGGCCAGGCTGGCCTCAAACTGCTGGCCTCAAGCGATCCGCCTGCCTCAGCTTCTCAAAGGGCTAGGATTACAGACATAAGCCACTGCACTGGACCCAAAATTATTTTTTAAATGACACATCTGATGACCCTTGTAGCAATGCAGACCTTTAGACCTTCCAATTTGGAAACTGGATTTTTAACTTGAAATTTCCTGATTCTGAAATTGGCAAGCAATGCACATTTAAAAAAACTTACTTGAGCCTTATGTCCATGCTGGATTTGGCCTGAGGTCCACCACCCATTGCTCCCTCTATAATGAAAGAGGACTCAAGTGATCCTCCTGCCTCAGCCTCCTACAATGAAAGAGGAGGCAATGGGTGGACCTCAGGCCAAATCCAGAATGGACATGAGGCTTAAGGAGGAGCCTGGATTGGGGAAAGGCAGATGGTCCTGCTGGGCTGCCACTCTGGAGCTCCCCCAACCCGGGAGCCTGGATTAGGGAAAGGCACGTGACCCCTGGATGAGAACAATGCTTCCCGGTTCAAGGACTTTTGTGCAAAATCAGCTGAGGGAGAAAAATCCTCTGGGAAGAGAGGCTGCTACAGCCTCACTGGTCAGAAGCTGGTTCCTACAGCTCTGTGACCAGATGGCACCTAAACATGGTTGTTCAAGCTCCCCAGTCTGTGGACTTTGTTACGGCAGCCCTGGCTGATGACTTCAGCCCCTGTGCCAGGAAGGCTCAGCCCTGACCTACAGGGCAGCCTCCTCAGTGGGGCAGGAAGGAGGCTGGGGTGTTGCCAGGAAACCAGCTCTTGCGTGGTTCAGTGGTTGCCATCAACCACGTGCAGTGTGAGACCACGCATTGGACACAAACTCTGCCTAGACCAGGATGTTTTTGGAAGCGAGAAACAGAAAACCCAGCTCATCAGGGAAATCGAGGCTCTACAGTGTCACTGGGGACCCAGGCTCTGCTAGTGGCTCTGCTCCTGTCCTTGGGGCAGGTTTTATCCTGAGAGCTCCCTTCATGGTTCAATGGCTACAGACATAGTCCAAGCTACAGGCATCCTCATTATGTCCAGTAGAAGGGAGGGAGCCCCATCCGCAACAAGGGAACAAGCCCCTGGATCCTGAGCCAATAGAACTTCTTGACCTAGTGTGCCTGGGGCTGAGGGGATGCTCTGTGCTGGGGGTGGTGCAGGCCTGGCTACTGGAAACAGCGGGATGAAACTGCCCTGGGGTCAGCTCCTCCCAGCTCAGTGAGTAGGAGACAAGAGGGATGGGGACACAGGGATGGCCACAGGGCCCACTACACATTCACTCCTTTGCTCCTGAGTGGACATATGTACACATACATGTGTGAGCATGCAGGTGTGTCTCTACGGCTCCATCCTGTGTATCTGTGTGCCTGGGTGAGCACATGCTGTAGACATGTGTGCACACACGTATACTCATTTCAGAAACTCCCACTCCTCTGCCTGTGGCCACCAGCTGGGAGCAGTCCAGCTACAGCCAGAACACACCCAGCTCCTGGCCAACGGGAGAATGACCCTGGCAACCTTCACCCCAGCTCAGCAGGTCTTCCTCCTAGTTGCTGCCCAAGGTCAGGTCTGCTTCCTGGCAGAGGAAAGTGAGGCTCCCTTCTCTACGCAGCCTGGAGGGAAGGTGGTGGGAGGGTGGCCTGTGGTTGGGGGGACTCCAGAGTGGCGGCCCAGCAGGACCATCTGCCATCTGTGCCTCCCGCTCCTCTCCCTGCTCCATCCCCTCTCCGCCCGCTCTCCGCCTCAGGGTGCATCACTCTGGAGACCCCTGGGAATTGGAAGCTAATTTTCCACGATCATTAGTGATGGAAAGACCTCAGGTTCTGCCTTTAATTAAAGTCAAACGTGGGGCTGAGGAGAAGTGCTGCGCTGCATGCAATCGTCCTTTTCCCACTTGTAAAAGCCATATGCAAATAATTAAGCCAGGCATGGGAGCCGTAATTAAAAATTTCACAGACCCCCTCATTAGCTGAGCAGTCTGTACAGACGAGTGGGACCCAGCCCCTCCCCCATGCCGATGGCAGCTCCTGCAGATGGTTAATTGGGACTGGGGGAAGTAGCAGGCCACACCTAGGTGACAGTGCACCTGGCAATAAGCTGACAGGGCCCCTTCACAGGCCAGCAGCGATGACTTCCCTCCTCTGTCCAGGAGGCCTCTAGCCAGGGCCAGAGCTCCTGGGGTGAAGTGGCTGAATCCCTCCATCCCTCCATCCCAGTGCAAGGAGACCCTAACCAAAATCTCCTAGCCTCCCCTGGCCCCAGCCCTGACTTGTGCACAGCTGGGACCTACTGACAGAAGTGAGGAGAAAAGGCTGGGTGCGGTGGCTTATGCATGTAATCCCAGCACTTTGGGAGGCCAAGATGGGCAGATCACGTGAGGTCAGGAGTCCAGGACCAGCCTGGCCAACATGGCGAAACCCCGTATCTACTAAAAATACAAAAATTAGCCAGATGTGATGGCGCGAGCCTGTATTCCCATCTACCCGGGAAGCTGAGGCAGAAGAATCGCTGGAACCCGGGAGGTGGAGGTAGCAGTGAGCCAAGATCATGCCACTGCACTTCAGCCTGGGCGGCAGAGGGAGACTGTCTCAAAATAAAAAATAAAAAAAAAGTGGGAGAAGGGTCTCAGCTAGAGCCTAGAGACCCCTCCAGCTTGACCTTCTTGCAGCCCCTCCTCCCAGCATGCCCAGGAGGAAGGCAGGTTCAGCAGACCCATGCATTCTTCCAGCAAGTGCACGTCCTGGGACCCTTCAACCCCTTCCACACACACACAGACGTCCTCCGGCCTGGTGGCCACTGTGCAAGGAGTGCCACACTTGAAGACAAAAGCCCCAGACAGACAAGAGAGCCTCAGAACTGGGGGTGGGGAGGCAGGGAAATGTGTCTGACCTCACTGTCCTACACATTCTCTGGCCTCCACCACTCCCCCTGCCCCACCCAGGGTCCCTGGCTCCCACCTTAGGTCCCCGCCAACGTCTGGTTCACCTCATGTCTGGAATTGATCCTGCCAGGCAAGTCACTGCAGGCATCATCTCCAGTTACTCATTGACATTTCCAAATGAATATTCACTCGTCCCAATCACAGCTACTAGTTTTCCATCTGGCCTGATCAATGGGACTCCTCAGAAGGAGTCATGCTCACCAGAGGCACTGATCGATATCTGGGAAGCTGCTTGGCGGGCACGGGGACCAGCTGTGTCCTCCCAGCCACGACACCCGGACATTGGCCAGCTCACCTCGCCCACGGACCACACAGCCCTGGGCTGGGTCAGAGGTTCCACATCTGGACTCCTACTCCTTCTGGCTATATACATAAACTGGAGGTGATTGCAAACCCAGGAAGTGTCTCCCCTTCTGAGGATTTGGGGAATCTCATGGGGTCACAGGGAGTGGTGGACCTGGGCGCGTCCTGCCTGGGTCCATCCTCAACCACAGCGTCACCCCACGTGATGTCTTCATCCAGGTCCCTGAACTCAGCCCTTCCCCATTCAGGCCTCTTCTTTCTTGGCGGCTCAGAAAATGTCATTTCTCTTTCTTCCTCTCCTCTGTCAGAGAGATGCAGGCTCCCCTGCCAAGGGTGGTCAGACATCCACGCCAAGCGTCCTGCTCTCGGAAGCTGGCCCAGGGCCGTCTCATCCTGGCTAACTCTCCACCTCATTTCTCATCGTTCCCCAACACTCTTGCTTTGACAGTCAGCTCCTCTGGTTGTGTGGGCCCCGACTGCCCGGCCAGTCAGAGTCCCTGCCCAGCTTTTCTTCCTGTTTCTCCGCATCTTCCCCCATCGCAAACACATCTGCCTAAGAACTTGCACTTTCCGTCGCTGACATGAGATGGTACACAAAGATGAAAAAATACTTTTGATGGGGGCCAGGCACAGGGGCTCACACCTGTAATCCCAGCACTTTGGGAGGCCGAGGCAGTTGGATCACTTTGAGGTCAGGAGTTTGAGACCAGCCTGGCCAACATGGTGATACCCCATCTCTACAAAAAATACAAAAATCAGCTGGGTGTGGTGGTGTGCGCCTGTAATCCTAGCTCCTGGGGAGGCTGAGGCAGGAGGATTGCTTGAACTTGGAAGGCAGAGGTTGCTGTGAGCTGAGATTGCACTACTGCACTCCAGCCTGGGCAAAAGAGTGAGACTCTATACCCCACCACACACACACACAAAAAAAGAAAAGAAATACTTTCAATGGAGAAGAGGATTCCACCACTTATATAAACCATACACCTCTTTTACTTTTTGATCCTGTTTGATTTTTTAAAATTTAATATGAAACATTTCAGATATGCAGAATATATTTATGTGTATATATATGCACACACATATATATACATACATACACATACATACAGGTAAATAACATAAAGAAGAACCAGCACATTCATCACCCAAGCTTAAAGAATAAAACAATTACCAATACTTGGGGTTCCCTTTGCAACCCTCCTCCCCTCTGGAGGTAAATCACACATGTGGTAAATATTTAATGAGCACCTACTACATGCCTGGCACTATTCTAGGCAACTGGGATCCATTCATGAACAAAACAAAGATCCTGCCCTCATAGAATTCCACTCCAAGCAGGAGAGAGGCAGATTATATATAACCTTAGAGGGTGAGAAATACTAAGGACAGAAGAAAAACACAGTAGGGGGAGGAGGACTGGGAGAGCTTGAGGCCAAAGGTGAGTATGTGGGAGGAGTTCTGACTGAGAAGGCAACATGTGAACCAAGGGTTATAGAGGGAATCAGCTGTGCAAGGGCCCTGGGGTGACAGCACTCTTGACACCCAGTGTGTCTGGAGAGACATAAAGAAGCACGAAAGAAGATATGGTCAGAGAAGCAATGGGGGGCAGTGATGTGGGCCACTCCAGTGATTTTGGCTTTGACTCTGAATGAGACAGGAGCAGAGGGAGGACACTCTCTGACCTGGACTTTGGCAGGACCCCTCTTGGCCTTGGAGGAAGAGGCCAGGCAGAAACAGGTTGGCCTGGGAAGAGACAACAGCAACAGGATCGGTGAGAAATCTCGGGCCAGGATGTGGAAATCTGTCCACCATTCTCATGTGAAAATCGGTGCTTTTCAAAGAAGGCTTTATTTGGATGTTGAAAATTACATAGTTTTTACTTTGATGCTGTGATATCAACGTGTGTTGATATCACACTTGCCGGCCATGAGCTTTTCTGATGTGGATATTCTGGATCTTGAAAAAACTGTAATTCACTCTTCTCAGTAAGCTGGGCCCCCGCTGCTTGTTGTCATATCCAAAAACTCAGGAAACTTAGCTGCTCGTTATATGTGAGTGAAATAGAAACGGAACAATGGAACATACAGTGATGACTGGGAGAAGGAGGCTGGAACTGCCAGGATGCCGGGGTCCAGACTCTGGCTCCTCCACTTACCAGCTACATAGGCTACTTAACCTCTTCATGCCTCAGTTTCCTCATCTGCAAAATGGGAGTAATAATCTCTTGTGGCTACCTTGCAAGATTATTACGAGGACAAAATGGGCAATAAGGGAGCAGTGCCTGGCATACAGGGAGTGTTGCTCATGTCAGTGACTACTTTAGGGGAGATGAACAGAGCCCCCCGACATGCTCTCTCTCCGACAATTCCATCAACCTGCAGTTGGCAAAGGCTGAACGCCTGCCAGTAAGGGGAGCAGTGGAAGCTTCTAATGGAGGTCTTTAGGAAATGTCTCAGGAGCCCGGGCTGCAGGCAGACCCACAGAAAAATGTGACGCTCCTGGAAAGGGCTTCCAGAAACTGGCCCGTAAGCATTCATCAAGAAGGGAAAATGAGCAGCCGATCTTGGCACCATGCCTCTGCAGCCAGCGCTGGCCCTGGGCTACCACTGCTGGTGTGTGTCAGGACAGGTGATGGGGTTGGTATTTTATGTTTACGCTGTGTCTGCAAAACTATTTCAATCATGTCTGCTGAGTATGCCAAGCACTATTCAGAATGATCAATTTTGAAAGTTTGGTGCAGTTGGTCTTTTCTCAGATGATTAAAAATACGGTAAACTTCAGCCCATAGACTCACCCAACATCTTTGACAATTTCAGTTCATATCAGAAGAACCCAGTGTGCAATTTGAATTCACTGATATTCAACTTCACAGAATCAGAAAAACAGCAAGGCACTCAATGCATTGGGGTTTTGTTTTCATTTTTGTGGGTTTTGTTTTTTTCTTTTCTTTCTTTCTGCTTAATTACTTTGCTAACAAGGTTGAAGTCTTCTAAAAAACTTGGCGAAATACTAGAAGCTGATGCTTGGCAGGAAATGATGGAGTATATTCTGCAAATATCTGTAAGGTTTCCCCTTGTATTCACACACACAGAAACGCACACAATCCTTGTCTTGAATTCGGCATTTCTGGAACACCCTTAATGGAAGTTTAATATTATTTTCCAATTCGGCTCACTTAGAAGAAATTTGACTCCAGTTCAAAGACATAATCAATTCTATAGTTAGTCACCAAAGCTTAAGAAAACAGCATTTCCTCAATGATATCATCTTCGGCCATGCCTCATGCATATCTACGTTGGTTCCCTTCATCATCCATTCATCACAACTAATAGTTAAATAATAGATTTGGGCTTCTGCAAAACTTGAAGCCTGCCACCCTCACTAAGTTAATAGTTTGGCACTCCAGGCTGCCTTCACAGTTTCTTTGCCAAGTTAAGGTCTGGCTGCCCTCACTGCAGGTTTCATGGAAGTTTTCCAGGAAGGTGAGGATTTGTCTCCTCCAGGACTGCCAGGGTTTTGCACAGATGGGTGGCAGGCGTTTTGGATCCTGACGAGGTGCTTCATTGCTAATTTCTCTCATGTGAAGCAGAGAATGGAGCTTTGCAGGAAGAAATAAAAACCACAGGTTTTAGAATAAATTTCACATGATCTTGATCCAACATTATTTAAGGCACGAGAGTGGTTTGGCTTCACTGCCTGGAATTTGCCAGCACCTCCAGGAAGGTGCACGTCGCCATCTTTGCAATAGACATAAATCCATCTTTGATATGAGCTGCAAGTATCATTTTCAGCTACACCCAAAAGGGACAAAGAAAACAAAAACGAGAGTCCTAATGTTCATGTTTGGTTTGTAGATGGCAATGTGAACTCTGTGACAATGTGAACTCTGTGGCCAGTAGCCAAAGGGTGATGGGGCAGGTCAGGCATCCATCCACACCCGGGCTCCAAGAAGCAGGAATGCGTATGTGTGTCTGTGGGTTTGTTTAGCACAAAAGGTCATGAGCACAGTGCACTGGTGCCTGTGGCTGATGGGAACGATTCTGCTTAGCGGGGGCCCTTTGATTTCCCTCTCATAACATTAGAAGCAACTTCAACTCCTGAAAGGATAAAACTAAGGATGCAACACAAATACGTTTCCCGAGGCTCACGGACCCATTTTTGTGCTACTCTGTTATAAATACAAAAATCAAACTTTCTTCCTCTAAGCATATCCTCACGTTCAAACAGAAAATGCTTGTTTTTGACCCGTGATGGGAACCACAGTATAAATGGCGACACACACGCACGAGAGTCCATATATCCTAATACGAGTGTCACGAAGCAAAATCTCAGAATCTCCAAATCTCTTTTATTCAAAATTCTGCAGCGCTCTACCCCCAGGAAAAGATGAAAAGCCTTTATTTCTATCATTTGATTATAAAAATATAACTTTATATTTTGAAGCCCCCCACAAAAAAAGCCTCTCCAATTATTCAATATTCAAGTCTTACAACTCTTCCCCTCCCTCCTTGGAGATTCTCATACACTTGCCAGAGGGTCACCTGATCTGTTCTTCCTCCCTTCCACCTCCCTGGAGAGCTGCTGCTCTTCATGACCACTTCTGGGGTAGGTGGTAAGATGATTACCCTATTTTTCCAAACCCTAATTGCTCGGAGGCTATCTTTCCCCCCTCACAAAGCCCAGACAGCTCTTCCCATTTGACACATCTTTGGACAAGCCCAACATCCAATATGGTGGAGGTTGTATGTTCCCCCAGCTCCATGATGAAGGCCAGCGAAGGCTCTCCCAAGGAGGGCAGAGTGTTAGGCAGTGTGCATGGCATGGAAAACCCAGGGTCCCCGAGCTCTACAAGCCTCCACCCCCTGGCAACAATCACACAGATGCAATTTAGTTAATTCCCTTCCACGCCATCTCAACATTCCTGGCAGCCTCTCAAATAAATACAATAGCAGACGGGGCAGAGTCATGGGGATGAAAGGACCTTGGGACCATTCTTTCTCCAGCAGAGACAATCGAAAACCGAGTGTCAGATGTGCTGTCTGACGCATTCACTCGGGGTTAGGCCCACTCTCATTCTTTTCCTCAGGCCCTGTTGTTTTAGGATATGAAGTGACTCTAAAAACAGCCGATATTTTTCCCCCGACACAAGGGCATAAATCTACGTCTTCGGCGCTTTCTTTGTGGTATCGATTCTTCCGAGAATGAAGGCAGATGGTTCCGATATGGCATCATCTAATATTCCCTCAGCTTGATTTATAGATTTCTTTGTGCATTACCTGAACATAAACGAGTCTTGCATTATTTCTTGCGTACTTGTCAAATTAAGGTAAGATATTCTTGTTGACCTTTAAACCTAAAAAAAAATAAATAAATGTGTCTGAGACGTTTTCCAGCAAGCATTAAAATGAGCTGGGCTCTCAAATGCCCATTAAGAGGATGTAATTATGAGGGGGAGTGTCGTCTGTGCTGCGGGTAATGATTTAATTTTAGTTTTAATGCATTCGCTCAATGGAGGAAAAGAAAACAAGCTGGTTACGAATCATCTCGCAAAACAGACAAGAACAATTTGGCACCGTTTGTTCCTTAATTTACCAGAATGGGAAGGAGCTGGGGGAGCCTGCCACCCCAGCCTTCCAGAAGGAAGGAACACTTCTTGAAAGGTGCAGAGAGAAGTGGCAAAGCAAGAACCAAAATAGAGACAAGGTGGCCGTTTGCTGCGATGTTACCAAACAGAGCCAGCGCCAGCCGTCGGGCTGCGCGAGGGTGTGAATTGGATCTGACTTCAAGCAGGGGAGGAAATTCCGTTTGGGGCTGCAGGAAGGCTTTCTCCTACGTTATTTCTCCCACTTCCCTTCCCACAGCGAAACCTAGACCCAAGGAAAGGGTCTCTGGGCAACATCCACTTGTGGCTGACCACTGTTGGCCAGCACACAGGCAAAGGGGATGAATGTGCCCTTCACCCTCCATCTGCAAACCCCATTCTTCAAGATGGGGTGATGCTGGCTGCAGCCTCACTATGTGCAAACCTAGGTGCCTTCTCATGGGCACTCGATGCATACACACGCCTGTGATCACACAGGGGCTGGCCCCCAGGCTGGCTTTGGCATCCCTGGGGTCCCTTTCAGAAAAATACCACCTAACTGTAATCCTAGCACTATGGGAGGCCGAGGCAGGCAGATCACTTGAGGCCAGGAGTTCAAGACCAGCCTGGGCAACATAATGAAACTGGTCTCTACTAAAAATACTAAAATTAGCCAGGCATGGTGATGTGCACCTGTAGTCCCAGCTACGCGGGAGGCTGAGACAGGGGAATTGCTTGAACCCGGGAGGCGGATGTTGCAGTGAGCCAAGATCACACCACTGCACTCCAGCCTGGGTGACAGAGCAAGACTCCATCTCAAAAAAGAAAGAAAGAAAGAAAAAGAAAAATACCACTTAACAACTACTCTCTAATTAAGTCTATCTTCAAATCTTACTAACAAGAGGAATTCCACTGGTCATGCCATCAATACCCCTCTCCTCCCACTCTCCCACCTCTCCCGGCACCCTCTTCCCTGATGCCCAGCCTCTGGGCTCCATCGGCCACCTGCCCCAGACCCTCCCACCTTCCGGTTCCTTCTCTTCTCTGCAGTGTAACTCTGCTGGTCTCCGCGTAACCCCATTCCTGGATCCGTGAGCTCTGCCTCCTTTTTGTCATCACTGTGACTCTAGAAACGCGAGGCAGACAGATTTCTCCCCGTGAGGCTGGGAGGAGGAGACAGCGGAGTCCTTGTCTGCTAGTGACTGTTTCTCTGCCACATCTATTTGCAGGGTCCACACACACACACACATGCTCACACTCAGCCTGGAGGGCTTCCACGGGCATGGAGGGGAGAAGAAAGCCCATCTTCCCTATGTGTACCCCCTGACTTTCACAGTCCTGTGGGGCATGAAGGGCTCAGTTCCAGATAAGACTGCTCCATCTCCAGCCACGTGACTAATTAGCGTGGCCTACATCGACAGGCACTAATGGGCCTTTCCTGTTGTGCAGCCAACGTTGCTTCTTTCTCAGGCCCCAAGGCACCTGCACAGACATGATCCACGAGAAAGCTGTGTGGGGCACAGCCGTTTCCGACACCCCGTCCCGGAGCCAGAGGCCTGCCTTTCGGCCTCCAGCTGCAGAGACACCACTTGTCCCCTCCCAAACCTGAGGATGTCATTTTGTCATTTGTCCACCCCAGTCTGACCTTGTCTGCTGCCTGCCCAGAGCTGGGTGGGCCACTGGGGCCCTGATCACTTTCCCGGATGCCCACTGAGTGTGAACCATGTGCAAACTCAGGCTTGAGGAAGGCCTGCCCATCCCCTCCACCCTCTACCCATCAGGAGTCACAGAGGAAGTGTTCCTTGGGGGACACTGCTCCTGGGTTCTGCGGCCCCAGCCTCACCCTGGTCCAGCAGGAAGAGGCTACAGGATTGCACTTGAGAAAAGCTTTTTTTTTTTTTCAGTTTTGAAGATACTCAAACAATCCTTTCGACATGCTAGTTCTGATTAAATGTCCAACACATTTCCATTTGCCATCTTCCTCCATTTCCATACCCATCTGTGTCTTGCAATCCATTAAACCAGTGTTCGGCAAACTGTGGCCCATGGACCACACCCTCCAGCCACCTGTTCCTGGAAATAAAGTTTTATTGGAACACAGCCACGCCTGTTCTGTATCATCTGTGGGTGCCTTCACATTATGATGGCAATTGAGTGACTTCCACAGTGACCTTTTTGTCCATGAAGCCTAGAATATTTACTCCATGGTCGTTTACGAAAAAGTCTGCTGACCTCTGGCCTAAACTACAAATATAATTCACTTATAAATAGTCTGTCTGGCATAACAGATGCTAGTAAGGATATGGAGAAAGGGGAACTCTTGTACACTGTTGGTGGGGATGTAAATTAGTACAGCCACTATGAAGAACAGTATGGAGATTCCACAAAAAAACTAAAAATAGAACTACCATATGATCCACTCCTGGGTATATATCCAAAAGAAAGGAAACCAGCGTATTACAAAGATATCTACACTCCCACGTTTATTGCGGCACTAGTCACAATAGTCAAGATGTGAAATCAACCTAAGTGCCCATCAGTGGATAAATGGATAAAGAAAATACGGTACATACACACAATGGAATAGTATTTAGCCATTAAAAAGAATGAAATCTTGTTATTTGCAGCAACATGGATGGAACTGGAGACCATTATGTCCAGTGAAATAAGCCAAGCATAGAAAGATAAATATCATTATGTTCTCACTCATACGTGGGAACCAGAAAATTGGATCTCATGAAGACAGAGACAAGATTGGCAGTAACCAGAGGCTGGGAAGGGGATGGGGCAAGATAAAGGGGGGAAAAAAGCAAATATATTCCCAACCAATTTTAGAAAACAATTTGAGATATTTAAGCACATGCATAAAAATGGCAGTATAATTTTTTTTAAATCATCTGTCAAATAACCTTTTGAGATGTCCAGTGAACTTTTTTGGGTAAGCCACTTAACATAATCACTCAAAGAAATAAAAATGAAAATCCCAAAAAACCAAACACCGCATGTTCTCACTCACAGGTGGGAATTGAACAATGAGAACACATGGACACAGGAAGGGGAACATCACACTCTGGGGCCTGTTGTGGGGAGGGGGGAGGGGGGAGGGGGGAGGGATAGCACTGGGAGATATACCTAATGCTAGATGACGAGTTAGTGGGTGCAGCGCATCAGCATGGCACGTGTATACATATGTAACTAACCTGCACATTGTGCACATGTACTCTAAAACTTAAAGTATAATAATAATAAATAAATAAATAAATAAAAAAGAAAATCCCAGAAGCTCAGGGTAAACCATATAGATTCCCAGTTCTAAATCCATATATCTCTTTAAATTACACAAGTACACAGGAATGCATTCTCACAGGAAAAAACTTCAAACAATACAGTGGAAGTGAAGATTCCTTTGAAAGTCGCCCCAATCCAGTCCACTCCGAACTGCGATCATTGGCATAATTCCTTTCAGACTTTTAGATATGAACTTACAAATATGTAAATAGAGGACATACAGTGTGGCTTTGTGTGTGTTTTTGCCATAAATGGTGTATATATGTACATATTGTGCTACGGTTTGCTTTTTTTCACTTAACAACACTGTTCAGACATCTTTCCCAGCAGTGCATATGGACCTACCTCATGCTTTTTATTTTATGTATTTATTTATTTTTTGAGATGGAGTCTTACTCTCTCACCCAGGCTGGAGTGCGGTGGCAGGATCTCGGCTCACTGCAAACTCCACCTCCCGAGTTCAAGCGATTCTCCTACCTCAGCCTCCCAAGTAGCTGGGATTACAGGCACCTGCCACCATGTCCTGCTAATTTTTGTATTTTTATAGTGACAGAGTTTCACCATGTTGGCCAGGATGGTCTCGAACTCCTGGCCTCAAGTGATCCGCCTGCCTCTGCCTCCCAAAGTGCTAGGATTACAGGCGTGAGCCACTGCACCTGGCCCCTCCTGCTTTTTAAACCTTTTTGGGGGACAGGGTCTCACTAGGTCCCCCAGGCCGGAGGCAGTGGTGCCATCACAGCTCACTGCAGCCTTGACTTCCTGGGCTCAGGTGATTCTCCCGCCTTGGCCCACTGAGTAGCTGGGACCACAGGCACGAGTCACCAGGCCCAGATAATTTTTAAGTTTTTTGTAGAGACAGGGTCTTGCTATGTTGCCCGGGCTCATTTCGAATTCCTGGGCTCAAGCAATCCTCCTGCCTCGGCCTACCAAAGTGCTGGGATTATAGGTGTGGGCCACCTGATGCTTTTTAACTAACTGTCCAGAATATTTCAAAGTGTGGGTGTTGCAAAGTCCAATCTCCATGCACACAAACATCTGAAGCATCCATAACCAGCTGTTCTTCCCAGGAAGAAGGATCCTTTGTCCAGGGGTCACTTCAGAAAGTGACTTTTCAGTGGATGGACGGCAGGCTCCGGCCACGCATCCTGTCCATTTGAAGATACCTCCACCCAGGCATATTGGAGAGTTCCTCGGTCTTCCTCTACAACACAGACACCATCACGGGGTCTTTGTGTGACCCTGAGCCTTTCCTGGCAGAGTCCCTAAGATCCATGACTCTACACGCCCCATGCAAAGCAGTCTTTGAAAGGAGAATCACTGTGAATATAAATGACTGTCTCAGAAGCTTGACTTTTAAAAAAGGAATGTGGATCTGGCCCTTGCAAATATAAAACAGATTGAGAAGCTGAGTTTTGTGGAGTGACTTAAACAGGCATTCTGAGTTGGCACCCACTGGGAGCAGTGCAGCAAAGGTTGGCGTTCGGGAACAGGCAGAACCCAGAGCTGGGCTCAGGAACAATCCTCTCCACCACCTTTTCCTCTCCTCTTCTTCCCCTCCTCCCTTCACCACCTCCTTCCTCCTGCCCCTCCACCTTTACCTCATCCGTTTGTTCCAGGAACCCTCACTGAGCACTCACCATGCGCTGGTCAATGCGTAACGCTGGGACTCCAGGCACCCCCTCACAGCATTCCCCGTGGGGCAAAGACAGTCCCTGAGCCAGGGACCACAGCATTGCCCTGGTCTGTGCCATGGAAGGCCCCCATGCCAGGACAATCAAGGTGAGACCTAGAGTGGAAAGGCAGTAGGTAGGGGAGGGCACTTCCAGGCAAGGATGTAGCTGGGTGTGGAGTGATGTACGAAATTGTCCTTTCAAGCTGGGTGCAGTGGCTCACACCTGTAGTCCCAGCACTTTGGGAGGCTGAGACTGGCAGATCGTTTGAATCCAGGAGTTTGAGACCAGCCTGGGCAACAGAGTGAAACACCATGTCTACTAAAAATACAAAAAGTAGCCAGGCATGGTGGCGCGCGTCTTAGTCCCAGCTACTGGGGGCTGATGCGAGAGAACTGCTTGAGCCCAGGAAGCTGAGGCTGCAGTGAGCCGAGGTCATGCCACTGCACTCCAGCCTGGGTGACACAGTGAGACTCCGTCTCAAAAATAAATAAATTTTAAAAAGAGAGAAAAAAAAGAAATCATCCTTTTATTTATTCATTTTTGAGACAGGGTCTCACTCTGTTGTCCAGGCTGGAGTGCAGTGGTGCGATCCCATCTCACTGCAGCCTCAAACTCCTGGGCTCAAGTGATCCTCCTGCCTCAGTCTCCTGAGTAACTAGGACTACAGGCACACACCACCATACCCGCCTATTTTTTTTTTTTTTTTTTTTGTAAAGATGAAATCTCCCTGTGTTGCCCAGGGTGGTCTCGAACTCCTGGCCTCAAGTGATCCACCCACCCCAGCCTCCCAAAGTGCTGGGATTAAAGGCATGAGCCATCGTGCATGGCTGAAACTGTCCTTTTAAAAAGACCTCTTGAGCTGCTGGTGAAGAACAGATGAGAGGCAGCTCCTCTGCCCATTCAGGGGGAGCCAAAGGAGCAAGGGTCCCCCGTGCAGTGGGGGCAGGAACTGAGCAGCCTGCAGGGCAGAATGTGGTGAGGCAGTGGGCATCACCCCTTTCCTGATGGCCCAGCCATGGGGGGCTAGGCCACCACCGTGCAAAGGGCTCGATGGACCCTCCATGGGGAAAGACAGAGGGGCTCCGTGAGTGCGGAGCTTTGCTTACAGAAGTTACCCCCATAAAGGTGACCTCCACAAGGGACCAGAGACAGAGGACTCGGGTGAAAATCCCACTGGGTCGCATACATGAGCTCAACCTCAGTTCAGGGCTTTGTTGTGAGAACTGAATGATAACATAGTGATGTTTAACTGCCCAGAATATTCCAAGGTGCAGGTGTTGCCAAGTCCAATCTCAATGCACACAAACATCTGAGCATCCGTAACCTGCTCTCCTTCTTCCCAGGAAAGGGGATCCCTTGTCCACAGGTCACTTTGGAAAGTGAGATTACAGGTGCACACCACCACACCCAGCTCATTTATTTTATTTTATTTTTGTAGAGACAGGGTCTTCTGAACTCCTGGGCTCAACCCAACCCAGTGCTGGGCATGTCAACAAGCCGGTCAGTGCACCAAGTCCCCGTGCCTCGCAGACAAGAGGGGGCATAAGAAGTCTCCCTCCAGAACCCAATCTCCAACCCCAGGCCACCAAACACACAGGCCAGGCTACTAGTGATGCAGGACAGGTGGGCCCCAAAACTGGGGCCTAGCCTGGGAGGGTCTTTGGCTTCACACACCCTTGAAAAGAATTTAAAGGTAAACAGATGGTGTTAGACAGCAATCTTATTGAACAGTACTGCTCCTTGTGAAGCAGGGCTAACTCACAGGCAGTGCACCCAAGGCACTGGCTGTTGACAACCGTATTTATATGCATTTATACCCACTTTCAATTGCATGCAAACTGAAATTGAAAGGAGGCAGGTTAATGCAAATCAAGGGGTGGGTTATTTAGAGCTTTGCAGGAAAGGGGCAGTAAACTCCGGGTTGCTGATGTGAAAGGGGCGGCAACTTCCGGGTCATTGCCGTGGCATTTGTAAACTGTCATGGCGCTGGCAAGTGTGTTTTATGCTAATGGGCAATGAGGGCAGCCCGGGACTGCTTTCATCACCATCTGCTGGTTTCCACCAGTTTCTTCACTTCATCTTGTCTGGACCAGATCTTGTTTTGGTCAGCAAGGTTGTGACCAGAAACGAGTCCTGCCCATCTCCTACCTCATGAGCACCACCAGCTCTCTGCCCCCACCACGAACGGCATCAAGGGGGCTGGAAACATTCTTTCCTTCCAAGAGCGGCGCAGGAATGGACAACATTCACCTCCAGTAAGCGTGAGGCTGGAGCTAAGGAAGGAAGTTAAGCTGAGGAGTCAGGAAAAGAACTTCCATGCCTTAAAAAGCAGCTGTAGAGAGGATCTAAGAGATGGTACAAATGGCAACTAGCATCATTGATTGAATCGCTCTCCCTCCCAAATTTCCACCAAAAAGAGCAAAAAGATATAAAAATGGGGTGAGGGGTGGGGCCCGTATCCACAGAGGAAGGCTGGTCAGACACAGCAAGGAGCCCTGCAGGCCACCACAGACAGCCTGTGAGGAAGGCTGGGCAGCCCCTCAGGGGCCAGGAAGCCTGGTGGAGCCCAGGGCCCAGTTGTGAGGTCCCCAAAAGCTTCAGGAGGATTCCAGGGATCAGCCCCGTGGAGTGACTGCCATGAACAGAAACCTGTACGTCTCACAACATAGCTTCCAAGTCTACAAAACAAATGATTAGGGCAAAAGAAGGGGACTTGATAAATCTCGACACATAAAGTTTTTAACACTCTTTATTTTTATTTTTTTTTTAAACAGGGTCTTGCTCTGTCACCCAGGCTGGAGTGCAGGGGTGCGATCACAGCTCACTGCAGCCTCCACCTCCCTGGGCTCAGGTGATCCTCCCACCTCAGCCTCTTGAGTAGCTGGGATTTCAGGCACAAGCCACCTTTCCTGGTTATTTTTTTAATTTTTTTGTAGAGACAAGATCTCTCCAACTCCTGGGCTCAAGCAGGCCTCCCACCTCGGCCTCCCAAAGGGATTACAGGTGTGAGCCACTGTGCCTGGCCTGAACACTTTTTAAATGAACAAATTGTGCAAACAAAATTGAGATTATTAAGGATTCAACAGACAAAATCTGGCACTCCCTCTCACATTTTTGTGCTCAGCAAACAGAATATAGTTTACTTACAGATTATTTAGCAAAATGGGCTTATATTGGACTACAGGAAAAAAATCTCAATAGAAGTCATTACCTGGCTGGTTGGGGTGGCTCACACCTGTAATCCCAGCACTTTGGGAGGCTAAGGAAGGTGGATCACCTGAGGTTAGGAGTTCGAAATCAGCCTGGCCAACATGGTGAAACCCCATCTCTACCAAAAATACAAAATTAGCCGGGTGTGGTGGCGCTTGCCTGTAATCCCAGCTACTCGGGAGGCTGAGGCAGGAGAATCGCTTGAACCCGGGAGGCGGAGGCTACAGTGAGCCGAGATTGTGCCACTGCACTCCAGCCTGGGCAACAGGAGCAAGACGCCATCTCAAAAAAAAAAAAAAAAAAAAAAAGTCATTACCTAACCATGAAACAATAAAAATAGAATCTAGCAAAAAGAGAGAAATAAAATCATTGGCTATAGCATTGTTTTTAGTAGAAAAGTATAAATTTCCATTAGAAGAAGAATAGTCAAACAAACTATTAAAAATAATAAATGTTTAAATGAATAAATCCACACTCTGGAATCTGACGCAATTGTTAAAAAGCACCCCATTCATCTAATATGGAGTCCTAAAAGAAGAGAACAGGGTTCTGGTAGAAAAAGTAATAAACTGAGAGGATAATGGCTGAGAATGTTCCAGAAAAATGTACACAAACTGCTAAACAGTAAAAATAAATTCGTAATCTTGGTAAAACTCCAGAATATCAAAACAAAGAGAAAAACCTCAAAGTTTACAGGAAGAAAAGAGACTTACCAACAGTTAGAACAGCTGTAAACATTCTGGCATCAAGAGATGCCCAGGAAACAATGTAGTAATATAATATTTTTATAAAGTGCTACGGGAAAGTAAAGGTCATCCTACTCAATTATTCAGGAATGAGGGCAAAATAAAGACATTTTCAGACATCCAAAACTAAGAGGGCTTGCCCTGAAATTGAATTTTAAAGGATACATTTTGGCAAGAAGAAAAATGAACTCACAGAGAAGGAGTGAGATTTAAAATACATGAACATTGGTATAATTTATAAGTAAATTTAATTAACTATCTACTGTAAATATGGGTTTTTTTGGGACGGAGTTTCACTCTGTCACCCAGGCTGGAGTGCAGTGGTGTGATCTTGGCTCACTGCAATCTCCGCCTCCCGAGTTCAAGTAATTCTCCTGCCTCAGCTTTCCAAGTAGCTGGGATCACAGGTGCACAGCACCACACCTAGCTACTTTTTGGATTTGTGGTAGAGACAGGCTTTTACCATGTTGGCCAGGCTGGTCTCGAACTCCTGACCTCAGGTGATCCACCCATCTTAGCCTCCCAAAGTGCTGAGATTACAGACGTGAGCCACCACACCCAGCCCTACTGTAAATATTAATGATACTTTTTTGTATTAAGGTGGGAAAAATTCTCAGTTATAACAATAAGGAAGACAAGAGAGAATGCTCAGTGTACAGTTCTGGTATGCAAAGGTCCTTGCTTGTTTTGGAGGATAACAGAGATAATAACTTTAGACTTGCTAAAAAATTTATAGTTAAGTATGTATGTTGGCTGGGCACAATGGCTCATGCCTGTAATCCCAGTGCTTTGGGAGGCAAAGGTGGGAGGATTGCTTGAGCCCAGGAGTTTGAGACCAGCCTGGGCAATATAGTGAGACCATGTCTCTGCGAAAATAATTAAAATATTAGTTGAGTATGGTGGTGTGTGCCTGTATTCCCAGCTATTTGAGAGGCTGCTGTGAGAGGATCCCTTGAGCTAGGAGGATGAGGATGCAGTGAGCTATGATTGCACCACTACATTCCAGCCTGAGCAACAGAGCAAGACTTTGTCCCTTAAAAATAAGTGTGTGGCCAGGTGTGGTGGCTTATGCCTGTAATCCCAACATTTTGGGAGGCTGAGGTGGGCGAATTGCTTAAGGTCAGGAGTTCGAGACCAGCCTGGTCAACATAACGAAACCCCCCCATCTCTACTAAAAACACAAAAATTAGGCAGGCGTGGTGGTGTGTGCCTGTAATCCCAGCTACTTGGGAGGCTAAGGCAGGAGAATTGCTTGAACCTGGGAGGTGGAGGTTGCAGTGAGCTGAGATCGTGCTACTGCACTCCAGCCTGGGCAACAGAGCAAGAGTCCATCTCAAAAAAAAAAAAAAAAGTGTGTGTGTGTATGTGTGTATATATATATGTGTGTGTATGTGTATATGCGTGTGTGTTTGTGTATGTATATGTATGTGTGTATGTGTATGTGTGTATAAGTATATGTGTGTTTGTGTGTGTGTGTGTGTGTGTGTGTGTGTGTAATAAAGCAAAAAGTGGCAATCACAAGGAAAATTAACAAATCCACCATCAAAATGGAAGGTTTTAACAGGTCTCAGCGCAGTAATGGAAAACCAAGCAATGAGACCTGAAAAGCACAATTTCAACACTGATTTTACATAGGCCTGTGTGTGATATGCATATATAACATATAGAATGCATAGAAATATACATATTCCTGTAACTAGCAAATATAGAAGATACATTATAAATGATAAATAATGATACATTATAAATAGATAAACGTTGTTTCACACACCTATAAAACATTTATAAAAACTAACCACACATGTCTGTAATCCCAGCACTTTGGGAGGTCAAGGCAGGAGGGTCACTTGAGCCCAGGAGTTCGAGACTAGCCTGAGCAACACAGGGAGATGCTGTCACTACAGAAATATTTTTAAAATTAGCCCGGTGTGGTGGTGTGCGCCTGTGGTCCCAGCTATTTTGGGAGGCTGAGGTGGGAGGATCGCCTGAGCCCTGGATTTCAAGGCTGCAGTGAGCCATAATTGCACCACTGCATTCCAGCCTGGGTGACAGAGCAAAGCCCTGTCTCAAAAAACAAAACAAAAACCAAAAAAATGAAGCTGACCACATATCAAATACCAGGTTACAATGTATTTCAGGGAACTATTACAATACAGATCACATTCTCTGACCACAATGCTCTCACACTGATGGACAAATAATCTCCCTATTTCACACATTCTAAGATGTACTTTATTTTTTCACATCATCTCTGAAACCAGAATGCTTCTTATAACTGATGGGATGTTACAGTTTAATAAGCAATGGGTTTTTTCTTTTTCCCTTCTTTAGTGGTATAAAAAATAATTGGAGTCCATTACAATCAACAGCATTTTAGATTTTATAAAAATATGGTAATTTTTAAAAAATGTATGGGATACATTACTATCTAACTAGAAATTAATAACAAAAGAAAAAATAAAAAGCTTTAAAGTACCCTCCTGAATACCTCTCTTGCATCAAGGAGGAAATAAAATGAGCAATTTTAGACTACAAAAAATTATGCTAATGACAATTTATGCATACCAAAACTTACGGAATGTGGCCAGAACTGTACTCAGAGGAAGCGTCATCAGTTTAAATGTTTTATTCGTAAAGAAGAAAGATAATACATGACCTGGACAGATGTTCAACTTAAAAAATTAGAAAAAGAACAAGAAAATAAGCCTTAACAAGTCATTAAATAGGAGGAAGTCCTGATTTTTAAAAGAGTTGAACAGCAGGATGAATAAATAAATTTGACAGCTGCTTCTTAGAAAAGGCCAATGAAATCAACAAATCTCTGGTAAAGTCTAACCAAGAAAAGAGAAAAAAAACAACATTAATAAGAAAGAGAGATAAGTAGAGATGCAAAAAAAATTTATAAAAATATAAGAATACCACATAGAATTCTCTGCTAGTAAATTTTAAAATCTTGATTAAATGTATGATAGTCTAGGGAAGCAAAGTGATACAAACTGATTTAAGAAGTAGAGAAGCTGAATGGAAAATATATGTGGAAAACAGTCCTCCCCACCCCCAAAGGCACTGTCCTCAGGCAGTTTCAAACCTTCAAGGAACAGACATTTTCTATGCTATTTAAAATGTTCCAGAGGATGAAGAAAAGAGAAAAACTTCCTAATTAATTTTATGAATAACACATAACCCTGGTACCAAAATCTGCCAAAGATGAAACAAAAATAAAATCACAGACTAAATCTTGCTTGTCACTATAGATGCAAAAATCCTAAATAAAAGGACATGGAAGGCTGGGCGCGGTGGCTCATGCCTGTAATCCTAGCACTTTCGGAGGCTGAGGCGGGCAGATCTCTTGAGATTAGGAGTTCGAGACCAGCCTGGTCAACATGGCAAAACCCTGTCTCTACAAAAAATGCAAAAATTAGCCAGGCATGGTGACAAGCACCTGTAGTCTTAGCTACTCAGGAGGCTGAGGCATGAGAATTGCTTGTACCCGGGAGGCGGAGGCTGCAGTGAGCTGAGATCACACCACTGCATTCTAGCCTGGGCAACAGAGCCAGACCCTGTCAGACTCCTGGGCTCAAGTGATCCTCCCACCTCAGCCTCAAGAAGCACTGGGATTACAGGCTTGACCTACCATGTCTGACCAGATAAAAATCATTAGATACAAAGCTAAACTTCAGGAAAGAAAAGGAAATCCTCAGGCATGAGCTGGAACAATGAACTGTCAGCAGGTGCCCCAGAAGTCCTGAACACAGATGGCAGACCCTACAGGTCAGGGCCTGGGGCATTGGTGCCCACAGGAGATTCAGTCAGGGCCCTCATAAGATGAGGAACTAGAACTGAGTTACTGCACAAAGCTAGGGCTCTAGAAGGGCTCAGTGAAATGGAAGCCTAGAAAACTCAAACCCTGTCTAAAAGAAAATATTTTTATATTTTCATTCTGGGAGGCAGGGGGAAGCCTCCCAGAATGAAAAGAATCCCAAGCCTGAACCATGGCTGTGGAGTTCAAATTTACATGACCAATATGGAGCTAGAAATAGTAGGAAAAATAAGTCCCAAACTGATGAACCCATGGAGGCTCCCAGCAGAAACAATTTTTGAAATGTTCTGAAGCAACATCTCCACAACCTAGGAAGCACAGGGCTACCAATGTTTAAAAGTCAACAGTCTTAAATTAGTTTGGATAATTTTTGCTTCCCTAGAATATTGCACAGAAATTATAATCTACCAAAGGAAATGATTCGCCATGAGGAAAAACAAGCTGATAAACAAGCAGAAAGACTAGAATCCAAGATGAGGGAGAAACCTGATTTATGCTAATCTATCTATTGTTTATGCTAACATTTATATTTTAAATTATAAAATGAGTAAAATAATAAAACAGGCATGAAAGAACAGGAAACTACAGGAAACAAGCATGTAGATTTCAACACTCTCCGTAGAATTCCAAGAGATGAAAAATATAGTGATTAAAATTAAAAACTCATTGCTAGGATTTCAGAACAGATTAGTAAACTAGGAGACAAGGTGATCCAGGGGTGAATCTAACATAATCACCCAGAATGCAAACATGGAAAAACATGAATCTGAATTCCAAGGAAGAGAATAGAATGAGAGGGTCCAAAATAAAACTGATAATCATAGACTCTGGCCAAAATGCATCCCCAGGGACTAAAACAAAGGCAGGGTCCTTCCGGATCACTTACACTAATGACTTCTGGGCAACTGTGTCAGTGTCAGTACAGAGTCTCTAGGGCACTCAAGAGAACATTAATCACCAAGGTTTACGTAGAGCTGACCATGTGCCAGTATCCATTTTAAACACCTTATATACATCAACTTATTTGATTCTCACAACAACCTAAGAGTTTGGTAATATTATTACCTCCATTATATAGATGAGTAAACTGAGGAACTGAGTTTAAGTAATTTTCCCCAGCTATTAAGTGTTGGAGTAGAAGTCAGATCCAAGAAACTATCTCCAGAGTCCGTGTTCTTAACCACCGTGCTTTACTGTCCTTCATACATGTGACTTGCATTTCAAAGGCTAATATTGAGAACAGGGTCAAGGAACTATTTGAAGAGATGATGACTGAAAAAATTTGCAGAACTTAAGAAAGCCATGAGTCCTAAGAGTGAATAAGTGCCTCAACTTCCAAGTAGGAAAAATAAAACTATACACCTACAGTTAACTCAGTGAAGCTGAAAAATATGAAACAGAGAAAAGTCACAAAAATAACCAGAGAGAAAGACATTATACACAAAGCACTGACACACTAACTCTCATCTTCTTTGAGGAGCAGAGGGGACCCAAAAACAATGAATAAGGCTTCAGAGAGCTAAAGGAAAATAACTATCATCCCAGAATTCTACACCCAGCTCAACTATGCAGGGAAAAATAATATTTAAATGAACAATGTCCAAGAGAGTTTACATAGGCCTTCCCTGAAAGAACTACTAAGGGGTTATGTGAGGCAGTTGAAAACAGAACTCTCACACACACAAAAAAGAGTAGAATGCAATAAGCAAGAGTGAGAAAAGAAACTGGTAAACAGCTGTAAGTTGAAATAATCAACAGTAATAATGATTTTTTAAAATTGGGGAGTTTATAAATAATATGGTACTATAATTAGACAACAAAAGATATAGGATGGGAGTATGATCAGAATTAAAGTGTTCCAAGATCATTATGTTGTTTTGGAGGAAAGTAGACATTTTTATTTAAATCATATTGGGTTAAACCAAGTGCGTATATTAGCAACATAAAGGTAAACACTGGGAGAATAAAAAATAGAATGTGTAACTTCCAAACCAGCAGACGGACTAAAACAAGAGTAAAGTACATACAATCAATCCTTTAGAAAGCAGGATAGATTTTAAAAAGAAACAATGAAAAAGCAAGTTAAGTAGGAAACACAAAATAAAACAGAAAAAAGAAAAAATATAGTCCGGGCTCAGTGGCTCATGCCTGTAATCCCAGCACTTTGGGAAGCTGAGGTGGGCGGATCCCCTGAGGTCAGAAGTTCGAGACCAGCCTGGCCAACATGGTGAAAACTCATCTCTAATAAAGATACAAGAATTAGCCGGGCGTGTTGCTGGGCGCCTGTAGTCCCAGCTACTCAGGAAGCTGAAGCAGGATAATTGCTTGAACCCAGGAGGCAGAGGTTGCAGAGAGCTGAGATTGCGCCACTACACTCCAGCCTGGATGACAGAGCAAGAAGCTGTCTCAAAAAAAAAAAAAAAAAAAAAGAGAGAGAAAATATAAATAAACCAGTAACCACAAAAAAAAAGAAAACCAACTAAACTTACTAGAGGGACACTTTCAAAACATGATGACACAGAAATGTTGAAAGTGAAGCAACATACCAAAGACAAAATAACAAAGACAGAGTTGTTTTGTAATATTAATATATGGTAAAATAGAATGTAAGGCCAAAAAAAAGCATTGATGGGATTTAAAAGAGTTATTACACAAAGAAAAAGGAAATAATTCACTAGGAAGGCATAATCATCTTGAACCTATATGCACCTAATAACATTGCTTTACAAAAAAATATAGTCAAAGTTGGTAAGATTACAAAGAAAATGAACAAATTCATAACCATATTGAGAGATCTTAACACATCTCACTCTGATGTTGATAAATTAAGCAGCCAAAAAAAATTAAGAATATAGAAGATACAAACAATATACAAGACTGAGTTAAAGAATGTATATAGGTACCGATCTATATAGACTTCTGAACGCAACTATTAGAGGAGACATATTATTTCCAACATAATGGGACAGAAAAATGATCATATACTAACCAGGACACAAAGGAATTCTCCACTAAAATTAAATAATCAATAGCATGCACACCACAATCTCTGCAATTTTATCACATTGCACCACAATGCAATAAAATTAGAAACTTGTTTTTTCAAAAACAGAAGAGAAAAAAATGCTCTTGAAGTGTTTGCATCCAAATAATTCATGAGTCAAAGAATCACAAGGAAATGATAAAACCTATTGGCTATTGAACAAGCAATATGATGAAATAATTATGTACACCAACAAATTAAGATTTAATTCAGAAATGCATTACAGAATGGCTCAATATTAGCCATATTATAAATATTAACATGGTTTGCTGCATAAATAGATCAAAAGAGAAAAAAACACATTTATGTCTATAGATTAAATACATTTGGGGGTAAAAGAGTCCTTAATTATTTATAAACACTAGTAATATAGGACGCTTTTTTTTAAGTTTAAAAGATCTCATCCCATAGATACAATCATGATTAATGGTGAAATATTAAAGTCAGGAATAGAACAAGAGAAGCCCACTGTTATTTAACATTGTCCGGAAAATACTTGCCAATTCACCTAGAAATGAAAATTAAATAGAAAGCATAAATCAGTAGAAAACAGAAAGGAGAAAATCTTCATGACCTTAGGTGGGTTTAGACTTTCTTAGACACAATACCAAAAGCATAAGCAATACAAATAAAAATAAGAGAAATTGGATTTTATCAAAATTGAAAACTTTTGTACTGCAAATGATACCATCAAGAAAATATGGCAACCCACAGAACAAGATAAAATTTGCAAATCATATATTTAATATGAAACTTGTGGCCAGGTGTGGCAGCTCATGTCTGTAATCCCAGCACTTTGGGAGGTTGAGGTGGGCAGATTACCTCAGGTCAGGAGTTCAAGACCAGCCTGGTGAAACCCCCATCTCTACTAAAAATACAAAAATTAGCCATGCATGGTGGCACATGCCTGTAGTCCCAGCTACTTGGGAGGCTGAGGCAGGAGAATCGCTTGAACCCGGGAGGCGAAGGTTTGCAGTGAGCCAAAATCACACTACTGAACTCCAGCCTGGGTGACAGAGCAAGACTGTCTCAAGATAAAACAAAAACAAAAGCAAAAAAATTAACCAGGTGTGGTGGCGGGTGCCTGTAATCCCAGCTACTTGGGAGGCTGAGGCACGAGAATGGTTTGAACCTGGGAGGAGAAAGTACCAGTGAGCCAAGGTCACACCACTATACTCCAGCCTGGACGACAGAGTGAGAGACTATGTCTCAAAAAAAAAAAAAAAAAAAAAAAAAAAAAGAAAAGAAAAAGAAAAAGAAAAAGAAAAGAAAAAAAAGAAACTTGTATCCAGAATAGATTAAAAAAATCCTTCCAACTTGATAATTTAAAAAATTTAACAACTCAATTAATTTATGGGCAAAGGATCTGAATAGATAGTCTCACAACTCAATTAATTTATGGGCAAAGGATCTGAATAGATAGTCTCTGAGAACTAAAAAGAAAATCCTAAGTCCCCCAACTGAATAAACAGTCCCCCTCTTGGCCAAGAGGAACCCAGAGAAATCTTAAAAACTGGGTTCCTGGCCATGCTGGGACGGGAGGTTGGACACACACCTCTCCCTTGCTAACCACCGTTAGACTTCCTCTCCTAAGAGTGACTACAGCAGGACTCCCATCCCTTTTGTGGTTTAGACACAACAACTGACCAGCATGAACATTAACACAGAGATCATAAGACTCACAGAACAGACTCTTTGTGGCAGTAAGACACCAAGTTATAAACATTACCTAAGGCCATGCCAGGCAAGGATAAAGTCACACACCCCTACACTTTTTATACTACTATTTATAAAAGTAAACTATGCTCTAACTGCCACAGGAGTTTCTTTTTCTCTAGCAGCTAAACAAGCACTGGTTTGGAGATAAACAATACTGAAACAATTGCAGCTTACCCACCGCCAGGCACTAACTGACCCCCTACCCCTCTGATTTACCAGCCATAACTGCAGCTTTGATTGGACAAGAGACTGATTTCAGTAACTTTCTCCTAATAAGAGACTACCCACCATGGCCTGGTTCTGGCCGGTTTACAGAGGCTGCTGTGCACTGAATACCTTCATGTCCTTTTGACATGTAGGGTTTAACTGTAATGCATTTATATGCAAAGTCTGCTACCTAAGGTAAACAAGGTAAACATGGGACGCATGTAACGTGCATGTTTGTTCAGTATGTATGCGTCCAGACCCCCCTCATGAATGTTCATAGTTCTTCCTGTAACTTGCTGAATATGCGTATTTGGCCAGCCCGTTCAGCATAAATTCCTGTTCCACCCTGCCCTCCCTCGAAGTGCTTGCTTTCGGTTTTCAGGTGGAGGCTGCGCTTCCGGCCTGTAGGTTGTGAACCCCTTCTTAAGAAATAAAGTTCTCCTTTCTAAGTCTATAAATCATGTGTTTTTTCAGCTGACATCTCCAAAGACATCCAAGTAGCAAATAAGCATGTGAAAAGATGCATCCCCAATGAGATACATCATTACTCATTGGGGAAATGCAAACCCAAACCACAGTGAAATACTAGCACACAAACACTAGGATGGCTGTGATCAGAAGGATAGACAGGCCGGGCACAGTGGCTCCTGTCTGTAATCCCAGCACTTTGGGAGGCTGAGGTGGGCAGATCAATTGAGCTCAGAAGTTTGAGACCAGCCTGGCCAACATAGTGAAACCCTGTCTCTAATAAAAATACAAAAATTAGCCGGGCTTAGTTGCGGGCGCCTGTAGTCCCAGCTACTCGGGTGGCTGAGGCAGGAGAATGGTGTGAACCTGGGGGGTGGAGCTTGCAGTGAGCCGAGATCGCCCCACTGCACTCCAGCCTGGATGACAAAGCGAGACTCCAACTCAAAAAAAAAAAAAAAAAAAGTGCTTCATTCCTTTTTACGCCTGAATAATATTGCATTGTACAGATATACACATTTATTATTATATTTTATCCATTCATCTATTGATGGATATTTGGGTTGTTTCTACCTTTTGGCGATTATTAATAAAGCTGCTGTGTACACATTCGTGTACAAAGTCTTTGGGGACATATATTTTCATTTCTCTTGGGTATACACCCAGGAGTGGAATTGCTGGGCCATTTGGTAAATCTATGCTTAACCTCTTGAGGAATTGCTAGACCGTTTTCCAAGAGTGCTGGGATTATAGGCATGAGCCACCACGCCCAGTCAACTTTAATTTTTTTAATTTTTTATTTTTTAGAGATGGGAGTACTTTTAATACAACATGGCTGAACCCTGAAACCATTATTATGCTAAGCGGAAAAAAAGACCACGCATTGTAGGATTCAATTGACATGAAATGTCCAGAATAGGCAAATGTATAGAGACAGAAAACAGATTAGTGTTTGCCTAGGACTGGGCAGGAAGGAAGGGGAGTGACTGTGAATAGCACAGGGTTTCTTTCTGGAGTGATGAAAATGTTGTGGAATTGACTGTGGCGATGGGCGCACAACACTGGGAACATACTGAAAACCATGGAATTGCACACTTCAGGTGGGTGAATGGTGAGGTATGTGATTATGTCTCAATAAAGCTGTTAACAGAGAGAGAAACACAGAGGAGAGAGAGAGAGAGGACTTCCAGACCCTAGTGACCATATTTGCATCCACTGTTCTGCCCTCCCGGCTTTGACCCTAGGAGAATTGTCTGTGCTTCTACCTATGGCCAATCCCCCACATCCACCAGCTCCAATACTCTAAGCTTCTCAAGGACTGGGCTCAAACAGTTCTCCCCTCTGAACTACCTGTTTTTCACATTCTATTCTATCAGTCTCATCAGCATACAGATATACTGTGATTTCTCCAATCCTAAAAAAAAAAATAAAAACCCCCAAAACAAAAACCTTTCAACCCCTCTTCCCTCAGCAGCTATCTTCTCATTTCTTTTTTATTTTATTTTATTTATTTATTTATTTTGAAACGGAGCATCACTCTGTTGCCCAGGCTGGAATGCAGTGGCATGATCTCGGCTCACTGCAACCTCCGCCTCCCGGGTTCAAGTGATTCTCCTGCCTCAGCCTCCCTAGTAGCTGGGATTACAGGTGCACGCCACCATGCCTGGCTAATTTTTGTATTTTTAGTAGAGACAGGGTTTCATCATGTTGGCCAGGCTGGTCTCGAACTCCTGTCCTCAAGCGATCCACCCGCCTCCGCCTCCCAAAGTGCTAGGATTATAAGCGTGAGTCACCGCACCAAGCCTATCTCCCCATTTCTTTGCCCTCATTTGCAGCAAAACACCTTGAGTTATCCCTATTCACAATCTCCAGTGTCTCTCTTCCCATTCTATCATATACTCACCAAAATCAGACCTTTGTTCCACCAAAGCCATTCTTGCCTGGAGCACATTGCAGAACCCACTGATCAGCCCTTGGTCCTCACCCACCTGGCCTGCCACCAGCATTGGGCAAAAGGGACCATGCATTCCTCTGTGGTGCACTTTCCTCACTTGGCTCCCAGGACGTGATAGTCTCCTGCTTTCTTCCTGTCTCACTGGTCCCTTCTTGCCTTGCTTTGGGTCTTCCTCATCTCCCTGGAGTCTTCGCGTTGGAATATTCCCGCTCTCAGTTATTGGTCCTCTTTGTGTCTCTATTTGCACTCCCTCGCTGACCTCGATCAGTCTTCAGGCTTTAGAAACTATCTATATGTTGATGACTCCCAAATGTATTATCTCTGAAACCACCTTTGCACCTTTGTAATACGACTGCGAGAGAAATCTGATAGCTGACTCCATTTTGCTCCTAACCTCACAAGCTGTCTTTGTTCATTCCTGGGCATAGGCCAAGCTAACTGTGGGAGGAATTTAGCTCATAGCTTAACTTTATTTTATTTATTTTTATTTAGTTATTTTGAGACAGAGTCTCACTCTGTCACCCAGGCTGGAGTGCAAGGGAGCGATCTTGGCTCAATGCAACCCCCGCCTCCCAGGTTCAAGCAATTCTCCTGCCTCAGCCTCCCAAGTACCTGGGACAAACAGGTGTACGCCACCATGTCTGGCTAATTTTTGTATTTTGAGTAGAGACAGGAGTTCACCATGTTGGCCAGGCTGGCCTCAAACTCCTGGCCTCAACTGATCTGCCGGCCTCAGCCTCACAAAGTGCTGGGATAACAGGCGTGAGCCACTGTGCCTGGCCCATAGTTCAACTTGAAAACAAAGATGACAATAGTCCCTTCCTGAAACTAACCCCCTCCTTGCTCAGGGACTAAAGCCACCTTTGTGAAACTAACAAATTAGCCACAAGGTCAAAAGATTTTACACCATCCCCAACTGCTCCTGTAGATAACATCACTATTGTAAAACCTACGACTAGTGTTTGAGGTATCTTTCAGACCTTGCTTTCCCATGGACCAGCTGGTGCCACCTGAACCAGTAACCCATACCAAGAAACTGGCTCAAATGATCTTGTGACCCCCACCCGGAAACTGTCATAGCACAATAAATGAAGAAGCTATAACTTCTACCCCCTATAATTTCATCCCTAACACAGCCGGCCAGCATTCCCCATTCCCTAGTACCCTGTCCACCAAACTATCCTTGAAAGACTCTAGCCTCCAAATTTTTAGGAAGGCAGGTTAAGAATTTATCTCCCAACTACTGCCAGGATTGCCTTGCAATTATTAAACTTTTGTTTTTTTTTGAGACAGAGTCTTACTCTGTCTCCCAGGCTGGAGTGCCATGATGCCATCTCAGTTCACTGCAGCCTCAAACTCCTGGGCTCCAGCAATCCTCCCACCTCAGCCTCCTGAGTAGCTGAGACCACAGGCATGTACCAGCATGCCCAGCTAATTTTTTGTATTTTCTGTAGAGATGGGGTATCGCCATGTTGCCCAGGCTAGTCTTGAACTCCTGGCCTCAAGCAATTCACCCACCATGGCCTCCCAAAGTGCTGAGATTAGAGGCATGAGCCACCACACCTGGCCCTCACTAAACTCTTTTTCTGCTGTAATACTCCTGCTCTTCTCTGTGTATTGGCTTTTCTGGGCAGCCAATAAGAAGAACCCATTGGGGTATAACATCTCCAGCTCTAACCTCTCTCCATAACTCCAAACTTGTATATCCAACCAAATATTCAACATCTGCCATTGCATGTGTACTGGACATCCTAAATCCTGTATGTCCTTCACCGAATGTTTAGCCTAAGCCCCTCCAACAGCTGTTCCACCCACTCTTTCCCACCTCAGCTGTGGGTCACTCCATCCTTCTAGCCGCTCAGACCAAAAGCTATCTCTTCCTCACACCCCATCTAACCCATCAGGAAATCTTGTTGGCTCTGCCTTCAAATATATCTAGAATCAACCCATCTGCTCACGTCCACTGCCAGCATCTTGGCTGGATCATCCTCTCCCACTGCCAGGCCTCTTTGCCCCTTACCATGGCAGCAACAGGGAACCTGTTTTAAAATATAATTTCAATCATTGCACTTCTCTGTTCAAAACCCTGCCATTGCTCCCCACGCACACAGAGTAAAGTCGAATTTCCTACTCTGTACTCTGTTCTGCAGGGCCCACATCTCTGTCCCCCGCCCCCACACGGCCTCATCTCCAGCGGGCCCTGTCCCCCAACTCCTGACTTCCTCGCCGTTCCTTTCACTGGGTGCCCTCTCTGCCCACACTCATCTTCACCCAGGTCAGAATTTCTCAACCTCCACACTACGGACATTTGGGGTCAGATGGTCCTCTGTCATGGGGGCTGTCCTATAGACTGTAGAGTGTTTAGCAGTGTCCCTGGGCTGTAGCCACCAGATGCCAGGAGCATCCTTGAGTCATGACCATCAAAAATGTCTCCAGCTGTTGCCAAATTCCCCTGGGAATACAATCGCCCAGGCTGAGAACCACTGGCCTAGACCATCTGTATGGTCCACATCTTCCCAACCTCTAATCTCATCTCACCTTCTCAGGGAGGCCCACCTTGACCCTTCCCTTCCTCCCTAACCCCACACTTCCAATCCCTCTTAGCCTACTTGGCTTTTTAAAGCAAGTGCCACATTCTAACACTACATAATTCATTTATTTTTTATTTTTTTAGAGACAGGGTCTTGCTCCGTTGCCCAGGCTAGAGTGCAGTGGCACAGTCATGGCTCACTGCAGCCTCCACCTCCTGGAATCGACTGATCCTCCCGCCTCAGACTCTCAAGTTGCTGGGACTACAAGTGCACACCACCATGCCTGGCTAATTAAAAAAAAATTTTTTTTTTTAGAGACGGAGTCTTGCTATGTTGCCCAGGCTTGTCTCAAACTCCTGGCCTCGAGGGATCCTCCCGCTTCGGCTTCCCAAAGTGCTGGAATTACAGGCATGAGCCACCACACCCGGCCATCATATACTTAAGTATATTAGTGTTCACTGTCTGCTGCCCTTACCAGAACACTGACTCCATGGGGGCTGGGATTCACCTCTGCTTCACGTCCTGCTGTATCCCCCAGTGCCTAGAACAGTACCTGACATGCACCCAGCACACACTTTGTTCTCCATAAATATTTGTTGAGTACATGGATCAGCTCAGAAGACCCAGTATAATAATAATAAATACAGTAAATCTGGGAACACTGGCTCATGCCTGTAATCCCAGCACTTTGGGAGGCTGAGGTGGGTGGATCACCTGAAGTCAGGAGTTCGAGACTAGCCTGGCCAACATGGTGAAACCGCATCTCTACCAAAAATGCAAAAATTAGCCAGGTGTGGTGGCAGGTGCCTGTAGTCCCAGCTACTCGGGAAGCTGAGACAGGAGAATGGCTTGAACCCAGGAGGTGGAGGTTGCAGTGGGCTGAGATCGAGCC
The DNA here is from genome assembly GCF_000001405.40 of Homo sapiens. Taxonomy (NCBI): domain Eukaryota; kingdom Metazoa; phylum Chordata; class Mammalia; order Primates; family Hominidae; genus Homo; species Homo sapiens. Next base: position 33,643,990 of record NC_000019.10, on the reverse strand, counting down.
ACTGCACTCCAGCCTGGGTGACAGAGCGAGACTCCGTTTCAAAAAATAAAAAATTAATAAATAAATAAAGTAAAGGAGTCAATGTATCCTTATTTGTAAGGATAAATAGTAAACTTATCCTAAATTTATGTGTAAGTGAAACACTATCCTAACACTAATCTTCGCTAGATATTATTTGAAATGTGACGCCCTACATCCAAAATAATAAAAATGTGATATCACACAAGAATCATAATAGAGGGGATCTGCCTCCTAAGATACTAGAAATGCGCTCCTAAGCTACGATAATTAAAATCGTGGGTGCTGGGACTAGAAGAGTCAGGCTAGAACAGAAGAGTATAGAAGAGGCCCTAGTTAACACAGGAATTAAGCAAATGGTCAAGGTGGCATTTAAAAATCAGCAAGCAAAGAGTGAATGTTCCATAAATGATGCTGGTACAACTGGCTGGCCATTTCGCACCTGCGGCATATGTGTGTTATTTAGAAATATGGAGGCAGAACTGCAGTGCCTGCTGGGGAAATGGCTAGAAGAGTCATAGGTGGCTGCCTCCAGAACACGGGCTCAGGAGAGCTGGGGAGGGAGGGAGCAGAGAACTGGTAGATTTGTTAAAAGCCTTTTTTTTATTATTTATGCCTTCTTAAGCTATGCACATGCATGACTTTGGTAAAAATAAAATGTATGTTAAAAAGGCAATAATCACGCCCCTCTTTAACCTATCTAATTGACACAGATTTAAAAAATAAAAAACAAAGATTCCCAGTGCGGTTGTGATTATGAGAAAAAATAGGCCCGCTCACGCACCGCTTGGTCTTTCTGGAAGGTGATTTGTTGGGAAGTACTAAAAGTTTTAAAGACGGGCATACCCTTTGAGACAACTATTCCACTTCTAGGAATTTATGCTGGGATGGCACAAAGGTATACTGCAAGAAGGTTCATGTCAACATGCTTTAAAATTGAAAAACAAAAACGAAAACCCCCAAAATGTCCAACAAGGAACCGGTTCTATAAATTATGATAAATTCATGGAAAGGGATGCCGTGTAGGTGTCAAAAGCAAGACAGAAACAGATTCATCACCATGGAAAAGAATTCATGATATGCAAAGTGATTAAACAGGTTATGTGCGGTAGGCATAAAGATTATTGCATTTTGATAAAATGAAAATGATTTACGAGTTTACGTATATAAAGCGATAGAGACGTAAGGTAGCCCCTTCTCTGGGACAATGTATGCCAACACCAGAGCCAGAAGGATTCAAAGGACGGTAAGACTTTAATCTTCTTTTTGCTCTTGCAAAGGCATTTCCGCAGGGAATCTTTAAGACTCCTGGCTGGGCGCAGTGGCTCACGCCTGTAATCCCAGCACTTTGGGAGGCTGAGGCAGGCAGATCACTTGAGGTCAGGAGTTCAAGACCAGCCTGGCCAACATGGTGAAACCCCATCTCCACTAAAAATACAAAACTCAGCCGAGTGTGGTGGTGCGTGTCTGTAATCCCAGCTACTAGGGAGGCTGAGGCACAAGAATTGCTTGAACCCAGGAGGCAGAGGTTGCAAAGAGCCGAGATCGTGCCACTGCGCTCCAGCCTGGGCGACAGAGACCCTATCTCAGAAAAAAAGAAAAAAAAAAGACTTATGAAGGTGGAAGCTAGAATGCTGAGGTCAGATTCCTTGGAAGTGGGAGGTGGAGTGGGGGGGGGCCCTCTGCTGCCCACTCATCCACGGGGTCCTGGGGGAGTGGGCCAGACTCCAGAGGCACACAGAGCCCAGCCAGTCGCCCACCCATCTGCAGTCCCAGAGGTGAGGGCTTTGGCCCCTTCCCAGCAGACAGGGATGTCCCAGAACAAAGGCCACAGTCAGTGGGTGCTGAGCCCCACAGCCCTGCAGCCATGGCCTGTGGTCTTGGTGGTTCCTGTCCCTTTCCAGGGCTCTGGTGAGACACTAGGCCCCAGGCCCTCATCCTCCAGGCGGAAATCATCCACCTTGTCAGTGAAGTTCTGGACTCCAAATTCTTCAGGCCCAGAGGCCAAAGTAATATACAGACATATGGTTTGGTCAGCGTAGGACTTTGGTTTTAAATTCTGAATTAGTCTCCAGACTTCAGAGGGGAAGCGATTTCATATAAAAATGGACCTGTGTTCTTGAATATGTGAATACCTGGCCACCCTGGAAACCCTCATCCCTTTCTGCGATGACAGCGGGAGTCCCACTGCCCCCTTCCAAAGCAGCAGGTCCCCCCTCCCCACACACCGCCCCCGACATCCCAGACCATACCCCTCCTTTGCCCTGAGGCCTGACTCCAAGGGTAGCTAAATTTTCCACCCTGGGCTGTCCAGAACCCCCTCATTTCTGGGCTATCTGAGGCTCCTTCTCCCTACTTTACCAGCCCCCTTCTTCCCTTCCATCTTCAGCTATGGGAACCAGTTCCAATACACCACCAATCCCCAGCCGGTGTGCCACCTTGCCCCCCTGGGGAGATAGAAGTTTCCTTGCAGAAAACTCCTCACCGCAAGCTGAGGTGTGGCAGCTCAGATCTGGGGGAGCCCTTAACCCTGCTGCTCCTCAAACCCTGCCCAGGGGGTGGTGGGGCGGAGATCTAGGCTGAGACTGAGAAGCTGGTCAGTGCCTCACCCCCAGTCCTGACCTCAAGAAGGGGTCTCGGGCCAGAAACAGCAATCCTGTTCCCCGAGGACTCTGATCCTGGCAGAAGAGGACTCACCCAGCCTACCATGGGTTTAGGAACAGGTAAGTCCCTAAGAGCCAGGATCTTGGGCTGAGTTGCCTGGATGCTCTGGGATGGACGGTGCAGACAGGTTTGTAGGGAAGGGCTCTCGGGACAGCCACCTGCGAGGAGCTGAGGAGGGCAGGAGCAGGCAGAGAGAGAAGCCGACAGCAGTGCCTCTCAGCTGAGGACTCAGCCCATCCCATAGGTGCTCTGGTGCTGGGAGGGACCTTCAGGGCAGTCCCAAATGGAGACAAGGGGCTGGGCCTTTGTGATCCCACAGCAGTAGCAGTCCCTGGCGGTGGGATGGGGTGTGACTTTGGGCAAGGAGCTCCCTGGGGCCCAGGGCAGTTCCCATCCCGGGGCGCCCCTGGGAGCATCAGCAGCAGATATTCCCAGCAGCCCCCACACCTGGGCAGAGCAGCACCTTGGCCATCACCCAGGGGCCAGCAGGGAGGCGTCGTGGAGCACCCCACTTCGCTGGAAGGAGGAGGGAGGTTCCTTCTTGGGCAAGACCACCCAGGAAGGGCCAGAGATGCAAGAGGAGAGTGCGCTGAAGATTCAGTCACATCCCCGGCATTTATTGGCAACAGAACATTAATTCCGACTGTCATTAGAGTCCATTTCAATTTTGTAATAACATAAAAAAGTTAAGAGTCTAATTTATTCATACAAATCTTGTTAGCATCCAACTTCCACATAATGTAATATATTCCTTAGAAAGCTGACAAAGCAGGAGAAATTAAAAACATAAAAGACATCCATGGGCTCTCAAGGCCACAGAGCCAAAGGTGAGTGAGAGGTCGGGGAGACCAGGGCAGCTCCAGAAAGGGCTGGAAGCTTGGAACAGGAACGGACAGACCTGGAGAGGTGGGCTGAGCCACCCAAAGGAGCCATGGCTTCCACCACATCCCAGATTGAAACTGTCCCCACAGGGTTGGCAAGAATTGCACGCTAGGTTCTGGACAGAAATATAGTTATAATTAAGCATTAATCAGGCTGCACTCTGGCCCAGTTCCTTGTGGCAAGGAGTCACGTGGTGCTAGATCCTGGCCGTGGTCACCCCCATTGCTCCTATAGGTAAGATTTCTGACATTAGGGTCATAAAATGGTGTAAGAATTGATTTGCTTTGCTGGGCGCAGTGGCTTACGCCTGTAATTCCAGCACTTTGGGAAGCCGAGGTGGGCGGATCACGAGGTCAGGAGTTCGAGACTAGCCTGGCCAGCATGGTGAAACCCTGTCTCTACTAAAACTACAAAAAAAAATTAGCCAGGCATGGTGGCGCATGCCTGTAGTCCCAGCTACTTGGGAGGCTGAGGCCAGAGAATCACTTGAACCTGGGAGGTGGAGGTTGCAGTAAGCCGAGATCGCGCCACTGCACTCCAGCCTGGGAGACAGAGTGAGACTCTGTCTCAAAAAAAAAAAAAAAAATTTGATTTGCTTCTCCATTGTCCCTATAGACAGGACCCCTGATTTTAGAATCATAAGGTTTTTGTTCACTTAAGATGTTGAAAAGACCCCAAATTGCCCCCAACAGTTTGAGGACCCCCTACAGAGGAGGGGGATCAGCCTGAGAACACAGCTTCTTCCTCTCCCGGTCCCAAGACTTTACCCTGCACTCTTCCACCCATCAACGATCTCCACACTTCACCCACTCCAAAACTTACAAATCCTAACCCCACATTCCCCAGGGAGATGGATTTGAGGTTGTCTGCCATCTCCTCGTTCCATGACCTTACCATTAATCCTCTTTTTCTGCCGCAACCTGGCATCTTAGCACATTGACTTGCTGCGTGCATCAGGCAATGGACCTGTTATGGTTACAAGGCTGCCCCGATGCTGAGAGGCTCCTCCTGGCCACCTCTGCAGCCCCCACACCATCCCAGTGCCATGCCCCTGCCCCTGGGCTCCAGACAGCACCCTAGCACTTCCCTCAGCAAATTCATCCTCGAGCGCTGTAACTCCTCTTAATTACACGTCTGCAGTGTTTGCATTAGATAGCTGTCACCCTGTAATTTACCCGTACACGGGTTTTAACTGTACATTAATCTTTTCTACATGCCACTCCCCTGCTAGAATCTCGAATGGCAGCAGTTTGGGCCATTTTGTTTATTCCTCAGCCAAAAATAGCTGATGAACGTAATCGCATATTGTACCTCCTCTTTTTTTTTTTTTTTTTTTTTTTGGTCAGGATCACCTGCTGTGTGCTAGGACTGGAGAGAGGCTCCTGTCACCTGCAAGCCACCTTTAAGCACAATATTTGACTGTTTCCTGGCTGACAGCAATTTTAGAAGAAAGGTCAGCAGCAACAAGAAATCTTCTGATCCCCAGCCATGCATTCTCTGGGTGCCCCCCATCCACATCCTCTCCCTCAAGCTCTTGCCTGATGGACCAGGGAGCACTCACTTGGGGAGCAATCTCACCAGGGGATGGAGGACAACGTGTGAACCTAAAAAATCCACCAGCATGCAGGTTCCAAGGTCACTTGGAGAACCACGAAGGTGAACTATAAATTACAAAGCCCTGGCTGGCTGCCAGGGCCCCAGGAAGCTACATTTAGCATATCATTCTCCCAGCAGCAGGATGAAGCCTTAACTCCCTTTCCGACAGAATTTGAATGGAATTGGTTACAAGAACATTGTGATTGAAATATCACCAATTGGCTTTTCATGACAACTCAGCGATAGATTGCAATTGCTATGGAGAGCGTGTGTGTGCTGAGGGGTGGCTGTTGTGCACTGTGGCCGGCCAAGGTGGCAATGAGGGAGTCCCATACAATATTTATGAAATTCAGATGAAGTCCTACACTGGCAATGAGCTGATATCATAACACAGATTTCAAAAACGCCTTGACATTTGCCCGAGATCAAATTTCCCCTTGCGAAAACCCACGAGGCTTTGTGCTGACAGCGGTCTGCATGCTTTGCCCCCACCTGCAACCTTCTTCGTTTAAGCTTGGGTAATTAACACTGCCATGGGAGGAGGCTGGAGGGGCTGGAGGCACAGATACAGTAGAATAATGCCACACAAGTCCACTTTTCCTTTGAGGAAAACGTCAGCGGTGGTGTTCGGTGGTGAAAGACAGGAGTTTTGATAATTTTTATTGTTAAACACTTTCCGACCAGCAAAACAAAGCTCGAGTGATATCCTGAAATTGGTGAGGCTCTGACAGCATATTTGGATGGAGAGAGCTATGCAGGGAAGATCCATCACACAGTCGCCCAGGAAACAAACATGAGAGCAAGAAATCTATCTCCTTGGGGCCAAAGATCTCATTTGGGCGCAGCCTTTATTTCCTTTTAGGGCAGCCTTGGAGAATCTGTTAGGAAGGGGATGTTTGAGCCTTCCTGGAAGAGGGGGCATGCTGCTTCAGATCCTACACTTTGGGACCTTTCTTTTTTTTTTTTTTTTTCTTAAGAGATAAGGTCTTGCTCAGGCTGGAGTCCAGTGGTGCCATCATAGCTCATTGCAGCCTCGAACTTCTGGACTCAAGCGATCCTCCTGCCTGGGCCTCCCAAAGAGCTGGGATTACAGGCGTGAGCCACCACACCCAGTGAAAGGTTCACTTTCGACTGGGCACGGTGGCTCACGCCTGTAATCCCAGCACTTTGGGAGGCCGAGGCAGGCAGATCACAAGGTCATGAGATCGAGACCATCCTGGCTAACAGGGTGAAACATCGTCTCTACTAAAAATACCAAAAATTAGCCGGGTGTGGCAGCGTGCGCCTGTAGTCCCAGCTGCTGGGAAGGCTGAGGCAGGAGAATGGCGTGAACCCAGAAGGCGGGGCTTGCAGTGAGCTGAGATCCCGCCACTGCACTCCAGCCTGGGTGACAGAGCGAGACTCCGTCTCAAAAAAAAAAAAAAAAGAAAGCGAACCTTTCTTTAGGTATCTCACACCCCACAGGGATCCTTCTGTCAGAGGCGTGTGAGCCAGAGCAACTCCATCTTGAATAGGGGCTGGGTAAAATGAGGCTGAGACCTACTGGGCTGCATTCCCAGATGGTCAAGGCATTCCAAGTCACAGGATGAGATAGGAGGTCAGCACAAGATACAGGTCATAAAGACATTGCTGATGAAACAGGTTGCAGTAAAGAAGCCAGCCAAAAGCTACCAAAACCAAGATGGTGATGAGAGTGACCTCTGGTCGACCTCACAGCTACAATCCCGCAAGCACCATGACAGTTTACAAATGCCATGGCAACATCAGGAAGTTACCCTCTATGGTCTAAAAAGGGGAGGCATGAACAATCCATCCCTTGTTTTGCGTATCATCAAGAAATAACCATAAAAATGGGCAACCAGCAGTGGTTGGGGGCTGCTGTGTCTATGGAGTAGCCATTCTTTTATTCCTTTACTTTCTTTCTTTTTTGAGACTGAGTTTCGCTCTTGTTGCCCAGGCTGGAGTGCAATGGCGCGATCTCGGCTCACTGCAACCTTCGCCTCCCGGGTTCAAGCGATTCTCCTGCCTCAGTCTCCTCAGTAGCTGGGATTATAGGCGCCAGCCCCCATGCCCGGCTAATTTTTGTATTTTTAGTAGAGATGGGGTTTCACCATGTTAGCCGGGCTCGTCTCGAACTCCTGAGCTCAGGTGATCCGCCCGCCTTGGCCTCTGAAAGTGCTGGGATTACAGGCGTGAGCCACTGCGCCCGGACTACTTTCTTAATAAACTTGCTTTCACTTTACGGTATGTACTTGCCCGAATTTTTTCTTGTGCGAGACCCAAGAACCCTCTCTTGGGGTCTGGATCGGGACCCCTTTCCTGTAACACTTCTACCTCTAACTGTGGCTTCTGGAGACAAAGACTCAGGCACTCACGCACATACCAGGACCCGTAGTGGTGAGACGTGAAATACTGCATAGGGCCCAAGCCTGAAGCCGCCAGGTTGTTTACGAGTCAAGGCAAGGGCGATTTAGGTGGTTTTTGATAAACACTTCATATTCCACATCCTAAGAGAAGCAGAATACTTGTCAAGCATGCATCTTTATGAGCTGTCTGCCTATAAACCTTGCGCGAGAGGTCCGTGCTTAATGTTGGTTTGGCAGTAAATTGGCGCGATGCACAGGTCTGCCGCATCAAATTAGCATCGACTCGTAAAACGTTACTGAATGATTCCTCAAATCTGCCAAGTCTTCAGATCAATTTTGGAGAAAGCGTCAAGAGGTTTTTTTTTTTTTTTTAACTTTGATAAACCTTTCATATTAGTTATCACAGAAAAGCATAAACCTCTCTAATCTGTCTTCCCACCAAAAAAAAAAAAGTGTTGTTTTTCCCAAACTGCTTTTAGCTCTTCCGTCTTTGCGCGCCCGCCTCCACATCGCATAAACAATGTGTGCGCCATGGATTCATTTTTGCCCTATTTTAAAGCAAACGGTAGTTGGCTCACACTGTCCATGCACTGTAGTCCCAAAGCTTGGAGAGAATTTCCACTGTACCAAGATAAAGTTCTCACCCCTGGCCTTTGAGGTAAGCAATCCCCAGCTCGCCTCCTCCAAGAAGCCTTCCATAGCTCTCCAGTGAACCCTGACCATCGCCTTATGCCCTTGTGTGGTGGGTCAACTGGACCGCAGTATCTCCGGGGAACTAAGCCCGCATTTTTTCCACTGCTGGCCCTCAGGGACGGAGCTCATGCTGAGTGGTCCATGAGGTGTTGTCACCCCCCCACCCATCTTTGAGGCCTAGCCTGGGCCTCCCTCCTCTGTGGAGGAGGTGCCATCATAACTCACTGCAGCCTCCAACTTCTGGGCTCAAGAGATCCTCCTGCCTGGGCCTCCCAAAGAGCTGGCATTACAGGAGGAATCCCAGCTAGGATCCCTTGCCCTCCCTCCCTGCTAGCTAAGTCAGGGTTGTGTATACGAAACTGCCTCCCTCCTCTTGTGGCAGTGACTGGGTCTCAAAACCACCCAAAGGGTCTGACCCAGAGCTCTCCTCCCCCAGGCCATCCTGCTTTCCCAGTAGTTCTGCTAAACTTGAGGAGGGAGGGGCAAGCCACACCCAAAGAAAGGAGGCTTCACCACGGTCTTCATGAAAACGCTGAGGGGCAGGAGTGGAGCAGCTGATGACAGGAATGGCCCTTCTGCCTTAGTTTGACCAAGGGCACATCATCTATGAAAAGACGGTGTTGGAAAAGCTCAGGGGGCCGCATGGTGCAGGGATGGATTGCTGTTCTTTTCGGGGGATCAGGGGGCTCCTAAGCTTCTCCAGAGGGACCCAATAACACATGCATCATCAGGGAGGAGGTCGCCCAAGGAGGCTCTCAAATGGCCAGTGCCTAGAGGACTGGGGGTGAGCAAGGCTGCTGGGGGCACGGCTGCAGCTCTGTTGGAAGTTGGCTTTGGAGAAGGAGGAGGTCATTCAGACATGGGACACCCCCCAGCGAGCGAGAAACCAACTTCCAGAGCCCTCACCACGGCAGCCCAGTTGACTAACGAGTCCCCGCCAAGTCAGCTGGGGTGGGAGAGGATGGAGACAACAATGGGAAACCCTTCAACCCAGCAGGTCTGCCCTGTGCAGGACTATTCTGGGCATTGTGACACAGCCGTGGACATGACAGAAAGGGCAGCATCCATGCTTTTTTTTTTTTTTTTTTTTTTTTGGTTTCGTGACAAGAAAAAAAAAAAACAGCCCTAGAAGGACCAATGGGTCAAGGGCTGTCTGATGAGTCCGGGGCTGGGCCAGGGCTCAGCACCTGCATCTCTGACCAGCAACCCACGTGATTCTGGGGCAGGTGGCCAGTTCCCCAGACTCATCCAGAGAAACTCTTGTCTACTCCATCCCTTGGCTTCCAGCCTGGGAGATTCAAACCCGCCCAGAAGAAATCAGAAGCACTGCCAGACGTTTCCACAATGTGGGGATGGAAGTGAGTTCTACAATTTGGGGACGAAAGGAAATTTTCAAATTTGTTGAATAATGTTTCCAGGTCCAAAATATCCTTGGTAAAAAAATGAACTGCATTCGTCATCTGAGAAATAAAATTAAAACCACGGTGTGATACCTCGGCATACTCATAGAATGGCTAAAATGGGAAAAACTCACAATGCCAAGTATTGGACAGGACGTGGAGTGGGAGAGTTACGTACGGAACACTCATGCATATACTGGTGAGGAGGTGGAAACATCAGTACGACCCCTTTAGAAAACAGTCCAGCAATGGAGTCGGGAGTGGTGGCTCATGCCTGTAATCCCAGGACTTTGGGAGGCCAAGGCGGGAGGATCGCTTAAGCCCAGGAGTTCGAGACCAGCCTGGACAACATGGGGAAACCCTGTCTCTACAAAAAATACCAAAACAAAACAAAACAAAACAAAAAGCTGGGAGTGGTGGTGGTGCACACCTGTGGTCCCAGTTACTTGGGAGGCTGAAGCAGGAGGACCACCTGAACGTGGGAGGTCAAGGCTGCCGTGAGCCATGATCACGTCACTACCCTACAACCTGGGCAACAGAGTGAGATCTTGTCTTAAACACACACACACACACACACACACACACACACACACACACGAAAAAGAAAACTGTTCAACAGTACCTGCACCCTGGGGCCCAACAATTCTCTTCTAAGTACATCAGGAATGTGCAGGAACTGGACATGATGACACACACCTGTAATCCCAACACTTTGGGAGGCCAAGGCAGGAGGATCACTTGAGCTCAGGAGTTCAGGACCAGCCTGGGCAACAAAGTGAGACCCCCCCATCTCTACAAAAATAAAAATAAAAAATTAGCCAGCATGGTGGTGCACACCTGTGGTCCCAGCTACTTGGGAGGCTGAGGCGGGAGGCTGGCATGAGCCCAGGAGTTCAAGGCTGCAGTGAGCTGTGATTGCGCCACTGCACTCTGGCCTAGATGACAGAGCAAGATCCTGTCTCTAAAAAAGGAAAAAATGTGTACATATCACTAAGAGACACACACAAGAATATCCATAGCAATACTGTCCATAAAAGCCAAAAACTCTAACCCAAATGCCAATCAACAAGAAACTGGAAAATAAATTAGGGTCTACCCACATGATGGAATCCTGTACAAAGAGGAAGGAACAAATAACACAACTCAAAACAACATGGATGAATCTCAGAAACCAGATGCTGACCCAGACATGGGAGCATACATACTGCATGATTCCATTTCTATTAAGTTTAAAAACAAGGGGCCAGGTGTGGTGGCTAATGCCTGTAATCCCAGCACTTTGGGAGACCGAGGCGGGTGGATCACCTGAGGTCAGGAGTTCAAGACCAGCCTGGCCAACATGGTGAAACCCCGTCTCTACTAAAAATACAAAAATTAGCTGGGTGTGGTGGTGCGTGTCTGTAATCCCAGCTACTAGGGAGGCTGAGGCACAAAAATTAGCCAGGTGTGGTGGCATGCACCTGTAGTCCCAGCTACTCGGGAGGCTGAGGCAGGAGGATCACTTTAACCCAGGAGGCGGAGGTTGCAGTGAGCCGAGATTGCACCACTACACTTCAGCCTGGGCGATAGAGTGAGACTGTATCTCAAACACACACACATACACACACACACACACACACACACAAGGAAAACCAATCCATATCGTTAGAAGTAAGGGGAGCGGTTTTCTGTGGTGGAGGGGAATGACTGGAAGAGGTCATGGGGGGGTTCTGGGGTCCTGGTCATGTTCTGATCCCTGCTCCAGTGCTGGGTACACAGCACACTCAGTTTGCAGACATTCACTGCATTGTATACGTAGGATCTGTTCGCTTTTCTGTATGTGTACTACACTTGGAATAAAAGGCTTAAATATGTACAATGGTGCATGCAGGACAAGAAGAAGACATCATTAGCAAACTGCTTAGAAAAAAATGATTTGGCTGGGTGTGGCAGCTCACACCTGTAATCCCAGCACTTTGGGAGGCCGAGGCAGGTGGATGGCTTGAGCTCAGGAGTTCAAGACTAGACTAGGCAACATGACAAAACCTTTTCTCTACTAAAAATACCAAAAAACAAACAAACAACAATAGCCAGGCATGGCGATGGGAGCTTGTAGTTCCAGCTACTCGGGAGGCTGAGCTGGGAGGATTACTTGAGCCCGGGGGATGGAGGTTGCTGTGAGCTGAGATCGCACCACTGCACTCCAGCCTGGGTGACAGAGGGAGACCCTGTCTGGAAAAAAAAAAAAAAAAAGAGAGAGAGAGAGACAAGAAAAGAAAAAGCAGAACTTGAGGGGACACTGGCCAGTGGGGCTGCCTGCCCCCTAAGCCTCTGTCACATCACCAGGCAAGGCCCTTGACCAATATGCTTCCTGACACCCAAGATAAAACGGGAGTAGTAATAATAATAGTAATAATAGCAGTAGCAGCTGCCACTGATTGTGGACTCTTAGGCACAACAGCTCTAGGAGGTGGATTCTCTTGTTAACCCCGTTTTGTGGATGAGGAAACTGGGTCCCTAGCCCACACAGTGACCGAGTGGTAAGGCTAGGATTGAACCCAGGTGGTCTGACTCCAGGTCCCAGCTTCAGCCGCAACCTAGAGGTGGCTGCCTGGGGTGGAGGGAGGGCGGGGAGTGGTTGCCATGGCTGTGCGCTGACACATTAACTCGTGGAAGAGGGAATCAAGAAGAGTGAAATAATAGGCATAGATTGTGCTTTCACAGGGATGAATGGTCATGAAATTAAATTTGCAGATGAGGCCAAACCTCATGAGGCCCCAAATCTAAGCAGGAAACAGCAAGATGGCCCCAACCAGGAGAAATGCAATTTACCACGCACACCAAGGTGGTAATCCTCGCTAAATGACTTTTGTGAGAAAGAGGCGTGTGAGTGGCTGTCGCGAGGGATGGCAAGGTAGTGATGACCACTGACAGCAGGTAGCCTCTGCACCAGCACAGGCCCAGCCCCAGGCACAGCAACAGGGAGGGGAAATCCACGTGCGATCCCAGTGCCACTCCCAGCCCATGTCAGCCTCTGCCAAGGAGATTCAAACAGACACACGAAAGCTGAGTCTTTGGAAGTCAGAATCAAATCAGACCCAGATGTCTATAGGAGGTGTAAGGAGGAATATTCCCGGGAGAAAGAATCACATAGGAAAAAGGGAAGGTGTCAGAAAGAACCAAGAGCTCTGGCCTCAGCAAGCCAGAGAGAGGCTGGCTGCCCCAGCTCAACCTGTGTGGGCAGATTGCTGAATCACATGCTGAGCCCAACCAGCATAGACAGCGCCGGCTTTTTGCACTGGCTCAATCAGTGTAGACAGCCTGCCTATATCACATACTGATTCCAACTAGTGTAGACAGACTGCATTGCACACTGGGCTTGACCACCCCAGCTCTGGGAGACAGAGCCTGATGGACGTGGCCAACATCTGAGGGGAAGCCCGGACCCAGGCTGAGCTCAGCCACAGGAAAAGCCACTGAATCTACAGAGTTTGAGAGCTCTGAACCTTGTGCAAAGACCCCACAGAGAGTGGGGCAAGCACAGACTACATGGAATGTTCTAGTGCTCATGCCCTAGACTCAACCAAGTGTAGACAGACTGCCTGCCCCACACTCTGTCTTAGCCAGTGTAGATAGACTGCCTGACCCATGCACTGGCTCCGTCAGTTAGACAGACTGCCTGTACCACGCACTGGCCCCACCAGTGTAGACAGACTGCCTGACCCACGTGCTGGCTCCGTCATCGTAGACGGACTGCTTGCCCCATGCACTGGCCCCACCAGTGTAGACAGACTGCCTGCACCACACACTGGCCCAGCCAGTGTAGACAGACTGCCTTCCCCACGCACTGGCCCCACCAGTGTGGACAGACTGCCTGACCCACGTGCTGGCTCCGTCAGTGTAGGCGGACTGCCTGCCCCATGCACTGGCCCCACCAGTGTAGACAGACTGCCTGCACCACACACTGGCCCAGCCAGTGTAGACAGACTGCCTTCCCCACGCACCGGCTATGCTGAAGTAGACAGACTGCACAGTTTAATGCACTCTGCCTGCCCACAAGCAATCGCTCAGTACCTTCTCCATGCCGAGCTCCTCCTGGCCAACACAACCAGAAAGAGCAGCATCTGCACCAACACTGTAACCTGCTTGTGTTTGCTCAACTTCTCCAGGGCCAGGTGTACGAGGCTCTGCATATGGCAGGTCAGGGTCAGTGTTTGCTGGGTGCCTGGATGCGGCACAGGAAGCAAAGCTCCTGCAGCTCAAGGCTGGAGGAGGGTCTCAGTGCTGCAAGCCTAGGCTGATGAGTCTTGTCCCAAGAGATGAGTCAGCCCCCAAAAAGGCAGCCTCGAAGGTGGGGACGACTTGTCTGCCAAGTGCGAGTCAGTCTGTGCCCGGGCTAGGGGCTGCTGGCAGAGGGGCTCTCCTGTGTCAGCTTCCCACTGATAAGCATCTGGGCATGTCCAGGGGTCCACAGTGGTGAAGGCAACAGACAGAATGGAGTGGCCAGGCCAGCCCAGGAAGGCTCATCTGGAGAGGCCGCCCTCTGGGCAAGGAATCAGCCCTGGGAGGGGGCCTAGGGGACCAAGGAGTAATGTGCAGCTCCTAGCATCCTCTGCTTAGCTCTCTTCCCTCCTGTCCCCGAGTCTGGCCCAGTCAGGGAGGAGCTGGCTCAGGCCCAGACAGTGAGGACAAGGTGACAGCGACCTGGGCTGTTGCCTGCAGCTCGGTGGCCACTCAGCTCAGGGCCTGCAGCCAGCAGCATGGGCACAACGGGAAATGGGGTGACTCACAGACCTGCTTCCCTGCTCCCCAGCTCTGGAGGACAGAGCCTGGTAGATAGGGCCGATGTCTGCAGGGAACCCAGGGCCCGACCTGTGCTGCAGACAGCCACAGGAAATTCACCAACATCAGAGGGCACTGCGGAGCTCCCAGCCTTGGGCAGAGCCCCTCCCAGAGGGTGCAACAGGTAGAGACTGGCTCCCTTGGGGAGGAGGAAAAGGAGAGAGGGCTGAGAGCAAGAAAAGGGTATAAGAGAGGATTCTTTCTGGGGCAGGTGCCAGCCAGCTGCCAGGTTACATCAGGCAGGTGGCAGGTGAAGGAACTCTAGGGGTCCAGGAAGCTAAGTGGATGAAACACACATGGAGACCACCACTGGGCAGCACTCAGCTCCGGAGGGAAGTGGGCATCCGAGCCACAGTGGGTGGTCAGCTCCATTCCCCCAGTGGAGGCCCATCCTCAATGAGTCAGGAGGCAAAAGTTGGGCCAGGACCATGGGTCTGGCCGTCGAGCAGCTTGTCCCCACCATGGAGCTATGGGCACTGGGCTGTCACTTGCCGAGTGCCCTGGACGTGCTAGGGCTGAATGGTGAGCAGACAAGAGAGGAAGGCAGTGGAAGAACCAAGGGCTCAGAGCACAGTGGGGCCACACAACCAGCAGCCTGGCCACCCAGTCCTAGGAGGATGTGACTCAGCCAGAGTGGACAGGTGCTTAGCACTCCAGGGGGCAGCCCTGTCTCAGGGAGTAGACAACTCCCAATAGCGTCCCATGGGTAACCATCCTGACCACTCCTTACCACATCCCCTCCCACACCTAATCCAGCCAGGTACCAGTTTAGACAGAATGACTTGCAGAATGCACTGGTTCGACCAGTGTAGACAGATGGCGTGAATGGTGTGCTGAGATCCACCAGTATAAACAGATGGCCTGCATCATGAACTAGGGGCTCAACCAGTGTTACAGTGCCTGCTTTGTGCACTAGCTCAACCAGCGTAGACGCACCGCCTACACCGCCCACTAGTTTCAACCAGCGTAGATGCACTGCCTACATCACACACTGGTTTCAACCAGTGTAGACAGACTCCATTGCACATTAGGCTCAACCACCCCGGCTCCAGGAGACAGAGCCTGATGGACCAGACCAATGTCTGAGGGGAAGCCCATTCACTCCTATTTAAGGCCACAGTGGTCTTTCTGCAAGATTCCTGCAGCTCCAGCCTCGCTGGTCTTCCTACTCTGCAGCAGTTCATAGGATAAAGTCCCAAGTCCCTCCCTGGTTGTGAAGACCCTGCACAGATGGGTCTCCAGCCACATGTCACCTGCTTCTTCACTCTGCTGGCGACATGGGCCTTCCCACAGCTCCCAGATGGTGCTCCTCATGCCCTCTCACACATTCCCTCCACAGGAAGCCCTTTGCATGCTCTTGCCTGTGCCTGCCTGGCATGCTGGATTCTCTCTCCCCATCCTTTCCTCCCACACTCCCCACCAACCCTGCTTAGTTCCCACTCCTCCTTCAGACCGCAGCTGAAGGGCCACCTCCTCCGAGAAGTCCTCCTAACCTCTCAGTGCAGGTCAGATTGCTCTTTGGTAGGTCTCATAGTACCTGAGTGTTTATTTCCTTATATTCTTTATATCCTTATCACAGCCTAGAATCACACATTAGTCATTTTTTTTATTAATGTCTTTGTCTGGCAGAAAATGAATTAGTGAATGAGGAATAAATGAGGAGGGTCTCCATCTAACTCACAAGGGCAGGGACCACCCTTAGCTTTGCTCACCTCATGTCCACAGGGCCTGGTACAGTGCAAGACACCTAATACCTGCTCCATAAACATGCAGGGGCAGGGCGAGGGACAGTGACAACAGGCCTGGCACCAGGAGTGTGGGACTGAGAATCATTTGGCTCCAGGTTTCAACGTTGATGATTCTAATTTAGTTCAAATAAATGTCACTCATCAGGGCCAACACTGGTCATGGCTTGGCAGGGAAAGGGCATCTTGCCCTCAGTCACCAGCACCAAGAAATACTATTTCCCAGAAATGTATGGTGTTCTACGTGCGGAGTGCGGATGTAAGACCCAGGCCACCAACCTGGGAGGACAGCTGTGTCTGCTGCCCCCAGCCCCAGGCCTGCATACGGACTGTCTTAGTCCATTTCTGTTGCTGTAAAGGAATCCCTAAGGCTAGGTAATATATAAAGAAAAAGGGTCGGGCGTGCTGGCTCACGCCTATAAACCCAGCACTTTGGGAGCCCGAGATGGGCAGATCACTTGAGGTCAGGAGTTCGAGACCAGCCAGGCCAACATGGTGAAACCCCATCTCTACTAAAAATATTAAAAAAAAAAAAAAATTAGCTGGGCATGGTGGTGCATGCCTGTAATCCTAGCTACTTGGGAGGCTGAGGTGGGAGGACTGCTTGAACCTGGGAGACAGAGGTTGCAGTGAGCCGAGATCACACCACTGTACACTCCAGGCTGGGTAACAGAGCGAGACTCCGTCACCCCACCCGCCCCCCCCCCAAAAAAAGAGGACAGGCATGCTGGCTCACATCTGCAATCCCAGCACTTTAGGAGACTGAGGCAGAAGGATTGCTTGAGGCAAGAAGTTCAAGATGAGCTTGGACAACATAGGGAGACCCCATCTCTATAAAAAAAAATTAAAAATTAATGGACATGGTGGTGTGCATCTGTAGTCCCAGCTACTCAAGAGGCTGAAGCAGGAGGATTGTTTGAGCCTGGAAGTTCAAGGCTGCAGTGAGTTATGATAGCACCACTGTACTCCAGCCTGGGCAATAGAGCGAGACTCTGTCTCTAAAAAGAAAAAAAAAAAAAAAAGGAAAAAAAAAGCGGCTTATTTGGCTCACAATTCTGCAGCCTGTACAAGAAGCATGGCACCTGCATTTGCATCTGGTGAGGGCCTCGTGCCCTTCCACTTAAAATGGAAGGAGAAGAGGAGCCGGTGTGTGCCGAGATCACAGAGGTAGGGGGTAGGTGCTAGGCTCTTTTTAACAACCAGCTCTTGTGGGAACTAATAGAGCAAGAACTCACTCCCTGCCTCACAATAGCATTAATCTATTCATAAAGGGGCCACCCCCATGACCTACCTCCCACCAGGCCCCACCTCTAACACTGGGGATCACATTTCAAGGTAAGATTCACAGGGGACAAACATCCAAATTATTGCACAGATACTCTCTGACTTCCTAAAAGGTGGCTTTGGCAATGGGGCCAGGGCTGCTTCTTGGTGTCAACCCACCTGCACGGAGGCTTCCCCAGTCTCTCGGTGGCCCAGGCTGCATTGCTGAGTTTCTAAGGGTCCGGGAATGAATCCAGCCAGTGCAGGCTAGAACACCACATCACAAATGACAGGTAGTTTTGTACAGGGTAAAAGTCACAACTTTTTTCCATGACCAATTTGTAAGCCTCACGATCTGCCATGCTGATTTACTGACCACAGGGTCACACATCCTCCAGCTGATAAGAAATGAGATGGCGTCTGCCGCATCCTCTGGCACCTGAGCTAATGCAGCTCTGTCCCCGGGTTGTCTGGGTCCGTGGGTTTCCTCTGGAGGGAACACAGCCGCTCTGGAGTCAGATGAGCCCTGAATATGGCGCCAAAGACAGCACCAAACAGCCTACTGTCACCACGCTGTCACCATGCAGATTGCTCATGCCCAGCCAACTTTCTGAGGTTGCAGGACACTGATGCCATATCTACATCCAGGCACCAACCTCAATTTAAAAAAAAAAATTTATTTTGAGACAGTCTCGCTTTGTCGCCTAGGCTGGAGTGCAGGGGCATGATCTCGGCTCACTGCAACTTCTGTCTCCCAGGTTCAAGTGATTCTCCTGCCTCAGCCTCCTGAGTAGCTGGGACTACAGGTGAGCACCACCATGCCCGGCTAATTTTTGTCTTTTTAGTAGAGACTGGGTTTCACCACGTAGGTCAGGCTGGTCTCAAACTCCTGACCTCAAGTGATCCACCCACCTCGGCCTCCCAAAGTGCTGGGATTACAGGCGTGAGCCACCGTGCCTGGCCGATCTTTTAAAAACATATTTACTTATTTATTTCATTTTTTGCTGTGCCACTGCCGGGTCACATTGATCTCCTTGGGCCAGCACTATATAAATCTCCAGTTTATAACTCGTCACCTTCTGGTTAGCTGAAAGGCTGGCCACTCATTCCACATGGTGTTTATCGGCTCTAATTGCCACGGTTGCTCACTAAAGAGCAGCCATGCGGGGCGCGGTAGCTCACGCCTGTAATCCCAACACTCTGGGAGGCCAAGGTGGGCGGATCACGAGGTCAGGAGATCGAGACCATCCTGGCCAATATGGTGAAACCCTGTCTCTACTAAATACAAAATTAGCCGGGAGTGGTGGCGCATGCCTGTAATCCCAGCTACTCGGGAGGCTGAGGCAGGAGAATTGCTTGAACCCAGGAGGCAGAGCTTGTGGCAAACAGAGATCGCAACATTGCACTCTAGCCTGGGCAACAAGAGTGAAACTTTATCTCAAAAAAAAAAAAAAGAAAGAAAGAAAGCTGCCATAATCCTGTGTCCTCTTTCCTGCTCACAGGTTCCCCGCTGCCCCACGTTTCTCCAGTGTGGCTGCCACGCACCAGTAAATCAGGGAGGGAGGTTTTTCCAAGCTGCAAAGCAGCAGATGTAGCTAAGACAGGGATCTCAGATTCCAGGCCAGGCAGCAGGCAGGAGATGGGGACATCAGCCAGGGACCTCAGCTTGGGCCACACCTTCCCCATCAGCCCCTACAAGCACAGCCGCACTCACTAAAAATTTCTCCAGCCAGACGCATCAGCAATGATCAAAGCTCCCCTTCCTCTCTTCCATCAGCAAAACCACAAAAAGCCTATCAGGCTGCCTCTGGCAGGAACTCAGAGCTCAGAGCAGGGGAGCAGCCTGCGCGAGGTTTCCAATCAGGCAAATCTGACTCTCCCCTTTTTAAGAGAACTGAAGACAAATTCTGAGAGTAGCCCACCAGACACACTTTCTCAACAACCATACGGCAAAAAAGTCGTTTTTGAACTTTCCCAGACTTATTAGCTTACATAAACAGAGATTTGAATAAATGTTTAAAAAATGAAATTCCCTGGATACCCTGTAATCAGTAAATGTTCATTATGGAAACACAGCAAATATGCATGAAATTTCCCAAGTGATATTCTGGCTACAAGATTATAAAGGCATCTCTAACAGCAGGCTGAGTTACAAAGCATCCTCTGTCGTCGGTTACAGTCCGAGGGGGATGTTCTACCAAGCCCAGGAGGTCAGACGAGCCTGCTCTCCTCTCCCAACTGGAGCCAAGGAAAATCAAAAGATGCTCATTTTGCCTGCTCAGGCAATTTATAAATGAGCCCCCACGCTGCCTGATGGATGCCTCTCGATAAATAATTAATCCTTGACCTTGCTTTAAGAAAGCCTTGACTTTTTAATTTGGGGTCTTTTTAAAAATCAATACCCGGGAAACATAATTCACTCTTGCCGAGTCTGATTCCAGGTTAATAAATAAATAAGTAAATAAATGAGCTGCACTGTTTGTGTGTCCCAGGGCGACTGGGCCAGGCAATGGGTCAGGTTCCGGCTTTGAGGTTTTTCTGTGTTCAAATGCTATTGGATAATTGATCAGCCAGTCCCACTGGAACCAACATTCAGACCCTCAAGAGGTCCCTCTCTTCAGGGTTCCAATGTTATTCCTCCCGTGGGTCACTTCACAGAGGCCAGTCTGCTGAACGCTCCTGAATGAACTCCCACGCCGCCTTCTGTGCTTGGGGTGTCCTGATTAAAATTAAAAGAGGATCTCCTGCTGGGATGAGTGTCCTTCCTGTGGCCTGTCTGCCTTGCCTTTGGGACAGGGCACAGGGTGGGCAGGAAAGGTCATGACAGCTGGAAAATGTTAAGGGCTCTGCCACACCTGCTCCACGGGTGCCCTGTCCTAGGGCAGGACTTAGGGAAAGACTTCCCCACAGGTAGGCAAGGGTCAAGGTGAACTCAGAAGAGAAAGGTTACCCAGGAAAGTGGGCTTGGTATTGTAGCTCCTGGGGGCCTTGGGCGGCGGTGGGAAATAAAAGGGGGTTGATCTGCCTCTTACCCCTCTGTCCCCCGCCCCTCTCCACCATCCACTCCAAAGCAGCTACTACCTCCCTGCACCCAACGCCTCTCCCACGTGCTCTGCTGCTGCGCCAGATCGCGCCAAGCAGATGGAGAGGGGCCGGGACGCGCGTTCCCCTTAACGGAGCTGATCACGGCTCCTGAGCCAGCGGGAGTGGCCCAGGGACGCAGAGTCCTCTGGGACGCCGGAGACGACTGCAGGACAGAGAGCCCCAGGATCGGCGCCTACTTCTGGGTTAAAACAGACAGCCGGGCAGCAGCGCCCACAGCCGAGGGCGCCGCAGCCGCTTCAACTCCGGGTCGGGGTCGCGGGCCTGGAGACAAGATGTACGCGAAAGTTAGGGCGGCGGGAGTCCCGCACTGGAGAAGGAATCGGGGTCACATCAGACCCAAGCCCCAGCATCGGGCACTGCCAAAACCCGTGATCGCCCTCCTGGCCCGGCTGGCCTCCAGCGAGGCCAGAGCGGGTCTGCAGAGTCGGTAGCCGGAGTTGCAGCCGCCGTCAGAGCTCGGCTCGGTCCCGCGGCCAAACGGATCATTTCCCCGCCCCCTGGAGCCGCCCCAGGCTCCGACTCCCGCACTCCCGACACACGCACGCACACACCTTCACACCATCGCTGACGCACGCACACTCGCCTCCAGCACTCACAGGCCGGTGCCCTGGAGAGTTGCGGGTCGGGGACGCGCGCGACGGAGCCGCTGGGTAGGAAGCCAAGGCCACTTAAACTTCCCCCATAGTCTCTGCCCGCCGCAACCCGTCCGGAGCCCCGGCTCCGAGCGCGCCAGGAAGCCCCAGCGCCCCGAGCGCTCCTGCCTGGCCCTCGGCGCTCGCTGCTCAGCGCCCGACGCCGCCTCCCCGCGGGCAGCACCGAGGGCCAGGAGGCGGAGCGGGAGTCCGCAGGGACCAAGAGGGCCCGAGGGACGGCAGTTCCCAGAAGCGCGGCAGCGAGTGAGATCCAAGGAGAGAAAGTCTAATTAAAGTTCCCGCTACCGGGGCCGGTCCCCAAAGTGCAACCAGACCCGAGCCCCGCGCGCCCACCTCCGCCCGCAGCTTCGGACTCCCATTCGCGTGCGGTGGCGGGGATGGCGAGCGGTGCAGTCCGGGGCCCGCTCGGGACCCCTTCCTGGCGTCTCTGCAGGCCAGGAGCCTGCGCAGGGCGGGAACAGGGGTGGGGCAGGGGCGCAGCCACTTACCTGGCGCAGCGGACGCACCCGAGGCCGCGGGCGCCTCCAGTCCGGGAGCGGTTCTCCGCGGCGGATCCTCTGCTTGGGGCGCGCAGGCGGCGGAGAGGACCTCCGACCCAGCTCGGGCCCGGTGCCTCCGCCCGCTCCAAGCGGAACCCAGTGCGATCTGTGGGCGAGCAGCGTGGGGCCGGCAGCCGGAGCGTGCGGGGAGCGAGAGGGCGCGGGGCGGCGTTCCTCTTCGGCCCCCGGCGCGATCGGTCCCCCACCTCCTGCTGCCGCCGCCGCCTCGTCCTCTCTCCTCCCCGCAGCACTGCCGGATCCGGCTTGCGCGCCGGGAAGGCTCCCAGCGAAGTGAGAGCGAAGCCTCCGGCGAGGCTGGAAATAGCGCCGCGCCCGCCCGGCGCCCCGCCCCCGGCCCGTGCCCCGCCCCGCCGTGGTGGCGGCTACGGCGGTGGCCGGGCCGGGCGGGGATCGCTCCAGCGATGCACTCGGCCCTCCCGGGGGCTCGCGGGCGCCGCGCCCACGCGCGCTCTGCGGCTCCCGCGGCCCCTCTGGCAGCGCTCTCAGAAAGAGTCGCTGCTGGGCGCGGTCCGGCGGCCGCGGGGGTGGGAGCGGTCGTGGCTGGGGCTGCGCCGGTCTCCCGGTTCAGGAGAGCCGGACTCCGGCCTGACGCTAGGCTCCAGACCGCGGCCAGTGCTGCCACTGCCTCGGTGGGTCGCACGCGGCGCCAACCCGGGAAAAGGACCAGGCGTCACCGGGGCGGGCCTTGACCACAGCGGGGCAGGGGCGCGCGCCCAGGACCCGATGCTGCGGGGGCGCAGGGCCGGTGAAAGGCGGAAGATTGATCCTGAGGAAGATTCTGGGATATCCCTGGGCTTCAGCTCGCGTGGAATTCGGTCAAGGCCGCGAGCTGCCTCAGGCCCGGGTGTCCGCATCCATCCTCAAATCCCTGGGGCTCTAGATTCTGCTGAAAGTGCCCTGCGAACAGGTGCTCCCTTCAGGACTTCATCCTGGAAGTTTGTGTCGGGTCACCAGCCTGAGAGCGGGGCCAACCGACCCTCTTCATACACACTCGGGAAAACAGCGTGGAGGGTGGAACCGGCCCACGGCCACACAGCACCGGGACAGAGTAGGGACAGGAACACGGGGCCCTGGATTCGGGTCCTTGTTCTTCCTAAGAAGAGGCAGCCCCAGCCTGCAGGGGACAAGCAGGCCTTGGGAAGGGGGGCAACTGCTTTCTCACAGGAGCTGGAGGAAACTGTGCACACAGTCACCTGTTAGTCTTGAAGGGACACTCAGTATTTTCAAACAACAGCAGAGAAGCCTTTAATAAAGTGAAAGACCCTTACTCTCTCCTCTCTAATGGTACCTGCTGGCTGGTTGGCCTGACTCCTACCAGCTGACCTAGAGTGAGTGATGGAATTGGGGAGTGAGCTGGGCCCATGGGTCTTGACTGACCAGAGTGGGGGACACCAGGCGGAGAGCAGAGCCACTCCTGGGGACGGCCAGGGAGCCCCTCAGCCCCAGGGCCATGAGGCCTCCTTAATGCCCCAGGTAAGCTCAGAGCATCCAAAAATAGACCAGGACAGATAAGAAGATAAATAGAAGCATGACAAAGAGATCATGGTCTTCCTTTAATTCTTGCAGCAACAGAGTAGACATTATCACTCCCGTATTACAGATGAGCGAATTGAGATGCAAAAATGCCACCATTTTGCTGGACTCCACGCATCTGGAGAATGGCCCAGGTGTGATGATTCCAAACTGGGATAGGCTTTGTTCTGGGGTTCCCTTTCCAGGACTTTAGGCTCGGAGTGACCCAGGCCTGGGGCTGCGCTGGGACCCAGGCACACTCCACTGGCTGCACGCATGAGGGGAATGTGTGTGTGTGTGTGTGTGTGTGTGTGTGTCTGAAATCACCCTCCTCCGCCTCAGTCAGGTGCAGATTGGAGGAGCTGAGTGCAAGGGCCAGGGACTCAAGTGTCAGGAAAAACAGGGCAGTGGAACCCTTATTCATCCTACATCCCAAAGCTGTTGGAGCAGAGCAGGAGAGAAGGTAGGAACAAAGAGAGGGGAGAGTGGAGTGAGCAAAAAGTCACTTGCCGGACTAGCTCACAGTGCAATGACCCCATCCCTGTCCCTGTGGTCCCCTTACCCCACACTTGCAGCCCCTCTTGCCACCCAAGGTCCTGACCATAGCTTGGCTGGGCAGCTGCCCATGAGCTCCCTGTCTGCAGTTAGGCCTGGAACAGAGCACACAACTTTTGCCACAGAGGCCTGATGGTCAAGAGAATCTCTTCAGTACCATGAACACTCCAGAGGGCAAATGCATGCACACACACACACACATGCACACACACGGAGAGAGAAAGAGAGACTTAACTGCAATGGGGAGATAATAGGAGCTCCCATTTCCAGAGCCCAGCCTCAAAGCTGGAAAGGGGGCTCTGGACCATGAGTACTTCCATGCGACAAGTCTACACAGGCTTTATTTCCCTGGGATGCATCTATACAGGCTTTGCCGTGACCAGTGAGTGGAGCGAGCCAAGCCATCTCAGCAACACTGTGCATCTGTGTGCCGCGATCCTCCTGGGAAGGATGGTTTTTCCATTAGCTTTCCCAACTGTACTTATTAGCACTTATTTGCATCTAATATTCAGGCAGACACCACTAGGAATCAATAACGCTGCATTCCTTTGACATTCTCTCCATTTTCCATTTTTAACTCAGACTTCCTTCTTGTTTTGAGAGGCCATGGGGGAAATCCCCAAAGGGGGCCTGAGGCCCCTGGCACCAACTCGCAGTGAGTTTTCCTCCGAGATTTGCCAAGGGCTGCGTGCCCTTTTTTGAAAGTCAGGCTCAGCCTCTGCAGCGAGGGAGGAGCAGGAAGGCTGCAATTCCCTGCAGGAAGCCTTGTGTGCTCACTTGCGATTTTTGATATGTGTGTCTCCACCGAAAGATTAGTGGCAAACTTGTCTCTTTGCATCCCAACTAAGGTGAAAGACATTTTTAGTGCATGGCCCCATGCGCCCACAGCCTAAGCCCCAGAAGGGCTAATAGAGAGGTTCAGGTGCCAATCTGTTTGCTGCAACAAGGATACAGGAAAGAGGAGGGGGCTTGGCTCTGGGACGCAGGCAGACCCCCGCCTCCACTGGCTCTGGGCTCCCTTTCCTCAGGCCGTTCCTGCAAGTGAAGGTTCCTGCCCGTCTTTGGGCTGGAGGCTGAAGGTGGCACAGTGGGAAGCTGAGACTGTCTCACATTGTGTTTGGCAAGACTGAGTCTTGAGTCCTGAACCTTCCATCTGTTGCCATGAGAGGAACCAGAACAGGCTGGGCATGGTGGCTCATGCCTGTAATTCCAGCACTTTGGGAGGCTGAGGTGGGCAGATCACTTGAGGCTAGGAGTTTGAGACCAGCCTGGCCAACATAGCAAAACCCCATCTCTACTAAAAATACAAAAGTTAGCAGGGCATGGTGGTGCTCACCTGTAGCCCCAGCTACTCAGGAAGCTGAGGCAGGAGAATCACTTGAATCTGGGAGGCAGAAGTTGCAGTGAGCTGAGATTGTGCCACTGCACTCCAGCCTGGGTGACAGCGTGAGACTCTATTAAAAAAAAAAGAAGAAGGAGAAGGAGAAGGAGAAGAAGAAGAAGAAGAAGAAGAAGAAGAAGAAGAAGAAGAGAAGAGGAAGAAGAGGAAGAAGAGGAGGAAGAGGAGGAAGAGGAGGAAGAAGAGGAAGAAGAGGAAGAAGAAGAAGAAGAAGAAAAGAAGAGGAAGAAGAGGAAAAAGAAGGAGGAGGAGAAGAAGAGGAAGAAGAAGAAGAAGAAGAAGAAGAAGAAGAAGAAGAAGAAGAAGAAGAAGAAGAAGAAGAAGAAGAAGAAGACGAGGAAGAAGAAGAAGAAGAAGAAGACTTGTTCCACAGAGGAGTTTGGGAGCCATCTATACTGGCAGGTCGGGAACACCTCATCTGTCTCCCTGCATCCCATGGGAGGAAGAAGGGAATGATGGGATGGGCCAGGAGGTCTGCTTCAGCTCTCCCAGGTGCCAGCTAGGGGGTCTTGAACTTGTCTCCTAACCCCTCAGAGCCTGTTCCCTGTATGCAGAGACAATAGACTGTCCCTGCAGAGGAAAGGTGAAGGGTGTCATGGCATTTTGGGAATTGGAGTCCTGTGACCAGACTGCCCTTAGCCACCCACAGACTAGTCACCTCAGGGTATGACGTGGCCTGGCCTTGCTTCCACGTCCAACATCTGGCCCTGTAATGGCCTCTGCAATATTGTGACCCCAAGGCTTCCTGAAGTCAGTTCAACACACAGACAGGCCAGTGACGTGCTGATCAGAGTGCCATCCAGGCGGGAGACTCCTCCTGGGAACGGACCTGCCTTCCTCAGCTGCTCTCTGGGGCCTGTGTGGGCTCCGGGCCATGCCTTCCCTCCCCAGGCCTCGACCTCCCCATTCGAAAGATGAGGGATGGGGGCCCAGGATCTGAAGGCCTGCTGTGCAATTCCATGATTCCTAAAAGTTCCTCACCAGGGAACGTGGCCCAGACTCATTTCCAGCCAAGGTATCCCTTGGCCACCTTATGGGATGAATGTTCCTTCCCAGGCCTTTTCCTCCTCTCTCCTTTCCCCTTTTCTGTCACCTCTTGGGTTTTCAAGGAGCTGGAGGGTCACTTTGTTTCCTTCTGAGTTGAGTTGTCTGAAATTTCCTGATGTCAATATGCCTGGGTGGGTATCCCCTGCATAAGCAACATTGCTGGGGGTTCTGGGCATCCCTGAACCCCATATACCTGTCACAATTTCGAAATTTCACCATCATTCCTCAGGGTATAAGAATGGTTTCTCTTGGCTGGGTATGGTGGCTCACGCCTGTAATCCCAGCACTTTGGGAGGCAGAGAAGGGCAGATCACAAGGTCAGGAGTTCAACACCAGCCTGGCCAACATGGTGAAACCCCATCTCTACTAAAAACACAAAAATTAGCCAGGCGTGATGGTGCACGCCTATAATCCCAGCTACTGGGGAGGCTGAGGCAGGAGAATTGCTTGAACCCAGGAGGTGGAGGTTGCAGCGAGCTGAGATGGCGCCACTGCACTCCAGCCTGGGTAACAGAGCAAGACTCCGTCTGAAAAAAAAAAAAAAAAAAAAAGGAATAGTTTCTCTTTAAAGAGAAGTTTTTCTGGGGCAGGCTAAAGTGACACCAGTCCTTAACACAGAAGAGAGTTGGTGAACAGATGTGGTTTTCTAGAGAGTGCACAACAGAAACTATGACTAACTTGCAAAGAAAGGGGAGACTTTATTTTTCTGAGACAGAATCTCACTCTATCACCCAGGCTGGAGTGCAGTGGCATGACCCTAGCTCACTGCAACCTCAAACTCCTGGGCTCAAAGGGTCCTCCCACCTCGTTCTCCTGAGTAGCTGGGAACACAGGTGTGCACCACCATGGCCAACTAATTTTTTATTTTTTATTTTCTGTAGAGACAGGGTCTCACTGTGCTACCTAGGCTGGTCTCGAACTCCTAGGCTTGAGTCATCTTCCTGCTTGGCCTCCCAAAAGTGTTGGGATGATAGGCATGAGCCACCATGCCCTGCCAGACTTTCTTAAAAGGACACTGGGGAATCCAACAGAGCAGAGAGGCGCTGAGTACCCAGGAGGGAAGAAGGCAGGAACCAGGGAATAAGGTTCGAGTACTCTGGGGGCAGCTGTTGGCTCTCTAGGATGGGTCGCCATCCCTAGAGCTGCAGACCACTCACTGCCTTGGTGGCCCTGATGCGCTCCCCACAGCCTGAGGTGGGCAGGCCTGCAGGGGGCTTTGCTGACCCCAGAGCCCAAGACAGAGCCATGCCCAAGCCAAGTCCAGCCCCTCCATGCAAACCAGGCTTGGAGCCAGCTTGGCTACTCTATTGAGGTCTTGCCAAACTCAAGTTCATTTTGATGCTTCTTAATTAAAAAAAAAAGATCTCCACTGGACTGCCTGCTCCTGGTCACTCCTTCAGTTCCCAAGTATCCTTGAGACGGATGATCCTCCAGTGGCGGGGCTCCTTCTCCAGGCCTGCCCGTGGTGGGGCGAAGGACACTGTCTAAGGTGATGATGAACTGCAGGAGGGGGTCTAAGACGCTCTTGACAGAAATAGTAGAGATTCTTCTTTTTACTTTTGGGGTAAAGAGTTTAAAATTCTAGAATATGTCCATGTCACAATTCAGTAAATCCTATTTAATTGGAACCAAACTAATTCAGCACTCACGTCATACACGGCCAGGCTGAAGTTTACTTTTTTACTGTCAGTCAAAGGCAGTGGGAATAGGCTTGCAGGGGGAACATCTCCCCCACCTTGTACAGTAAATGGATTTTGACTTCTATTAACATTGGAGTCCTTCTGTGCATCTATCTGCATTCAGATACGAATGAGCTCATTATAAATAGTTCTCTCTATTCAGTCAAGTTGGCTGGGCTAACCTTGTTTGGTTATATGTTGTTAGTCATTAACTGGGGTAGCGATTAAAATAAGGAAATTACTATATGACCTAAATAAACAGCACTTCTATTTAAATGCTCCCTAATTTGGAGAGCTCTCTGGCTTAGTTCAAATTGTCCAGGCTCAGCACTTGCTACTGGCTTCCCAGAGCAGAGTGGCTGTAGCTTGCTCAACTTTACTCAACCTTCTGGAGTCTGAGTAGGGCAGCAGGGCCTCTGAAGTCAGGATCTCCTTTCCAGAATCAGAGCCCAGAGTGCATTTTCAAAACTCCTGTCCTGGCCGGACACGATGGCTCACACCTGTAATCTCAGAATTGGGAGGCTGAGGCGGGCAGATCACGAGATCAGGAGATTGAGACCATCCTGGCTAACACTGTGAAACCCCATCTCTACTAAAAATACAGAAAATTAGCCGGGCATGGTGGCACGTACCTGTAGTCCCAGCTGCTCTGGAGGCTGAGGCAGGAGAATCGCTTGAACTGGGGAGGCGGAGGTTGCAGTGAGCTGAGGTCATGCCAGTGCACTACAGCCTGGGCAACAGAGCAAGACTTCATCTCAAAACAACAACAACAACAACAACAAAACTCTTCTGTCCTTTCCAAGTGTCTTTCCATCATGTGGTAGGAAAGTTGGGCTTAAGTATCTTCTGAGTTCCTGACGTACTTAAAAGCATTTTTTAAAATCCAAACTTGAATTCTATTCTAAATGTAATGCTTGGTTTTAAGGATTGGGTTTGGAGATTTTGAGAAGAAAGAAAGGATTACTTTGAAATGAATAAAACTGTTTCCCCAGGAACACTGCAGAAGCATTTATCAGATGCCACTGGAGGCATGCCGTTAGGTGAGGAAGTGCACTCTGAGACTTCCCTGCCCCAGGGAGGTTTATGATCAGATGGGCTTAGAAATGTGGCATCAAGGACACACCAGTGGTAGTGTCATAGCCAGGCTAGGGGGACTGCATTCTGGAGGAGGCTCAGATCTGCACCCCCAGAGCTAGAAAGCAAAAGGGTCACCAAGCTCGGTACTAGTTATTGCCTGCCCGAGACAGACATTCTAAAAAAAAAAAAAAAAAAAAAAAAATCTCCCAAATGTAGTTGGTAGGTTTCCAGGTTTTCTCAGTCCCTTTTGGCATAGGCAAGTTGTGCCGTAAACCATGTGGGCGGCCACAGCAGAGATGGAAAAACAGCAGCAGGTATGGCCTTTCTTCCCTAGGCAGTCCTGAATAAGCGTTATTTTCACAACGCACAGGAGCCCACACAGTGCCTGGCAGTATGAATCTCTCCACTGGGACTGAAAACAAAAGCCTCACAGATGATGCATCCAAGGAGACAAGATCAGGGGGAGCCCACCCATCAGGCAGGATGCCCCTCAGAGGGACATCCGAGAGCAGCAGACCTGGAATGCCAGCCCCATGTCCAGCACCCGACCTGGGCCCCTGAAGGTAAGCCTCTGCCATCCACTCTCCTGCGGGAAGACGCATGTATTAGTCCGTTCTCACCCTGCTATGAAGAAATACCCAAGATGGGGTAATTTATAAAGGAAAAAGGTTTAATTAATTCCCAGTTCCGCATAGCGGGGTAGGCTTCAGGAAACTTACAATCATGGTGGAAGGCACCTCTTCACAGGGCGGCAGGATGGAGTGAGTGCAAGCAGGGGAAATATCAGAGGCTTATAAAACTGTCAGATCTCGTGAGACTCGCTCACTATCACGAGAACAGCATGGGGGGAAACTGCCCCCATGAGCCAATTACCTCCACCTGGTCCTGCCATTGACACGTGTGGATTATGGAGATTACAATTCAAAATGAGATTTTGAGTGGGGAAGCAGCCCAACCATATCAGTGCAACAGGAAATTTACAAGTTAGCTTTGGAGGGATGTGCTCAAATCCTTATTTTACAGGTCCACAGAGGTGAAGGAGAAACTGGAAAAACCGAGATGCACAAAATTTTTTCCAAATTGGAAGCAGGTAATACTAAAATGTACTGTCAACTCCTTCTGTCCCTGGCTCAGCAAGTGACAGCCAGCCAGCCAGGCTCCCAGGGGACACCCCCTTTCCAGCTTTGCTAAGCCGTCCTCCAGTGCAGAGAAGGTGTCAAGGTCAGCAGATGGCATGGCCTGCAGAAGGTTTATGGAGACATCTCCGGCTTTCCCAGATTCCTGGCTGCAGAAGTGTGTTCTGAATGGACACCCTTGGACATCTGGAAAAATGATACTCTCTCACCAAAAATAGAAGGTGGTTGGGGCAGAAACTGAGACCAGCAACTGCCATTTTGTGGCTGGGTTCTCCCAGCACCCAGGAAACTTCATCCCTCAGGCAGAGCCTGGGATGCCCTGGAGTTGAAAGCACTGCCCAGTGGCGTCCTGTCTGTAGCTATGGAAACAGAGAGACAGTCGCCTCCCTGTTGGCTTTCGTGCCAGAGACATCTTGCTGTCAGTTGTGTTTAAAGTTAGCTTGAAAACAACAAGACGATGCAAGTCTCCTCTTTTGACATCATGCAAGGGGCCCTATGGCACGGAGGCAGCCATGAATATCGCAGTGTGGAACCTGTCACACTCCGTCCCCCGTCCCTGTCCTCAGAGAGAGCTTCCTGTATGCATTCTTGTTGCAGTGATGTCTTGGGCTCTGATGAGTGCACCCTTCACGCCTGTTCCTGCATTGGTGCCTTGTCCCAAGATTCAGGGGGACACAGCATGGGCCAGCTCAGCCCCAGTTACAGATGTGCTAAGATGGTGCCCAAGCCCAAGCCCTAGCTGGAGGCAGGCTCGGAGGCAAAGCCCAGCTCCCTTTACTGGTGTCTGGGCCATCTGCCTTCAGGCACAGACTGTCCAGCCAAGGTCTTGCTGAGGAACTGCAAGGGACAGGTTGTGGGGGGCAGGCGGTGGGCAGTGCAAAGGGGTAATGCAGCTCACCCTCAAGGAGGAAGGCTGGAAGACAGATAGACAGACAGATAGACAGACAGGGACAGACAGACTTTAACTAGAGTGCAAGGCAGACTGGGATGGAGCCATGAACAAGGTGGCTGAGTTGTCTGCGCTGGGAATCAGGCATCAAAGGTCGCATTTGCCCTGACCTAGTCTCACCTGGCATGGCCTCACTTATAATAAGACTCTCAGTCATAAAAACCAAGGAGACAATGATTCAACACGTATTTTGTTAAACACAGAGGATACCCTGACACCTACAGATAAAGCAATCTCACTTCCGTGCTCAGAAAAGAAAAAAAAAAAATAGAACCTGCAATTAGAAGGTAAGATTGCTGAATTCTGGAAAACAAACCTAGCATTTAGGAAAGACAATGTCTGGGGCAGGCCACTAATCAATCAGGGCCTCTGGAGGGAATTAAATAGGGTGTAGACAAGGAAAGATAAGCATTTAATTTATGTAGACTAAACAGATTTCTCACCAAAGGTCATCAAAAATATTAAGCTGCCAGGTACAGTGGCTTGTACCTGTAATCCCAGAATTTTGGGAGGCCAAGATGGGACAATCACTTGAGGCCAGGAGTTTGAGATCAGCTTGGGCAACATAGTGAGACCCTGTCTCTACAAAAAGTACAAAAATTAGTCAGGTGTGGTGTAGTAGTTCCAGCTACTCAGGAGGGTGAGGTGGGAGGATTGCTAGAGCCCAAGATTTTGAGGCTGCAGTGAGCTATGATTGCATCACTGCTCTCCATCCTGGATGACAGAGTGAGACCCTATCTCTCTCTCTCTCTTTCTCTCTCTCTCTCTCTATATATATATATGCACATATATAATATATATTTTATATGTACACATATACACACACATATATGCATACACACACTCACACACATTTATATATATATATAAAGCTAACATTATTCCATTTTTGAAAATCATAACCAGATGGCATGTATTAGTCTGTTCTCACATTGCTATAAAGAACTACCTGAGAATGGGTAATTCATAAAGAAAAGAGGTTTAACAGCTCACAGGTCTGCAGGGTGTACAGGCTTCTGCTTCTGGGGAGGCCTCAGGAAACTGACAATTACGGTGGAAGAAGAAGCAGGCACATCTTACTTGGTGGGAGCAGGAGGAAGAGAGAGAAGAGGGAGGTGTTACACACTTTTAAACAACCGGATCTCATGAAAACTCTATCACAAAACAGCACTAGGGGGATGGTACTAAACCATTAGAAACCACCCCCATGATCCAGTCACCTCCTACCAGGCCCATCCTCCGACAGTGGGGATTACAATTCGACATGAGATTTGGGTGGGAACACAGAGCCAAACCATATCATTACACTACATGAGAGATGCTTGAATCAGGCCAGGCTATTGGAACACAACTTGGTGTCTACCTTGGCTTGTTCCCCCAAAAGGAGGCAAGAGACAAGCACATGGGTTCAGGCAGCTTGTTTGGGAGTGATCTCAGGAAGTACAAGGCAGGCTGGCAAGCTTTGATGGTACCAGGGAAAGTCCCTGGTAAAGAAGAAGAGAGATGTAGGTGCTTGAGATTACAACTGCCTCCTGAGGTTGAGCTCGGGTGGGCTGAGCAGATATGGGAAGCCATCAACAAGACCTGCTACAGTGTCATAATCAGCACAAGACACTCTATGCAAACTACTGTTTACATACTTTTTCTCCTCCAGTTTGGTTGTTACAACGCATTCCTTAAGGATGTTAAATTGTCAATATTGAAGTTCTTCCTGGGATGTCTTTGAGAAGATGGCAACAGTGTTAGGGGCATCATTTTGAATATGCCACTAATAAAAAACAGACAAACTAGATAGCAAAACCAAAAACCTATGGGAAACACTCACAATAAAACTAGTGGGCAATGCATCCCCTAAAACACCAAAATATTGGTGGGTAGGGACTGCCTATTTTGTAACTAACAGTTATTAAACTGGCATAGTATTAGTATGCATACAGAAGGAATCAAAGGGAAGAAACAGGGTGTTTGTCATCTCTAAGAACAGGAAACTGCAGTTTGGATGTGACTTGTTTGTCCCCACCAAAATTCATGTTGAAATTGGATCCTCTATGTGGTGGCATTGGGAGGTGGGGCCCAGTGAAAGGTGTTTGAGTCATGAGTAGATTAATGCCCTCTCTAGGGACTGAGTTCTTGCTCATGAGGGAATGGATTAGTTACAATGAGAGCAGGATGACAAAAAGAGTCTGGCTTCCTTGGTTTCTCTCCCTCTTGCTTACCCCCTTGCCACGTGATCTTTTTGTGCACATCCCCACTTCCCTTCCATTTTAGGCAAGAGTTGAGGCAGCATGAGGCCCTCACAGATGCAGCTGCTCCATCTTGAACTTTCCAGCCCCAAGAATCATGAGCCACATAAACCTCTTTTCTTTATAAATTACTCAATATTCTGTTATAGCAACATAAAATGGACTAAGACAAGGAGTAACCCCAAAGAGGCAATAGGTATTCATTCACTGGAAAGTACAGAGATCCAGCTTCACAACAGGAGCTGAAACGGGAAGGGTTTTGCTCACTCCATTAGTGTGTAAGTACAAAGGGCCTCATGTAAAAAGATGAGAAGAGGATGGAGTAGCATAGCCCCTGTGAACTCTTGAAACTGACCAGCCAGGTCATCCTTCCAGGACAAGGCTGCACATCAAGAAGACACTGCTGAAACAGGAAACAAAATTGAATAGAGCAGGAATGATAGAGGGGAAGGAAGCAGAGTATCCAGATAAAAGTAGAGACATTTTTATAAGAACCAGGAATCTAAAAAAATAAAATAAAATAAGCTGCCATATTTTTTAACAGTGCATGAAAACAACAAAAGAGAAAGCTTTGTGAAGTTATAAAAGCTGTCTTGAACTCAACCCCATTTTTAAGTTCAGAAAAATTAATTTCACCTTTACAAAAATGAGCAGCAGGCAAAGATCAAAGTCCTACTCTATACAGTTTTTTTTTAAAAAGAGTAAGAAATAGAATAACATCTTCACAGATAATGAAAAACATGCCAAAAGATATGCCTGCAAAACAAAAAACTATAACCTACTGTTTTAAGACAAGCTAGAAGCAATTATTTAAACAAAATAAGATGCAAAAAAACCCAACATAAATCAGAAATAGAAAAACTCAGAAATTAACAAATTTAGGGGGGGAAATGAGTTTAAAAGAAAAAAGTTTCAGAAATTAAGACTAACCTAGAAAGATTGCAAGAGTGAATAAACACAAGAGATAATTCCTCAGAAGAAACAGAAAATGAAACAAATGGAAATTTTTAAAAATCTAAGAAATGAGCAAGGATATAAAGGCTTCAGGAGAAAGTGACAAATCTCGAAGTTGGGTAAAGAGGATCCAACATACAGAGAACAGGGTTCCCTGAAGAAAAACCCAAAGCAGGGATCAGAACAAATACTAGAAGCTATAGTTCAAAAAGGTACTATGTTATTTAGAAATAAAAAGTTTTCAAACTACATATTGAAAAGTCACACCATGTTCCTGAGAGTACTGACCCAGAATGACTAACACCAAGGCATGAATTTAGTGAAATGATAGAACTTCAAAGGAAAAGAAAAATCTTTTGAGTGTCTAAGCAAAAATAGCCCATGATTTGTAAGGGATTGGAAATTGGATTATCATCAACTTTTTGACTGCAACATTTGTGCCAGAAGAAAATTGAGTAACATATTTAAATAACTCAAGAAAATAAAATGTGAGCCAAGGATCTTATATTCAGGGAAACTGACTTTCAAGTATAAAGGGTACAAACAAACTTATCAGTATGTAACAGTTCAGGAAATATTGTTCCCATGATTCCTTCCTGAGGAATTCACTAGAGAATGAACTTCAGAGAAACAAAGTGTCTAGAGAGACATCAACATAAGGTGGTGAACATTAAATATATAATTTACAGAATTAAGAATAAGTGAAAATTTTAAAAAAGCATAGTATATAATGGCTATATTCTCTGACAATATAGATATAGTACAGTTATTTATAAATTGAGGGATAAGAGAATAAGAAATGCATGCAGAAAAAAAGCATAATAAAAAAATTTTAACTGTTTTCAATAATGATGTTGATGGAAGTAGTATTGGCATTTTATACTAAGAATGCTGTGTGTGTAATATGGGATAAAGGAAATAAGTAATTCTTGTGTATTTCAATTCTGTCATCTCCTGGGCCTTTGAGAACTAGGATTTTTTTTGGTGAGAAAAAGGAGTTCAGGAATAAGAAAGAATTTAAGTAAACATCCAATAATTCCTTTACAAATTTTTTTTCAGGTAGAGATGGAGTCTCACTATGTTGCCCAGGTTGGTCTTGAACTCCCGGGCTCAAGCAGCCCTCTTACCTCAGCTTCCCAAAGTACTGGGATTATAGGCATGAGTCACTCCACCCAACCTCCAATAATTCTTAATTTTTTTTTTCATAGAGATGGACATTTTGCTATGTTTGCTGGTCGCAATAGAACTCTTGGGATCAAGAAATCCTCCCTCCTCAACCTCCCAAAGTGCTGGGATTACAGGAGTGAGCCACTGTGCCCGACCAGCACCCAATAATTCTACATTTGAATTGGAAGAATCAATATAGACATATGAGACATTTTACATTTATTTCTTAATAGAATTTATTTTTAGAGCAGTTTTAGGTTCACAGTAAAATTAAGTGGACAGTACAGAGAGTTCCCATATACCCCCTTCCCATAGGCACATACAGCCTCCTCCACCATCAGTACTCCAGATCGTTGTGGTACGTCTGCTGCAATTGATGTACCAACATTGACCAACATCAACCAAAGTTCATAGTTTACATTATGGTTCACTCTTATTGTCTGTGAATTTCGACAAATATATAATGACATGCATCCGTCATTACAGTATTGCACAGAATAGTTGCACTGCCCTAAATATCCTCTGTGTTCTGCTGATTCATTCCTCCCTCCCCACAAACCCCTGGCAACCACTGAGTTTTTTACTGTCTCCACACTTTTGCCTTCTCCAGAATGTCATAGAGTTGGAATCATATAGTATGCAGCATTTTCAGATTGGCTCCGTATACGTAGCAATATGCATTTAAGTTTCTTCCATGTCTTTTCATGGCTTGATAGCTCATTTCTTTGTATATTTTGGTTAGCAGTTCTCTATTGGATATATCTTTTGAAAAAAAAATTTTTTTTTGAGACAGAGTTTTACCCTGTCACCCAGGCTGGAGTGCAGTGGCGGGATCTCGGCTCACTGTAGCCTCTGCCTCCAGGGTTCAAGCAATTCTCGTGCCTCAGCCTCCCAAATAGCTGAGATTACAGGCACATGCCACCATGCCCGGCTAATTTTTGTATTTTTAGTAGAGATGGGGTTTCACCATGTTGGCCAGGCTGGTCCCGAACTCCTGACTTCAGATGATTCACCTGCCTTGTCCTCCTAAAGTGCTGGGATCTTTTGAAATACTTTCTTGCAGTCTGTGGCTTGTCTTCTCACTCTTTTGACATTTTTTCTTTTTTAAAAAGATAGATAAACAGATAGATGATAGATGGATAGAAGATAGATAGATAGATAGATAGATAGATAGATAGATAGATAGATAGATAGATAGATTCTCTACTGATTGAAACCAGGACTTCTTGGAAAAATGGCTGATTGCAGGTCTAGAACAGGAAATGTGTAAGATAAGCCTGGACATCTTGTCATGCTGGATAGCAAGGAGGCTATCAGAGACTAAAAGATCATATCAAAAGGACACGGGAACCATCTGCAAGGGGCTCCCACTGGCCAAACATAGAGCCATTTGAGCATCAGTAAAGACGATAATTGTGATGGATAAAAACCCATAAAATATGTTTAAATCTTCAATTTATGAAACTACTTAAAACATTGTCACCTTCAGAGGATGAGGAACAAATTCACTCTCTGAAAAACAGGTAAATAATGAGGAAAGAATCGCACATTTATCCTGCCTCTGTTTAATATGTGAACTGTACCACTGGGTAAGCAAATGGTGGACGACTGGAAGCATCTCTTTTTAAAAGTACTCAAGTTAATATGTGAGGAAGTGACAGAATTAGAATATCACCATTTTGAAACCCCTAGTGAATTAACAGAGCTAAGCATTGTGCTGCAACAGCTGTTAGCATCACACAAAGAGAGGCAAACCGGATATTATGTGCCTCCTAACGAAGGAATGCAGCACCTCTGGTCCTGCCAAAAGGACAGAAGGTGAGTGTGATCCAACTTCTGGATCCATCTGCCAATTTGCAGGAAATAGGGAAGAACATCTTGAACTGCACCAAGAGTATCAATCAGCAGAATCCCGACAGTAGGAACTCTGTGGATCAAAAGGCTTTGGTTCCTCGATAGAGAAATTGTAAAGAAAAGAAGTGGGAGGAAACCTGTGGATTGAAAGAGACTCAAACGATAGATCGCATTTTTTTAAAATGGCAAAACTACATCATATGTCTTGGAAGGCACACTTAGGTGATGAAAGATGTTACCAGAAAGGGGGTCCTGATCTAGACCCCAAGAGAGGGTTCTTGGATCTCGTGCAAGAAAGAATTCAGGGCGAGTCCACAGTGCAAAGCAAAAGCAAGTTTATTAAGAAAGTAAAGGAATAAAGAATGGCAACTCCCTAGACAAGAGCAGCCCCAAGGGCTGCTAATTGCCCGTTTTTATAGTTATTTCTTGATGACATGCTAAACAAGGGGTGGATTATTCATGCCTTCCCTTTTTAGACCATATAGGGTAACTTCCTGCGTTGCTATGGCATTTGTAAACTGTCATGGCGCTGGTGGGAGTGTAGCAGTGAGGACGACCAGAGGTCACTCTCATTGCCATCTTGGATTTGGTGGGTTTTGGCTGGCTTCTTTATTGCGACCTGTTTTATCAGCAAGGTCTTTATAACCTGTATCTTGTGCTGACCTCCTATCTCATCCTGTGACTTAGAATGCCCTTACCATCTGGGAACACAGCCAAGTAAGTCTTAGCCTCATTTTACCCAGCCCCTATTCAAGATGGAGTTGCTCTGGTTCAAAAAACTCTGACAAAAACATAAAGAAAGACAGAAAAGAGGTTACTGTAAAAGTCATGTGAGGGTCATTTTTGCAGGGAAGGTGGCAGTTCAGACTAGAAGGAAACCCAGGAGGTGCTTCCCAGGGACAACAGGGACATTGGCAAAGTTCTATTTCTTGGTCTGGGTGGTGGCTGTAATAATAACTCCATAAGCTATACATGTGTTTGACTTATTTTTTTCTGTCTGTTTTATTTTACAATAAACATTTTTCTTTCTTATTTTATTTTATTTTTATTTTATTTTACTTTATTTTCGAGACGGAGTCTCACTCTGTCACCAGGCTGGAGTGCAGTGGCATGATCTCGGCCCACTGCAATCTCCGCCTCCTGGGTTCAAGCGATTCTTCTGCCTCAGCCTCCCAAGTAGCTGGGACTACAGGCGCGTGCCACCACACCCAGCTAATTTCTGTATTTTTAGTAGAGAAGGGGTTTCACCATGTTGGCCAGGATGGTCTCGATCTCTTGACCTCGTGATCCGCCCACCTCAGCCTCCCGAAGTGCTGGGATTACAGGCGCAAGCCACCTCACCCAGCCTCTTTTTTTTTATTTTTTATAGACAAGGTCTTGCTCTGTTGTCTGGGCTGGAGTACAGTGGTGTGATCATAGCTCACCGCACCCTCTAACTCCTGGGCTCAAGTGATCCTCCTGTCTCAGCCTCCTGAGTAGCTGGGACTACAGGCACATGCCACCATGCACAGCTATTTTTTAAAAAAAAATTGTAGAGATGAGGTCTCGCTATGTTGCTCAGGCTGGTTTGAAACTCCTGGGCTCAAGCAATCCTCCCTCCTCAGCCTCCTAAAGTTCTGGAATGATAGGCATGAGCCACTGCGCCCAATTCCTCAATCTTCACTTTGAACACAAATTTAATGATGCTTCAGAGAAGTTAAGGCAGTGCCCAGCCGTTGCCCAACCATTTCCCCCGCCCTGCCTCGGGAAAGCATCTGCCATGGCAGCTGCTCAGGAGAAGCAGTGACATCTGTGGACTCTGGGGCTCAAGATAGGTTCATCCTGAACAACGCTTCAGGGAGAGACAAGCACAAACAGCTGTGTGTGGGCCTCTGACACTTCTGCTTCCCATCCAGGCTTCCCACTCCAGCTCACAGGGCTCCCCCATAACATGGGGTTCTAGTGCACCCTCATGTAAACACAAGGTACCACCTGCATTCTTGGAGATCCAATTTTGGGCTGTGTTTAGAAGGTAGCATCATAAAGGTGATTTCGATGAAATAAGGTCTACATCAAACTGCTGAGAATAATGGCTTCCCATAGCCCCCACCATCCTGGTTTATGCCCACTTAACAGATGGAACAGCAGAGGCTGAAAGATCAGTACTTATCCTGGTTGGAGATGAGTAAGGGCTCTTGAGGGTGGTGCTACTATTTTCCATTTAACAAGCATTTACAGCAAAGGCATGGAATCAACCAAAATGCCCATCAATAATAGACTGGTTAAAGAAAATGTGATACATATACACCATGGAATACTATGCAGCCATAAAAAGGAACGAGATCATGTCCTTTGCAGGGACATGGATGAAGCTGGAAGTCATTATCCTCAGCAAACTAACACAGGAACTGAAAACCAGATACCGCATGTTCGCACTTACAAGTGGGAGCTGAACTATGAGAACACATGGACACAGGGAGGGGAACAACACACACTGGGGCTTCTGGGGTTGGTGGGGGATGGAGAGCATCAGGATAAATAGCTAATGCATGCAGGGCTTGATACCTAGGTGATGGGGTGATGGGTGCAGCAAACCACCACGGGACGTTTACCTATGTAACAAACCTGCACATGTACCCTAAAACTTAAAACAACAACAAAAAAAGCATTTACTGAGATTTTCCTGGGCAGAGATGGTTTCACCCTGGACCCTGCACATGTACCCTAAAACTTAAAACAATTTAAAGAAGCATTTATTGAGATTTTCCTGGGCAGAGATGGTTTCACCCTGGACCCTGGCCTCCCCAGCTCAACTGAGGGAGGGAGGAGCAGGTGGTTCACAGGACAGGAAGCAGTTTTCTCTCACCTGGTGTTTACTTGCTCATTATCTTCTAAGGCCACAGATGCCTCTCACGCCTCCACCGACAGACACATTTACCTCCTTCCCAAAGGACAAGTTACAGAAATCCCAAGGACCCCAATTCCCTACACTCTGGTCTCTGGGCCAGCTCTTCCAGAGCATCACTCCCTGTGATTCATTCTGATGCAGGAAGCCAAAGATTCCTTCAACTTCATCATCCCTGTGATGTTTAGGGACAGAGCAAGCAGGGCATGCCTGGGCCTATACCTCGCAGAGCCTCAGCCTGGCCCGCAGACCTGAAAACGTCTGCACCTCGTGATTTCCAGAAGGGGATAGAGGCTTTCTGGTCCACAAAAGGAAAAGACAGGGATTAAATCATATTTCTCTCAGGTAACCCACTTCACCACCAGTTTGAGTACAGTAAACCCATTTTAAGAGCATCCCCCAGGAAGCATAAAGTTTATTTCGTTGTACCATATAATCCCCTGTAATGGAAAACCAGTAATGAGGATGCCAGCAGCAGGTGCAAAAGGCAGTTTTACATCAATAGAAAATTCAATTCTCATTAATCTCTTCACAGCCAACATAATTGAGTCTTCACGGGGACCACCGGACTCACCCTCACCCCCACCTCACCATTCCCTTCGACAGGCTTGTCTTCCCATCGCTGTGCTGGAATTTGTCTGGAAACAAAGAGAAAAACATCGCTGATACCATCTCAGGCGATGTGGGTTTGCAGTGAGTCTCTTTATTCCCATCACTGAGTTATTACTGACATCCAAGGCGCTGAGCTCAGTCTCAAAGGCCTTCCCTCACTATGTAAATAGCATCCTGCTTTGTTATTTATTTCTTAGCTTTCTTCTTTCCTCTCTTGCCCCCAGGGTTTTTTCTTTCTGAAGATATCACAAGGGCCACATGCCTCTTTGCTATCGCAGCGCTCTCCGTTTTAGCAGCATGAGGAAGAATTATGATCCAGGCAAGAGCCCGTGCCTTGTGTGTGGTTGTATGTCTTGTCGGCCTCCCCATCCTCCCAGGTTGAGGTGATAATTCATGCGGGGGTGACAGCCGGTTTAAGAGCGATCACTGTGGAGCCACTGGAAAATACACAGACTTCATAAACTCCCAATATTGCCTCATCTGATCTATTTCTTTCATTGCTTTCTTCTCCCCCACGTTAAGCTGTGATCATCCTTAGCGTTGAGTAAAGTTGCACCAGCCTGATGTTCAGGCCAGCTCCATTAATTAAAACACTCCCTCTGCATCAATTGCCAATAGGCTCTCTTTCCAGCAAGGGCAAGCACATGAACATTAAGCCAGGCCAGGCATGCTGGCTCACGCCTATAATCCCAACACTTTTGGGAGGCCGAGGTGGGAGGATTGCTTGAGGTCAGGAGTTCGAAACCAGCCTGATCAACACAGCAAGACCCCGTCTCTAAAAAAAAAATTTAAAAATTAGCTAAATATGGTGGTGCATACCTGTAGTCCCAGCTACTCCAGAGGCTGAGGCAGGAGGACACCTTGAGCCTGGGAGGTCGAGGTTGCAGTGAGCTGTGATGGTGCTACTGCACTCCAGCCTGGGTGACAGAGTAAGACCCTGTCTCAAAAATAAATAAAGCCAAAACCAGACTTAGATTGGTTCTTCATGCAGACCATGAAACACAAGCCAAGCAGAGATGGGGCAGGGGTGTGGTCCATGAGCCAAGGTCTGTCATGGAAAGGGAAAGCTGCAACTTCAGAGTTCTCCCTTGAAGCAGGCCTCATAACCCCATAATCAGAGTAAGCAGTTGCCAGGATGAGTAGTCTCCTACCTCGTTCAGGGTCTGGGGTCTGTCTTGGATGCTTAGGAAAACTCTGCTCCTTCTATTGCCAGAGATAGCTCTGGGTTTTTTCCCTTTTCAGGTGAAGTGATGAGTTTTGCCAGCTGAGGCTGAGGCACTGTCAGGTGTGGGAAGAGCAGCCTTGTCATTCAGCAGCCTGTAACTGCCCAATGGGTTCTTCTTGCCTGCTGGTTAGATAGAGCCAATCTACTGAGACAGCATTATTACAATAGAGAAAGACTTTAATAAATGCATAGCCAGATAAACAGGACACTGGAGCTTTATTACTCAAATTAGTCTCCCTGAACATTCAGAGACTAGGGTTTTAAAAGGATAATTTGGTGGGCAGGGGGCTAGGGAGTGGAGAACGCTGATTGGTTGTGTTGGCGATGAAATCATAGGGGGATTGAAGTGGGTTCTTGTTGCTGTCTTCTCTTACTAGATAGGATCATAGAACTAGCTGAGCCAGTTTATCAGTCTGGGTGGCACCAGCTGGTCCATTGGAATGCAGTGTCTGAAAACTGTCTCAAACACCAATCTTAGGTTTGATGAATGTGATGTTATCCATAGGAGCAACTGGGGAAGTTAGGAATCCTGTGGCCTCTGGCTGCATGACTCCTAAACCATAATTTCTAATCTTGTGGCTAATTCCTTAGTTTTACCTAGGTGGTGTGGTCCCCAGGCAAGAAGGGAGTTCATTTCAGGAAGGGGCTGTTACTATCTTTGTTTCGAAGTTAAACTATAAGGTAAATTCCTTCCATAAGTTAGCTTGGTCTATGCCCACAAATGAACAAGGGCAGCTTAGAGGTTAAAAGCAAGATAGAGTCAGTGGGTCTTCTCATTGTCATAATTTTTGCAAAGGCTATTTCAAACCATCACCTGCATCCCCATGAGACACCCTGGTGCCAGCTGCCAAGTCAAAGCCCCCAGCCAGGAATCCCAGGCTGGGCTTGGGCAGAAAATTGGGGTCTATCCACTGTCTACCATCATTCTCGGACCTTGATGTCCCAGAAGCCAGGGACACGGCATTGCTTTCATCCTTATGAAAATAAAGACAACCAGGGGCAGCTAGGGCCAGTTGGAAGCCCAGCAGAGCCAGGGTATGGCTTGAGAGTGGGGTCTAGGTAGGCCCCCCACCACAAGAGCTTGGGTTCCTTGGTGGGACCTGGGGTCAGAGGGACAAAGGTCTTTCTGCTGGGCCTTGTCCTCCCCCTGGGTGTATCCCTCTAGGACTTTGAGGTGTCTCCATTTCTCAGGTCAAACCTCTTTTTTGTTTTTGTTCTTTGTGAGACAGAGTCTCACTCTGTCACCCAGGCTGGAGTGCAGTGGGATGACTTTGACTCACTGTAACCTCCACCTCCCAGCAAACCTCTATTTTTAAACATGCACCCAGCTGTACACAGTGGCTCAAGCCTGTAATCCCAGCACTTTGGGAGGCTGAGGCAGGCGGATCACTTGAGGTCAGGAGTTCGAGATCAGCCTGGCCAACATGGTGAAATCCCATCTCTACCAAAAATACAAAAATTAGCCAGGCATCATGTTGCACACCTGTAATCCCAGCTACTCACAAGGCTGAGGCAGGAGAATCACTTGAACCCAGGAAACGGAGGTTGCAGTGAGCTGAGATCACACCACTGCACCCTACTTGGGTGACAGAGCAAGACTCCATCTCAAAAAAAATGCACCCCACTGCCCAAACTCATCACAGAAGCCCTGCCAGCTCCCATCAGCCCATTCCCCTCTCTGCCCCATGAAGGCTGCCCCTTCTCTCCCTACCTGCTTGCTCCTGCCCCTCCTTGTTGCCTCTGCTGGGAAGAGTAGCTGCTCCCTCCTGCAGGGCCTGGGCTGGCTTCTCCTCTCACAGTTTCCAGATGGAGTTTCATCCTCTGGCTCCTCTTGCTCTTCTGCTGCTGAGGTCCAGCCATCTCCATCGACCTGTTGATGACCACTGTGCTCCCAGACCCATATGTGGCTGAGCCAAGGAAGGTCAGATAACAGAGACAGTTGGGGGAAACTTGACCACAGAAGGACGAAGTTGAGTTACCACCACTGATTTGTGAGATGAGTTACACTGAAAGCTGGGGCCACAGCCCTTTGAGGCCTGAACACTTGGATGTTTCTTTGTTTTTATTAAGAGACACGGTCTCTGTCACCCAGGCTGGAGTGCAGTGATGCGATCATAGCTCACTGCAGCTTGGACCTCCTGAGCTCAAGCAATCCTTTCACCTCAGCCTCCCAAATAGCTGGGATTACAGGCATGAGCTACCATGCGCAGCTGAAAAATTTGAGTTTTTATGCATTGCTATTTATTTTACATCCAACAACCAATAACAAAAATGAAACCCAAAAAACCAAGGCATAACTTGGAAGTATGAAGTGAGAATATAGACATTTTTTTCCAGGGTGAGACAGGAAGGATCACAGAGGTCGCCCTTGGGGCCAGCCATCAGGGAGGGCCTGACATCAGATGGAAAATTGCTCCGTCCTTGCTTCACTTCTTTAGGAAGAAGCATGAACTTGCTCTCCCCATGTGCAGGGCCAGAGGGGTTTAAGATAACACTAATCTCCATAGAATCTCCTGGCGTCTTCCATCATAGCCGCACTCAGCTCCCATCCTTAGCACCTCTCCTTTAATGATTCGTAAGGACTTAATGGGTCACACTTGTCTGGGTCCCACCTCCCTGTGGTCACCTCTACCTGAGCAGTCCTTCTAAAATATGACCTGACTCTGCCAGTCTGATGCTCAGAAAGCACTAATAACTGTTCACCACTTACCTAATCAAAGGCGCAACCCTCACTCTGTACTGAAACCATCCTCTCCTTTCTTTGGAGCATTCCCTAGACACGTGACCACCTTCCCTCCGGGAAATACCCATTCAGGCTGCTCTGCAGGCACACTCCCTGCCGCCCACTGCCATTCCTCAAACCCTGTCTTAGAGCCACCATTGCCTGTTTATTCAATATTGC
Organism: Homo sapiens; assembly: GCF_000001405.40. Classification (NCBI taxonomy): domain Eukaryota; kingdom Metazoa; phylum Chordata; class Mammalia; order Primates; family Hominidae; genus Homo; species Homo sapiens. The sequence continues at coordinate 33,599,029 of NC_000019.10, read as the reverse complement.
TCCGAGAGTCTTAGCCTGTGCAATTAGTCAAGAAAAAAAATAGATACAATGATGGAAAAAGAGAAAAGATGGCAATTATCTGATTTCAAAAAATTAAATGAATGAAAAACCATTAGAATATCACCAAAAAAAAAAAGGACTGAGATCTGTAGTTTTCCCATATAGAAAATAGTAGCTGGTTAAATGTAACAAGGACTGGTCACTGTGGCTCACACCTTTAATCCCAGCACTTTGAGAGGCCAAGGTGGAAGAATGGCTTGAGGCCAGGAGTTCAAGAACAGCCTGGGCAATAAGCAAGACCCTGTCTCTATATAATAAAAAATATTTTTAAAAATAACAAATAAATAAAAATAAATATAATGGGGTAAAAAGATTCAGCATAACAACAAAAATATAAAATATCCCAGAAAAGAATATCCAGGAAAAGAAATTTGCAACACCTTTATAAAATTTAAAAATCTATAAAACTCTATCATGGGAGATAAAATAAGAGCTTAATAAATGAAGAGATGTGTTATGGCATAAGAATACTTGGTAGTAACAATATTTCAATTCCTCCTAAATTAATCTGTAAATGTAACTCCAATAAAGTTCTCAGCAGGATTTAGGGAGAACTTGATAAAATTCAATGGGAAGAATTCCAAAGGACCAAGATGAACTAAAAAATGATTTGAAAAAGAACAATAAAAGTAGACTTGGGATGCTGATTAAAAGTTGAAATAGATAAGTAAGACAACAGAACAGAAAGTAGATCCTTTCATATGTAGAAATTTGGAATTAAATAATAGGTATTTACTTGGCACCTGCTATGGACTATACCCTGTTCTAAACACTTTACACGTATTAATTCATTTAATCCTGACATCAACCCTATGTAGGTTACCATTACTATCCCAAGTTTATAGATGAGGAAATTAAAGCACAAAAAAGGTAAATAATTTGCCCAAGTCAGGGGTGATACCTTGCGCCTGTAATCCAAGCTACTCAGGAGGCTGAGGCAGGAGGATCACTTGAGCCTGGGAGGTCAAGTTTGCAGTAAGCTATGATTGTGCCACTGCACTGCAGCCTGGGTGACAAAGCAAGATTCCATCTCTAAAAAAATCCTTTTAAAAACCTGCTCAAGACTGGGCACGGTGGTTCATGCCTGTAATCCCAGTACTTTGGGAGGCCGAGGCGGGTGGATCACCTGAGGTCAGGAGTTCGAGACCAGCCTGGCCAACATAGCAAAACCCCATCTCTACTAAAAATACAAATATTAGGTGTGGTGGTGCATGCCTGTAATCCTAGCTACTTGGAGGCTGAGGCAGGAGAATCACTTGAACCTGGGAGGCAGAGGTTGCAGTGAGCTGAGATCGTGTCACTGCCCTCTAGCCTGGGTGACAAAGTGAGACTGTCTCAAAAAATAAACAATAAAAAATTAAAACCTGCTCAAGGGCACACACTGTTATTTAACAAAAGAGGAAGATAAAGTCAGTATAAGAAGAATAGTGTATAAAATACATAGGAATAAGTGGAAGAAATGAAGTGAAATTTCCTACCTCAAACCACATACAAAATTGAATCTCAGATGTGGAAATGATTTCAACTTAAGAAGAATCAAGAGAGTACTGGATACTCAGAGTGGTGATATTCATGATAGCCAAAAGGTAGAAGCAACTCAGATATCCAACAGATGAATAGCCAAGCAAACTGTCTTATATCCATATGGTGGAATATTATTCAGCCATAAAAAGGAATGAAGCACCGATACCTTCTTCAACATGGATAAATCTTGGAAGCATGATGGCAAGTGAAAGAAGCCAGACCCAAAAGGCCACATGTTGTATGATTTCCATAGAGAAACAAAACAGACTGGTGGTTGCCAGGGGCTGAGGCAGCAAGGAGGGGAGAATGGGGAGTGACTGCCTAATGGGTATGGATTTTCCCTCTGGGGTGATAAAATTGTCCTGGAACTAGATAGAGATGATGTGGATCATCTCTTTAAATTATACCCTTTAAAGTGGTTAATGGTTAATTTTACATTATGTAAATTTTACCTTAAAAAAAGGTAGTAGGGCAGGGCTCGGTGGCTCACGCCTGTAATCCCTGCACTTTGGGAGGCCAAGGCGGGTGGATCGCCTGAGGTCAGGAGTTCAAAAACAGCCTGGCCAACATGGTGAAAACCTGTCTCTACTAAAAATACAAAAAATTAGCCAGGTGTGGTGGCACATGCCTGTAATCCCAGCTACTTGGGAGGCTAAGGCAGGAGAATCACCTGAACCCGGGAGGAGGAGGTTGCAGTGAGCCATTGCACTCCAGCCTGGGCGACAAGAGCAAACCTCTGTCAAAAAAAAAAAAAAAAAAAAGGTACTAGAAGACTTCATAGAAGAGTGAATTTAACATCTTGGTGTGTTAGATTGTTACAAGAGTGGCATCCAATGAGTCACGCCTCCCCATGCCCACTCCCCTTTGCAATGTGGCTTTGTTGTTCTTTCCATCAAGAAGTGAAGTCAACAAAGATATCATCCCTTGGATCTAGGCTGGCCTCATGACCTGCTTTGACCAATATAGTGCAGGAGAAGCAATATCATGTTAGCTCCGGAGCCTCTACCTTAAGAGATGTTGCAACTTCCACCTGGCGCTCTTGGAGCCCTGAGACCACCACGACACAAAGAGGCCAATCTAGCCTCTTAGAGGATGAGAAGCCATGTGGTGCAGAACCGAGGTGCCTATAGGGGAGAGAAAAACATGCCTCTACTTCCTGAGGATTCAGTAATTGTGTCTGTGAAATAAACTGACAGTGGTCAAATTAATAGGAAAAAAAGGTATATCAATTTATTACATGCATGGGAGCATTGCAGGAAGGAAAAATGAATATTCTCCAACCCAGTGAGATCTAGAAACATATATACCCTCACCATAGGAAAGAGGGGATGTAGGCAGCTTAGGGGAGAGTAAGTGATTTTTGGGGAATGATGGATGACCCTTCAGAAGAACAAGTGATAGCCTGGGACAAAGTGTTGACATATTGTTGACCTCCAGCTTCCTCTCCTGTGATCTGAGTTAAACAGCCTTGACTGATGAGATTCCTGGGGAGGAAATTCATGACAACTGAGTTCCTTTAGAAGGCTCTGTCTTCAGGCAGATAAGGGAAGCTCAGAGGAATCTCCTTCCTGCATTTGCTCTTCCCCAAGTGCCCTCAGTTTGAAGTTCAAAATGGCTTATTTTGGGGTGGAATTTCCGGAACTCCTTCATGCCCCAACCCAAAGCCAGAACCAGCTGTCAGCTTTAGTTGTGTAAGTGATCCCAGGTGAGACCAGCAGGAAAACCACCCAGCTGAGCTCCACCTAAATGCCATCCAGATAATTGAAACAAGTAGTATACTGCTATTGTTTTAAGCCACTATGTTTTGAGAGCAGATTGTTGTGCAGCAATAGATAACTGATGCATTTGGGCTGAGGAAGACTCTTTTCTTATTGCAGTACTAAAGAATAAAATGACAGAAATAGGACAAATCTGACTACATTAAAAATTTAAAACTTCTGTTAGGCAAAATACAAACAAAACACTACTAATCAGTGGTACTCATCCTGGGGGCATGTCAAAACCGCCTGGAGAGTTTTTTTTGTTTTTGTTTTTTTGTTTGTTTGTTTTTGAGACGAGTCTCTCTCTGTTGCCAGACTGGAGTGCAGTGGCGCGATCTCGGCTCACTGCAACCTCCACCTCCCGGGTTCAAGTGATTCTCCTGCCTCAGCCTCCCAAGTAGCTGGGACTAGAGGGGCGTGCCCCCACGCCCAGCTAATTCTTGTATTTTTAGTAGAGACGAGGTTTCACTACGTTGGTCAGGATGGTCTCGATCTCTTGACCTCATGATCCACCTGCCTTGGCCTCCCAAAGTGCTAGGATTACAAGCGTGAGCCACCGCGTCCAGCCTGCCTGAAGAGTTTTTTAACATGCACATACCAGCTTCATCCCAAGGAAACTTTGCAGACTCTCCAGTGTTTCAACTCAATACATGTGGCATTAGGACAGAGTTAGAACAAGGATTCTGTGGCCAGTCAATAAGTTTGGATCCCATTTACTGATTGTGTGCCTTTGGGCAGTTATTTAACCTCTCAGTGCCCAGGTCAGAGCTATTGCTGTGAGGATTAAAGAATTTGATAAATTAATGTATGTGAGACAATTAGAGGAGTGTCTGGAATATACTAAATATTTAGTAAATTTAGCCAGCTTGTGTATGTTGAAAATTTTCCAGGTGATTCCTATATATCATCCATAAAACCAGAAAACAAAATTTTACCAAGACAGTGTATGTAGAGAGTCATTTGCAATACTCACATTTTTGTATTTGCTCATATTATGCTTATATATATTTGCTCATATTACGATGAGAAGAAGATCATTGTCCTTGTAATTGCCCAATGGGTTATTCTTGCCTGTGGCAGACAAAGCCAATTCACTGAGACAGCGGTATTGCAGTACAGAAAGAGTTTAATAATTGCAGGGCCAGCCAAGTGGAAGGATGGGAGTTTATTACTCAAATAAGCCTCCCTGGAAATTCAGAAGCTAGGGTTTTTCAAGGATAGTTTGGTGGCAAGGAGCCAGAGGAATGGGGAATGCTGATTGGTAGGGTCAGGGATGAAATCATATGGGGTTGAATGATTGTTGACTTCAGTTGACTCAGTTTCTTGGTATGGTTACCAGTCTGGGTGGTGGAAGCTGGTCTATCAGAATGCAGGGTCTGGGAAATACCTCAAACACCAACCTTAGGTTTTACAATAGATGCAATCTCTAGGGGCAATTGGGAAGGTTAGGAATCTTGTGGCCCCTGGCTACATGTCTCTTAGCCATATGTTAACCTTGTGGCTAATCTGTTAGTTTTACAAAGGCAATCTTGGTCCCAAAGCAAGGAGATGCTGGTTTTAGGAAGGGGCTGTAATCGTCTTTGTTTCAAAGTTAAACTGTAAACTAACTGCCTTCTATAGTTAGCTTGGCATGTGTCCAGGAATGAATAGGTACAACTTCGAGGCTAGAAGCAAGATGGAGTAAGCTATGCCAGATTTTTCTCACTGTCATAATTTTTGCAAAGGTGGTTTCATTCTTAACATATAAAGAGCTCTTAATAATCAATAAAAGAAGATGAAAAGACAAAGGCAATCAATTCCAAAAGAGGGGATATGCAATAAACATTAAAAGACATTCAACTTCAGTGACCAACAGAAACGTATATTAAAACAATGTTTTGGTCTATCATATTTGCAAAGAGTTAAAAAGGAGGATTGCCAATGCCTATGAGCATGTGGAAAAACAAGAACTTTCAAACACTGTTAGCTAAATTCTGAATTATTACCATCTTCCTGATACCAATGTGGCAATATATGTACACAGTTGCAATGTGAGCCGCTTCTTGGAATTTATCATAAGGAAATCATCAAATAGATTAAAAACAATGTATGAATAAAGATGTTCATTACAGCACTCTCTATAAAAAGTCCGAAGTTATAACAACTAAGATCCCAGTTAATGGAGATCCATAAAGTAAAAGGTATTGATAAGGAACAGAGCAGGTTTCAGAGCAAAGTGAATATGGTACGACCCATTTTTGCAGATGTGTATGCAGGGGGCTGTCACTAACCATTGTCCCAGCTGGTGAGGAAGGAGTTGGTGGTGGGGTATAATATTAGGAAGTCCAGGCCAGGTACAGTGGCTCAGGCCTGTAATCCCAACACTTTGGGAGGTGGGGAGATCACTTGAGACCAAGAGTTTGAGACTAGCCTGAGCAACATAGTGAGATCTTGTGTCTACAAAATATTTGTTTCTAATTAGCTGAGTGTGGTGCTGCATGCCTGTAGCACCAGCTACTCAAGAGCCTGAGATGGGAAGAAGGCTTGAGCCCAGGAGGTCAAGGCTGCAGTGAGCTATGATCACACCATGCACTTAACCTTGGACACAGAGTGAGACTCTGCCTGTATAATAAAATAGATATTTTTATTACATATAATAATAAACTTCATAGGTATACATGACAAACATATATTATAAACTTCATATATAATATATACACATAATAATAAACTTCATATATAAGTTTATATATGATATAAAGTATATGTTTATCATTTATTACATATATGTTGCTATATATTATTATACATAATTAAAATATATACTTATATATAATATATAAATATTTATTATATATAATAAATATATTTATATGTATATTTCCTTATGTGTGTATTAGGAAGCCCAACAGGCAACAGGGCTGCAGATCCTGTTAGCCTCATCAGTGCTGACAATTTCATCTCCATCTGTCTGATTACTGTATTTTATTTTTCAATCAGTTCAAAACGTGGTGGGGAGGGAACAGTATTATTTATTGCACACCTCAAATGCCAACAAACTGCTCATCTTCTCTTGTTCTTTCACAATATGCCTGATTGGATGAGCCATTCAGTCTATCATTTAAGAACCAAAAACCTGATTACCCTTTTCTCTCCAGGGCAGGAAGGGCTTAATTTTGCAAAGCTTCCCAGGAGGAGAGAGGAGATATTTGTATTCTGTCTCTCTAAAGCAACAAAAAAGAGAAGAAAGATCAAATAGTTTCCAGTCTCTAATAAAGCAAGGTGAGCATTTATATTTGGCCGCCACATATATGTAAAATTTATTACAAAAACAGGGGGACACAGCCGGGTGCGGTGGCTTACGCCTGTAATCCCAGCACTTTGGGAGGCCAAGGCAGGTGGATCACCTGAGGTCGGGAGTTCAAGACCAGCCTGACCAACATGGAGAAACTCTGTCTCTACTAAAAATACAAAATTAGCTGGGGTGGTGGCGCATGAGCATGCCTGTAATCCCAGCTACTCGGGAGGCTGAGGCAGGAGACTTGCTTGAACCCGGGAGGCGGAGGTTTCAGTGAGCTGAGATTGCGCCATTGCACTCCAGCCTGGGCAAAAAGAGTGAAACTCTGTCTCAAAAAAAAAAAAAATGGGGAAAAAAGACTGTTAGGACGTGTACCCAAGGATGACGTGGAGGAGGGAACGGGAGGGTTGAACAACAAGTTCAAGTCCAGCCTACGCAACATAGCGATACCCCATCTCTAAAAACTAAAACAAAAAACCACCCCAAAACCAAGGTATTAATAGTAATTGTCTGAGCAGGTGGTATCAAGGGTATTTCCTGTTTTCTTGAATCTGATTTTTCTGTCATCTACAGACATTTCTCTTGAAATAGAAAATACATCTTGGTCAGGCGCAGTGGCTCATGCTTGTCATCCCAGCACTTTGGGAGGCTGAGGCGGGCGGATCACGAGGTCAGGAGATCGAGGCCATCCTGGCAAACACGGTGAAACCCAGTCTCTACTAAAAACACAAAAAAGTTAGCCAGGCGTGGTGGCAGGCGCCTGTAGTCTCAGCTACTCGGGAGGCTGAGGCAGGAGAATGGCATGAATCCAGGAGGCGGAGCTTGCAGTGAGCCGAGATCGCACCACTGCACTCCAGCCTAGGCAACACAGCGACACTCCGTCTCAAAAAAAAAGAAAATACATCTTATACAACCATACCTCAGAAATATTGCAGGTTCACTTCCAGACCAACTTAATAAAGCACATATTGCAATGAAGCAAGTCACATGAATTTTTTTGCTTCCCAGCACATATAAAAGCTATATTTACATGATACTGCAGTCTATTGTGTGCAATAGCATTATGTCTAAAAAAATACATATACTTTAACTTAAAAATACTTTACTGCTTAAAAATGCTAATGATCATCTGAGCCTTCAGCTAGCTGTAATCTTTTTGCTGGTAGAGGGTCTTGGCTCAATGTTGATGATAGCTGCTGACTGATCAGGGTCAAGGTTGCTGAAGACTGGGGTGGCTGTGGCACTTTCTTAAAATAAGACAAAATGAAATATGATGCATCGATTGACTCTTTCTTTCATGAAAGATTCCTCTGCAGCCTGCAATACTGTGTGATAGCATTTTACCCACAGTAGAACTTCTTTCAAAATTATAGTCAATCCTCTCAAACCCTGCCACTGCTTTTATCAACTATGTTTATGCAATATTCTAAATCCTTTATGTCGTTTCAACAATGTTTACAGCATCTTCGCCAGGAGTAGATTTAAGTGACCACTTTTTCTTCTGTCATGCATAAGAAGCAACTCCTCATCTGTAAAAGTTTGATCACAAGGTTGAAGCAATTCAGTCACATCTTCAGGCTTCATTTCTCATTCTAGTTCTCTTACTATTTCCACCCCACCAACAGTTATTGTCTCTACTGAGGTCTTGAACCCCTCAAATTCATCCATGAGGATTGGAATCAACTTTTTCCAAACTTCCGTTGATGTTGCTATTTTGACCTCCGTCTCATAAATCACAAATATTCTTACTGGCATCTAGACTGGTGAATTCTTTCCAAAAGGTTTACAGTTCACTTTGCCCAGATCTATTAGAGGAACCACTCCCTGTGACAGCTGTATCTTTACAACACATGGCTCTTAAATAATGAGACTTAAAAACCAAAATTACTCCTTGATCCATGGGCTGCAGAATGGATGTTGTGTTAGTAGATGAAGGAGCAAAGGACGTGCCATCTCAAAATATTGATTATTGATTGGTATAATGATTATTATACCAATCATATCTTGGTATATTGATTATTTTGGGAACATCAAAGAAATTATGATTGCAGAAAGGGCTAGCTGACCTCTTTCTGCATTCAGCAAGCCATAAAGATTCCTCTTGGAGACTGGTACCCTCACCTATACCAGGGCAAGAAAACAGCTCTGATCAACAGAGACTGGGATTTGGTGGCTACAATGGACCTGAATAAATAGATTTAACAAAGTAACTGTTATCTTCCACTAGTTTCCCTCTCCATATCTTCTAGTGACCCCTAGAAAATTTACTGCCCCTGCCAAATTTTCTTTGTCCTGTTATTTCTTCTCAAATTCATTGTTCTTTATCTAAAAAGTATGAAAAGATCTTGCTTTGGCCACTTCTTCAGACTTCACTCTCTTGTGAAGATCCCCATGTACATGTAAAACTCATAACATTCATATGCTTTTCTCTTGTTCATTTACCTGGGTGTGCATTGGTTTCTAGATCCAGCCGAACAGCCCACATAAGTGCTCAAGGGAGTGTTGAAGGTGATCTCTGACTCCCCTACACAGGCATGAAAACAATATTAATCCATTGTACATCTGCATCAGAGTTCTTGGGTGACCAGGTTCATTGTCAATGAGCAGTAATATTTTGAAAGGAATCTTCTTTTCTGAGCAGTAGGTCTCAACAGTGGGTTTAAAATATTCAGTAAACCACCCTTTCAGCCGGAACTGCCATCTTCCAGTAATTTGCCAAAATGACGAAGACAAAGGGAAAGAGGAGAGGCACCCGATATACGTTCTCTAGGCCTTTTAGAAAACATGGAGTTGTTCCTTTGGCCACGTATATGCGAATCTATAAGAAAGGTGTTATTGTAGACATCAAGGGAATGGGCACTGTTCAAAAAGGAATGCCTCACAAGTGTCACCATGGTAAAACTGGAAGAGTCTACAATGTTACCCAGCATGCTGTTGGCATTGTTGTAAACAAACAAGTTAAGAGCAAGATTCTTGCCAAGAGAATTAATGTGCGTATTGAGCACATTAAGCACTCTGAGAGCTGGGATAGCTTCCTGAAATACATGAAGGAAAATGATCAGAAAAAGAAAGAAGCCAAAGAGAAAGGTACCTGGGTTCAACTGAAGTGCCAGCCTGCTCCACCCAGAGAAGCACACTTTGTGAGAACCAATGAGAAGGAGCCTGAGCTGCTGGAACCTATTCCGTATGAACTCATGGCATAATACTTGTTAAAAAAAAAAAAAAAAAAGACCTCCAGACTATAAAAAAATATATATATGTGTATATATATATATTCAGTAAACCATGCTATAAACACATGTCATCCAGGCTTTGTTGTTCCATTTACAGAGCATAGGCAGGGTAGATTTAGCTTAGTTCTTACGGGCCCTAGGATTTTCAGAACGGTAAATGAGTATTAGCTTCAACTTAAGGTCACTAGCTGCCTTAGCCCCTAACAAGAGAGTTAGTCTGTCCTTTGAAGCTTTGAAGTCAGGCATTGACTTCTCCTCTCAAGCTCTGAAAGTCCTAGATGGCATCTTCTTCCAATAGGTGGCTATTTTGTCTACACTGAAAATCTGTTGTTGAGTGTAGCCACCTTCATCAATGATCTTAGATAGATCTTCTGGATAGCTTGACGCAGCTTCTCCATCAGCATGTGCTGCTTCACCTTGCACTTTTATATTATGGAGACAGCTTCTTTCCTTAAGCCCCATGAACCAACCTCTGCTAGCTTCCAACTTTTCTTCTGCAGCTTCTTCACCTCTCTCAGCCTTCACAGGATTAAAGAGAGTTATGGCCTTGCTCTGGATTAGGCTTTGGCTTAAAAGAATGTTGTGACTGGTTTGATCTTCTATCCAGACCACTCGAACGTTCTCCATACCACCAATAGGCTGTTTAGATTTCTTATCATTCAGACATTCACTGGAGTAGCACTTTTAATGACCTTCAAGCGCCTTTCCTTTGCATTCACAGCTTGGCCAGCTGTTTGGCACAAGAGGCCTAGATTTTGGCCCATCTTGGCTTCTGACATGCCTTCTTCACTAAGGTTAATCATTTCTAGCTTTTAATTTGAAGTGAGAGATATTCAACTCTTTTTTCTACTTGAACACTTAGGGGCCATTGTAGGGTTGTTAACTGGCCTAACTTCAATATTGTTGTGTCTCAGGACATAGGGAGGCCTGAGGAGAGGAAGAGAGAGGGGAGAATGGTCAGTTGGTGGAACAGTCAGAATACACACAACATTTATCAATTAAGTTTACTGTCTTATAGGGTCATGTATGTACACATAGTAATATGTACATAGTTACCATGTACATACTATGTACATGTACATAGTAACATCAAAAATCACTGATCACAGATCACCATAACAGATACAATAATAATGAAAAAGTTAGAAATATTGCAAGAATTACCAAAATGTGACACAGAGACAAAAAGTCAGCACATGTGACTGGAAAAAATGACACCAATATACTTGCTCAACACAGGGTTGCCACAAATCTTCAATTTGTAAAAAATGCAATGTATGTGAAGCATAATAAAGTGAAATGCAATAAAATGAGGTGTGCCTGTATATCTTTAGGTTTTTGTTTACCTTTTGGAGATGTCTTCTCTGTTCAAACAAGTCTCTAATCCCAGCCCCTTATTTTGACAATTGTGCTGGTGTCCATTCCGTACAATATCATCCTACCTGCTCCCCAACCCTAACCCTACCTCCATCCTGGCCTATGAAGTTTGAACCAAGAGTAGTCATTATCCCAAACTTGGCCAACAGAGATTCCCCTGACCAGAATTTTGGAATAGAGCTGGGAAAGTCAGCCCTTCCTGTGGCTAAACCAGTGATTTAAATAGTCAAGAAAGGGGCCAGCCATGTTCTCAGTCATGTGGTAATGGGAGTCCAGGCTGAGTCACAGATTTTCCTGAAACCTGGCTGGATTCCTGTCCACAGATTCTGCATACTTTAAAATACAACAACAACATGTTTGTGTCTAAGCCTATTCTAGTCGAATGAAATAATCAGAAGAATATTAACAAAGATCAACTTTGGTACCAGAAGTGGGGTTATGAGTAAACTGTTCCTCCCTCAAAGACTTACTGAGACAGGATGGGAGTAAGGAAATAAGTCAATAGTGAAGGTGTCCCATTGAACACTGAGAAATATCTCCCCTGGTTATGTGAACCCCAAATATCTGAGTCAGGTCTCAGTTAATTTGGAAAGTTTATTTTGCCAAGGTTGAGGACGTGCATCTGTGACACAGCCTCAGGAGGTCCTGACAACACGTGCCCAAGGTGGTCAGAGCACAGTTTGGTTTTATACATTTTAGGGAGACATGAGACCCCAGTTGACATATGTAAGATGAACACTGGTTTGGTCCAGAAAGGTGGGACAACTCGAAGCAAAGGCAGAACAACTCAAAGTGGGGAGGGGGCTTCCAGATCATAGGTAGATAAGAGACAAATGGTTGCATTCTTTCGAGTTTCTGATTAGCCTCTCTGAAGAAGGCAATCAGATATGCATCATCTCAGTGCACAGAGGGGTGCTCACATTAATAACAGCATTAATCCGTTGACTCTGCCATCATGGCCTTATCAATTCTCCTTTTGGGCCCCACCTCTGAACACTTGCACTGGGGATCAAGTTTCCAACATCTTGCTTTTTGGGAGACACATTTAGATCATTGAATAGAAAGGGAGGCAGGTTTGCCATGAGAAGTTCCCAGCTTGACTTTTTCCTTTAGCTTAGTGATTTTGGGGTTCCAAGATTTATTTTCCTTTCACATTTATATATTAGAAATGTAATTGATGGGCTTATTGGCTCTTGGCTGTAAGAGTAGGGACCAATAGAGAGTAAGGCTATAGGAAATCCCTATAGTTAGACAGCTCAGGATTTTATAAGAGATGTAGTACCAGAAAAAAGAAAATCTGGCCAACAGGGGGCTTGTGATTCTCAGTCCCTCAAGAAAGCCACAGTTTTGTGTTCAGGCTCTAAGTGGGAGTAAATCATCACGGCCGTCAGCCCTTTCAGGGGATCCCCCACGGTGCTCCTTTCTGGGTGTCCCCACAGGACACTGGATAGGGAATTCCCCCCATTACAAGCAAACCCTGGGGTGACTGCTGGTCATGGAAACAAGCCACCAAAGAATTATGGAAGGTAAGAATTCACTGGAACCATCACTGCCTTATTCTCTCCAGGAAGGAAGAAATGGTATCTGCTTTGGACTGGCAACCAAGTAGGGTGAAGTTCTATTCTAGAAGGCTCTTAACATGTTCTCTCTTCTAAATGAAATTGGCTACCATCCATGGGGTGTGTTGGGGAAGATTTCATTATCATTCAGCCTATGGGTGGCACAACGAGGAAGGCAGGCAGATAGAGTGGAGTGGCCTGCTTTCTCTAAAAAAGAAGTATGCTCTAAGAAGACGAACCTTATCCCTGCCTGGCGAGAGTGGGCAGGGTCAGGTGGGTTTCAGGCACTTTCTGCTGGGAGAGAAGTCCTCTGATGTAGGGTGGGAACAGCTGGACAGGCAGGAGGGGGTATCCTATTAGCATCCTTCATTCCACGCATCTCCACACTGGCTGCCCTCCTGGCTTAGGGCTCCAGGGTGATCACTGCATCCTTCAAAACATGTGTCCCTTTATGTTCAAGTTAGCTTCAGTTACATTTTGTTACTTGCAACCCACAGAGTCTTAAATTTTTAAAATTCGCTTAAATTTTACTAAAAAGCTAATGACCGAATATGACAAAAAATTCAAATGGATCACAGAATACTCAGTGAGAAGTAGTTCTCCTTTCCACTTCAGAGCCCTGGCCCTCTATCGGGAGGCAACCACTATCAACAGTTTCTACAAAACCTTATAGAAACTGTCCATGCCTATAGATGGCCTTATATGTATGTTTTATTTTGTTTTGTTTTGAGACAGGGTCTCACTCTGTCACCCAGGCTGGAGTGAGTGCAGTGGCATGATCATGGCTCACTGCAGCCTCGAGTTCCCAGGCTTAATCAACCCTCCTGTCTCAGTCTCCCTAGTAGCTGGGACTACAGACATGTACAACTTTAATTTTTTTTTTTTTTTTTTTTTGAGACAGAGTCTCACTATGTCGCCCAGGCTGGAGTGCAGTGGCGTGATCTCGGCTCACTGCAAGCTTCACCTGCCAGGTTCACGCCATTCTCCTGCCTCAGCCTCCCGAGTAGCTGGGACTACATGTGCCTGCCACCACGCCTGGCTAAGTTTTTTTGTATTTTTAGTAGAGACAGGGTTTCACCATGTTCTCCAGGATAGTCTCAATCTCCTGATCTTGAGATCCGCCCACCTCGGCCTCCCAAAGTGCTGGGATTACAGGCGTGAGCCACCGTGCCCGGTCAACCTTAATTTTTTTAATTTTTAATTTTTTAGAGATGGGAGTCTCACTAGGTTGCCCAGGCTGGTCTTGAACTCCTGGGTTCAAGCAATATTCCCCCTTGGTAAAGTGCTGGGGTTACAGGCATGAGTCACCGCGCTCAGCCTCCTTTTATGTATTTAATAAATAAATAAATAAGAGCTTATTATACACACTATCCTGCACTTTGTTTTTCCTTTTACTTAATAATATCTTGGAGATCATTTCATGTTCTAATTCATTTTTAATTTAAAAACTACATAAATAAATAAATGGTGCTGTGATCATTAGTTAACTGTTTTATGAAAAATATTAAATTGGTTTCCTTCTCAACACCATGCACCAAAATAAATTCCAATAGTGGATTAAAGCTTTAATCATAACAAATGAAGCTCTCAAAAATAATGGAAGGAAATGCGGATGAGTGATTCTCACATGGCGGATCCTTGGGTGGGAGAAAGTCCTTCCCGGCCTGAAATAAACATGCAAACTACAAGATGCAAGCCCCCCAGGCTTGAATGTGTGTATATATGTTGGCGCTGTCTGGACTCCATTTTTTTCTCTTGTTGAGAGAAGTGTCTTGGGTGGGGTTCCCTAGAGAAGCCTGAGATCGACATTCATGGGCAAATGAGTTATAAAGCAGGGGTTCTTAAGCCCCAGGCCATGGACTAGTACTGGTTCATGGCCTCAGCAGGAGGTGAGTGGCAGGTGAGTGAACATTATTGCCTGAGCTCTGCCTCCTGTCAAATCAGCGGTGGCATTAGATTCTCATAGGAGTGTGAACTCTTTTGTGAACTGTGCATGTGAGGGATCTAGGCTGCATGCTTCTTATAAGAATCTAACTAATGCCTGAGGATCTAAGGTGAAACAGACTTATCCCCAATCCATCCCTGATCTCCCCTCCCCCACCATCCACGGAAAAATTGTCTTCCATGAAACTAGTCCCTGATGCTAGAAAGGTAGGGGGGATCAGGCCAGGGAAGAGTAAGAAGTCAATCAAGATTGGGATCTCAGGCAAAGTCCGGCTGTCCTCACCTTGAGGCAATGGAGCTGGGCTTTCCTACTCCTGCACCTGTCAGTCATTGACTAAGCACTGCCCAGGCTCTCATCAGCTTCCAGGAACTTAAGACTCTCTGCACCTGTGGGCAGGGCAGCTCCCTAACCCTGGGTGATCTTCTGAGGAGTGGCAGGTACAGATGGTGGAATCCAGGGCAGAGGTGCCCAGTATGGAACAGGGCATCGAAGAGGAGCCACAGTGTCTATTACAAAGGGAGTCTGCTGCCCAAGGGCTGAGCTAGGGAAGGCCTATGGGGCCAGACCCATGAGACGGCCAGACCTGTGAAAGTCAGGACTCTGAGTTTGCAGTGAAAATTCCAAGAGGATGCAAGCCCGTGCCCCCTGTGCTCACAGCCACCTGGCCCCAGAGCCCAAAGGCATCTTAGGCTGAGTTCTCTGGAAGCAGCTGAGGTGGAGAGTTTGGGGCAGGAGGTTTACACTGATGGCTCTCAGGAGAGACCCCCTATAGGGAAGCGGGGAGGGCGAGGGTGGGCAGAGAGGGAAGGCGACCCCCCAGTGCAGTTACAGCTAGGCCTCAGCCAGGCCTGGGGGAGCCCTGGAGCTGGACACGCCTTCAGAGTTGCCCCAAACTGAGGTGAGGGGCAGGGCTTTGTACTCCCACATCAGCCAGTCGCTGGATACAGGATCACCCCACAGGAGGCATAAACTTAGGAAAGGTGCTTCCCGGGTGCCAAGGGAATTCCCAGGGAAGAAGGCAGGGATATTCCCAGCTCCCATGGGGATAATGGCCATGATGGTTAATTTTAGGCATCAACTTGTCTGGATTAAGGGACACCTAGACGGCTGGGAGAGCATTATTTCTGGTTGTGTCTGAGAGGGTGTTTCCAGAGGAGACTGGTATGTGAGTCAATGGACTGAGTTGGGAAGATCCGCCCTCAATGTGGGTGGGTACCACCAATTGGCTGGGGGCCTGGATAGCACGAAAAGGCAGAGGAAAGGTGAATTCACTCTCTTTCCTGGAGCAGACACATCCCTACTGTCCTGCCCTGAGACATCAGAACTCCAGGTTCTCCAGGCTTTGAACTGTAGGACTTGCACCAGTGGCCCCCAGCCCAGGTTCTCAGACCTTCAGCCTCGGACTGAGAGTTATACCACCAGCTTTCCTGGTTCTGAGGCTTTCAGACTTGGAGTGAGTCACACTCCCAACATACCCGGGTCTCCAGCTGGCAGGTGGCTGAGGATGGGAAACCTCAGCCTCCATAACCACGAGACAATTCCCCTAAAAAATCTCATGTAGATAATAGATACATACGTACATACATACAGATCTTTTGTAGAGATGGGGGTCTCACTGTGTTGCCCAGGCTGGTCTTGAACCTGGGCTCAAACGATTCTCCCACTTTGGCCTTCCAAAGTGCTGGGATTATAAGTGTGAGCCACTGTGCCTGACTTCTGTTATCTCTCTCTCTCTCTCATGTGTGTTTATCTATCTATCTATCTATCTATCTATCTATCTATCTATCTATCTATCATCTATCTATCATCATCTATCTATCTGTTGGCTCTGTCTCCTTGGAGAACCCCGACCAGCATAGTGGCATCAGCCCCTGGAGAGGAGATCTGGGTGGAGCAACACAGTGTCCACTATTGGGGAATTGAGAAGTCCCTTCTTGGGGCTCCTGGCTGCAGTGACTCTCCAAATAGAGGGGCTGATGGGAGGCCCAGGGAGCCACAGGTCCAAGGCCATCAGGATGGGTCCACCTCCAAAGAGGACATAACCTCTTCTGGAGCCCTGGGGTGAGGGGATTGGTGGGCTTTGGGGGATCTGGCAGAACTGCCTATGGGAGAGACAGCAGAGAAGACTGTCTTAGTCCATTTTGTGTTGCTGTAACAGAATACCACAGACTGGGTAATTTATAATGAACAGGAATTTATTGGTTCGTGGTTCTGAAGGCTGGGAAGTTCAAGATCAACAAGGTCAGCATCTCATAAGAGCCTTCTTGCTGCTTCACAATATGGCTAAAGGGCAAAGAGAGGGTGAGAGGGGGAGACAGTGAGAGTAAGAGAGGGCCAGATTCCCCCTGTGTGACAAACCCACTTCTTCGATAACAGTGTTAGTCCTTTGACTCTGCCATCATGGCCTTATCACCTCTCTTTGGGCCTCACCTCTCAACACTTAGATTGAGGATCAAGTTTCCAACATTTTGCTTTTTGGGAGACACATTCAGGTCATTGCAGATATGTTCAGAAACCTGGCAAGGGGAGCATTAAAGGTTGAAGGTGAGGCCCTGGCTGGGGGGCACTCCAGCCTGGGGCCTGTCTCCCCACAGTTCTGCTGTAGGAGGAGATGTGGTTTGACAAGGTAGTCAGCAGGCCTGAATGAGGCGGACTTTGGTGGATCATCTGTACCTCTGTGGATTGAGCAGGCTATGGGTGGCGGGGAGTATGCCACGAGTCTTTTTCTAGCTCCTGGATAAGGGGAAACAGAGCGAGGAGCCCAGGATGACTAGACCTGGCTGGGCTTGGAGATAAGGAGGTGCCTCAAGGGCAGGGAGTTTGTGTCTAGAGGGCTGCACGGCACAGACCCCAGCCCAGTCACCTCAACTGCCATTGCTTTGAAATCAATTATCCAGGAAGGAGGAGTGGCAGAGGTGCATGGGCAGCTGGGGAGCGCTGGGTCTGTGAAAGACAGTATCATCCACACCCATTTAAGTTTTGTTTGTTTGTTTGTTTGTTTGTTTGTTTAAGACAGGGTCTGGCTATGTTGCCCAGGCTGGTCTTGAACTCCTAGCCTGAAGCCATCCAACCACCTCCGCTTCTCAAAGCACTGGGATTATCGTAGGGAGTGGTGGCTCCCAGCCCACCTCACTTTGCAGATGAGAAAACTGAGGTTATGGCCAAGGAGTTTCCCAGGAGCCCAGGGAGACCATGGTGGAAAATAGCACCTCTGAATGCCCTGCAGGCCATCTTGGGACAGGGTGTGGCACTCAGGGAGAGCTGTGACTCCTGCACAGCTCAGGGTATGCATAGAGCCAGCTAAGGGTGGAGTGGACAATGGGGGTAGCCCCACGCAGTGGCCACTTCCCCACCCTGCCCAGTCCTCTCAAGAGGATGTGGCTTTGGGTCTGGTTGCCAGGATACGGCACGGCCATGCCGAAGCATCCCTGGAAAGCCTGTTTCCCTGAAACACCCCCAACCAGAGCCGGGGCGGAAGGGCCAAGCCTCTTTATGAGCTGAGCAGACGGTTCTTAACACATTGTCCTCAGCAAGCTGGACAGACAGAGACATGTGGGCAGCTCAGCTGCACAGGAGATCTGGGGAGAGTCCAGTCCCCTGTGCTGCGGGAGAGGGTGTGTTTGTCCCCCAGCCCCTTGTTGGAGATGTCCTCACTGTTCTCCCGGAACTGCCCTCCAGGGCACTGTGCTCTCACCCTGACCACACACCCCTCTCCCCAGCACCCCTGCCAGCCCCTGGCGAGCCAGGTGCCAGGAGCCAACAGTATGAATTACGCCCCAGACCAGGAAAGACAACTAACAACTCACAGCGAAGCTCTGTTTACACTGGTATTGATCCAGGGCTGCGGTGACTCGGAGGCCATGGAGAGCCAGACTGCCTTGCAGAAGGTGAGAGTTTCCTGACTGGCAGACACTAACAGTTTCAATGGCTGCAGAGCATGTCCTCAGGACAGTGTGTGTGCCCCCAGCAGCCCTGCTCCTCGGGAGGACCTGCTTAAGCAGTCATAGCTGCTGCATTTGGAGTTCAAGCTCAGGTCCCAAGCACAAGGGGGTGGAGAGGGGCATGGACTTGGGAGTCAAGGGAGGGGGTTTTCTGGGAAGAGGATGAGAATAGCCCATTGCATGCAGCTCAGGAGAGCAATCAGTAAACCAGCTCAGGCATGTCCAGAGCCCGGTCCCGCCTCCGGTGGGAGAACAGGAAAGACTGGACACCAGCCACATGCCCCTGGTTTCTTTTGTATTTTAAAATTTTATTATTATTACTTTTTTTTTTTTGAGACAGAGTCTCGCTCTGTTGTCCAGGCTGGAGTACAGTGGCACAATCTCAGCTCACTGCAGCCTCCATCTCCTGGGTTCAAGTGATTCTCCTGCCTCAGCCTCCCGAATAGCTGGATTATAGGCGCCCACCACCATGCCCTGCTAATTTTTGTATTTTTAATAGAGACAGGGCTTCACCATGTTGGCCAGGCTGGTCTTGAGCTCCTGGCCTCAAGTGATCCACCTGCCTCGGCCTCCCAAAGTTCTGGGATTACAGGTATGAGCCACCATACCCTACCTATTATTACTTTTTTAGAGATAGTGTCTTGCTCTGTCACCAAGGCTGGGGTGCAGTAGTGCCGTTGTAGCTCACTGCAGCCTCGACCTTCTGTGCTTAAGCGATCCTCCCTCCTTAGCCTGTCAAGTAGCTGGGCTACAGATGCACACCATTACACATAGCTGATTTTAATTTAATTTTATTTTATTTTATTTTATTGTAGAGATGGGGGTTTCACTATGTTGCCCAGGATGGTCTTAAATTCCTGACCTCAAGCAATCCTCCCGCCTCAGCCTCCCCAAGAGCTGGGATTACAGGCATGAGCCACTGCACCTGGCTGGGCTGGGTTCCTGATGACGTCTGCAAGTTGACTTGCTGCAGGAGGACTATCTGAATTTCGGATGTAGTGACACTTGGCGTTCCACCCTCAATCACTCCTGGCTCCCCTTTTCAGGGCCTGTAGCAGCCGGGTTTTCTAGAAGGGGTCTTGGTGAGGTGGAGCATGGTGGGGAAGTCTTACTGGAAGTGAAGAATATTTCCAGTGACTGCCAGGGCCTCATTCAGCAACTGGGGCAGGTGGAGAAGGTTGCACATGCCTGGGGGTGTCAGGCAGGTTTTGAAGAAGGCAGAGCCTTGAGAGGGGACCTCCTGAGGATGGGATCCCGAGGAGCTGCAGCCCATGCCCACCAGGCCCAGAGAAGGAGTCTTAGGTGTCTGGGATGCTCTGGCTTTTGTCCCCTTCCATTATCCTGGATATTGTCCTGTGGGGCACTAAAGGAAGGGCCATTATGTCCACACTGGGCCTGGGGTGCTGAGGCCATGGGGCCGGGCCAGCAGTTACAGGGAGTAGCCCCCTGGGGCATGCTCGACCCAGAATGCGCCCTTCATTGCCATTGCTGGAGGTCTGGACCTTTCCCTTGCACTTTCCACAACCTCCTCTTTGCAGCCCCACTCCCAGGGCAGAGTCAAAAGGATTACTTAAATACAAGCCATTTATGCAGCTTCAATATACATCTTCAACATGCAGCCCATAGGCAAGGGGGTGGCCAGGTGCACTGAGCCCCTTTCCCTGCAAGCTGCCCCATCGTGGGGAGCCCAGCCAGCTCTCCCCAGAGGAGAAGCGAGACCTGCAGCTTCATCCTCACACCAGCCAGCTTGAGGGTCAGAGGGTCGCCATCAGGTAGCCTCCCCCTGGAATATCTGTGCAGACAGGTGTCACCCCACAAAGAGGGAGTAGGCTCAGGATACCCCCCTCCCTCAGGCGGTGGTAAATGCTGCAGGGAAGATGGGGAAGAATGCAGAACCTGCTGTCTGAGGGTTTAGAATAAAGTTGCAGGGCAGGCAAGCTTCTTCAAACTGGGGTCCTTGGCCTGCCTGGGAAAGGGACCCTCCTCGGGGGCTGTAAAGGGACCCAAAGTCCTCTCTCAGTTATTCTGGATGAGTGAGGCACAACTCCTGACACCTGAGAACAGTTGCTCACAGGCTTGCTACTAAGAGACTAACACGTGCGTTCTTTGGGCTCACAGGGATCAATGCCTTATTCACTCGTCTTACCATTCTGCTGAGACACATGGCGGCCTGGCCACATTGCATGTGCACACACACACACACACACACACACACATGCAGAGCATGGGAAACGCCAGTCCCCAAGAAGGAGCTCTGTGGTCATCACATCCTCAGACTGCTGTGTGGCGGTCACGGTGCACAGTCACTGTGATTCCTGTGCTTGTCAATATGGGGTGGGGGGTAATACTATGTAATGGAGGGGGAAATTGCTACTTAAATCCACCACTCTTTTCTGGAAAGATGAAGCCTGGTGAAGGAAAGATGAGGGTCTCTGCTGTTCTTCTAAGAGAGTGTGCCATTTGCTCTGCTCCTGCTGCTGTCCCTCCTGCCGTGTGTGTGTGTGTGTGTGTGTGTGTGTGTGTGTGGTGGTGGGGGCGGGGGCAGGTGTCAGGCCTGGAGCCAACTGTGAGAGTAAATGCAGGTCACTCCTAGGGTCTCTCTGGGACAGGGACAGGAATCAGAGGCCTCAGACAGAGGTGGGAGTCTAAGCCTGATGTGAAGAAAAAGGGGTGCCTAATAAGGAACCCCTCTGCAGAGGCCCCCAACCTCTTGGGCCTCAGCTGTCTCTTTTTAGCTGATTTGGAGAGGCCAGGGCAGGTGAAGTGTGATGAGTAAATCACAGAGGCCCCATACTTTGCAGAGGACAAGAATCCCACAGAGGCATCAGCCGGGCTGGCAGCACTGTGAGAATATAATTCATCCCTCCACTCTCAGGCTCAGGTTTGCAGAAACCTCGGGAGAGCTCTGAGACTTTCGGTTGCATGTGAAATATTACGTAGATTAGAAGGGGCAGCCGGGTTATATTTGTTAGGTTTTAACATTGTTTGGCTTAATTTTTAAATGTGGTTATCAAAGCAATGCATGCACATTGTTTGAGAAGTCAAATATTACCAAAAGACTTAGAATAAGGGCAATAGTTTTACTTCCCTATACCCCAATCTTTCTCCTGGTGACACTTTTACCTCTTATAGCTGCTTCCTTGGTATCTGCCTCTGTGTTTCCAAATCCCACGTTTACACGGCCCTATCTTCATTCTTTGGTTTTGTCGTTTTCTATGTTGCTGTTCCACAGTGTGAACAAGTTTCTAGCTTGTTTTTACTTTTGTCTACCAACCCCAGCACACTCTTGGTTAAAACTGTGGTCAGTGTTCATGTTATTATGATCATGCAAATATTGTTTATTGTTAAGTCAAGAAGTATATCATCTCGTCTCATTTTTTGTCCAACCTTGTTTCTAGAGTCAATAATTGCTTCACTTTTTTATAGCCTGGTTTTCATTTTTTGTGTGTGTGTTTCAGAGACAAGGTCTCGCTCTGCTGCTGAGGCTGAAATGCAGTGACGATCAGGTCACTGCAGCCTAGACCTCCCAGGGTCAAGCAATCCTCCCACCTCAGCCTCCCAAGTAGCTGGGGCTATAGGCGGGCACCACCACACCCAGGCAATTTTAAAATTTTTTGTAGAGATGGAATCTCACTATATTGCCCAGGTTGGTCTTGAACTCCTGGGCTCAAGTGATCCTCCTGCCTTGGCCTCCCAAAGCACTGGGATTAAAGGCATGAGCCACTGCGCCCAGCCTATTTGTCTGGTTTTCCATATACCTATCATTAGTTTTTTCCATATGTTTCAAAATGTCAGCCAAAAGTCTATTAACTATATTTTGACATACTCTAATATCACAATTCCCAAAATGTACCAAGTCAGTTCCAGGATATCATAGTTCATTCACTGCATAGCACAGATGTACCATAGGATCTTTTGAATTTTCCAAATGATAGTCAATATTTGTTAGGTATCACAAACTATTAGTTAACTGTTCTAATGTTAGAGTGAACTACAGCTCTTTTTTTTTTTCTCCTTTTTCATACAAGGTCTCCCTCTGTCACCCAGGCTGGAGTGCAGTGGTACCATCATGGCTCACTGCAGCCTTGACTTCCCTAGGCTCAAGAGATCCCATCTTAGCCTCTCGAGCAGCTGGGGCTAAAGGCACACAACCATGCCCGGCTTTGTGTTTTTTTGTTTGTTTGTTTGTTTTGTTTTTTGTATTTTGTAGAGATGGGGTTTCACCATATTGCCCAGGCTGGTCTCAAACTCCTGGGCTCAAGCGATCCATCTGCCTTTGCCTCCCAAAGTGCTGGAATTATAGGTGTGAGCCACTGCGCCTGGCCCCTGAACTACATTTCTTACAATAATGCTATATCTTTGCAAAGTTGGGTTTCAGCAGTTACTATGATAACAAGTGAGTATTGGGCAAATGTCATAGTGAAGCAGAAAATGAAGCTACAGGTGCACAATTTGATGCAAAGGTTTGAGAAACTGCAGTGTCCAAAAGGCAGACACATCCCATCAGGAAGTAATTGTGGTTATGTAAGAATAAAATAAAAATAAAAATATTATTTTTCTTTCCATTTATGCATAATATTTTTTTAATGGCTACTAAGCTGTTAGGGCATAAATATTTATTAAATTGTTTGGATCTAACTATTTAATAAACAGAACTGTTAGATATTTCTTTTAGCCTGAAGACAGCAATACAAAAATTACTAAACCATCAGGCCAGGTGTGGTGGCTCATGCCTGTAATCCCAGCGCTTTGGGAAGCTGAGGTGGGAAGATCACTTGAGGCCAGGAGTTTGAGGCCAGCCTGGGCAACATAACGAGATCCCGTCACTACAAAAAATAAAAACAAGTAGCCAGGCACAATGGCTCATGCCTGTAATCCCAGCACTTTGGGAGGCCAAGGTGGGAGGATTGCTTGAGGCCAGGAGTTCAAGACCAGCCTGGGCAACATTTTGTAGTGAGACCCCATCTCTACAAAAAATTACTAAGACATCAAGGAAGTCATGGACCAAGAAAAATTGGGGGCTTCTGCTCTAACCCATTAGCTCTGTTTCACTCCTGAGGATTTCCCTCCTGGAACCTTCTACCTCTTGCTGCAATCTGCTGTGAAGCTTCCACCTTATGAGCAGGCTTCGCTTTTCTCCTGTGTGGGATCTTCTTTTTCCTGGTCTCATGACACCATTTTTTGTTCTTTCTCATTTTCCTGGAGCTTGTTCTTCAGATCCCTGTTCTTCAGCTCCCTAAGAAATGGATTTGGAAAGTAAATATTTTTAGTACTTGAAGGTCTGAAAATGCCTTTATTCTGCGCTGATTCTTGATTGATAGTTTAGCTGGGTATAGAATTTTAGCTTGAAAATATTTTTCCCTCAGAATTTTAAAAGCATTGCTCCATTGTGTTCTAGTTTTTAGTGTTGTTGTTGAGGAGTCAGATGCCATTCTAATTCCCAGTTCTGTGTATGACATCTGTTGCAGGCTGGGCTCCCTTGGAAGCAGACTTAGCATGCAGGATGTTTACTAAAGATTCTCCTGTGGTTAACATTTATAAAAGAGAGAGAAAGGAGGCAGGTTTAGGCAGAAGGAGAAGTTGTACTGCACTTCAGGCTTGAGATAGCCTTCCTTGACCCCAGGGGAGCTCTGGAGCAGGAATAACTTTTCAGAGGGTCCTGAACTGAACAAAGATATCCTCACTTTTATGCTCCAACATCTAACAGCCATCGGATATGGATCACCTAGGCATGACCTGGGGCGAGGTGCCTCTCTGTAACACGTAGAGACCCCTGAAGGGCTGAGATCTGGAAGCCACCTGCTGACATCTGGGACAACACATGTTTTCCTGAAGGGGTATCAGAGGGGCACATCACAGGCTCTATACTTTTTTTCTCATTGAAAACATTTAGTTCTTCCTATCTCTGTCACTTAAAAATTGACCTTGATGAACCCTGAAGTAAACTTACTTCATTTCTTGTGCTGGACAATTGGTGGGCTTTTTAACTGAAGAGAATTATGTCCCTCAACCATGGGAAACTGCCTTATAGTATTTTTACAATTTCCTCCCATTTGTTTTTTCTGTTGTCTTTTGTGGACTGCTGTTGACCAGGCAGACTGAGCCTTCTACATTTCTTCTCTTTCGGGACTCCTGGGAGGCTGAGCAAGCAACAGGCTGGTCTTTTTACTGGACAGACTACATATGCAATGTGTGGGGTTCTTCTCTCAGTGACAGCCCAGTTATTCCAGAAAGAACCTGCTGATATTCTAGCCAGGAACATGGAGTGTGTTTGCATGGTGTGTGGAATGTGCTGTGGTGTGTGTGGGGGTTGGTGGTGGTGGGTGGGTGGTATGTGACTGGGGAAATGCCATATCTGGTGAGTGAAGGAGGCCTAGCAATCCACACTGTTCCCCAGACATCTCTTATGCCTGATGCCCTAAAATTCAACTCCTTGGTTCAATTTCCTAATAAAATGAAACTCCAGCCTCTCATCTCCTGGATATTGAGCAAGGAGAGAGACTCTGGCATTTCAGAAGCTCAATTTACAGCTTTTTCACCAATTCCTCTGGTTTTGAAATTTTTTGGTAAAATATATGTAACATAAAATTTGCCAATTTTAACCCTTTTTAGGTGTACAATTCAGTGGCAGTATGTACATTCACAATGTTTTGTAACCATTACCACTATCTACTTCCAGAAATTTTTCATCATCCAAAACAGAAACTCTGTACCTATTAAGAAATAACACCCCATACCTTCCTGCCCCAGCCCCTGGGAACCTCTATTCTACTTTCTGTCTGTATTTATTTGGCCATTCTAGATACTTCATACAAGTGGAATTATACAATGTTTTCCCTTTTATGTCTGGCTTCTTTTCCTTAGCATAGTGTTTTCAAGGTTTTTCCATGTTGTAGCATGGGTCAGAATTTCAGTACATCTTGGGGCTGAATAACACTCCATTGCAGGTATATATATATCTCACATTTTTTAAAATGTATTCATCCATTAATGGACACTTGGGTTGTTTACACCTTTTTGGCTATTTTGAAAAATGCAGCTATTGAGGCAGGAGAATAGAGTCTGGAGGCAGAGAACCTTAGGCTGATCCATGCTGACTTCCTAGAACTGAATCAAGAGGAAAACCCTACCTTTAAGTAACAAAAGGATCAGTGGCTACTCCCTTTGCAACTCCCAACCCCTTTTCTGCATTGCAGATGAAAGACGAAAGTACCTCTGATTGGTCCCCTCTTGCAACCAATCAGACTGGTCACAGACCAAGTCTTCATCTGTAACTTTGTAACTTCACTTCGGCTTCTGGTTGGCCACCTTCTGCAACCAATTAGACTGGTTGCAAACCACTACTTTATTTACATAGGGTGTAAACCAAGTAACCAATAAAAAAAATCTCTAGAGGGTATTTAAACCCCAGAAAATTCTGCAAGGGGGCTCTTGAACTGCTTGCTCAAGCCTGCTCCCACTCTATGGAGTGTACTTTTATTTCAATAAATCTCTGCTTTCATTGCTTCATTCTTTCCTTGCTTTGTTTCTGCATTTTGTCCAATTCTTTGTTCAAAATGCCAAGAACCTGAACACCCTTCACCAGTGACACTCTGCTTATGGGTGTACAAGTATCTATTTTCATCCCTGTTTTTCAATATCTTGGATATATACCTAGGAACAGAATTGCTGGATCACATAATAATTCTATGTTCAACTTTTTGAAGAGCCACCAAACTGTTTTCCACTGGGGCATCACCATTTTACATTCCCACTAGCCATGCACAAGTTTTTCAATTTCTCTACATCCTCATCAACACTTGTTATTTTCTGGTGTGCTTTTAAACTTTTTTTTCTTTTTTGTAAATTATAGCTATTCTAATTGGTGTTAGGTGATATCTCATTGTGGTCTTGATTTGCGTTTCTCCAATGACTAATGATATTGAGCATATTGGACTCTTGGACGCTGAACCATATAACTAATGATATTAGCCAATCATCTTGTATTGGCTATTTGTATATCTTTTTTGGAGAGACTTCTATTCAAATTCTTTGCCCATTTTTAAAATTGAGTTGTTTGGGGATTTTCGTTGTTGTATTGTCCATTTGCAGGAGTTTTTATATATTCTAGATAAAGAAGGATTTACTTCTGCCATTTAGCTATTTGTTTTCTGTATGTCTTACATGATTTTTGTTGTATAATTCCCCCATTGCTGCCTTTTTAAAAATTTAGTTGATTTGTTTTGTAGTGTATCATTTTGATTCCATTTTTCTTTCCTTTTCTATATGTGTTTAGGTTATTCTCTTAGTGGTTACCTTGGAGATTACAAATAACATCTTAAACTTATAACAATTAAATTTGGATAATAGTTTCAATAGAATATAAATACTCTGTTCCTATACATCTTCATCCCTCCTCTTTACATTATTATTGTCACAGATTACATTTTATACCTTATGTGCCCATTAACATAGACTTACAATTATTGTTGTATACATTAGTTTCTTAAATCAGGTAGGAAAAAGGGAGAAGTTACAAACCAAACCAAAAGTATAAACCAAAACCAATCCAAACCAAAGGAAGTTACAAACCAAGGAAAAATAATATTGGCTTTTATATTTATCTATGTAGTTACCTTTACCAGTGTTAGTGTTATTTCATCTTACAGCTTCAAGTTACTGTCTTGTGTGTGTGTGTGTGTGTGTGTGTGTGTGTGTGTGTGTATCCAGCCTGTTAGCATTTCTAGGGCAGGTCTATTTGTAATGATCTCCCTCAGCTTTTGTTTTTCTTGAAATGTCTTAATTTCTCCCTCATTCTTAAAAAATAGTTTTGCCAGATGTTGAATTTTTGATTGAGTTTTTTTTCCAGGACTTTCATATGTGACCCCACTGCCTTTTAGCCTTCAGGGTTTCTAAAGAGAAATCAGCTATTAAGTTTTTGATGATACCTTGTACGTGATGAATTGCTTCTCCCTTGTTGCTTTCAAAATTCTCTCTTTGCTTTGGTTTCGGCAATTTGAGTATAATATGTCTCAGTATGGATCTCTTGAGTTTATCCTGTTTGGAGTTTGTTGAGCTTCTTGAGTATCTATATCATATCTTTCATCAGATTTGGGAAGCCTTTAGCCACAATTTCTTTAAATATGTTTTTCTGCCCCTTTCTCTTCCTTCTTCTGTAATTCCTATAATGCATAGTTATAGTTGATGACATCCCATAAATCCTTCAGGCTCTATTTATTTTCCTTCATTCATTTTTATTTATGTTCCTCAGACTGGATACTTTCAATTGTCTTATCTTCATGTTTGCCGATCCTTTCTTCTGCCTACTCAAATCTGCTGTAGAATGCTTCCAGTAAGTTTTTCATTTTAAGTTATTGTATTTTTCAGTTCCAAGACCAGTTTGGTTCCTTTCTTATAATTTCTCATTATTGATATTCTCATTTTTTAGACATTATTTTCTCAATTTCCTTTGGTTTTTTAATCCATGGTTTCTTTTAGCTCATTAAATGTGTCTAAGATAATTGATTTAATGTCTTTGACTAGTAATTCCTATGTCTGGTCTTCTTCGGGGATGGTTTCTGTCAAATGTTCTTTTCCTGTGAACAGGTCATACTTTCCTATTTCCTTGTATGTTTTGTACTTTTTTTGTTGAGTACTGGGCATTCTGATTATTATTGTGGTAATCCTGGAACTCTAACTCTCACACTCCTCAAGGATTGTGGATTTTTGCTTGTTAAGGATGGAGCCATCCATCTGTGATTTTTTTCCAGATTATTTTTACAAATTGTGATTGCTTATTGCATGTGGTCCTTGAAGTTCCTGTTCCGTTGTCTCTGTCAGTCAATGACCTGACAAAGATTTCCTTAAATGTTTGGCTCCCAAAATTGTTGAGGTGAGGGGAGGGAACAGGGAAGTCATGTCTCTTTAAATCCCCTCACAGCAGAAAAGCTGCTCTAGCTCTTGTGATCTGAAACAATGGCTGGACTCTGTGCCAGTCCCCCAGAGGTCAAAAGGATCAGCAATCAAAACACACAACTCTAATTTTTGGAGGATAAGGTTCTTATTCCCCACCCTGGCACCAGCAAGTCACACCAGGAATGCAGGCCACTGTCCCCACAGCTGTTTGCCACGGGGCTGGCAGGTGGGGGATGGTAGCCAGTACGCAAACATGGAAATGTATTAAAATTCACCAGCTTCTCCATTAAGTTTTCTCTTGGATGCCGAACGTGTTCAACTAGACTGCAGAGTTCCAAAATAGTTGCTTTAGACAGCCCTTGCCAGATCAAAACTTGTTAGGGTGGAGGGAAAGATTCCTGCAGCTTCTAACTGCACTCTTCTGTGACGTCATCCAACTCCCTTGTTTTTAATCCTCCTAAACTCTCATTCCCAGTCCCAGCTTCCGGAATCCATCCCCACCACTTGCCTGAGGTTCTGTGTTAATGGGCATGTTACAGGAAAGGGGTTTGGATTCAGACTCCAAGAGAGGGGGGATTCTTGGATCTTGTGCAAGAAAGAACTCAGGATGAGTCTGTAAAGTGAAAGCAAGTTTATTAAGAAAGTAAAGGAATAAAAGAATGGCTACTCCATAGATAGAGCAGCCCCAAGGGCTGCTGGTTGCCCATTTTTATGGTTATTTCCTGATGATATGCTGAACGAGGGGTGGATTATTCATGCCTCCCCTTTCTGGACCATAGAGGGTAACTTCCAGACGTTGCCATGGCATTTGTAAACTGTCATGCTGCTTGTGGGATTGTAGCAGTGGGGACAACCAGAGGTCACTCTCGTCTCCATCTTGGTTTTGGTGGGTTTCTTCACTGCAACCTGTTTTGTCAGCAAGGTCTTTATAACCTGTATCTTGTGCTGACCTCCTATTTCATCCTGTGACTTAGAATGCCTTAACAATCTGGGAATGCAGCCCAGTAGGTCTCAGCCTCATTTTATCCAGCCTCTATTCAAGATGGAGTTGCTGTGGTTCAAACATCTCTGACAGGCTCATGCTCACCAGTCTCCTCTAAAGCACCTCAGGTGCTTTCTCTGCTCTGCCTAGTAAGATTGCCTTCCTCCAAGTTCTGCCTTCTGAAATTCATTGAAATCTCTCGTTGCTACTCTCTCCTCATTTGCCTTTGTCCTTATTGTTTTATACCTTTTTAAATTGCTTCACTTTCATGGTGGCAGTGTACCCACCTGAGAGATTCTTCATGCCCACTGCACAAATAAAGACCACAGCATTGCAGTAAAGAAAGAGTTTAACTGACAAGAGGCCAGCCACGCCACACAGGAGACAGAGTTGTTACTCAAATCAATCTCCTCAGAAATTGGGGGACAAGGGTTTTTAAGGGTAACTTGGTGGGTAGAAGGTTGGAAAGTGGTAAGTGCTGATTGGTTGGGTTGAAGATGAAATCATCGGGAGGTGAGGCTGTCCTCTTGCACTGAGTCAGCTCCTGGGTGGGGGGCCCCAAGACCAGATGAGCCAGTTTATCGATTTGGGTGGCATCAGCTGGTGCACTGGAGCAGAAGATCTGCAAAAGCACCAATCTCAGATTTTGCAACAGTGACTCCTACACCATAATTTCTAATCTTATGTGGCTAATTTTTTAGTCCTGCAAAGGCAGTCTAGTCCCCAAGCAAGAAGGGGGTTTGTTTTGGGAAAAGGCTGTTATCATCTTTGTTTCAAAATTAAACTGTAAACCAAGTTCCTCCCAAAGTTAGTTCGGCCTATGCCCAGGAATGAACAAGGACAACTTGGAGGTTAGGAGCAAGACGGAGTTGGTTCAGTCAGATCTCTTTTACTGTAATAATTTTCTCAGTCATAATTTTGGCAAAGGTGGTTTCAGCAGGGTTGGGACAGGGAGGACAAAATGCCTGGGGTCAGGCACAGGTGTTTAGAGGGAACTCAAGGTTTTGTTACTGTCCAACACCTGATTTCAGTGCAAGGCAGCAGCTGCCATTGACTGTCATCTGTTCCTCTGGGTATTGGCTACCATGGTCAGTAGAAATGGTGGGGCAGGAAGTTGGCAAGCTTTTTGCCAACTAGTATGGCCAAGTCATGGCAGGAGGGTCAGCTCTGGGCTGTGTTTAGGGGAAGACGAGCCAGAGTGTGATGTCTGGGGCTCCTGGTCACATGACAGGAGGGGATGCTGAATCCAAGCAGACCGGAACCTAGTCCTGCTGAATTCCAGGGCAGTCTGCTACTGCAGCTTTGCTCTGAGTCCCGTGCTACATGCCTTAAACTAAACGCGTAAATAATAGGTGGCTTTGATGCTGAGTGGGTTCCTCAGCCATCTGGATCCA
The DNA here is from genome assembly GCF_000001405.40 of Homo sapiens. Lineage (NCBI taxonomy): Eukaryota > Metazoa > Chordata > Mammalia > Primates > Hominidae > Homo > Homo sapiens. Next base: position 33,568,083 of record NC_000019.10, on the reverse strand, counting down.
GAGAGGAGTGAGTGAGCCTCTGTGAGCTGGGCTCAGGCTGCCATGCCCATACCAGTGTCTAATTGCAAGCGGGTGTCAGTAACTCTCCCAGGCCTTGGGAAGGCATCTCTTTTTCCTGGTCTTTGGTGTTTAATATTAAGTTTCAGCCAAGCTCATGATCACAGCTGTTGTCAAAGTATCTGCAGGAAAATCCGTTTTTATTGAAGCTGAAAAGGTCAGTTTTCTTGGACGTCTCCATGGTGAAAATAATAAATGCAGCTCATTCATACCCTTATGATATTTAGGCTCTTCAGCTGGAATGACCCTTGGGAAAAGATGCCTGAGATTTTAATTACGTTTCTCATCCTTCCCACCACAGTTGCTGCAGGAGTGATGGGCTGGCAAGCCATTCCCCTCCCTGGGTCGTTAGGTAGAGGTCAGGGAGTTGGCAACCTTGCCAGGGGGCATCTAGCTTAGCCTGGGTGAGCCCCAGTGGACCTGCTGGCTGAGAAAAGCAGTTCACCCACTGGGTCTACAGTGTGGCCCAAAAGTTATGTGGCTTCTGCTCTTCAGGGCTTGACCCATCTTTGGCCTGAATTTGCAGAAGGAGGGGTCTCTCCCCTCTGCCTATCCAAACCCCATCTGCACATAGGGATTCCCTTGGGGGAAGGTGTGAGCAGCCAAGGCTCATATTGTGAGCCTTGCCAGCTTCTGGTCTCTGAAGATTAGCCCAGTATCCAAGGCAGCTCAGCAGCTCTGCAGTGAGACGACTAGTGTCAGAGGCGTGTGAACAAGAGCAACTCCATCTTGAATAGGAGCTGGGTAAAATGAGGCTGAGAACTACTGGGCTGCATTGCCAAACAGTTAAGGCATTTTAAGTCACAGGATGAGATAGGAGGTCAGCACAAAATACAGGTCATAAAGACCTTGCTGATAAAACAGTTTCCAGTAAAGAAGTGGGCCAAAACCCACCAAAATCAAGATGGAGGCGAGAGTGACCTCTGGTCGTCCTCACTGCTACACTCCCACCAGCGCCATGACAGTTTACAAATGCCATGGCAACATCAGGAAGTTACCCTTTATGGTCTAAAAAGGGGAGGCATGAATCCACCTTTGTTTAGCGTAACATCAGGAAATAACCATGACAATGGGCAACCAGCTGCCCTCGGGGCTGCTCTGTCTATGGAGTAGCCATTCCTTATTCCTTTACTTTCTTAATAAACTTGCTTTCACTTTACTCTACAGACTTGTCCTGAATTATTTCTTGAGCGAGATCCAAGAACCCTCTCCTGGGGTCTGGATTGGGATCCCTTTCCTGTAACGCTAGGAGTACAAGTGCATCTCACCTGGGATTCCCCCATGATGGACTGAGGCGCAGGGAGGGGTGATCAAGAAGGCAGAGAAATAGATGCTGAGAGGCCAGGCGCAGTGGCTCACGCCTGTAATCCCAGCACTTTGGGAGGCCAAGCGGGCAGATCACCTGAGGTCAGGAGTTCAGACCAGCCTGGCCAACATGGCAAAACCCCATCTCTACTAAAAATACAAAAATTAGCCAGGTGTGGTGGCAGGCACCCGTAATCCCAGATACTCGGGAGGCTGAGGCAGGAGCATCACTTGAACCTGGGAGGCAGAGGTTGCACAGTGAGCCGAGACTGCACCACTGCTCTCCAGCCTGGGCGATAGAGCAAGACTCTGTCAGAAAAGAAGGGAGAGAGAGAGAAAGAGAGAGAGAGAAAGGGGGGAGAGGAAGGAAGGAAGAAAGGAAGGAAGGGAGGGAGGGAGGGAGGAAGGAAGGAAGGAAGGGAGGGAGGGAGGGAGGGAGGAAGGAAGGAAGGAAGGAAGGAAGGAAGGAAGGAAGGAAAAAAGAAAAGGAAAGGAAAGAAAAGAGATGCTGAGAAGGCAGGGTGAGGCCCTACTCCAAGGAGGGCAGGCGGTAAGGAGTGCAGGGAGAGAACCAAGGCAGCCTGCTGTTTATGTCTTTGTAGGTATTCATTCCTCATGAATCCAAGCGATTAGTGTGTCACCACTATCTTTTGATGTTTACTAGTTTTGCCTGGTCTCTAGCAAACCCTTTCAACCTGCAGATTTAGATCTGTCTTCAGTTCAGCCAGGTTTTCCTCTTTTATTTTTGAATATTTTTTCTTCCTTGTTAGTCATGTTCTTTCTTCATTAACACCCATCCTCCTGATTGGATTTCCAATCTCTTTTCTTCAAAGCCGCTGCTCTGCCGATTATTGCTTCTAACTTCTCTGGTCCTTTTTTTGTTCGTTTGTTTTGTTTTGTTTTGTTTTGTTTTTGGTGCACTCTGAAAAAGCCTCTCAAACCTATGCTCCATGTCACCGAGTCCACTGTCTGCAGGGTTCTCACAGATTCTCCCTGTCGCTGACCCTTCTGCGATTTTGCTGTGATGTTTGTGTCCTTGGATGCTTTACCTGACTACCAGCTCCATTTCCACCACAGCTTGTCCTCATCCTCTCTTCCCCATTTGGTTTGCAGATTCAATGTTTTCATTTTGGAAAGAAAACCTTACATCTGTTTCCTGGAGTAAATATTTTTAGAATTCTGTTTTTTCTCTTTCCTTGATATCATGACAATACGGTTTTCTGCTCCATCTGTCTTTTCTTCAGGGGGCTGGATAGCTGAGCTCACTCTCATGCCCAGGCTTTTGCCTGTCAAGTTGAGGGCATCCCCATCCCACTGTGTGAGTGAGCTGCATCTCTCTTGTTCAGGAAGGGGGCCCCAAGGGCAGATGGAGCTCACTACAGTGGTGAAGGGGCCATTGGAGAAGAGGCCAGGCCACAGAATTCTGCCTGCTGGAAACACTGGGTCTTCACGGTCAACAAAGCATCCTCATGACTGCTGGTTCCCGGACACAAAAGGTGCTCATGAGCAGCCTACTCATGTCTAGCCCACCTCTGCAAGTTTGAGGGGGTTCAAGAAGGAGTTCCTCCATCCCAGGAAATGCTCACGTCAGCATCCCAGGGCTTCTAGGTGCAGCCAAGACTGTGCCCATGTATCTGAAGCTGGGGTGTCTGCAGGCCCTTAAGACAAGGCAGGCACTGGCCCCATCTCCCCAACGGCTGCCGCCCCTGCATGCTCACCCTGGAGAGGAGGACATGACTTTCCACTAGCGTGTCCTTGACTTTCTTTCCCACACCATGCTGCCTCCCCTGGAGAGAGGGCTGTATGTCTGCTTTAAGCCAAAAATTCACTCTGGTCTCAGCAGCCTAGCACCTGACAGAAACTCCTTGAAGTTTGCAAAATGTAGCTGACGCTTTCACTGAGTTTCAGTAGGACTTCTCCGATTTTTGTTTTCTTTTTTTTATCCCATTCTTCTCACTTCAGACAATGGCCATCTTCATTTATACATCTCACACCTGGTAAGTTACAGGCTATGTCAGTTACCACTGGCCCCGCAAATGCATTTTACATACACATCTATGACTAAGGAACGTAGTGAGTAATTTTTCCTAGTGAAATTTTCATAAGGGACAAAAGTATTTCGTATGCATGTAAGGGTGATGGCATGTCTCTAGGGAATTTGGAGAGAAAGCTCAGCTGCTTCTTCTAAACATGGAGAAGATCACAGGGCCAACCTCAAGTTCTGTGGCTTAAATTAATTAAGACAACCAAGACTTGTGAGGGCCTTGGGGTGCCTGACCCATGGAGGAGATCAATAAGTGAGGTTTAGGCATTATTTACTCTACCAAAAGTTATTATTCTTTTTTTTTTTCCTTTCTTTCTTTTTGAGACAGTCTTGCTCTTGTCACCCAGGCTAGAGTGCAATGGTACAATCTCGGCTCACCGCAACCTCCGCCTCCAGGGTTCAAGCGATTCTCTTGCCTCAGCCTCCTGAGTAGCTGGGATTATAGACACCCACCACCATACCCGGCGAATTTTTGTATGTTTAGTAGAGATGGGGTTTTGCCATGTTGGCCAGGCTGTTCTCGAACTCCTGACCTCGTGATCTGCCCGCCTTGGCCTCCCAAAGTGCTGGGATTACAGGCGTGAACCACCGTGCTTGGCCCAAAAGTTATTACTCTTATTCCTGCTACAACTCAACCTCCTTGGTTAAATTGCTATGCTATGGTTAAATCATATTGCGTATTCACAGCAATATATATGGCAAGCTCTAAAATACAAGAGACTTAAGGTTGGGCTTATCCTCTTACCTCCAGTTCAAGGCCCTAAGAACTTTGACTAAAGAATATTGGTGGATCAGCCTACCAGTTCTGGGGTGCCAAAAAAACAGCATTGTAGTACTTGTGTTTATCCTATCAAATTAATCTTGCCCCAGACTTTTTCAGGAATAATAAGTGCAATGTTATTGTTCCTAAATATAATATAAAAATATTTACATATTATAAATATATAAATATACAATATATAAATACATAATATATAAATTGTATAAATATGTAAATATATAATATACATATTATAAATATGTAAATATATAATATACATATTATACATACGTAATATATAATATAAATATTATATGTAATGTAACTAACATAAATATTACAAATATGTGAATATATAATATATAAATATTATAAATGTATAAATATTTAGGAATAATAAATACAATAAACTTTATCTTAGGAATAATAAATACAGAGTTTCCTAAAAACTCTTTAGAAATAATAAATACAATAAATAATAATAAATATAATGCAATAATAAATACTAAATACAATAATAAACAATAAATACAATATATAAATAATAAGTACAAACTTTCAGGAATAATAAATATAATAGATACAATAATAAATACAATAGATAATAAACACAATAGATAAATAATAAAATGCAATACAATAAAACGCAAGGAATAATAAATACAACACAATAAACAACAGTAAATACAATTATTTTTTAGGAATAATAAATAAATACAAATATTCGTATATACACACACAGAAAGAAAAGTGACTTTAGAGAGATGCATTTATACTTAATTTTGTAACCCTTTATATCACATGCAGTAGGAGTTAGGATTTGCCTTCAGCCCCCAAGGCAGGCCCTTCTTCCCAGCGCAGCCTCTCAATCCTGAAACGCAGCCTCACAGCCCAGAGCTCCAGCCGCCTCCTCACTGGTGCCTTTCTATCGTTGCTGTTTTCTCAGAACACAGTTGGCAAATGAGGCGCTGTGGCCTGGGCTGTGATGAAAGGAAACCTTGAGCATTTTCCAGCATCGCGGCTGCCCAGTGCCTGCCCCAGGGATGGTCCCCATCTCTGGACTCTGGAGTTCCCTGCTGAGTGGCAGGAGAGGAGAGCTGCATGGGGCAGGCGGCACCTTGGGCTTAGGTGGCCTTGGTGCAAGCAACAGCTCTGGCTTTGCCTGCTGAGTGGCCACAGGCAGCTGCACAACCTCTCTGAGTTTCAGTTTCCTGGCCTGTGAAATGGACTCACAACGCCCTCCTGGGTAGGGGGCATCTATGGGGAGAAGAGCTCTGCAGGTGGACAAGCCAGCTCTGAGTCCGACCACTGAGCCCCCGCCACTCTCCCTCTGGCCCAGCTATTGCTGCGGTCCAAAATGAGGGCCCCAGAAACAGCCTCCAAAACAAAAGTTTTTCTCTGACCTTCTCCTGCCCTCCTGTCTCTCAGTCCCATTCTTGCCTGAGGCTAACCATAAAAACTAGAATCCCTCTTCCCCAAGGCTGGTCATAGAATCTGAAGCTCTTCCCCCAAAGCCAGCCATAAAACCTAAAAATATAACTCTAACTTTCCCTCTGCCTTTCTGTGTAAAAACTGGCCATAAAGAAATTCTCTAATGATCAGTGATCATGAGCTTTTTTTCATATGTTTGTTAGCCGATCATTACAGAGATGCAAATCAAAACCGCCAGTCAGAATGGTGATTATTAAAAAGTCAGGAAACAATAGATTCTGGTGAGACTGTGGAGAAACAGGAATGCTTTTACATTGTCGGTGGGAGTGTAAATTAGTTCAACCATAGTGGAAGACAGTGTGACAATTTCTCAAGGATCTAGAACCAGAAATACCATTTGATCCAGCAATTCCATTAATGGGTATATATCCAAAGGATTATAAATCATTCTATTATAAAGACATATGCACAACATATGTTTTTTGCAGCACTATTTACAATAGCAAAGACGTGGAACCAACCCAAATGCCCATCAATGATAGGCTGGATAAAGAAAATGTGGCACATATACACCATGGAATACGATGCAGCCATAAAAAAGAATGAGTTTATGTCCTTTGCAGGGACATGGATGAAGCTGGAAACCATCATCCTCAGCAAACTAACACAGGAACAGAAAACCAAACACCGCATGTTCTCACTCGTAAGTGGGAGCTGCACAACGAGAACACATAGACACAGGGAGGGGAACAACACACACCAGGTCCTGTCTAGGGGTTGGGGGGCAAGGGGAGGGAGAGAGCATTAGGACAAATACCTAATGCAAGCAGGGCTTAAAACCTAGATGACAGGTTGATAAGTGCAGCAAACCACCATGGCACATGTATACCTGTGTAACAAACCTGCACAATCTCTGACCTACCTTGTTTGACTGTAAGTCACGAGACCCCCCCCCCCACCCCCGCCATTCCAGAAGGGGCCTTGCCGCCTACCCAGAAGAAAGGAACGCTGCTTAGAGAGGCCAAGAAGAATCTAGATAGACAGGCCTGGCTGGGTTTTGCCATTCAGTCTATCAGCCCTTATTGTCCAATCTGTTTCGACATGGCTGTCCATATGTCGTTGAACCTAAGCAGAAAAATGGACAACATTTCCTGCATCTCTGGGTCTTTGTTCTGAAGGTTCTTTTGTACACCTTAATAAATCATCAGAACTGGACTTCCTCCCTCCCGAACACCCCTTGGTCCCTTCGGCCGGGCTTCTGTGCCTCCACCAACCGCAGCTCTGCTATTTTTACCACAATGGGCATATTCCATTCACTTAATCACCAAATCCTCCTGGCCTCCCCAAAGGAGGCCCCAGGCCCCTCCAGCTCCTTCAGCCTGGAAGAGGGAAGAGGAAGCAGAGCTCAACGGATTCTTTCAGCTGCTTAAGGAAGGTTCCTGAAACCCAGTAATGACCCTGTCATCATTGAAACCCCAAGTAAGCCATTAAGAAGGGAACAGGGCTGGACTTGGCAGCTCACACTTGTAATCTCTGCACTTTGGGAGGCTGAGACAGTTGGATTGCTTGAGCCCAGAAGCCGAAGACTAGCTTGGGCAACATGGCAAAACCCCATCTCTTAAAAAAATATAAAAATTAGCTGGGCATGGTGGCACGTGCACCTGTAGTCCCAGGTACCAGGGAGGCTAAGGTGGGAGGATTTCTTCAGCCTGGGAGGTCAAGACTGCAGTGAGCCATGATCGTGCCACAGCACCCCAGCTTGGGCAACATAGCGAGACCCTGTTTCAAAAAAAAAAAAGAAAAGAAAAAATAAAACAGGCCTCCAGTGCCAACAATGAACTCCCGTCCCACAGAGTGCCCTGGAGTATACGCGATGCCCACTGGCCACTGTCTCGAGCCATTAGGATGGCTTGTTTCCTAATGGCTCTGACGCTGGCAGGTCAGAGGGCTACTGTGGGGAAGGACAGGAGTGGGATGTCTGCCTTGTCCTCCCTGCCCCATCCCCACCTCTTCTATGAGACTTTGGTTAACTTTGGTCAAGAGATAGTTGTTCCTGGGTCAGGAAACACAGTCACATGTGCACATATACAGACACCAACATACCTATCTGCACACAAATACACACACAGATGTGTTTATTCACACTGACACAGATATACACACCTGCACACTCACATATATGTACACACACACTCATGTGCACTCCCAGATACCACGGGCATCTGGGCACCCTTCCCATCTTCGGGGCCCCTGAGGCTGCCCCGGGCCTGGCTGGCACTACCTCACTTCTGGCTCCGGGTGAGCAGAGGACCAGCCTGGCTGTCCTTAGACATCCTCTTACCCCCACACCCCCTGAGCCTGGCCTGGGCTGCTCCATAAGGCAGCTGCTGTTATTTAGGCTTCCGTTTTCTTCCCCTCACCAAGGAGACCTCAGGGACCCGAGCCACCCAAGGGCAGGGGCTGTGTGCGTGGCTTGTACGGGATTCACTTTAGAATCTCCAGTGGTGGTGTCAGGCTGTGTGGGTTCCAGAGTGTCAGACTAATTTTAAAAATCTCAGTGTCTGGGCTGGGTGCAGTGGCTCACTCCTGTATGTAATTCCAGCACTTTGGGAGGCCGAGGTGGGAGGATTGCTTGAGGCCAGGAGTTTGAGACCAGCCTGGGCAACATAATGAGACCCCTTTCTCTATGAAAAGTTTAAAAATTAGCCAGATATGGTAGTTCACGTCTGTAGTCTCAGCTACTCAGGAGGCTGAGGTGGGAGGATCGCTTGAGCCCAGGAGTTAGAGACTGCAGTGAGCCATGATTGCACCATTGAACTCCAGCCTGGGTGACAATAGTGAGACTGTATCTCAAAAACAAAACAATAAAACAAAAAAAACCCAGGTATCTGGTCTAGGCACAGATCCCCTAATAAGCATGCACCCTCACACACACACAAACATCCATAAACACAAACACACACAAATCCTTAAACACATACATCAGTGCACATTCACACAAGCACACACCCTTGTGCTTGACATACATACATGGACATGTACACACGCTCACACAGATATGAGCACATCACACATATCTGCACATACACAAACATAAACAGACACATGTACACTCAGCACAGACACAAGCATGCACAGGCACACACACACTGAAGTACACAAACATATACAGAGATATACACACATGTAAATCCATGCACAGAAGCCAGCATGCACGCACAGGCATGAACACACATGAAAGCGCACACTAAGTACACACACACAAACATATACAGAGACATACATACATGTAAACCCATGCACAGAAGCCAGCATGCATGCACAGAAGCCAGCATGCACGCACAGACATGCCGAAGTGGGGAAGGACACCGAGAGGGAGCCTTGCAGCTGGTTTGGAATCCTGCCCTGTCTCCTTTTGCACGCTTGTTCCGGGATGAGGTATTTTGCTGAATGAACAGGAGACACCCAGGCTTGGCTGACCTCCAAGAGAAGGGAAGCAGGAGTCACTGATTTCTCCTTCTAACTGTCTCATGTGCCTACTGGCTGGCCCAATCCCTATCCCAAACGCCCTCCCTGCCCCCACCATCTATAAGCATTCCGTGCGGCCTCCAGAGCCCCTGAACCCCAGCTCCAAGCAGCAGAGATGCCCCAGGAAGAAGGTCAGGCTCCTCCGCCTGACACTCCACCACATCCCAATTGCACCCCAACATAGACGCCACCCCGTGCTCCAGACACTCAAAGTCCCCCTCCCTCCCACAGACCTCAAGCTGGAGGGTGCCTTTGATGGTCACTCTGCTGCCCTGCCAAGCATGTGCCCACTCCAAACTCCTCTACATCCTTCAAGGCTGGCTTGCATGGCCCCTTCTCTGACCTCTCCACCCCCAGACACAGCCAGGCCCTCTTCTCTGCTGTCCCTGTCCCTGGGCATTTATACCTCCATTACTGTCCTTGTCACACTGATGTTTAGTGAGGCTCAGTTGTCTCTGCGTATAGGTCTTGCCTGTTCAGTTGCTTTTGGAGGCCACAGACTACATCCTCCTCATCCGAACGTGCCAGGAGCCTGGCTTGTAGTAAGCTTTCAACAAACACATGTCGGCAAAATGAATGAACGAATGAATGTGTTGACGGTGCTAAGTTGAAGCAGGTTCTGTTCTGTTTAGAGATGGGGACCAGGGCCAGCTGGAGAAGCTTCTCTCAGCTATACTGTTCTTGAGCTCAGCTGCGTCCCCAGAGGGAAGGATCTGCAGGGAAGGCTTAGCAAAGGAAATGCCACCTCCAGTCCCATTCAGCAGGAAATGCCCACCTTCCCTGGGAAGCTCCGTTTTCTTAGTACAAGGGGAAATCAAATCAGATGTTCTGTATTCCTATCGGTATGGATTTAGATGATGGAATCGAAAGTTTGCATTATCACCTATCCAGCTGTGCTCAGATGAGATTTCCAGTCACACAAAGCATGGATACACCACACAGAACGAAATCCCACAGCGACCATGGGAGGAGAAAGCCCTGCGGTTGCGGCTCCGACAGGAGGATGTCATGTCTCCAAGTTCATTCTCCATAAGCTGAACCTGTGCCCAGTGGGCACCCGCAGATGGCAAACCTCTGCCAGTGCTGAACGTCTGCCATGTGTTCTTACCCCATGAGCCTTGGCGAGAGCGAGCTCCCTTTTCTCCCTCCCCACCCATAAGGTCAACTCGCCCCCATCTTAGCTGAGGCTTCTCCTTGTTTAGGCACTTCCGATATTTGGTTCTAAGTTTCTCATTTACCATTAAAGCAATTATCAGCTAAAAATGCTCTGCACCCTACAACAATGCAACCAGAGGATAGAAGCCTATTTGAAGTTATAAATAACTCCCTTTCTCCTGCCACTTGTTTGCAGTGCTGTATAAATCTTGAGGTGTGTGAATTTCATCATTATGAATGTTCTTTAAAATGTAATAAAACTTTTTTCATTAAAAAAGTCAGCCAATGAAGATCAGCCCCGCACGCACCCTCAGACGGAGGCCCGCAATATTTGCATTGCAGAACAACTGTAATTTTATTCATGGGTTGGCATAGCCTCAGCCCATCGGTAATTAAACACGGAACAGCTGTCACTCTGCCCCATCCTAGGGAGACAGGACGGAATAATGAGCCCCTATCGATGGGCTTGGTGGTAGGGGGCCTGCATAGATGGAGGGGCGGTGGCTGGCACAGGGAGGGGGCTGGCGTGGGTAGGGGCTGGCATGAGTGTGGGATCTCTGGGCCTGGGCCCAGAGCTGTACCTGGCTCACTGATTCCAGACTTCCCTTCTGGCTTCTATGGGAAGAGGGAACAATGCATATGTTTCCCAAAGGCCATGTGGGACCTAGCAGAGGTGGGCTGGGGGTTGTGGGGGAGACTGGGGAGTACCTTCAGCTTCCACCTTGAACCCTTCTGTGCTGTTTGAAACATGTTAACAAGAAAGCAGGGATTACTTCTGTAACTCACAGAGCTAATTTTAAAAAGGGTTGGGTGCTGAGCAGTGGCAGCAGAGGGAAGGAGGGGACCCTGGACCTGCCAGAGCTCCTGCTGGACTCATGAGGACCTGGAGAGAGAGGTCCCAAAACTCTGATATCCCAGCCAGAAGGGGCATTGAAGACCTTCAGACCTGATGCCCCGTTTTTCAGATGAGAACTCTGGAGGGCTGGGGAGGTGCAGTGGTTTGGAGGAGTCATTGGCTAGAGCCTGGCGCAGTCCACATGTCTGGGTTCCGGACCCCTACAGCCCACAGTGTGACCTGGAGCAGACACATCTCCAGGCTCCTGGGCCTCAGTTTCCTCCTGCAAACAAGGAGTGGAGATTCAGCGTGTGTGGGGGTCGGGTGGGTGCCTTTAGGGCTGGCAGCACAGAGGTGCTGGGAGCAGTCTTCCCAGAGCCCCTTTTGGGCTGGACCTATTCGTTTCCTGGGGGGCCCAGAAGGGGAGCCTGGGGGTGACCCAGTCTGCTGTCTGTCTGTCCCTCCCACAGCCCCCATCTGGACTCCCCTTGTACCTCCCTGGCCCCCAGTCTGCATAACAGCTTCTCTGACCACCTCTCAGCAACCTTCCCTCCATCCCTGCTTCTTTTAGGGTTTCCAGGTTATCTGTACCACACCACCAGCACCAGCAGGGGACAGGGGCTTTCTCCCAGAGCCCCTGAGGATCCCAGATCAGGGGTCCAAGGACAAGACCTCAGGGCTCTGTGTCCCTGCAGGCCCAGCTCCCCGCCCACTGCTCAAGGCTGCCTACCCTCAAGGTGTGCCATGGAACATGTGACATCCATGCCAGCCCTCTTAAGGGACACTTCCATCCTTACCTAGGCATCCCACTGGGTCTGGAGGCCAAGGGTGGGGGTGGCCTCCTCCACGAAGGTTTCTTGGCTTATCTGGGACCACAGAGCACTTGATATGGTTAGGATTTGTGTCCCCACCCAAGTCTCATCTTGAATTATAATCCTTATATCCCCATGTGTCACAGGAGAGACCAGGTGGAGGTAATTGAATCATGAGGGCAGCTTCCCCATGCTGTTCTCGTGATAGTGAGTGAGTTCTCACGAGACCTGATGGTTTTATAAGGCGCTCTTCCTCTTGGGCTCTGCACTTCTTCCTGCTGCCTTGTGAAGGAGGTGTCTTGCTTCCCCTTTGCCTTCTGCCATGATTGTAAGTTTCCTGAGGCCTCCCTAACCATGCTGAACTGTGAGTCATTAAACCTCTTTCCTTTATAAATTACCCAGTCTCAGGCAGTTTTTAATAGCAGCATGAAAACGGACTAATGAAGCTCTCTTGTTTTTCTTGAGTCAGGGAAGAGCTGAGCAGATCTGGCCAGCCAGGTGATGGGCAAGACACAAAAGGGCCTCCCTCCGTGGGGCTGTGCTGGAGGAAGTGGCTCAGTGACACTGGGGTGGGGAGGGGAGGTCTTCTGGGAATGGATTGGCATGTACGGACTGTAGTGTCTAAGATCTAATAGACCCATGTCCTGTACCTACTGTGACAATGGGGAGCGGGGCATGCAGTGCTTTGGGTGGGGCACTGCCCATCCTAGTTGTGCAGAGCATGGTGGGAAAGGTCGAGAGGGCCTGTCTGTGTGGTGGCCCTATGGAAGGATGGGATGAGGGGTTCCTGGAGGGAGGGGTGATGGCTGGGAATCCCTAAGGCCATCACTGGGGGAAGGGGGTCTGCCAGGTCATTTCAGGGAGAGGAAGGGGTGTGCCCACTATCAGGCTGTTCCCTCTAGGACTCAAAGAAGGGGGCATGTAACCCAGACCCAGAGGCAGGGGGCACCTCTATCACACCCATTGTCATACACATGTTGAGAGCAGGGCTTGGCTGTGTCAGGTGCCCGGGATCTGACTTTCTCCCTGTGACCGTGAGGGTTTTATGTCCTGCTGGTCCTGATGTCCTCTGCACCGTCATGTCTGGGCCTGTGAAGGTGGCAAGATTTTCAAAGTCATCTGTGGAACATAAGCTCTAATGACAGAAAAGAATGTTTGAAATCAGGGGACCTCTGCTGAGGCTCCTGGGGCCGGGCAGAGAATGTCCTACAAGATGGGTGGCACCAATGTTTATAAGGACCTTCAGGACTGGTGAGAGCGCAGCCACACAGGAGCAGGCAATCTCCCGGCTAACAACACTCAGTACATGGGATGCGTGGATCCTGAGAAACACCATGGGGCATCGACGGACGCACCTCTGCTCTGCTATAGGCAGAAGAGGCAAGTATTTTGGTTCATGTGAGAGCATGCATGAGAGTGTGGACATGTGTAGGAGTGTGTGTGTGTGTGTGTGTAAGTGTACACAATGTGAGTATGCATGTGTATGACCATGCCGATGTGAGCAATTATGCATATGTGAGAGTGTGCGTGGGTGTGAACATGCCCCTGTGAGAGTGTGCATGTGTGCAATTGTGCACATGTGAGAGTGTGTGTGGATGTGAGCACGCACATGTGTGTATGTGTGACAAGCCCATGTGAGAGTGTGCGTGGGTATGAGCACGCACATATGTGTGTATGTGTGGCATGCCCATGTGAAAGTGTGCGTGTGTGTGTGCGTGTGCATATGTGTACATGTGAGTGTGTGCAACTGGGCGAGTTTGCACGTCTCCACTAAACTGTGCAGTCAGGAGGGCCTGGGGACCCAACAGCCAGCTGAATGTTTCAGCCCCAGCGCTCTTTTCAGCCCTTTCCCTATTAGTGGACTCATGGGACAAGCCTCCAGGAGTGGAAGGTGTCATTCCCACAAGGTAGACCTGGGGGCTATCCCTGAGGCCCGTGCTGCTATCTAAGACTAAGATGGTTTGAAGCCAGTGAAGAGAAGGCTTTCTTGGGTGCAGAACCACAAGGCCCTCACCACCCGCTAGCAGCTTTAACAGCTGTGGCTTCCGGGTGAAGGCTGCCGTAGGAGAGAAAACCTGCTCAGAGCGGGTGGGAGTTTGGATCCGCTTTTGGTCTTCAGTGCCCGGTGTTGGTGTGGTGCTGGTGGATGTGCAGGCCAGACACAGCTCAGCTCCAAAGGTAGGGCCCCAGGGGGATTTGCCTGGGAACACTGAGGCATCCAACAGCTCAGCAAAGAGCTGGGGCGATCGCTAAGAGGAAGGAGCCAAGTTGGGCACCAGAGCACCCCGCGATCGAGGCTCTCCCGCCCATAGTCAGATCCTACTGTGCTGGAGCTATGGCCGCTGCTCTTCCCCCTCCCTAGCCCCTCCTCACTTCCCTAGCTCCTTCCTTCCAGCCTGAGCTATTTGGGGAGGAACAATGCAGAACTGGTTTGGGCACAGTACGGGACCCTGGCTGAGCAGGAGGGGCCCTGATGGAAGAAGGCAAGGAGGCATTGCTGAGCCAGCAGGAACCGTGCTTCTGCCACCTATAAGCATGTGGGGGCAGGGCCTCCTTCTGGGCTGGGACATTGCCTGGTAACCTCTCCCTGTCTCCTCTGCCCACACCTTATACCAGCGACAGCATCCAGTGCTCCACAATGCTCCTGACGACGGCCATGGCTGCTGTTTATTGAGTGGTTAACTCTGTCCAAGTCCTGTGCTTGGTGCTATACACCAAGATATCTCTACTATACACAGATAATGACGAGGCATAACAGACCACGGGAGTGATTACTCTCTCCCTTTAGAGGTGGGGAAACAAGCCTGCGGGACTCATAGAAATAGAACTCTTGGTCACAGTCCTACAGCTACAGCAGGTTTAAGCCAAAATGGGATGTATTGGCTCATATATCCAAAAACTCTGGGAGCAGCCCCAGCTCCAGGTTCAGAATCTCAAATGATGCCACAAGGACCCTGTCCCATCCACATCTCTCTTCTAGGGTCTTCTCTACACTAGCCCCATTCTCCAGTGCCCACATGGGGCAAGATGGCAGCCTGCGGCTCGGGATCCCCAACCGTTCGGGAGTCCATCTGGGGCATGTGCAATGTCATTGGCTCTGATTGGGTCATGTGCTTAGCCCTGAACCAATCACCATGGCTGGAGAATGTGATGCTCTGATTGGTCAACCCCAGAGTTTTTGGGACAGTCAGCTGTTCAGAAGCAGGAGGACAAAGGCAGGAGGTCCCCAGAGAAGAACAGAAGAAGGTCAGTGACTGCATGCTGGATGGCAGGGCACAGACACCCACCACAAAGGCCAGAGCTGAGCCAGACTCCAGAGCCCCCCTCCATCTCTTCCCAACCTCCCTACGGCGCTTTGGGGTCGCTGGGCTGGCATGGCTGTCCCAAAATTTTTAAGACATGCCCACTGAAAAGTCCCTGACCGAGCCTCAGGCCTTGGGGACTGCATCTGTCAACATCACCTCTGCCCGAGATTTGGGGGAGGTGGAGGGTGCTGAAGGCAGGGATGGGGCCACTCCCACACAGGCTCTTCAAGTTGGGGCCCTGGGGAACCCAATCAAATTGTCACTGCAGTTATATAACATAAATATATGGGCTGTAATTATTTTTAAAAATATACCAATAAAATTGTCTCTGATTATTTTAGTCACAATACAAATCGCTTCAATTAGAGCAGAAATAGGGCGCGGGTTTATGGCTTCCCATGAATCTGAGAGTAACCTCGGCTCGGAGGTGGAAAAGCCGGCAGCTCCCTCTCGGCCCTCCGATGAATCCTGCGGCAAAATGGCCCCGAATCTAGTATGGAAGCAGCAGGCTGGAAGGAGGGAGAGGGGAAGCTGTCTGGGTCATGCGTGCAAGGCCTTGATGCCAACAGCTGGTTCCAGGCCTGTTGGGACAGGAGAGATCTCCAGGTTCACGGGAAGGCGTGATGTGGGATTGGGAACCCTGAACCCCTCATTGGTCCACACCCTCCCTATGTAGCCCCTGTCTCTCCCTCTGTAGTGGCATGAGTGGCCTGAGACTCTAGGGCCTAGAAGAGCCCCACTCAGGATGGAGCCTCTCTCCACCTCTCCTGGGCCTTCGGCTGTGGCCTGGTCCACCCAGTGCTCCCAGCCAGCAGCATCCAGGTTCCCCTTTATAAGATGGCAATTTCCACCTGCCGAGAAAGGGAGCCCAGTTGAGCCCTGAAATCCAGTCAACGCCCCAGTTACCAATGGGGAAACTGAGACACCAAGCAGAAGCATAGTTCAGGTCACACAACAAAGGAGCTGCAGACCAGAGAAGACTCCAGGCTCTGCCTCCCAGCCCTAGGAAGCCCCGGGAGAGGGTGGGGACAGAGGTCACTCTGTGGCCAACAGCCAGGCCCTCACCATCCTCCTGTCTTGCCCTACCCTTCTGCCCCAAGCTCTTCACAATGCTGAGACCCTCAAGAGCCCTACTGAGCCCCCTCTGCCCGGTCAGGGCCAAGGAGACCTCGGCAGACAGCCATCTCGCAAGTCTAGTTTGTGAGTTGGGCTCAGCCAATTAGATCGTGCTGTGGTCTGGATGTTCAGTCACTCCCCTCCAAATTCATATGTTGAAACCTAATCACCAATGTAATGGTGTTAGAAATGAGGCCTGTGGGAGGTGAATGGGATGAGTGCCCATATAAAAGAGGCTCCAAAGAGCTCCCTGGCCCCTTCCACCATATAAGGCACCACCTTCTACCAGAAAACGGGCTCTCACCAGACACCGAATCTGCCTGGGCCTTGATCTTGGACTTCCCAGCCTCCAGAACTGTGAAAAATAAATTTCTGTTGTTTATAAGCCACCTAGCTTAAGGCATTTTGTTATAGCAGCCCACACAGACTAAGACAGGTCCCCTTCCCCAGGGCCCACAGCCATGCTCTGTTCTCTGATGCTTTCCAGCCTGGAGTGTCATGACCTGCAGGAGACGCTCATCCCTCCCACCGTGGTGGTTTTGGAACACACTGCTGGCAACATCATTTGTCCAGGGACCCCCACTAGGGGAAAACAGCACTAAGGCCCAAGCCTCTCAGAGCCAGTACTACATAGGAGGTGCCCCCACACTTCCCAAGCTCACGGTGACCATGTGGCTTTGCTAAGAGAGCTGGCTGCAATATTCCTCTAGGCAGCTGGAGAGGAAGTCCCCTCCCTGTCCCTTCAGGCATGCACACAGGGGTATGGCAATGCGCCTCAGCCCTACCACACCTCCTCTACTGCCCGGGCTGGAGGGCAGTGGCATGATCTCGGCTCACTGAAACCTCTGCCTCCCAGGTTCAAGCAATTCTCCTGCCTTAGTCTCCTGAATAGCTGGAACTGCAGGCACACACCAACACACCCAGCTAATTTTTATAGTTTTAGTAGAGACAGGGTTTCGCCAGGCTAGCCAGCCTGGCCTCAAGTGATCCACCTGCCTCAGCCTCCTGTAGTGCTGGGATTACAGACGTGAGCCACCGCGCCCAGCCTGCACCTCCTCTTTTTGAGGAACATAAGCATTTTTCTGGCAAACACCAGTGAAAATGTTTTTGGAATTATTTTCCCATTGGAATTGCAATAAAAACACGGGTAAAGTTGGAGAGAACTTGAATCTTCACGCTAGCGGGTTTTCCCATCCGGGGAAGAACCATTTCTCTCTAACGAGGCACGTCTTTTTGCCCTTTTTATGGTTTTCTCTTTTTCTTTGTATGGGTCTGGCCTATTTCATGTTAAGCTGGTGTCATTTATCACTTTATTGATGCTGTGAATGAGGCCTTTTCCACTTTATTTTCCAGTCAGCTCGTCCCTGGCATGCAGGAAGCTATGGGTCTTTATCAGGCCACTTTTCCAGGCTTTCTTAGCAGTTCTGTTTTGCAATGAATTCTCTTGGACTTTCTGGGTAAATATAAACATTCTCTGCCAAGAATGATAATATTGTCTCTTGCTTTCTAATCTTTGGACTGTTTTTCGTTGTCTTTATTTCCAGTTGTACTGTCTTGGCCAAGTACCCTTGTTTAAGACATGTGGGGAGAGGGGTCACCTCCAGCTGCTCATGAGGCCCCCAAGAGCCCTCTGCACACCTGCAAGTCTCCTGCTGCAGCGTTCCCAAAAGCTCTTGTCTTTAGAACATTCTCAATCCAGGGCTGGGCATGGTGGCTTACGCCTGTAATCCCAGCACTTTAGGAGGCCAAGGCGGGCAGATCACCTGAGGCCAGGAGTATGAGACCAGCCTGGCCAACATGGCAAAACCCCATCTCTACTGAAAATACAAAAATTAGCTGGGAGTGGTGTTGGGCGCCTGTAGTCCCAGCTACTCGGGAGGCTGAGGCAGGAGAATCGCTTGGAGCCGGGTGGCGGAGGTTGCAGTGAGCTGAGATTGTACCATTGCACTCCAGCATGGGTGACAAAGCGAGACTCCGTCTCAAAAAAAAAAAAAAAAAGATCCTACCGAGGGCTGGTGGAAACACAGTCCCCGCCCCCCACAGTGGTGCTGTCTCCCCTTCCATCCAGCAAGCGTTTACTGAGCACCCACCACCGGACACACCCAGGACGACACCTGGGGATCCAAGGAAGACTGGGTGAGCATGGAGGAGAAGACTCATTGGTGCAGCAAGATGAACTTGTGCATGTGAGTGAGCAACTGGGGGATGGGGGTGGGGCACCGAGCTGAAAGGTGAACATGGCCCTTCCCGCTTGGCTCTACAGAGAGGGAAACAATGTAAGGGACAGATAGGAATCCCTGGTGGATGAGACAGGAGGAGCGTGCCGGTGAACCGCAGCCTGGAGGTGTGGAGGAACATGCCGCCCAAGTTCCTAAATCCAGCCAGCGCAGGATTTGAGGCTGGGGAGGAGAGGACACGAGGCTGGTGGCAGATGTGGGCTTGGCAGGGAGGCCTGAGACAAAGCGCTTAAATGTATCTGGAGGATGAGGGACTAAGGCATATGTACAAAAGGTCACTGCTATTCCTGGGATGGTGGGGGAGAGGGGCTGGAGCTGAGAACATCCTGGAGGATCAGAGAGAAATGGGCCTTTCCCAGATGAGAAGACTCGCTATTGTAAAGATTCAAGTTCTCTCCAAATTTATCTGTGGGTTTTTTTTTTTTTTTTTTTTTTTTTGAGATGGAGTCTCACTCTGTTGCCCAGGCTGGAGGGCAGTGGCGCTGTTTCAACTTCTGCCTCCCGGGTTCAAACGATTCTCCTGCCTCAGCCTCCCAAGTAACTGGGATTACAGGCACCTGCCACCACACCTGGCTAATTTTTGTATTTTTAGTAGAGATGGGGTTTTCATCACAACAAAATTAATGGCATTTTTTTTCCTCCTGACCCCAGGGAAGGGAGAAAATGGGCAACTCGCCAACTCCCACTCCCTACCTGCCCCCATCCCTGCTGTGGCTTCAGCTATACCCAGGCCTCCAGAGCAGAGGAGGGTAGAATAGATACCAAGGGCAATTTTCTACTCAGATAAACCATCATCATGAAATTGCATCACATACTGGTGACATTGAAAATAAAATTGTTTAATTTCTAATTTGGGGTAAACAAAAAGTTAAGGTGGCTTGCGTTGCAACGGTAGCAACATCCGGCAGGGTGCAGTGGCTCATGCCTGTAATCCCAGCACTTTGGGAGGCCGAGGCGGGTGGATCACAAGGTCAGGAATTCAAGACCAGCCTGGCCAAGATGGTGAAACCCCGTCTCTTCTAAAAATACAAAAATTAGCTGGGCGCAGTGGCAGGCGCCTGTAATCCCAGCTATTCGGGAGGCTGGGGTAGCTCGAACCTGGGAGACGGAGGTTGCAGTGAGCCAAGATCTCGCCACTGCACTCTAGCCTGGGTGATAGAGCAAGATTCCGTCTAAAAAAAAAAACAAAAACAGTAGCGACATCCACATTTTAGCAGCTGCTGGGAGGATGTCTCCTGGCTCTCAAAGCCCTTTCTGCCTTCTCTGGAAATGTACCCAAGACTCGGCCAGGCCCTGGCCGCAGCACCTGTGATTCAGAACTGGCCAAGTGGATTTTCTCTTCCAGGAACCAGAGGTGGTGAAGTTGAGTGCCTTATTCATGGCCAGTCCCAGGGAGAGGAAAACCCCAAAACTCCAGCCTCCAGGCCAGTCTGATTTTGTTCAGCAGTCTCTCTGGTCCAGAGAGCCAACTTCTCGGTGTTTGTTGGTCTGGAGCTGCCCACCATCCATTCCTTCTTGTTGGTGCCCTGATTGACCTGTGGGAATCACTACTCCCATGTTCTCAGTCTATGAGCTGCAGGTGGAGCTGCCCCGTCCACCTGGGCAGCAGCCTGTGACCCAGGGCCTCTGCCCATGAGAACACTGCTCTCCCGTGGCCACCAGGATTGGCCCTGAGGTGGGCATGTGCCTCTGGTCACATAGTCAGGCCTCATGAAGACTAATCCCAGGGCTTTTTTTTTTTTTTTTGAAATGGAGTCTCACTCTGTCACCCAGGCTGGAGTGCAATGGTGTGATCTCAGCTCACTGCAGCCTCCACCTCCTGAGTTCAAGCGATTCTTCTGCCTCAGCTTCCCGAGTAGCTGGGGCTACAGCGCCCGCCACCACGCCTGGCTAATTTTTGTTTTTTGTTTTTTTTTTAGTAAAAACGGGTTTTACCATGTTGGCCAGGCTGATCCCAAACTCCTGACCTCAGATGATCCACCCACCTCGGCCTCCCAAAGTGCTGGGATTAAAGGCTAAGCCACTGCACCTGGCCCTAGCCCAGGGCTTTTGTCTGAGCAACTTGGAGTAATCGTCTGCCATGTCCAAGTGGACCTGCACTTGGACAGGTGTAAGCAACCACTCTGCCACCATGAAGAGCCTAGGAAAGTCGTCCACAGAGTCAGCCAGAGCCCAGAGATTGTGCCTGAATCCAGCCCCACCTGAGGCCAGCCTGCCCTGGACAGGGGTCTACTCAGCCCGGGTGAATCGGGTGTTCTGCTCCTTGGCACTCCAAGAAACCTCCCCACAAACAGCATCTTTCCAGTAAACCCACCTCCACTCTTCTGGCTTAAGTGAATCCAAAGCAGTTTCTGTTGCCCAGCAGAAGAGCTGGCTCCAGAAGCCAAAAGGATAAGAACAGGGAGACCCAGCTCTAGGAGAGCCACAGATCTGGGGTTGTGACCAGTTCAGGGATGGATAAACCCAGCATTGGCCTTTTGCAGTGGGGACAGGAAGTGGAATCGCTTAAGCTGGATCCAGGGATGGGCCTGGGCATAGAAGGTTTGGGGGCCAGGTGGCTTGAGCTGGGCCTTGGTGGCATTTGGATGGGGGAAGAAGTACAGGTGTGGGAAGCCAAGCAGGCAGGACTAATTGGGTCCAGAGGCCTGGGCTGAGCAGAAGTGGACACGGTCTGGCGAGCAGGCTGGGGAGGTTGGTTTTGACACCAAGAAAATAGGACATCCCTGCAGTATGATTTACGCCGGATGGTGGATCATTGATTTAGGGTTTCTGACAGGTGTGCTATTCTGAAACTTGACAGAGAGAAACATTAAGTCCAGGAGTTCCCATTTTGCATCAAGCAATCGTATTTCTCTCCGCCTGGTCAATTCTACAGCCAAAGCACTTTTGTCCCCTGGAGGGAGTTAGGATGGATTTGAATTAACCAGGAAGTTCCTTGACTGCTATTTTAGAACTCCTCTCTGCTACCTGGCCTGACATAATAATTACCTGCCTGTGATTTATCTCAGGCAGATTATGAGTGATGATAGGGTTTGGGGTGATAATTGAGTGTATCCAGCACCCTACCTCCTCCCTTGTGATTCAAGCTGAAGCAGCCGTCATTGTCCCTCTGGGACACTTGTATGCACTGCTGCTGCACCAAGAGAGGGTTATGGAACGAGATGGGCATTTGGCAGCAACTTTCCACTGCAGCCAGCCCTATGGGAATCTCTCCAGTTGGGCCACTTGTAAGTCATCCTTTCGACTGTCTGGGGTCACCCAGGGCCATCTGTCTGTCACCACAGAGGTGATCCTCAGCATTCCACACCGCTGTGGTGACAGACAGATGGTCCTGGGTGACCCCAGACAGACAGGGGACCTGGAAGGTGCGGGAAACACTGTGGACTTTTGATGAATCCCTGCCAGAATTGAAGCTGCCACATTGAAGTGGCTTCTCTACCCAAGAGTTTCCTGAGATTTGGAAAGACTGAAGCATGACATGGGCTGTCCCTACTCATGTTTCCCAGGGACAGGAGCTTTGGCCGGGGCTCAGCAGGGACCTGGGCACTCTGTCAGGCCACCTTGTCACTGTCCCTGGAGGATGGAAGGGAAACATGTCCCAGAGTCCTGCCCAGCAGTAGCAAAGGGCATCTTAGCAGCCAAGAGTCACTCTGGGGCTGACAGGAGCATGGCATTGGGATCAGATGCTCCCATGCCAGCCTGGCTCTGCCATGTGCCAGCCATGTGCCTTTGGGAGGGTCATTGACATTTCTGGACTCTGGCATCTGCATCTGTGAAATGGATCATGAGGCTGCCATGAAGGTGCTCAGGCCTCCCTTCTAGAATTGCTGTTGAGGTGCAAGGAGCGTTCCAGCTGAATGAAGCCAGGCTCCTCCCAGGCATTCGTCAACCAGCGACTGTGCATGGCAGGGGGCCCAGGACCTGGCCATTTGTGCCTAACCTGGACTCCTCTTGTGGGCACTTTCTACTGCGGAGCTCCCCAATAGGTTGGCTGAAACTTTGTGAGCTTTCATTAGTGTCTGGGGCTCTCCCTGCCCAATCACTTCCTCCCCTGTTATCTTCCATAGACTTTACCCCTAGTAAACCTGTTGCATCTCCAACCCCATCTCAGTACCTGCTTCCTGGGGGCCCCTACTGACACAGATGACCATATGCCTTCCTCTGGGAGCTGTAGCAAGGAAGAAACAAGATACCATAAATGAAGATGCCGGGGCGGGATGGACAACTCCAGGGGGCGCTGCCTGGAGCTGCACCTTGCACTTGTCCAGATGCCTTTCGGGGGTCCCACGCTGTGCGAGCTGAGTTGGAATCTGAGCCACAGCACTTCCTTTCTTCTGTATCAGAGACTATGATGTCCCAGTGCCAGGAATTCCATGAGCAAGGGTACACACATGTGTCCCCAGCAGCAACCGGTCTCGGCTCCAGGTCCTCCAAGCCTTGGTCATGCGGGGTCTTGCTTTGTAGAGAGACTAGTGCATGCTCAGACACACCTGCCAGCTGCGTGGGCATCCAGAAGCCAGGAACTCCCAAGGAGAGATATCCTCAATGCTGTCACAGTTTCCTTCTACACACAGGAGGCTTGCCCCCTGCACATGCATCTGCTGAGGGAGCCCAGTGCCCCCAAGCCTTGAACCCTGGGGTCTGGCTGCGCTGGAGGTGGGTGGTTGGATGGGGGAGCTTGGCTTGTTGGTGCTGATGGTCTGTTGGTGCACCAGGGCCATAGGATACAGAGTGGGGCATGAGTGGGTGTATTTCTGAACCAAGTAGTTGGAGACCTAGACTCTGCCCAGATTCTACCACCAGCTTCCTGTGTGAACTTAGGAAAGACATCATTAGTTCAGCTTGGCCTTGGCACATTTACCCATAAAATGGGTATAATGCCGTCTCAGTTCCAGGGTTCTCGGAGCTGGATGTGGGCTGGGGGGTAGCAGCTCCCAGGCTGGGGCTGGACTGCAGGATGGCTGAACATAGTAGCCACATGCCTCAAGTTTCTACCAGCCTGCAAGGGAGTGAAAGGAAAGAACAAAGAATTGGCCAGGTGTGGTGGCTGACGCCTGTAATCCCAGCACTTTGGGAGGCTGAGGCAGGTGAATCACGAGGTCAGGAGTTTGAGATCAGCCTGGCCAACATAGTGAAACGCTGTCTCTCCTAAAAATACAAAAAATTAGCTGGGCATAGTGGCAGGCGCCTGTAATCCCAGCTACTCGGGAGGATGAGGCAGGAGAATAGCTTGAACCTGGGAGGTGGAGGTTGCAGCGAGCTGAGATCTCGCCACTGCATTCCAGCCCAGGTGACAGAGTGAGACTCCGTCTCAAAATAAATAAATAAATTAATTAATTAATTAATAGAAGGCTGGGCGCGGTGGCTCAGCCTGTAATCCTAGCACTTTGGGAGGCCGAGGCGGGTGGATCACGAGGTCAGGAAATCGAGACCATCCTAACATGGTGAAACCCCGTCTCTACTAAAAATACAAAAAATTAGCCGGGCATGGTGGGACGCACCTGTAGTCCCAGCTACTTGGGAGGCTGAAGCAGAAGAATAGATTGAACCCGGGAGGCAGAGGTTGCAGTGAGCCGAGATCACGCCACTGCACTCCAGCCTGGGCAACAGAGCAAGACTCTGTCTCACAAAAAAAAGAAAGAAAGAAAGAAAGAAAGAAAGAAAGAAAGAAAGAAGGAAGGAAGGAAGGAAGGAAGGAAGGAAGGAAGGAAGGAAGGAAGGAAGGAAAGAAAGAAAGAAAGAAAGAAAGAAAGAAAGAAAGAAAGAAAGAAAGAAAGAAGGAAGGAAGGAAGAAAAGAAAAGAAAAAAAGAAAGAACAAAGAATAATCAATAATTTTCTGGCTGTAGGAACGGGAGAGTTGGTGGCTGCACCGTTTATCAATATGGCGGCAAAATCAGGAATCCAGGTTGGGATGTTGCAGAAACTGCAGTGCTCTAGCTTCCTGCCCAGCCTGCCTTTCTCTACCTCCTCTTCTGATAATAGAGCCCATCCTTGCTGTGTCCTTGAGTGGGATGCAGCTGACTCCGCCCCCTGGCTTCAAGAGTGGGACTTGACCCAGACCTGGCCAATGAAATTACGTCATTCCCCCCAGACACCCTGATTGGTTCAGCGATGGGCACACAGACCCAAGCCAGCTGATGGGCATCTTCCCTGGAACTTTGGGGAACTGAGTGCTTGCCCTCTTTTCTCCAGGCTTGCAAACCGGTGTGTGGAAGGAACTTTGGGAAATGTGAGTGGCTGTTTTGGCTGCTACAGGCAGTCAGCCTGCCCAAGAATGAAGCCAGTAACACAAGAAAACGGAACCAAAAGAGGGAGGGTAGGGTCCTGAAGATACAATTTGGACCCCTGGATCCAGCCGTAACTGAAGCAAGCAAGACATTCCTTTGGACTTCTCAGCTGTATGAGTCAATCAACGCCTTTTTTTTCCACTCAAAAAGCAATATTTGAGCACAGAGTAAATGCCTAGTACTTTATTGGGCGCTGTGAAAATAGCAGGGGTGAAAACAGACATCTTTGAGCTCTTCGGGAGCTTACAGATTGATCAAGAGAGCATTTCTCCCGGCTATGAAGCTAACGGGAGTTTGTCAATTGGATCTTTGCAAGAAATGTGA
Source organism: Homo sapiens (assembly GCF_000001405.40). NCBI lineage: Eukaryota > Metazoa > Chordata > Mammalia > Primates > Hominidae > Homo > Homo sapiens. Next base: position 33,542,886 of record NC_000019.10, on the reverse strand, counting down.
AGGACACAATAGGCGGTGTTTGAGAGAACAGTTTTGTGGGAAATAAAGAGACAATCTACACGTGCACATTTAATCTACTGATCCCCAGCCGAAACCAAGGACAGAGTGTTAAGACATGGTTTGGTAAAAACAGCTCTGTGTGAAAGCAGAGAAATACACTTTTTGGTGATCTGGGTAGAAACAAGGGAAACAGGGCTTGGATAATTCATTATTGTTGTTATTATTATTATTATTATTGAGACAGAGTCTCGCTCTGTCGCCAGGCTGGAGTGCATTGGCACGATTTCTGCTCACTGCAACCTCTGCCTCCCGGGTTCAAGCAATTCTCCTGCCTCAGCCTCCCGAGTAGCTGGGATTACAGGCGCCTACCACCACGCCTGGCTGATTTTTGTATTTTTAGTAGAGACGGGGTTTCACCATGTTGGCCAGGCTGGTTTCAAGTTCCTGACCTCGTGATCTGCCCGCTTTGGTCTCCCAAAGTGCTGGGATTACAGGTGTAAGCCACTGCACCCAGCAGAAAACCTTTAAATTGTTGGTTTGTCCCTGGAATAGCCTCCTCCGAATGACAACTACCCTAGCTGCACTCTTGACAGAAGCCACTTAGTAGATGATTTTTTCAATGTTTACCTTTTTAATGATAAAGATCATATAAGCACATTAGCAAACATTTGAAAAACAGAAAAAGAGCTCTGAAAATCTTACAACCCTAATGCAACCATGGTTAAAAATATTTTTTGAGAATAGAATGACAGGGTCCCTGATGTGGTTGATAAGCCTGTGTGATGTGTTTATTGTTCTACTCTGGGCACTGAGAGCCCTGGCCTGGCCTCAGGGGTGAAGATGATGTGTTAGGGAGCAACTCTGAAGCCTAATTGACCAAGTTGGAATCCTGCCCTATTCAAGAACTATGTGACCTCGGGCAAGTTGCTCGGCCTCTCCGAGCTTCTGTGTCTTCATCTATAGACTGGGCATATAATGGGACCTATTTTGTTGGCACATTATGAGACTGAAAGGAGATGGAGCTGAGTAAATATTGGTCCTCTCCTCACCTTCCTGCCTAAGCACAGCTGCAGACTCCTGACCCCGGCTGGTCCTCATGTCCTGATCCTCCAGTGATAGAATATGCATGGCCCAACCCTGAGCCACCAGTGGTATATCAGCAGGGAACATCACCTCTGCAGTGGGGATATGACCATCTGGGGAATTCAGGGGCTTCCCAGATCCCACCACATGCCCAGTTCAGCACATCCCAAGGCACACCCAGCCACTGCTCAATCACTCCTTTCTTCAGTGTCATTCTGTGCTCTGATACGTAAAGGGTGCCAGGCTCTGAGATGCAGACACACAGCTCTTGCTGTCAGCTCCCACTCAGAGTCCCAGAGCCAGGGCTGTGAGGAGCTGGGGAATCATCTCTGCCCAGAGAGGGCACGTGCTTGCCAGAGATCACATGAGTCAAGGAGTGAAGCCAGGCCTTGAACCCAGGTCTCTTTACACCGAGTGTTTGTCTTTGGGGAGGAGGCCAGGAGGGTGTGTCTGCCAGAAGCTGGGTTGCAGGGGGGTCTCAGGTTCTCCATCCCAGGCCCCTCCACACTCCTGAGACCATCCCTGGCCAGCTCTCCCCACCTCATGGATCTGCCTTCCCACGCTAGTGATGCCAGCATCTGTGCCAGAAAGAAGGGAGGGTACCCACCGCTGAGCCCTGGTGTAGTGGATTGGATGGTGGTCCATAAAAGATACGTCCACCTGGAACCTCACAATGTGATCTTATCTGGAATAAGAACCTTTCCAGGTGTAATTAAGTAAAGGATCTCAAGATGACGATCATCCTGGATTAGGGCAGGTGCTAAATCCAATGATGAGTGTCCTTTTAAGGGACAGACACAAGGAAGACACAGAGGAGAACGTCATGCAAAGACAGAGGCAGGGAATGGAGTGATGCTGCCAGGGAATGCCAAAGATTGCCAGCAGCTGGAGAGACAGGAAATGCATTCTCCCTGGGAGACTCCAGGAGGAACCCACCTTGCTGTTACCTTGATTTGGACTTCTGGCCTCCCAAACTGTGAAAGAACACACTTCTGTTGTTTAAGCCACCCAGCGCATGATCATTCATCACAGTGGCCCCAGGAAATCAGGACACCTGGAAAGCTCACTTAGGAGCAGGGGGCTTGGCTCAGCGGGTACCACTCCCTCCTGCGTGGGCTTGTCCAAGTGCAACAGCCACAGGACTTCAGATCTTCCTCTGGGAGGTGGGAATGAGGTTGTTCACATTCCACCTGTCTGTCATACAAGCGTTCAGCCACTGCTAAAGGATGTTGGAGGGACACAAAGCCAGATGCTAGTTAAAGCTGGTAAAGACACCGGGCATGGTGGCTCATGTCTGTCATCCCAGTGTTTTGGGAGGCTGAGGCCAGGAGTTCGAGACCAGCCTGGGCAACAAAGCGAGACCTCACCTACAAAAGATTAAAACAATTAGCCAGATACGGTGACACATACCTGTAGTCCCAGGTACTTGGGAGGCTGAGTTGGGAGGATTGCCTGAGCCCGGGAGGTTGAGGCTGCAGTGAGCTGATATCGTGCCACTGCACTTCAGCCTCCAGAGTGAGACCCTGACTCAAAAAAAAAAAAAAAAAAAAAAAGAGGTGGTAAAGATGGATGCTATTCAGTCAGTAACTACTGCAGTAGGAGAGACTTTACTGTAGAACTCAGCTCAACTCTAACCCAGGTAGCGGTGACTGGGCATTTTAAAGGGAAAAGGGGGTGGAGGTGGAACCAGTGGGGGTTTGTGCAGAGTCAGGGAGGTGAAATAAGAAGTGGGTAGGGGCTGGGTGTGGTGGCTCACGCCTGTAATTCCAGCACTTTGGGAGGCTGAGGCAGGCCAATCACTTGAGTTCAGGAGTTCGAGACCAGCCTGACCAATATGGCGAAACCCTGTCTCTACTAAAAATACAAAAATTAGCCGGGCGTGGCTGTTTGTGCCCATAATCCCAGCTACTTAGGAGGCTGAGGCACAAGAATCACTCGAACCTGGTAGATGGAGGTTGCAGTGAGCCAACATCACGCTATTGCACTCCAGCCTGAGTGACTGAGCAAGCCTCCATCTCAAAAAAGAAAAAAAGAAAAAGAAAAAGAAAATTGGGGAGGGGAGGTTGATCACTGGGGTTAAGCCATCTGAGTTTGCTAACTGGTGCTTATTGAAATTAGGGCCCTATCTTCAGATGCTGGCAGGAACAGACAGTAAATATTTTTGGCAGGCTTGAGTTCTCTAAGCAGGGTCTGGGTCTTCCCAAGAATGCAGTCTTCAGCTGATAGACCCCAGGCTAGAGTTTGCTCCAAGTCTCTTGGTGTGCATTGGTGGGTGCAGGGGTGCTGGTGGATGGAAATGGGCTAAGAGTCTGCAGTTCTTTTTTTGTTTTTGTTTTTGAGAGAGTCTCACTCTGTCGCCCAGGCTGGTGTGCAGTGGCAGGCATGATCTCAGCCCACTGCAACCTCTGCTTCCTGGGTTCAAGCAATTCTCCCACCTCAGCCTCCTGAGTAGCCGGAACTACAGGTGCACAGCTCCACGCCCGGGGAATTTTTGTATTTTTAGTAGAGACGGGGTTTTGCCATGTTGGCCAGCCTGGTCTCAATCTCCTGACCTCAAGTGATCTGCCCGCCTCTGCCTCCCAAAGTGCTGGGATTACAGGCGTGGGCCACCGTGCCCCGCCGAATCAGCAATTCTTACAGGCCAAGGTTGAGCCCTCATCAAGAAGAAGGCTTGGAGGAGCCTGAGTGTGGCCGAGGAGAGAGTCTTTGTCCAGGAGTGTGTACTCCATGCCAGGCAGGTGGAAGCTGGGGTGAGCCCTGCTCTCCTGGGAGCTATCTCCCCACAGGAACACAGACAAGTCAAAGGGCTTCCCAGGAGAGTGTGGGTTGATGGGGATGACGCAGGTGCGGGTGAGTGCATACAGCAAGGGCAGTGGGCAGGCAGGAGGCAGGGGTGGCCAGGGAAGGAGAGAAAGGGGCCAAGTTGATATCTGAAGGAGGTGGAGCCAGGATGTGGCAGGGAGGACCAGCGCCTGAGGCAGGGGCACAGCGTCTTGGATGTGCAGAAGCCTAGGAGCCCAGTACCTGGTAAGGAGAACACAGGAAGATGGGGCTGGAGCTGACCACAGGAGACGGTCAAGTTGTACCAATGTTTGAGGCCCCACACCCAGGAGTTAGGCTCAGGTGGGGCTGGGGATGGGATCCAGGCATAGCTAAAATGCAGCCGGGCTTGAGGCCTCACTCCGATGGCCTAAGAGTAATGTAGCATCCTTGTAAGCAGCCAGGAGGGAGAAGATCACACTGCTTTTATTATTTAAAAAAAAAAACAAAAACTTTTTTTGAGATGGAGTCTCACTCTGTTGCCCAGGCTGTAGTGCAGTGGTGCAATCTCGGCTCACTGCAACCTCCATCTCCTGGATTCAAACAATTCTCCTGCCTCAGCGTCCCGAGTAGCTGGGACCACAGGCATGTGCCACCACGGCCGGCTAATTTTTGTATTTTCAATAGAGACAGGGTTTCGCCAAGTTGGCTGGGCTGGTCTCAAACTCCTGACCTCAGGTAATCCACCCACCTTGGCCTCCCAAAGAGCTAGGATTACAGGTGTGAGCCACCAAGCCCAGCCAGATCATTTTCATTTAAAGAACTGCTGAGCAGAAGCCGGGAGGGTCTTGTTGAAGGTTCTAGTGATAACCGGGGTGGGAGAAGAGGGGGCCTGGCCAGGGCAGGGAGACTAGGGCTGGGCGAGGGGAGGGATTCCAGAAATATTTAGAAGGATGGGCAGCATTTGGTGATGGCTTGGATGTATCTTTGAAAGTGGGCAACACCCAGTCTCTGATGTGGACAGCTGGCCTCGTGGATTCTGAGATGGGGAATACCAAGGCAGTGAGCAGGGCGGTGGGTAAGCTGTGCCTGTTTAAGGCTTTGTCTTGCCTGGTGATATGGTTTGGCTATGTCCCCACCCAAATTTCTTCTTGAATTGTAACTCCCACAATTCCCATTGTATTGTGGGAGGAACCCTGTGGGAGGTGGTTGAATTATGGGGACGGGTCTTCCTGCGCTGTTCTCTTGATGGCAAATGAGTCCCATGAGATCTGATGGTTTTGAAAAGGGGAGTTTCCCTGCATAAGCTCTCTTCTCTTCCCTGCCACCATGTGAGACGTGCCTTTCCTCTTCCACCATGATTATTAGACCTCTCCAGCCATGTGGAACTGTGAGTCCAATAAACCTCTTTCTTTGGTAAGTTGCCCAGTCTCGGTTATGTCTTTATCAGCGGCATGAGAACGGATGAATACACCTGGAAATAACTGAGAGGGGCCATGGGCAATACAGAAATGGAGCCAGGGAAGACTCTGAGCTGGAACTAGGGCTGCTGGAGTTGCCTGCACCTCATGGGCAGTTGGAAAAGACAGGGTCTTCCCAAGGGTTGGGCTGAGTCTCAGCAGCTGGAGAAGGACTGACCAGAGGGGCAGTCAGGAGAAGGAGGGCACCTGGGAGGCAAGCAAGAGACAGTTTCAAAAATAGGGAGTGAGGCCAGGCACGGGGGCTTATGCCTCTAATCCCAGCAATTTAGGAGGCCGAGGTGGAAGGATCACTTGAGGCCAAGGCCAATGTTGGCAGGAGGAGGAGACAGGCCCTTTCAACCCTCAGCTTCAGTGTCATCTCTACCCTCTCTAGAGTCCCTTGGTCATCCTGGTCTGTTTTCTTCTTGGCTCCTTTTACCATCTGAAATGACGTGTGAACAGGGTGCAGTGGCACATGACTATAATCCCAGCACTTGGGGAGGCCAAGGTGGGAGGGTTGTTTGAGGCCAGAAGTTTAAGACCAGCCCAGGTAACATAGCAAGGCCTCCATCTCTACAAAACAAACAAAATTGATCGCGCCACTGCACTTCAGCTCTAGCCTGGATGACAGAGTGAGATTCTGTGCCCCACCCCCCACAAAAAAAATAGAATAAGAAGTGATCCCCAGAGCCCTAAAATCCTGACCGTCCCAGCGGGACAAGGCTGAAAGGTGTTCAGTGGATTCTGAGGGACAAAGAGGTGGGCTGGGCTGGGCTGCTGCTCCTCCTGTCCCCGTCTCCCAGCCCCCAAGTGGAGGTTTTCTCCTTCCTTGGAGTCTAGTGCAATCCAGGTGTGAGAGTAAAAGGAAGCTTTTGGGGAGCAGTAGGGGGAACTCCCTGGCAGGATATAAATGTCCAACTGCCTTTAAAAATGGAAACCTCCAACCTGGCCAGCATGGTGAAACACCGTCTCTACTAAAAATACAAAAATTAGCCGGGGATGGTGGCGCATGCCTGTAATCCCAGTTACTCAGGAGGCTGAAGTAGGAGAATCGCTTCAGCCTGGGAGACAGAGGTTGTAGTGAGCCAAGATCACATCACTGCACTCCAGCCTGGGCGACAGAGCAAGACTCCATCTCAAAAAAAAAAAGAAAGAAAAAGAAAGAAAGGAAAGGAAAGAAAGAAAGAAAAAAAAAGAAAGAAAGAAAGAGAAAGAAAGGGAGAGACAGAGAGAAATAAAGAAAGGAAAAAAAAAGGAAACCTAACAGGTTACATTTTCTTCTTTCCTGCCTTGAAAAGAGTGAATACAAACGTTTCTCTCCCCTGTCCTCCTTGAGGGCAGCTAGATTAATTGTGACAGCTTTTCTTAAGAATAATACACACTGAAAAGTGCATAGCTGTAAGCACACAGCTTCTTACATTTTCACAAACCAAATATGCCCCTGTAACCACCCAGACGAGTTAAACCTGCCATCCCTGACCCCAGAAGTCCCTCCTGTGTCCCTTTCCGTTCACTGCTTGCCGGGAGCCATGACTCTGACTTCCCATAGTTTAGATTAGTTTTTCCTGTGTTCCTCTTTTTTTTTTTTTTTTTTTTGAAATGGAGCCTCACTCTGTGGCCCAGGCTGCAGTGCAGTGGTGAAATCTCCATTCACCGAAACCTCTGCCTCCTGGGTTCAAGTGTTTCTCCTGCCTCAGCCTCCCAAGTAGCTGGGATTACAGGTGCGTGCCACCACGCCTGGCTAATTTTTTGTATTTTTAGTAAAGACAGCGTTTCACCATGTTGGCCAGGCTGGTCTCGAACTCCTGACCTCTTGATCCGCCCGTCTTGGCCTCCCAAAATGCTGAGATTACAGGCATGAGCCACCGCGCCTGGCTTCTGTGTTCTTCTTAACTTTAAATAAATGGGGTCATACAACACAGATTCTTTTGTGTCTAGCTGATCTCACTCAGTGTCGTGCTTCTGACATCCATCCTCTTTGTGATGTGAATTTCACTGGATGAAAACACCACTTTATTCATCCAGTTTACTGTGGATGGGCATTTGGGGAGTTTCCAGTTTGGGGGTATGTTGAATAGTGCAGCTATGAGCCACCTCTCGCCTGTGTCTGCCAGCAGACGTCGGCTCACATTTCTGCTGAGCGTATACCCAGGAGCGGAGTTTCTGGGTCAAAGAAGAGGACTGTTTTAAGGTTGCAAATGAATGGCTTCCTTTCCAGGTTTCATGAGTCATCTGGGCTGACTGTGAAGACTGAGGCAAGATCTGGACTGTGCGATGAAGGGACAAAGAGGAAAAGGGAGCAGGACCCGTGGGCAGCCTTTGGGAGGCAGGCGCAAGGCAGAGGGATGGGGACCAAGGGGGAGCTGTCACGCACAGGGTGGGAAGAGAGGAGGCCATGCCCAGGGGCTCCCCCTGCCTTCCCTCCCCTGCCCCCAGCACCTACTGTCCCTGTTGGGGAGGACTCTGTCTTGAAGCTTTCTTGGTCCTGGCTTCCAGCAGAATCAACCAGGGAGCTGTCAAAAATCCCAGTATTCCCCATGAAAACTCTGAGGGAGTTTCCACAAATTCCCATGCCTAGAAATTCTGTTTTACTTGGTCTGGGGTGAAGTTCAGGCACTAACAGCTTTTATTTTATTGTTTTATTTAAAAGTTTTTTAGAGATGGAGCTCTCACCATATTGCCCAGGCTGGTCTCAAACTCCTGTCCTCAAGTCATCCTCCTCCCATGGCCTCCCAAAGTACTGGGATTGCAGGTGCAAACCACTGTGCCTCACCTGCTAGAAGCTTTTAAAGATTCTCCAAGAGGTCAAGTGCAGTGGCTCAAGTCTATAATCCCAGCACTTTGGGAGGCTGAGGCAGGAGGATAGCTTGAGCCTGGTAGTTTGAGACCCGCCTGGGCAGCATAGTGAGACCCCCATCTCTACAAAAAATAAAATAATTGGTTGGACATGGTGGCATATGCCTGTAGTCCTAGCTACTTGGGAGGCTGAGGCAGGAGGATGGCTTCAGCCCAGGAGTTCAAGGCTGCAGTGAGCCATGATTGCGCCATTGCACTCCAGCCTGGACAACAGAGCAAGACCCTATCTCAATAAATAAATAAATAAATAAATAAATAAATAAATAAATAAATAAACTCCAGCAGGTTCTACTGGAAGCCAGGGCAGAGGACCACTGGGTCCTCATATGGTAGTAGTCCCTCTGGATCTCAGTTGGTCTCCAAGAGCCTAACCAAGAGTGTAGACCACCTACCCACCCACTGGCAAATGTCATGCCAGGATGAGCTCTCAACCGCAACCAATAAAAATGAACGCAGACAAATGTATGCAGAAAAGGACCCCATCGGAAGGATATTGGGCAGCTCTTAGAACCTGTGAGGTCCTGGGCTGGGGAAGGAACCCCACCTGGGCCGAGCTTTTCTGTGGGCAACTGGCTCTGCCCTTGCAGCCACCACAGCTGCCCCAGCCTCCGGCTCTGATTCTTGCTCTGCTGCAGCCACGACGAATCTTTTCTGGCTGAGCTAAGCCTGGGCAGGGGCATGGGCCTGGCCGTGCTTGGGCCTGCACCCTAGCTGCCCTCCAAGAGAAAGGGTGTCGGGGTTCTGGGCAGCCACCACGACAGTGCCCACAGCTTCTCCACCTGCCACTCTGGCAGAGTGGGGACTCTGGCAGAGGGGGAGGAGGTCGTAAACACCGTGTGCCTGTTCTGGAAGGGGCCATGCTGGGCAGGATGGAGAACCCCAAGTGCCTGATGCTCACTAACTCCCCACCATAAACCCTTCTCGCCTTCTCTCTGGGATCCCAGATATGCAGGCAGCACTGGAGCCCCAGAAACACAGGACTCGAGTGAGTTCTCAGCAGGATGGAGGCTGATGCAGGGATGTCCTTGGTCCCTTCCCTGAACTGTCCTCCTCACAGTCCACTGAATGTCAGAACCCAGGGCTTGGATTCTGGGACCAGGTCTTGGGATTTGGGATGTAGTAGGGGTCAAGGTCAGGGACAGGGTCAGGATTTGAGACAGCTCTTCTCACCCAACATGACCCAATGGGATGACCTCCCCTGGGCCATCCAGAAGGAGGGTGGGATTTGTCAGGCCCCCAGCGAGTCCCCAGCAAGTCCTCTGGTGCCCAGCCTCAGGGTCTCTGGGAGCAGGGGACGGGGCCAGCGGACCTGTGGGGTCCGTCCTGGAGCAGCTTCTCCACCACCCTCCCCTAGATGGCTGGGCCCTTCCCCTCCCTCCCCTCCCCCTCACTTCGGGGCTCAGGTGCTGGAAGGAAATCTCTGAATCCATGGAAACCACACAGGAGGCTGGAAACCAGGAAGGAGGAGGGGGCTGGGCGCTGCCTTGCAAGTCCTGGGAGGGGGAGGGGGATATTCCCTTCCTTGATGAGTAAAAGCCTCAAATACCATTTTCTTTCTCACCAGCAGCCACCTCACCAAAGGATGGGTTCCCAATTCTCTCCAGAGCTGAGCAGATGAGGTGGGAGGAGCTAGCAGACCCTGGGGTGGGAAGCAAGGGGCAGGGCAGGGGGAGAGGCAGGGGGATGAGAGTCAGAGGTAGTGGTTGGTGTGGTGGAGGTGGGGCTCCGGGGTCAAGCTGGGGTTGAGCATAGGGGCTCTGGGGCCAGGAGGTGGAGGTTGGAAGATGGGGTCAGTAGCAGGAAGAGATGGAGTTTGGATGGTGGGGTTGGAGTGAGGCAGGCAGGGGTGGTGGGGCCAGGGTGGGGAATTGGGGCGCGGCACGCGGGGTCTGAACTCCCATCAGCCATGGCAGCCCCTGGTCCTCACAGACCCCAAGTGTCCCCTTGGTCCCACCCCTGGAGAGCTCTGTCTGTGATTCTTATAAATCACAACCAGGCCTTTTCCTGCAAAACACAAAGCAACCAACCTCCCCTCCCCAGACAGTTTACCGTGTCACTCTGCAACCAGAAGCTGGGACAGGACAGCAGTGGTGATGGGCTGGGTGGGGGTGAGGTAGGGGTGTCTGGGAACAGGTTCCACAGACTCCAGGACCCATGGTGGTTACCAGAAAGCGGTCTGGATCCAGACCCCAAGAAAGGGTTCTTGGATCTCCCACAAGAAAGAATTCAGGGTGAGTCCACAGAGCACTGTGAAAGCAAGTTTATTAAGAAAGTAGAGGAATAAAAAAATTTTTTTTTAATCTAAATGCACCTTCCTTTAATAAAAAATAGTTTCGATTTAAAAAAAAGAAAGAAAGAAAGTAGAGGAATAAAAGAATGGCTATTCCTGGGCCAGGCACAGTGGCTCACGCCTGTAATCCCAGCACTTTGGGAGGCTGAGGCGGGCGGATCACGAGGTCAGGAGATCAAGACCATCATGGCTAACACGGTGAAACTCCGTCTCTACTAAAAATACAAAAAAAGTAGCCGGGCATGGTGGTGGGCACCTGTAGTCCCAGCTGCTCAGGAGGCTGAGGCAGGAAAATGGTGTGAACCGGGAGGCACAGACTGCAGTGAGCCAAGATTTTGCCACTGCAACTCCAGCCTGGGGGACAGAGCAGGACTCCGTCTAAAAAAAAAAAAAAAAAAAAGAATGGCTGCTGGTTGCCCATTTTTATGGTTATTTCTTGTTTGTTTCAAATAGGTTATCCAATTTGTTGCTATATGTTATTTATAATATTCCTTTATAATCATTTTTATTTCTGTAAAGTCAGTAGTAATTAACCCCTTTTTCTATTTCTTTTCTTTTCTTTTTTTTTTTTTTTTTTTTTGAGATGGAGTCTCGCTCTGTCACCCAGGCTGGAGTGCAGTGGCGCAACCTTGGCTCACTACAACCTCGGCCTCCTGGGTTCAAGCAATTCTCCTTCCTCAGCCTCCCAAGTAGCTTGGATTACAGGCATGTGCCATCAGGCCCGGCTAATTTTTGTATTTTTAGTAGAGATGGGGTTTCACCATGTTGGCAAGGCTGGTCTCGAACTCCTGACCTCAGGTGATCCCCCTGCCTTGGCCTCCCGAAGTGCTGGAATTACAGGCGTGAGCTACCGTGCCCGGCCCCTTCCTTCTTTTCCTTTTCTTTTCTTTCTTACACATATTGCCAAAGCACCTTCCAAAGTAGCTGTTTCCATTTCTCTCCACACAACGCTACAACATTTGATCTCAGCAAGCTTGTACTTGGTGCCAGGCTTGGGTGGGAGTAGGGAGCCCCTGTAGATCCCATGAGTCCCCTGGCCAGGCCAGTGAGCTTTCCTGCCCGAGCTGTGGGGAGGGCAGAAGGAGTCGGTATCAGAGGGCTTGATGGGCCCTCACTGGGGGAAGAGAGGGAATAAACCAGGCTGGGAAATGGATGCCCAGTGGCCAAGCTTCATCTCAGGAGAGGCAGCCAGTAGGGCCAGCCTGACCTCCAGGCACAAGAGAGGCTGCTTCCTTACGTGGCTGCCCAGACAACGAACTCCAAACCTGGCTACAAACCACAGGCAGCTGGAGTGTTGGTTAAAAATCCAGGTGCCTGGGCTGGGCAAGGTGGCTCACACCAGTAATCCCAGTGCTTTGAGAGGCCAAGGCAGGAGGATGGCTTGAGCCTAGGAATTCGAGATCAGCCTGCACCCTGGGCAATATAGCAAGACCCCATTTCTACAAAAAATAAAAATTAAAAATTTGGCTGGGCATGGTGGCACGTGCCAGTGTTCTCAGCTACTTGGGAGGCTGAGGTGGGAGGAGTGCTTGAGCCCAGGAGTTGGAGGCTGCAGAGAGCTAGGATCATGCCACTGCACTCTAGCCTGTGTGACAGAGCGAGACCCCATCTCTAAACAATAACAGCAAAATCCAGGAGCCTGAGCTGCACTCAAGCCCAGCAAATCAGCATCTCTGGGGGCGGGCTGCATTCCCACCCACCTATCCCCCTAACCCGCAAAGGAGCCTGGCACTTATCGTTCTGCTTTGTGGACTGTCCCCAGAGGATTTGGAGACCCTCAGAAAGTGCCGTTAGTCTTCACATAACAAGCATCCACTGATGACAGAAGGGACAAAGTCTGTCCTTGGTGCCACATCCAAAGCTAAAAACAGTTTTCTGTGCAGCCAATTCTCCAGCCTGGAGTTCAGGGAACATTCGTAACAATTTCATGAGCTTTTCTCAGCCCAGTTTTGGCCTCCTCTTCCTTTCAAGCAGAGATGGCACCTGCTGGAGATTTTAGGTCTCTTCTGCTCCCAGATCCCTGTGAAGAAAGGCCTGGCTGCTGCCCCAACAGGGCTGGTACTGAGACTCTGAGCAATGAGGGCAGCTGCCTGGCCACACCTGGAAAGGAAAGCTCAGGAAGACCTCGTGCTGGGCAATAGTGGGTCCTGCAGGTGGGCTCGTCTGGGAACTGAGATGGCATCACTTTGGAGGACCTGCAGGTGCAGAGCCCCTGCCCCGGCCTCACCACTGCAGGATGATTTCGGTTCATTTCCCCACAAGCCCTAAAATGCATAGTATGATATCAATCTCTGAGATCTGGAAATAAAATTGTGATTTTTCCCAAAAGCTGTTTGAACTGAATATCCAGAAAGAATGGGGAAAGGAGTGAGACTCCTGTCATTTCATCACGGCATCAGGGAACTTGGCATCTCATTCAGAGACCGTGCGACTCTCTGAACGAGGCACAACAGTCGTACCTATTAATCTTTTCTTTTTCTTTTTCTTTTTCTTTTTCTTTTGAGATGGAGTTTTGCTCTTGTTGCCCAGGCTGGAGTGCAATGGCGCAGTCTCGGCTTACTGCAACCTCCGCCTCCTGGGTTCAAGCAATTCTCCAGCCTCAGCCTCCCATGTAGCTGGGATTACGGGTCCCTGCAGCCTTCTCTGCTCAGAAGCCATGCTGTGCCCCAGGCGGGGGTGGGGAGGTGAAGGTCACACTCTCTCTCCAGGGCCACACAGCAGTGCTGCTTGGACCCTGCATTTTGCAGAGCTCCTTGTGCACACAGGCCCTGCAGGGTCTCCCCCAGCCTTCTCTCTGGGGCAGTAGTCCCAGGATCTCCTCCTTCCACCCTGTGTTGGTTATAATCATGGTCTAAAACGCTGCTGGATGCAATGGGTAAGACGATCCCTGAGAGAGCTCAGGATGCGGGGGCTGGCTTGGCTGGTCTCTGCTGGACTCACTCATGGGCCAGCAGTTGGCCTCAGGCTGGATAATCAAGGCTGCCCACGCCTGTGTGTCTGCTGGTTAGCTGTTGACCAGGTATCTCACCCTCCGGCGAGGGCATCTTCCCATGGTGATGGTAGCAGGGCTTCCAAGAATGGCAAGAAGGTGAGCCTGGTGGAGGAGCACCTTCCAAGCTTTCCTTCTCATTTTCTAAAGTAAGTCACGTGGCCGCCACATTCAAGGGCTGGTGAAATAGATTCTACCTCTAGATGGGAGGGGTTGAACATCACAAAAGCGGGTTGTGGACGCAGCACGTAGAAGAATTTGAGGTCAATTCTGCAATCTATTACATGTCTCTAATTCCTCTTACAAACCTCCTTGCAGGCTATCTCTTCCTTACATGCAAATCCATGCGCACAAGCAGAGCCCTGTGGCTGAAGCCCCGGACTGGACCAGAGGCCCTGGGTGTAGCGAGGAAGCATCTCCCCTACCCTGGAAGACTTCCTGCTCACCCTTGTTCCTCTCTTTCCCTTTAGCACTGCTGTGTTTGGCTGGACTGCCAGCCTGCTTGCTTGAGGTGGTGTGGCAACCCCAGGTCCCAGCCAGTCCTCTCAAAGGGGCTAAGCACTGGCCCCCTGGGCTTGGGGTTATGGACTCACTCCTTCGGTCAAGGTCGCTCTGTAGCTGAGCAGGGCTACAGTGACCTCACAGGTCATCTCCCCCACCTTCACACCTGGGAGATAAGGATGCTTGTCTCTCCTCACTGCCCCTACCCCTCACATGACCACTGAAATAAGGATAGCACCCCCATGAGCCAGGGGCTGAGCTGAGTGTCTCCTGTGACATTCATCTAATCCTCTCAACAATCCTCCCAGCTGGGACCCATCGTCCCCATTTTACCAATGAGGATGCTGAGGCTCAGAGAGGTTGGGTTATTTTCCCTATGCCACACAGCAAGTAAATAGCAGTGCCAGGAATCGGACCTAGCTTCCTACATCCAATTCCTAACCACTGTGTCCAGGTTCTCTAATAATAAGTACTGCTAGGAATGATGGCTCATGCCTGTAATCCCAGCACTTTGGAGGCTGAGGTAGAAAGATTGCTTGAGCCCAGGAGTTTGAGACCAGCCTGGGCAACACCGTGAGACCCCATGTCTACAGAAAACATGTTTTACATTAGCTGGGGGTGGTGATGCACACCTGTAGTCCCAGCTACTTGGGAGGCTGAGGTGGGAGGATTGCTTGAGCCCAGGAGGTCGAGGCTGCAGTGAGCAATGATTGTGCCACTGCACTACAGCCTGGGGGACAGTGCAAGACCCTGTCTCAAAAACAAAAAAAGAGCAGTAAGTATCAATAAGGAAAGTAACTACCACCACATTTGCATCATGTTAAACTGCCCCCAAGGGCCTTAGTGTTCAAGGGGTCATCTGACCCCTTGGAACTGCCCTGTCAGGGAGGTAAAGCCCATCCCATCTTCATCTCCAAACGGGGAAAGCGAGGACCAGAGACGTCAAGCTGCCAGGAGTCAAGCCCAGGCTTCTGGCTTTGAAGTCCATGCACTTCTTTCTCCATCACACAGTTTCTATTCGAGCATTTTGTGCTCAGGGATATTTATTTGGCAATGACATGGAGGCAGAGCTAGGTAAGAGCTCCAGAGCCAAGACACTGGAAATAAGCTGGGATGGCGGCACACGCCTGTGGTCCCAGCTACTCAGGAGGCTGAGGCTGAAGGATCGCTTGAGCCCAGCAGTTTAAGGTTGAGCTATAATGGTGGCATTGCACTACAGCCTGGGCGACAGAAGGAGACCCTGTCCCCCCATCACTCAAAAAAAGAAAGACAATTGTGTATCCTGTCCCCCGGCATGTAAATCAAAAATTTAAATTATACCAAACCATCAAACAAGAAATTCACACTTATGCTAAAACGAAAATAGCTGCATTCTAGACATTCTGATTGAAATATTCAGGCTTTTATCCAAGCTAAACTTTTCAAGGTTTTACTTGTGGGGGTAGGTTTTGTGTATCTACCCCCACCTCATCTCACCCCATATACACACATCCCCACCCCCAGCAGAAGCCAAAAGGGACATGATAGCCAAGGTGTGGGCATGAGACTTGGGCACTGCAACTGGCTGTACTGCCCATCAAGCGCTTTGAGCATGCAGGGGGTGAAGCCAGGACACTGTATCAGTCCCAGTTACGCCCAAGGGCAGAGTGATGGCAAGGGTCTGAGCAGCTGTGCCAGCTGCCATGTCCTGGGGGTAGCCTGGTGGTGCACTCAGCTGCCAGCCTCCCTGCCTCTGCCTGTTTTCTGAGTCTGTCTCTCCTGCAACTGTGCAACTGGACAGCATTTGAATGTATCCCTCTTCTACTTGAGGTGAGACTCAGGAGCTGCTTGCTACAGAAAAATCTTGACGAGTCGGGGCTCAGAATGAGAAGGGACTGCAGCCAAGTAGTTATGCAGGTGAGCAGCAAAAGAGCCACGGGAAGGAAGAGGCTGGAGGAGAGACAAGACATTGAGGAGGAAGTGCAGACAGGGGTGGGGTCAGGAGCAATCCCAGTGGATGGAGCGGGAGGAGACACAGGTGATCTCATCTTGATGGTGGCATGGACAGAAGGACCGGCAGGTGCTTTCATGAAATGCTTCTTAAAATGACACCATCCTGGCCAGGTGCAGTGGCTCACGCCTGTAATCCCAGTACTTTGGGAGGCCGAGGCAGGTGGATCACCTGAGGTCAGGAGTTTGAGACCAGCCTGGCCAACATGGCAAAACCCCGTCTCTACTAAAAATACAAAAAATTAGCCAGGTGTGGGGGCGGGCACTTGTAATCCCAGCCACTCCGGAGGCTGAGGCAGGAGAATTGCTTAAACCCAGGAGGCAGAAGTTGTGGTGAGCCGAGATTGTACCATCGCACTCCAGCCTGGGTAATAAGAGCAAAACTCCATCTCAAAAAAAAAAAAAATAAAAAGAAAAGAAAAGAAAAGAAATGACACCATCCTAAAATGACAAGCATCCTTCTTAAAATGACACCCTGAGCAGAGTCCCTAAAAGGAACAGTTGAGGCCAGGCTCAGTGGCTCATGCCTTGCAATCCTGAGCTTTGGGAGACTGAGGCAGGAGGATGCCTTGAGGCCAGAAGTTTGAGACAAGCCTGGGTAACATAGTAAGACCCCATCTCTACAAAACATACAAAATTAAAAATAATTAACTAGGCGTTGGGGGGGCACACCTGTAGTCCTAGCTACTCAGGAGGCTGAGGCGGGAGGATTGCTTGAGCCCAGGAGTTTGAGGCTGCAGTGAGCTATGATCACACTACTGCACTCCAGCCTGGGTGACAAAGCAAGGCCCCATCTCTATTTAAAAAAAAAAAGGAACAATTGTGAATGCCAGCAGACACCCACTGTCTAGTCAGTGACATTCAGTCACTTGGAGCTGGGCACAAGGACAGTCCATCCCCCTGGAGGGTTACTCTTCAGGTCACAAGGTATAGGACCAAATCCTCCTACTCTGGGACTTTGCACTCATATCTTTTGAAATTAGAAATTTCATCCTTTTTTTTAATCAAGATCTTGATATGGGATAATAAAATTACCAATGAATAGCCCTGCACAACGTGGGAAATGTAATAAAAGGTGAAGGCAATAAAAGGTGAAGCTTCTAGCCACTCCGCGGTGATACCCACTCGTAAGAAATAAAAGTAATTATCACCTGCCCAACCTGGTCGGCTCACTCTGCATGTGCTGAAGAAAACCATTTCAGAACTTTATTTCTTATATTGAATGTCGATAATTGGATGTATTTATAAGTCTCTCTGGAAGAAAACAGCTTGTGATTTCAAGATGGGAAAACAGTCTTCGAAACAGTGAGAAACAATATATTCCCCATTTCCACACACACAAAAAGAGCTTGTTTCCTTCGATGTTTTCAGGTGCTGTTGGAATGATTTGCTTTTCCGAAGCCACCGTTCCATTTCTCATCTTGAATTGCCTCGTAGACCCCAGCAAAGCATTCAGCAGGGACCACTTCATCTGAGGCGGTGATGGGGGCTTCCTTGGGAAGGCCCCTCAGCTCTGCCTGCCTCTTTTCTACAGGAAGATAGATGCCCAGGTGGGCTGGGCTGGGGGAGAAAGGAGAGGAGGAGTAGAACGTGATGTGGGGGCTCCTGTGAGGAGGGGGGTTGATGGATGGTGGTGACAGCTGGGGTGTAGGCCTGGAGGAAGGAGCAGGCCACACAGGCCTTTGGAGTGGGAGAGCTGTGGCTACCTCTGCAGGCCCTGCAAAGGCCCAAGGCTGGGATCTGCCAGAACCAGGATAGAGAGACGGTCTCCTGGGCATTCCACACCCATCACGCTCCTTGCTTTCCCACTTGGGAAGACACTGGGTTGCCATATGCCACCCTGCCCCTATCTCACACCCACAGTCCCCTCTATTCTTCCTCTTCTGTTTATTTGGTGCTGGCTTTCTGCATCCAGTCTTCTATTCTCAGCAAAAGCAAACAATCGCAAAACACCCAAATGCCATCTTGTGTAGGGCTTTGACCATCTGAGGCTGGCGGCCCCGTGCAGTGGCTTTATTGGCTCTTATTGGCTCTTTTCAGTTCTCTCTGCTAATCCTCCTGAGCTCCTGCTGGAGAGAGGGGTTTGGATCGGCAGCTTGCAGCTCAGAATCCCCCAGGATCTCCCCATTAGCCAAAAGCAGAACCCTCGAAGCCCCGTTCTGAGGCCCTCCCAGATGGTGGACTCCCCAGGGACAGTGTGGAGGGCTCCTCTACCTCTGTCCCCAGACCAAAGATCCTCTAGGCAAGGGCAGGGTCTGGATCCCTGGCCCTCACAGCATGGCCAGTCCTGGAGTGGCACTGTGGGCAACAACTGGGTGGTGCAGGGCAGAACCAGCATCCAGGCTACCTCCAGTGCAGTCCCACAGAGCCTCTGGTAGACCAGTGCCCTCAATCCACAGCAGAAGATGGACAGGGCTCTTCCCGGGGACCTCCCCTTCATGGCCCAAGGGTGGCTCATGAGTCAGAGCCTAGCAGGCCGCCACATCTGGGCCTGCCGTCTCCAGGCAGCCAGCTGTCAGCAGCGTCCACGGAGTTGCAAGAGTGGGGGCTAGATTGTGGGGAATGGGTGGAGGAGGGAAACCTGGCTGGACACAGTGTCCCGGGACACAAGAGGTGTCTTCCCAGGGTGAAGCTTCTTTTGCAAGGCCTGACGGGAGTTGGGGGGGCCCTTCTGGAGAATAATGCTATGCTGGCTACCGGGCTACCAGGCTGACCGAGTGCAGACATCTACCAGCCACCTGCAGGGCTTGACGAGAGGAGACTGTTTCGGCCACAAGGGCCTGTGACCTCGGAGGCAATGCCGCATGAGAGTGCTGCCTGGCGCGCTGCCTTGGCTGATTTACACACTCCCACTTCGACTCTCTAAAATCAATCTTCCCCCAATTGCCTCCTGGCTCCAGCAACGTCCTGGGTCTGCCCTGCATAAGTAACTAAATGGTCTTCTCCCATATTCTGGGCGGCTTCTGGAGCCCCTGCCACAGCCTCTGATGGGGAGGGGTGAGGGGTGAGGGGCAGCCCTGCCGGAGCCCCTGATGGGGAGGGGAGAGGGCAGGGGACCTGGGTGGGCAGGGGTCATGGGCAGTGCCTCCATATTACTGTCCACAAACAAGGGAGCTCCACTCAGTTGGTGGGTGCCTTCCTTCCATTATTTTGTGTTTGGGATATTGACTTCTTTTTCATATTAGTAAGCACTCAGAGCTGGCAGCTGGCTTAATTTTGACATATTTTATGTCAAAAGAAATGGTGGGAGGCAGGTGCAATGAATGAGCTGGGGGGTATGTTTTCCTTCCTTGAAGGCGCATGGAAAGCTCATTCTGCTCACCCTTTGTTATTATGTATTTTTTAAAGCGCCACTTACTAGGGAGTTGAGTTTCTTAAGCTGAAGGCGGACCTACTGCTTAACTAGGGGTGTTAGAAGTTCTCAGGGGCCCCTAGGCCAGGCAGTGGGGTGTGAATCCTTACCTCTGTTCTTCTTCCTGGAAACTGGCAAGAGGGTGGAGAGAGCTCCTCTTGGACCTTGCCTGGAGGTCAGGGACCCCTGCAAATTGTCCATGTGTTGTGGGAAGGGGTAGAAGGGATGAGGCCCCCCCTCTTCCATTAGCTCTCGTTTTCCTTATCTGGGACCGGGAGGTGGGAGGGGCTGTCTGGAGGGGCCACATTCCTCCTGGCAGCTTTGGTCTCTGGCTGTGCCTGCAGGTTTGAGTGTAAAACCCTCTAGCAGCCCTGTGAGGTGGCCCCATTAGCTCTCTCCTGACAGATGAGGACAGCAGGGATGGTACTGGGCTTCCAGGTAACTGTGCCACGTGCCCTTCACTACCCTGCTTATGGCTGGCTCCCTTGCTCCTATTTAAGGGGCCTATTCTCCTCCCTGCTTCATGGGGACAAACAGAAGCTGCTTCTCCAGTCATAGCCCCTGGCTCCCACCAGCCTGGCCATGGTGACCCACATCCTTGTTTCGATAAAGAAACAAGAAGCATCCCCCAACCCACAACCTTTGATCAGAAGCCACTTCCAGCTGTGGGACAGCTGCAGGGTGGGGTCAGGAGCCCCACACGCCTATCCTGGGCCACCCATCCACCTGTCCACACACATCTGTACACCACACACATCTGTACACCCTTGGCGCCAGGGACGCCCTCCCCCAACAGTGTGGGGCCCCCTTCCTTCACAGGGGCAGTGAGGTCACTCCTCAGGGTATGGCTTCATGAGCTCAGCCTCTGTGTGAGCACTCTCTGGCCTCAGTTTCCTCATCTGTATAATAGACTTAAAGATAGTCTCGACCTCATAGGGCTGTGGTGAGGTTTCTATGAGCTCACATGTGCAACGCATTTGGGCCGTGCTTGTAATGCCCTGACTCTGTTGGCAGTAGGGAGGGCAGCGTCTGCTGCAGGGTCCCTACACCTTCTCTGCAGGACTCTGCACCCAGTACCAGTGCCCAGTGGGGCAGAGGAGTAAGCCTTCTGGCAGACTCTCCCTCCTAAACCCTTCTCGGCTGTGCCCACTTCTCGCCTGCCCTCCTCCCTGGCTTCCCTTCCTCCAGCTTCTCCATTCTGCAGCCCAGGAAACCTAGAAAAGATCCTACCAGACTTAACTCATAGGCCCCACAGTGGAGGCCCCGCAGGGTCTGGCCCTTGCTTCCCTTAGGCTGCCCCTCTCTCGCGCACATTCTCCTGGACGCTGCACATTTAGAGTCCTCCAGTTGCCCCACGGCCTTTGCTCAAGCCCTTTCCCTTCTTAAACAAAAATCGCCACCTCTGCCCCGACCCTAGCCTGGGTCAGTCTCCCTCCTCTCCTCCCACGTGGTTTCTTTATTCCTATGTGTTCTTCTCCCGGGTGGGCTGGTACGCCAGATCGGGGACTGAACCAGAATCAAGATGTCCTCTGCTTCAGGACCTCCCTCCCACCACGAAAAGGCTGCAGATGCTGCCCGCTAACCCGACCTACTGTCTGCAGCCGGCAGCCCGCTCATTTATCCTGGCCGAGCTCTTGGGCCCCCAATCTCCGGGAGCCCCGCCCCATCGGGGCTCCGCCCTTCCCCAGGTACCGCCCCTTCCCGTCCCGTGGAATTTGGCTCTGGAGGAGGTGGGTCAAGGACTCCATGCCCCGCCCCCTGCCCCGCCCTTACCCCGCCCCATGCATTGGCACCCGGAGGGGCTCAGCTGACGCCGCACTTCACGTGACGCCGGTGCCGGGCGAACATGGCGGCGGCCACCGGGTGAGTGCTGCGCCTCCCTCGCTCTTTCCCGCTGGCGTGGAGAGGGGCATGGGTGTCCCGGCCGGACCGCGGGTGAGAGCGTCAGCCGGGGTCGCTGAATGCCGCGGGTAGGCGCCTCTTCCCGTTGGCCCGGAGTCCCAGCGCCGGTCGGCGAGCTGCACGCTCCGAGTCAGGGTCAGCGCGGGGGCCGCAGCTCCTCTCCACCCTCCTGGCTGGCTCCGGCCCCACCTGCCCGCGTCTGGCGGCCCCACCGTGTGCGGCTGCGGTGGGGGCTGGGGTCGACACGCATGTTCGCTGCCAAGACCCCCGGGTAGGAGGGCGGCGTTGCGAGGACCCCAGGGACCCGGGCGCTTCCCGGAGGAGGCGGTATTCGAGACGGACTTGGAATTCCCTTTTCCCAGCAGGGCACTTCCCCATTTCTTTCAGGGGCCAAATGTCACCCCCTCAGGGAATCCTTCTCTAACCATCTATCCCACTTTTTGTGCCCTCATCATCACCTGATAAACTATATAGAGCATTGTTTGTACTTGTTCTTTATCTTCTCTGCATTTAGAGTGCAAGGGCAGGTATGTTACCTGCTTCTCAGTAGCCCGGTGCCTTGCACACAGTAGGTGCTCCATACTGGGCTAAATGAAAGAAAGCTGAGTGGTCGTAGTGGGAGGAAGGGTGGACAGATGGGTTCACCAGAGCGTTGGGCGGAATCTCCCAGATAGGGAGCATCTGAGCCCAGGGTAAGGGACAAAGGTTGAGAGTTCAGAGTGTTCTGGGGACAGGGGTGCATGCCTGGGGCTGGTTGGAAGGTGTGGTGTTCCAGGTGGCGGCTTCAGACTTTGCCCTGATGGGCTGGAAGGGTTTTGTTACAAGCTGCTTGATCTGTTTTTTAAAGATTAGGCTCCCCTGAGCTATGTGTGAGTTCAATGGGAGAAGGTGTGGGTCTGGTGGTACAGTGGGGTAGAGGGGGCATGGTGTAGGAGGGAGCAGTATTCCAGATGCCAGGTTGGAAACTGAGGTCAGAATGGGGGATCTAGTGGACTGAATGCATCTCTCTTTTTAAGATACAGGGAAAATGGCAACAGAAAGTGGGTTCTAAGTTGGCCCCCAAGGTTGAGGGAGCTTAGAGCATACAAATCAAATATTTTGTGGGCACCTGCTATATTCCAGGAATAGCAGTGGGTCTTCCCTTAAGGTACTCACAGGCCACTGGAACAGATGGACACATGGGACTCTGTCATCCATCTGCTTGCCGTGTGGTCTTGCCATTTGCAAAGGAGGGGCATGGACTCTGAGCTCAGATAAAGTGTGGGAAGGCTTCACTTCCTGGGTGACTTTTGTGCTAGTCCTTCAGCAATGAGACTCCCTTCAGGTAGAGAACAGTGCAGACAAAGTCTCAGATGGGTGTCAAGGAACTCAGGGTCAGATCCTTGAATCCAGCCTGTGACCCTTTTAAAGGGTAGACTGAGCAGGCTGGTGCCCAGCTGTGGGTGTGCTGTCTCTCTGGTTAGGCTGGCTCGGTGCTCACAGGGAGTGCCAGGGGTTGCATTTGGGTTCAGGATTCCAAGCTGGCCTGAGACCTGCTGCTCTCCTGAAGGAACCAAGCTGATGTCTGGACGGGAGCAAGTCTGGAACTGACTGGATCCTGGAATGAGAGCTTTTCTTTTTCTCTTTCTTTTTTTTTTTTTGAGACGTAGTTTTGCTCTTGTTGCCCAGTCTGGAGTGCAATGGCATGATGGCTCACTGCAACCTCCACCTCCCAGGTTCAAGCGAGTCTTCTGCCTCAGCCTCCTGAGTAGCTGGAATTACAGGCGTGTGCCACCACACTCAGCTAATTTTTTGTATTTTTAGTGGAGATGGGGTTTCACCATGTTGGCCAGACTGGTCTCGAACTCCTGACCTCAGGTGATCCACCCGCCTCCGCCTCCCAAAGTGCTAGGATTACAGGTGTGAGCCACCACGCCTGGCCCCAGAATGAGAGCTTTTCTAGCAGAACCGATTCTCTGGGCCACCACACAGGGTGGGTGAGGGAGGCAAAACAGAGTGGCAGGTCTTAGAGAGGTCTGCTATTGAGAGGGTGTGGGAGCTTCCAGAGCCTGGCAGTCTCCTTGGGAAGAGCCATCCCAGTCTGGTATGGGGCTTTCCCATGTACTTTGAGCCTGAGGTTGACCCCAGTGGCTTCCTTTAGAGCAGAATGATTAAGTGTGTTTCCCGCAAAGCTCAGCTCCTAGCCACACTCACAGAACAGATCATAGAGTCAGGCATAACGAGGCATGATGCCAGCAAGTCACGGCCATTGCCGTGGGCTCACTGGGAGTTGGGTTTGGTTGTCTGTAGAATCCTACCAGAGCCTGGGACAGAGGGGGTCCATGAGAGTTCCAGGTGACTGGGGTGTGCCCCATATGATTTGGGGAGTAGGGGAAGCCCTAAACTAGCATCTCAGATTTAATTTGAAACTCAAGAATCTACTCTGAATGCATCTCTCTTTTTAAGATGTGGGGTGTTTCAGGGTTGATCCTACTTTCTCTTGCTAGCCTGGGTGTAGGCTTCAGGTTGAGACAGAGTGCGCTGAGGTCACCTCCCATCCCCTCATGGAGAGGGGTCCCTATCCCATGGCACTTGGTGGCACTGCTGCTGTCTCCTTAAGCAATGCTTTGAGCTTTCCACAGACAGGATTGATAATTTGAAATCTGTCAGCTCCAGCCAGACCTGTCTGCATCTGCTCTCCCACATGGCTTTTTCCATTCCCTTCTTCCCTTGCACACTCACCCAACTAGCCCTGGAATGTTCTTGTCCTCTATATGATTCTTCACGTATTTGCAGGCCCAGCTCAGATGGTTCCCTTTCCCAGAAGCCTTTCCCAGCCCTCGGGTAAAGGTTTAGTGCTCAGAACTCCAGAACACTCAGTTTTCTCCCCAGCAGTACACTTTTACACGTCTGCCCATTGTGGGTTAGGAGTTGCTTCCCTTCATGCCTCTCCTAGCATCCTTAGAACCCCTGGGGTTCTTTTGTATCCGCAGGGCCAGTCTGTGGCTGCCCTGTGATTGGTGCTTGGTGAAATGAATGAAAAGGGGATTTACTCTAAATTAGTCCAGCATCCCATCCTGCTTTCCTGGGAGACTCCCAGTGATTGAGGGAAGGAGTCATGGTGGGGAATGGGGACAGAATTCCGAGGGGTAGGATGAAGAAATAGCCTTAATTCTTTAACTGAGTGGCTCCCAGGAGCTGTTGCAGAGCCAAAAAGAGGCAAAGGTGAACTGCCCTGGACGTGTACCCCTGTTGAGCCGTAGGTTACACTGGAGTCAGCATTCTTCTGGAGAGTCTTCTGCAGAATTCACATTCTGGGTCAAGAGCCCAACCCCACAATGTGAACCTTGTGCTCCAGGAGCAGAAGACTCAGGCCGACTGGGGGCTAGGGACGGGTGGGCCTATGGGAGGCAGGCTGGCCACTGAGTATCCCTGTGCCTTCCCTGGCTCTTCCCCAGGTCCTGACTCCACACAGCTGTCTCTTGGTTTCTGTGTATGCTTGGCACCCCTATCCGCCCCAGGAGACAGAGGTGCAAGGTGGAGGTTGCTGGCCAGTTGCCTCGAGGTCCTGTTCCGCCGTGGCAACCCTCTCCAGCCTGGCGCTTACGGTCTGGTGCCCAGTGGGCTGCCTGAGCATCTGTCTGGTGCCTGGCCCCACGCTGGAGGCTGAGGGGAGGAGGTGGCTGGTCCTTGGCTGGCCTCTCCTACTGGGAACTTAGCGGTGTGACCCTGTCTAGAAGTGGCTCCACATTTCATTTTTTTTTTTTTTTTGAGAGGGAGTCTCACACTGGAGTGCAATGGCGCGATCTCGGCTCACTGCAACCTCCGCCTCCCGGGTTCAAGTGGTTCTCCTGCCTCAGCCTCCCGAGTAGCTGGGATTACAGGTGCCCACTACCATGCCTGGCTAATTTTTTTGTATTTTTAATAGGGATGGGGTTTCATTATGTTGGCCAGGCTGGTCTCAAACTCCTGACCTCGTGACCCACCCACTTCAGCCTCCCCAAGTGCTGGTATTACAGGCGTGAGCCACCGCACCTGGCCAGTGGCTCCACATTCTAGTGCAGAGATCTTTCCTTGTCTGTGCGGTAGACCCCACGGGCATCAGTGAAACCTACGTACCATTCTCGGCATCAGGTTTTTTTTTGTTTTTTGTTTTTTGTTTTTTTTGAAACGGAGTCTTGCTCTTTCACCCAGGCTGGAGTGCGGTGGCTTGATCTTGGCTCACTGCAACCTCCGCCTCCCAGATTCAAGTGATTTTCCTGCCTCAGCCTCCCGAGTGGCTGGGATTATAGGTGTGTGCCACTATGCCCAGCTAATTTTTGTATTTTTAGTAGACACAGGGGCTCACCATGTTGGCCAGGTGGTATCGAACTCCTGACCTCAGGTGATCTGCCCATGTCGGCCTCCTAAAATGTTGGGATTATAGGCATGAGCCACCACACCTGGCTGGCATAATGTTTTTAAATGTATGAAATAAGTACATAATATTACAAAAGTAAAACCCAATTATATGGAAATACAGGTATCAAAATGTTACATAAATTTGAGACAGGGTCTCGCCCTGTCCCCCAGGCTGGAGTGTAGTGTTGCGATCTCAGCTCACTGTAGTCTCCGCCTCCAGTGCTCAAGCGTTCCTCCTGCCTTAGCCTCCCGGGTAGCTGGGACCACATGCACAAGCCACCATTCCTGACTAATTTTTGTGTTTTCGGTAGAGATGGGGGTTTTGCCATGTTGCCCATTCTGGTCTCGAATTCCTGCCTCCCGCAGTGCTGGGATGATAGGCATGAGCCACTGCGCCTGGCCCAACTACTTTAACTTTGAAGTTGTGGGGAGCAAAAGTGATATTTTGAGATACTGGAAGAGCAATAACATGGTATTAAAATACCTTTGATTTTTGTTGGTGACAGATTAACATGCATTGCTGACACTGAGTAGTTTGTTGCTTATGTTAATAACTGAAGAAAATGTAAATTCGAATTGGAGGTTAGAGAAAATAAAGGTACAGCTTTTTCCCATCTAGTAGATGGAGCCCCTGAATTTGAGGATGAATCCTTGGGGGTCCCTAGGCCTTAGGTAAGAGCCCTGCACGTGGCTGTTGAGGAGAGGGTGTCCCAGTACTGATACGGGGGTGTGGGTTGTGTGGAGACAGAGACGGCTTGTGGGGGCAGTGGCATCATACCCTCCTTGAGGACTGGCCTCAGTCTTGGTCACTCCGTTCTTGGTCCTGGGCTGCTTACTGGGTCTTGGTTGTTTCCAGGGCAGCGGGGGTCCTGGCCTCTGGGGCTCAGAGACTTGTTCTGTGGGTCTCTGAGGCCCTGGAGCTCTTGTGCCTTGTCTGTCTGCAGCAAAGCATGGCTTATTTACCCTGGGACCTGGGGATGATAATGGCTTTTGCCTTTTAAATTCTGGGTGCCAGTTAACAAAAGCTGCAGCAGAAACCTGTTAGAGATGTTTTGTTGGTGCTACATTTGCCGAATTTGCAGGAAGAATTCGTCTGTGTTGACTCTGAGCCTGACAGTCTCTCTGGGGGCTTGGTTTATGCCATGGGAAATCAAAGGGCATGTCTCTATAAAACTTTATTACTTGGTGTCCTGTAATTAATGACTGTAGCATATTGCCTTGCCTCGTGGCTCAGGCTAGCCCTTCTTATGCTCAGAGCCCTGCACAGGGTGGGTTCTGTTCTGGCGGAGCCCCATGGAGAAATAAGCATGGTTGTAGATTTTCTTTGCAGTGGCAGCTGAGTGTTCAAGGAGAAGGTGGCTTATCAAGTTTTCTGCTCAGCCCTTGGGATCCCAGTCTGGGTGCCCTGAGAAATTTGTCTCTCAGAAGGTTCTGAACAAGGGGAAGGCCAGCCCTTCTGTGAGCATTACAGGTGGGGGCATGGTGTCAGGCCATGGGGAGCCAGCACCTGTTATGATTAAGGAGTGTGGCCAGGCAGGGAGAGGGGAGTGTGGGAGAGGTGGGCTGGGCTGGGCTATGCAGGCTGGTGGCTGAGGATGGGCATTTTCGGCCGGTCATGCTATTCGACGACTGTGGCTGAGGCTGTCCATAGCAGGGTCTCGGTGTCATTGCCCCTAAGCTGTTGGGGATTCTGCAGAGACGAGTTTTGCCTCTGTGCCCATCCCACCATGGGCTTTCCTGAGTGAAGGGAAAGGGCGTGGGAGGCCATGGGGGATATCCGAGCACAAGGTGCTGGTGACTGCACTTTTAGCTCCTGACAGCATGGCCATCTGGGATGTGGTCATGTTTACGAACTCTCACCGACTTCCCTCTGCCCTTTCATCCCAATGGCTGAGCGTGGCAGAAAAGCAGCCCCAGCCCAGAGGAAGCTCTGGCCGCTGGTGTCCACCCAGCCACCTGCTCACCCTCCTGGGAGGGTAGGAAGGGCACGTGGGGGAGCGGGCGGGGCTCTAGTCATGTCAGCATGTGCGGCTGCTTCTGACCCTCCACCCTTCCTGGGCAGGCTGGGACTCCAGGGCTGCTTCCTGCCCTGCTGCGGCTGATGTGGCATCTTCTCATCCCACAGCTGTGTGTGTGGCCCCGTGTGTCATTCAGCAGATATGTGTTGAGCGTTTGCTGTGTGTCAGGCAAGGCACCAGGCGAGGGCACGGCAGTGACCGAGGCAACCTGGAGCTCCATCTCCCAGTGTTTCCACCCGAGGCGGCGGGCCGGAGAACACCAGGAAGCACCAGGCAGCACCCGCTGCGTTTAGGTTGGAAGGTGCTGTGTGCTAAGTGTTGTGTTAGCCAGGGACCTGGCCCCACGTTAGGAGTTTACTCCAGGGGGCCACTAAGGAGAGTTGAGAGAGGGGACGATACACAGAGCTGTGCGAACGTTAAGGGAAGGCAGGCACATGAGGCTAGGGGCAGGAGGAGAGGGAGGAAGACAGTGGAAAGAAGAGTGGGGAACCTGGTCAGAAACCCAGCAGGGGCTGTGCTGTGGGGCAGGGCGCTGTCATCAGAGCAGCGGCCCTGGATGGAGGGGTGCCCCCAGCCATTTAGTTCCAGGGTCCCCAGGGAGGGAGCCAGGGGAGTGGATCCACTGTCTTCCTCCCTCTCCTCCTGACCCCAGCCTCATGTGCCTGTCGTTGGCTCAGTGCGCCTGGAGACAGGAGGCAGCGTGCATGCTGAGGAGGTCGGGTAGGTTGGCCTCTGGGCACAGTGCAGGGGGGTGTATCTGGAGGGCAAGTGGGGAAACCTCAGGCCAGGGACTAGTAGGGGATTGGGCAAGGAGAAGAGCTGCAGGTTCAAAGAGGGAGGCCGGGGAAGACCATCCGGAAAAGGTCGTATTGGAGCCAAGATGTGCAGGAGGTGTGACCTGCTCATGTGACCCTGGCAGGAGGGTCAGGGCCTCTGAGGGTCCCATGTGAGGTGAGTGTGAGGTGCCCCAGACCACTTCACCGTGCTGTGCTGTGAGGGCAGGTTTCATCCACAGCTTCACTGCAGTCCCCAGGCAGAGCTCTCTGCTCGCACCAGCTCTGGGATGTCCCTGCCTCCTTGACCTCCGTGCCCACCCACTGCCCCCTGGCTGGAGAGCCGCAGGGGCTCCCTCCTGCACACCCTGCCCCTGCTTACTCCTCCTCCACCTCATCCCCATTATCTCTCCACACCCGGCCTCCAGCCTGCTTGCTGGGACCACCATCCGTTTTTTCATTCATTCCATAGATACCGACACCTGCTCTGTCCCTGCCCTCAGGGAGCTTACATGTTACCTGGAGGGCCAGCAAACAAATAAATGAAGAGTGATGGGGGCTCTAGAGAGACACGAAGAGAGCTGGGGGATGGGGTGGGTAGGAAAGGGGCATTTCTGCAGAGGCTGGGGTGGGTAGGAAAGGGGCATTTCTGCAGAGGCTGGGTAAAAGGGCATGGGATGCCCTTGGGAAGAGCATTCCCCACAGGGCGCCGCAGCGGCAAAGGCTGGAGTGTTCTGGGGGTTTAGGGAAGAGCGAGGATGCCCGTGCCACAGTAGAGGAAGCCAAGGGTGAACTGGGGGTCTGGATCCCTTGTGGCTGGGGAGTGAAGTCTGCACTCAGAGAAGCCAGCTGGCACGGGGTTGGGCAGGGAGTGTGTGCTGGGATTGGCATTTTGAAAGGGCCCTTCTGGCAGAAGGTGCAGACCAGGCCACGGGGAAGTTGCGGCCAAGAGCACCGTTGAGAGTTGCCTGCAGTTGTCCAGACGGGACATGGGGAGGTGGCCCTGGGGATGGGGATGTGCAATGAGGGTAGACCTTGCTGGTGGCCAGGAGGTGGGATGAGATAGGAGGCCAGGATGGCCTTTGGGACTGTCCAGGTGCAGGTGCTTTGTGTCGGGGGAGGCTGGGGAGGAGCGACTTTGGTTCAGGTGCATCTTCTGCCTGCTGAGGGTGGCTGATGGGTCTGTGAGTCTGGAGCTGGACATCATCAGTCTGCAGATGCAGATGGTCCTTTGAGCTGAAGGACTGGGTAAGCTCAGCTGAGCTGAGGGAGGGAGCCAGTTAGGGAAGAGGCCCCAGGGTTGGGCCAAGCTGGCCTCTAGCAGGGAGGTTGAGCCGGGAGCCAGGGGCCTGCCTGGTAGGGAGCCTGGACCGGCTGCTGTTGGAGAAGGTTTCCGCAGAGAGAGTGGCCCCCAGGGTCATGGGCACCAAGTGGCCAGTGAGGACTGGGGACCTGCTGCAGATTCGGGAGCGTGGGGTCACTGTGGCCTGCTGTGCAGTTGGTTGGGGGGCAGAGGAGCAGGGGGGTGGAGTCAGGACAGCATGGGTGGTGGAGGGGAGACAAGCCCCTGTGGTCCTCAGGGGGATCAGTGAGGGGCTGTTTCTGGGTCATAAGTAGGTGGAGCTTGGGCAGCTTGCCCCGTGCTGATGGGGGTCCCACGGCAGGCTCGGGCCTCCGGTCACCCCGACCTCAGGTGTGGGCATGCTTGGAGATGCTAACAGAGGCCTGTGTGGCGGTGTGTGCTCTTGCCTCTGCAGACCCTCGTTTTGGCTGGGGAATGAAACCCTGAAGGTGCCGCTGGCGCTCTTTGCCTTGAACCGGCAGCGCCTGTGTGAGCGGCTGCGGAAGAACCCTGCTGTGCAGGCCGGCTCCATCGTGGTCCTGCAGGGCGGGGAGGAGACTCAGCGCTACTGCACCGACACCGGGGTCCTCTTCCGCCAGGTGAGCCTCCCCGCTTGGCCACAAGTGAGCAGGTGTGTGATGGTGCTGCTGTCCTGAGCAGGAGTTGGAGGCCCCAGCTTGGCCAGTGCTGCCCCTTGTGGCCCTCCCTGAGCCTCTGTTTCCTCGCCTGGGAAGTGGTCCAGGGGCTCCTTGAAGATGTAGAACTTGAAGATGTGGGGCAGCGGGTGGCCCAGCTGCAGGAAACCAGCCTGGCCATGGTGGCCATGGCTGAGAGTCACTGGCAGCACTCAGTCCCCAGGCACAGGAACATGAGGACACCCACCCAGGAAGACTGTGAGGCTCTGAGCTGGGCCCACTTTCACACATCTTAGCATTATACCCATTTTGCAGATGAGAAAACTGAGGCTCAGAGGGGAAATGACTTGCCAAGAGGTGGAGCTGGGATTAGAACTTTGTCTTCCAACTCTAAATCTAGTGCTGTTTTCTCCCCGCTGCCATGCCCAGAGCTGGAGCCTGACCACAGCAGGAACTTCAGAACCTCTCTGGGGCAGGCAGAGCCTAGGGAATGTGTCCATGCAGCATCCTGGCAAGAGGAGAGATGGGAATGCGAAGGGGAGCTGAGTGTGGAGAGGATATGGGAAGGCGTGGCTTCCCTAGCTGGACCCTGTCGCCCCAGCAGGCCACAGATGGGCTGAGACCCATTGCTGAGCGACCGCAGACTGTGTTTTTTCTTTACTAAAAGCACCTCCTGCCTGAAGGGTCCCGTCTCTCCACTCCATTGTTCGCGCAGCTGCAAGCCTGCAATCCCATGGCTGTGAGAAACATGGAGGTCTAAATAAGTTTTCTCTGGCTAGTCTTGATGCTTCTCCAGGTTTAAATACTCTGCGGCTTAAAAACCGATTTCCTAAATTCAGCTGTTGGCTCCCTTTCTGATGGTATGCAAGGCTAATTTTGGAAGAGATCCTCCTCCACCATACCTTTATGACGTCCTTTTAGCGCAGCATTCATCCCTAAACACTGAAGTCATCAGCCGTCCCGGGGGTGGGAGAGGGAAGTAAGAAGTCTTAAATGGAGGAATCCATTTCTGTGCAGATATCCGGCCTGGGCGTCAGAATCCGGGGGGCGTCTTGCCTGCCTGCACGTGGCAGAGAGGCAGGGTTGAGCTGGACGTGTGGTGCTGCTGGACGCCCTGTTGTGGGCCCGGGGGTGGGGATACAGGTGGACTCAGGCACATGCCTGACACAGCATCAGGGAGGGCTCCCAGCAGGGTAGAGGAGCTGCCAGGCTGCCCCCTGCCAAACTACGGGAGGATGAGCTGGGGAGTCGAGTGCTGAGGGGAAGGGATGTCTGGGGCTGGGGTCAGTTACAGGAGGCTGTCGGTCTGAGCTGGCTCTCTAGGGTGCTGTGATGCAGCCACCGGTCCCTCCTTGCACCTCATGTTCCACTGGCTAACAATAGTTCTTGTTCCCGCCACAGGAGTCCTTCTTTCACTGGGCGTTCGGTGTCACTGAGCCAGGCTGCTATGGTGTCATCGATGTTGACACTGGGAAGTCGACCCTGTTTGTGCCCAGGCTTCCTGCCAGCCATGCCACCTGGATGGGAAAGTAAGGAGCAGCCTGGCCAGGGCACCATGGCTACCAACCATGGGCTGGGGGTGGGTAGGGGAGGTGGGATGAGAGAGCTGGGTTGGGCCTGGGGACGGGGAGGAGGGAAGAGCTGCAGGAGGAAGGGCATGCGGTCAGGGCTGTCACAGCCTGCCTCTCGCCAGAGCCCTGCACCCTTGGCTGGGAAGGGATGTTAGAGCTGGAGTATGACTGTGTGGTAGGAGTTATTGAGAAATTGTTTTAGGTAGATAGAGAGGAAAAGGGGTCCTTGGGAAGTTTTCTGGTAAAGCCCCAGCTCCTAGAGCCAGGCCGGCAACCTTTGATATGCAAATGCAGGCCATTAGAAACTGGGTCCACCCAACATGGCAATTCCCAAGGCCTTCTTACCCTTGCCTCACATGTTCCTGGCAACATGGCCGCCCCACATGTGTAGAACATCCCCAAATATCCCCACATGTGTAGAACATCCATGGCTCCCTGCATTTGCATATTAAAAGACTAGGGTGGGAGAGCCAGCTTTTTAGTGGGCTATGTGAATAACATGCGTGGTCAAACCAATCCCCTGAGCCCTATGTAAATCAGACATCGCCCCTTCCAGCCTCTGCATATATACTTGGCTGGTGTCCACTGCACTTGGGGACCTCCTCTTTTGGCTTTGGAGCCCCCCTCCCTCTGTCTCCATATGGAGGAGCTTCTTCCTTCTGTCTTCTCCCTTCCTTCTTGCCTATTAAACTCTCCGCTCCTTAAAACCACTCCACGTGTGTCCATGTCGTTTTCTCTAATTCAACTCGAGACCAAGAACCCTGGTGTTCCTCCACTCATCAGAGCCCTGTCAACTGGGGGCCTTGTTTGTTTAGAAGTGCAGTTTGTTAATCCTGAAATTCTAGCTTCTCCGTCTGTGAAAATGCCTGAGGGTTTGGCCCTGCGAGGCCGTCACTCCTGCATGGCATCGACAGGTGTGGCATGGCCCTGTGCGTGCCTGAGGGTGGTGGGTTGGGTTTGGATCGGGGAACCGCCTCTCTGAGGCCCATCGCTGATATGCTGGGTGTGTTATTTGCTGCCTTCCTCTGGACGCAGCGCAGGTCCTGCCCTCCCGGCTCACCTGTGAGATAGAGCAGAGGCTCGGGCTGCTGGGCACCCTCCTCCACCCTCCATGGTGCCTGCTGTTCCAGGTACTCCCCACCGCCGAGGAGCTGTTCTGCCTGCTCAGTGGTGCCAGGGCGGACACTGTACTTAACCAGGGAGGTTTGAGGTGATCAGAGGATCCCGCTAAATGCTGGCTGCCTCACTGCGTGTCATCTCCGCCTGGAGAGTGATTATTCTGGGCTAATGTATAAATTGCAGCCTTTGCTGCCTGGTGCCCCAGAATGCTCATTACCAGGTGGGCTGCAGAGGCTGTGGCTGGTTTGAGTGACAAGGCCCCTGGCTGCCACAGGGACTGGGCTCTCTGCTGAGGACTGGGGCCACAGTGGAGCTTCCCCTGCTTCCAGTGCTACCCTCCCTTCAGTGCAGACTCCGTTTCTGCCTTCGTTGGCCATGGTGTGTGCTGCTCCTGCTGTCTCAGGGAGAGGGGTTCAGGCTTACAAGTTGGTAATCATTCTGCTCTTAGGCCACTTGGCAGGATCCCAGCCTGGCAAGACTGGGATCTTTGCTGGGCAGGACTCAGCCTGGAGCACAATTGGCAGCAGAAGAAAAGGGGACTGTTTCTCCTGGGGGTGGTCTCCTGGCTCGGCCCCTGGGAAGAAGGGCACGGAGTGGACACACCCGGGCCAACTGCCTTTGGGGCTTCTGCCGGGCTGCCCCTCGGAGGCCCTGGCCTGACAATGCCTTCCCATCCTGTCGTGATCTTTATTGTCGACCTTTATCCCATTCCCGGTGGAATCCTTATGACTGCCCTGTTACAAAAGAGGAGATGGCTCAGCGTGCTGGTGTGACCTGTGCAGGTCCTGCAGCCAGGTCTTGCTGGAGCTGCAATTGGAGGCTGAGCTTGCCTGCTGGCTAAGTGTGGCTTCTGAGAGGCCGTGGGGCTTGCAAGTGGGTCTGGTCATGTTTGGGGCTCCAGTTCCTTCTCTGTGATGCTGCTCTGGAGGCCCCCCAGGACTGGAGTTACAGTGCTGGCCACTGTATCTCTGACACTGACATGAGGCAGGGATGGTTCCAGGAGGCAGATTGTCTTGTCCAAAAATGGCCACAGCAGTGTTTCTGGACACTCGCTGTCTGCAGGTGACATCTATTTCCCTTCTGCCTGTCCCAGGTCTGGGCCTCATGACGGATGTGGCAGTGTTGCTGTGTGACGTCTGAGGCTAGACTGTAAACTGCACTGTGGCTTCCACCTGGTTCTCTCCCATGGGGTACTTGCCCTGGGAACCCAGCCGCCACATCATGAGGAAGCGCAGACTCCCCATAGGGGGACCCCAGCCGCCAGCAGCACCAGCCGCCAGCGTGCATGAGGCCCAGCCTTCCATCTGCTGAGGTCCTAGATGTGGAGCAGAGCTTTGCTGTCCTCTCGGGGCTCGGTCCAAATTCCCGACCTTCAGAGTCCATGAACATGATTGGTGGTTTTGCACTCCACTAAGTGTTGGAGTCGTTTATTCCCCAGCCGTTGTAACTGGGACAGCAGTGACGAAGAGTTTAGGTCTGCTTTCTGCAGGAGGATTCTCCCAGCATCCCCTCTCTACCCAGAGCAGAGTTGTGGCCTCAGCCTTTCTTGCAAGGGGCACGACTCAGGACGAGCGAGGGCCCCTGTGCCAGGGTACCCTTGGCTCCGGGTGACACCTGCAGTTTTGACCTGGCTGCCCTCTCGCCTCCTCATGGCCCTCACTGCTGGCTCAGAGCCTGTTGACATGTCCCACTGCTCAGAGAAGTAGCTCAGCAGTCAGGTCGGATGCCTCCTCTGTGAGATGTGGGGATGGACAGAGAAGGAGAAACAGCTTCAGGGAGGGTCTGATCAGGGGCTAAACAGGGCCCCACCTGGGGTTTCCAGGGGTTTCCAACAGGGGTCTCCCCTGTTGGAAAAGGCTGTGTACATGCTGGGCAGGTCAGATCAGGCAGCCTTGGTCCCGAGGGGGCATCTGGCCCCATAGCTGAGAGGTAGAGCCTTGTGTCCTGCTGTCCTGGCTCCCTACCACAGCCACCCCGAGCAGGCCTCTCCGTTCCACTGTCCTGGAGTGACCCTGTCTGAGTCTCCACATCCTGAGCCCTCAGGAGAGAAGGCTCAGTTGTAACAGAGCAGTGGTGGCGGGGTTGACTATGTGGGACTGGAGCTGGGGAGTGGCCAGATCTGATTGCGTATGGCTGCTTCCAGCCGCTCCTGGAATCAATAGGGCACCAGGAGCGAGGCTGACGGGAGTACCTGGCCTTTGCAAGCAAAACCCACCAGACTTCACATTTGACCTTCAGCTCCTCAGCTTCCTTTTGAGTCCCTATCTGATGGTTTTTGAAAATCCATCTGGCAGATACTGCAATCCAAAGTCGCCCAGGGAAACGACACCCCCGTCTGCAGGATCTGCCGCTTCCTGTGGAAACGGTCTTGCTGTTGTCAGGGTTGCAGACGCCAGGGGCCGTGGGCAGCCTGAAGCCGGCCCACTCCTCACCCCAGGCCTGTTCTGGGATGGGGAGGGTGGTAGCTCTGAATGCATTTTTATTCAGAGTCTCTGCTAACAATAGTGTGTGGTGTCTTTTTGATGTGAGAGCATTTCCCATCATTTTTCATCGGAGTTGGGCTTAGTGGAGGGTGGCTTTGGCTGTGGGCCTCTGTGAGTCAGCGCCCCAGGCAGCTTCGGAGCCCAGAGTTGGGGAGCCAGTTTGACCAGGTCGGGGGACCCTCCTGGAACCTTTGTAACGCATTCCGTCCCCGGCTCTGGGTATGCAGGGAGGGGCGCTCAGCCTTCCCAGGGCCATACCCACATCTTGTGTGAGAGATGGATGCGGGTATGGTGGGAGGGTTTGCACATGCATGGTGTATGTGTGGGGGGCTGTGTGTGCATATGGAGTGCACACCTGTGTGTGGTGTGGTGCATGTGGAGGGGTGGGTACGTATGGATGTGATGTGGAGAGGACATATGTTGGGGGTGTGTGATGCATGTAGAGTATGTTGTGTGGGGGGGGCATGTGCTGTGTTTGTGGTGTGTAGGGTGTTTGTGATGGGGGTGTGTGGTGTGTAGGGTGTTTATGAGGAGGGGTGAATGTGGGTGTGCGTGTGCTGTGTTTTGTGTGTGTGGTGTGTAGGGTGTTTGTGATGGGGTGTGTGTGTGGTGTGTAGGTTTTTTGTGATGGGTGTGTGTGTGGTGTGTGGTATGTAGGTTGTGATGGGAGTGTGTGTGTGCTGTGTTGTGTGTGGGTGTGTGAGGTGTGTAGGGTGCATGTGAGGGAGTGTGTGTGGGCATGTGTGTGCTGTGTTGTGAGTGGGCATGTGTGGTGTGTAGGGTGTTTGTGATGGGAGTGTGTGTGGTGTGTAGGTTGTGATGGAAGTGTGTGTGTGCTGTGTGTGTGGTGTGTAGGGTGCATGTGAGGGTGTGTATGGGTGTGTGTGGGTGTGTGTTGTGTAGGGTGTTTGTGATGGGGTGTGGTGGGTGTGAGTGTGTTGTGTGTGGGTGTGTGTAGTGTGTAGGGTGTGATGAGGGTGTGTGTGTGAGTGGTGTGTAAGGTGTTTGTGATGGGGTGTGGTGGGTGTGAGTGTCCTGTGTTGTGTGTGGGTGTGTGTGTAGTGTGTAGGGTGTGATGAGAGTGGGTGTGTGAGTAGTGTGTAGGGTTTTTGTGATGGGGTGTAGTGGGTGTGAGTGTGCTGTCTTGTGTGTGGGTGTGTGTGTAGTGTGTAGGGTGTTTGTGATGAGAGTGTGTGGGTGTGTGAGTGTTGTGTAGGGTGTGGTGGGTGTGAATGTGCTGTGTTGTGTGTGGATGTGTGTGTAGGGTGTAATGAGGGTGTGTGTGGGTGTCTGAGGGGTGTGTAAGGTGTTTGCGATGGGGGTGTGGTGGGTGGGAGTGTGCTGTGTTGTGTGTGTAGTGTGTAGGGTATGATGAGGGTGTGTGAGTGATGTGTAAGGTGTTTGTGATGGGGTGTGGGTGTGAGTGTGGTGTATTGGGTGTGTGTGTAGTGTGTAGGGTGTTTGTGATGAGGGTATGTGTGGGTGTGTAAGTAGTGTGTAGGGTGTTTGTGATGGGGTGTGGTGGGTGTGAGTATGCTGTGTTGTGTGTGGGTGTGTGTAGTGTGTAGGGTGTTTGTGATGAGGGTGTATGTGGGTGTGTGGGTGTGTGAGTAAATAATGTGTAGGGTGTTTGTGATGGGGTGTGGTGGGTGTGAGTGTGCCGTGTTGTGTGCAGGTGTGTGTGTTGTGTAGGGTGTTTGTGATGAGGGTGTGTTGTGTGTTGTGTGTTGTGTGTTTTTCCCAGCTCTGCCCCACTAAGTGTCCCCAGGATCGAGGCTTCCCCAGCCTCTCTGGTGCCTCCCTCCCACGCTCCTTGTGATTGGCAGGGTGTCGGGGGCCCTCTTTGCCGTGCAGGCCTCTGAGAAGGGGCTGAGGAGCTCCTTCGGCTGCTGCCCGGGTGGTTTGAGGCACTGACCCTGGGCAGGCCTGGTCACTGGACCTGGTCTCCAGCCTCCCGGGCAGCGCTGTTCCCTCTGTGGCCCCTGTGAGGAAGCTTGCTCCGGGAGTGGTCTTTGGGCATAGGCACCTGCGTCACTGTGGCGAGGTCTGCTTTTGTCTCTGACCAGCTAACATCCTCAGATGGCTGCCGGCTTCCACCGCAGAGCAAATGCCGCTGCCTTCTGTGGAGAGCAGAGTGAGAGTCGGCGAGGCAGCATTGTTTGTAGCTGAAGGCAGGCCGGGCCGCGGGAAATGGATGGTGATGGCTGTAATTTGGCCCTGTTACTTATTCATTAATCGCATGCAGGTGGTCAGCCAGCCAGCAAGACCTGCTTTTTGAAATTTCATTTTCTAGAGGGCTCCTCGTGTCTGCACTGTGTGGCATTAATTTAATGTCTCCTTCCCACCCGTGGCCCCCACAGTTGCTGGCAGTCACTGCAGAGTGTGCAGTCATGGGCTTTGACTCCGGGGACTGGGAAAGGCCTCTCTCATCCATGCCAGGGCCCAACTGGGGTCCCTGGATGCTGACCCCTGTGGAGGACGAGAGCCCCTTTGGGTAGGAGGACTTCTCCTCTCTCCTCCCAAAGCTATCCTTGGCATTTGAGGGGAGTGTGTGTGGGGTGACAGCAGCTTCTCTGCTGACCCATCCTCCCCAGTCCAGTAATTTCTTTTTCTTTTTTTTTTTTGAGACAGAGTTTTGATCTCATCACCCAGGCTGGAGTACAATGGCACGATCTCGGCTCACTGCAACCTCCACCTCCCTAGCTCAAGCGATTCTCTTGCCTCAGCCTCCTGAGTAGCTGGGATTACAGCCACCACACCCAGCTAATTTTTTTGTATTTTTAGTAGAGATAGGGTTTTACCATGTTGGCCAGGCTGGTCTTGAACTCCTGACCTCAGGTGATCTGCCCACCTTGGCCTTCCAAAGTGCTGGGATTACAGGCGTGAGCCACGGTGCCCGGCCTCCAGTCTGGTTGTTTCCATCCAGACTTCCCATGCGATGGGGCCTGACATGAAGTACCGTTGCTGGACCCCAGACTCCCCACAGGGCAGGGTGCAGGCCCTCCCTCTGAGTGGCTGCCTCCTGCCCTGGCCAGCCTGGCCTCAGGGAGTCCAGAGCCCCTCAGGGGCCTCTCCAGCCAGCTTTGCAGGGCTTGTGTGGCCACACCTCTTCTTTTCTCATCAACCCCACCAAATCATGGCTGCCAAGCCTTCGGTGGCTGGTTTGACGTGGGAGTCTGGCACGCATATCCCTTAGGATGACGTTTAAATGGTTTTTACTATAATTAGCCCCCAAACATGAAAAATAAGTACTATCTAAACTTAATTATCTCTGCCCTTTAAAAGAGAATGCAATGCACAGTTGCCAGAAAAGCTGCTTGCAGCTTTTCAGGTTGTATCTGTCGAATGGCTCTTCTGTTGAGAACCAGACCTCTGGCTTGGGAGGCGCTTTTTGGCAGGAGGGGCGGGAATGCATTTCCTGGTGGCTTCCCTCCGCACAGTTGGGGTGAGTTGGGAGGTTTCAGGCCCATAACGGGAGTGGAAGTGACAAGGTCAGGTGCCACACTGATGGCTGAGATGCCCCTCTGTAGGGCGCTGGCCTCAAAATCAGATCCTTTGTACTTCCCCACTCTGCCGTGAGGTTGCCTTCCACTCCTGTCACAGCTGGAGGCAATGAAGGGAGGGGGCTAGAGGCAGAGCTGGGAACAACTGAGGGACGCAGGGTGTTTGTTATGGAGCCAGAAAGTCCGAGTTGATGTGTTGATCCCAGCCACGCATTTCGCTGATGGCCCTGCCTTTTGTATTTCTGACACCTGCTTTTGTGCCGGGCTGTGGGGTCAACTCGGTGCTGAGAGTGTGGTTGCTCAGTAGCAAAGGGTCTGTAGGCTTCCCTTGAGCCAGCTGCACAATAAGCCCTGCGTCTGGGGCCTCCGAAGTCCAGGCGAGGCGCTCGTCATCAATTCGTGCCCCATAACTGCTCGAGGCCGTGCTAATGGAGGTGTCAGACCTTGGCCATTTAACTTTTGAGTCCTGTCTCAAATGCACAAGTGAATGTGACTGAATCATGCAAATTTAATTAACAGCAGGAGCTTGATACCCCGTGATCATTTCAGAGAAGCCAAAAGGGAGAGAAAGCAAAGGGCATTGTGGGCTGCACTGAGCAGTCCATTGATTACGGTGAGACCAGCGTCTCCCGGGCCCTCAGTGCTCCTTGTTGTTGCTCCCTGCAGCCGTCCCTGGGCCCTGTGGCCAGTACTTCCTGGTTTGGGTGGGGAGGGAAGTGGTGGAGGACTCAGAGAGAGGAGCAGATTCTGTTTCCTGCAGGTGATGCTGGTCCTTAGTGTCACAAAGGCTGAGAATGGCACATAGGACACCAGTTCAGGAGCTCACTCGTGAAGTTCATCACCTCCAAGTCCCAAGGTTCTCTCCCTCCACCGTGTTCCGTGGGGTTCTCCAGGCACATTATCCTTGGCACCCACAACACCCCCCCCCGCCCCCCAGTTATCCGTAGAGGGTCTTGACTGCAAGTTGTCCAGGTTGTTGCCATTTTGAACAAAGAATTGGACAAAACACACAAAGGAAAGAATGAAGCAACGAAAGAATGAAAGCAGAGATTTATTGAAAATGAAAGTGCACTCCACAGTGTGGGAGCCGGCTGAGCAGAGTCTCAAGGCCTAGTGACAGAATCTTCTCAGGTCCAGATACCCCCAGGAGGTTTCCCATTGGCCACTTGGTGCTCGCCTGGTGTAAATGAAGTGGTGGCCTGCCATCAGTCTGATTGGTTGTGGAAAGCAACCTTTGTAACTTCACTTCTGCAACCAATCAGAGGCTAAAGTGAAGTTACAAAGTTGCGTTTCTTTGCAAACCAAGACTCTACTTGCAATCAGAGGTACTTTCAATTTCCCATCTGCCTCAAAAAAAAGGGGGGGTTTGCAAAGGGAGCAGCCTCTGGTCCTTTGTTACTTAGGTGTGGAAAGTTAGGGTTTTCCTTTCAATTTAGTTCTAGGAAGTCAGCATGAAAAAGCCCTAACGCCTCCCGACCCTATTCTCCTGCCTCACCACCACCCCTTGACAGCCCAGGAAACACCATCCAGAAACCATCTGCTGTTTTTTTGTCTGAGGCCTATTTGGGACCCAGCACCTGGTGACTGTAACACTGTGAGGTCACAGACAGCTGGAGGGCTGGAGCACGGCTGGGGATAGAGCCCGTGTGATGAGGTGGGGCCCAGGTGTGGGATGACATAGGACCGAGTATGTGTGCGTCATTGGACTTGGCTCTCAGTGTCTCCCCTGTGCAGTTTGTGTTCCTTTCCCCTTGCGTAAGCTCTGTCACTAACAGAGACATTGACTTATCTCCTGACCAAGAGCCTGGGGGTGGTGGCTTGCTGGACCCAGGCTGGAGGTCTGCCTAGCACAGCTGTGACCAAAGGGCCCATCAGGAGGTGGACGAGGGCTGCCCAACCTCATCCATTCTGTGTCTTCTCACTGGCAGATTTTTCAGGGGTAATGAATAAGCTTGAGTTTTTCTCATCACATTGAGTAATACTGATACTGACTTTCTAAAAATGCTAATTTTTGGCTGGGCACAGTGCCTAATGCCTATAATCCCAGCACTTCGGGAGGCTGAGGCAGGAAGATTGCTTGAGACCAGGAGTTTGAGGCTGCAGTGAGCTATGATTGTGCCACAGCACTCCAGCCTGGGTGACAGAACGAGATGCTGTCTCTAGAACATAAAATAAAATAGTAATAATAATAATTATTATTATTTGAGATGGAGTCTCGCTCTGTCACTCAGGCTGGAGTGCAGTGGCACCATCTTGACTCCCTGCAACCTCCGCCTCCTGGGTTCAAGTGACTCTCCTGCCTCAGCCTCCCGAGTAGGTGGGAGTACAGGCACCCGCCACCGCGCCCTAATTTTTTGTATTTTTAGTAGAGATGGGGTTTCACCGTGTTAGCCAGGATGGTCTGGATCTCCTGACCTTGTGATCTGTCTGCCTTGGCCTCCCAAAGTGCTGGGATTCTGCGGCTGACCTTAAAATAAACTTTCCTTTAAAGATGCTCCATGAAGACCTGGCAGGCAGATTGTTTTATGCCACAGAGGGACGGGTGCACTGGCTGGCTGCCCTGGTGGACTGTCTCTGGCAGTGGAGGGGATGATAGGGGTTTTGTCTGCAGGGGCTGGCTGCAGGTGGCTAGGGTCACGGAGGAGCGGGGCTTGCTGAGGAAAGCAGCTGTGGTTCAGCCGTCACTCCATGGCCTAATGGCCTTTGCCCTCCAAGTGTGTGTTGGGCCGACCTGTTCGGTGCCGGGTGCTGGGTGCTGGGTGCTGACCGTGATAGGGATGGGACTGGGGCTCCATGGCCTGGGCTTGGCAGGCAGGAAGGTGGCCATGCTGAGCCATTACCAAGCCCTGACCCTGATATTCCTTGTGCTTTTCTTTGAGGATCCATTCCAAGGAGCACTTCAAGGAGAAGTATGCCGTGGACGACGTCCAGTACGTAGATGAGGTGGGTAGCCGGCTCCTCCTCTGAGCAGCCCAGGGCTTCCAGCATGCCTTCCACTCCTGGAGTTCCTCTCCTTCCACTGCCACAACCTTGCTGGATGTCAGGGACACTACCACCTGGCCACCAGTCCCTGCGCCGCAGGTGCTCCCATTTGGAAGGAGTAGGCAGCAACCCATGCCTCAGGCTTCTCTACGGAGCCATTGCTTTGCCTGGGAAGGCCCCTGACTCTGTGGGTAGAAGTGTCTGGTGACCTGGGTTGTGGCCGCTGAGATTACATGAGGTGTCTCTGAGAGGCGGGCCTGCCTGCAGCGGTGGCACACGGTCTAAGTCACCACAAGGCTGGGCCGGGGTCTTCGTGTGTCTCGAGCCCTGGTTGACTGCAGATGCCACTGTCAGAAAAGCCCGAGGCTGTGAAAGGCTTGTAGAGTAGCATTGGAGGTCCCCTGACTTCAATCCACTTCTCAGTGGGGTTGTCCAGCAGGTGTCGTGTGGCCTGGGTAGGCATGTGGCTGTCCTCTTGGGGTTTTGAATCTGTGCCAACCAAGTTCAGGCAGGTCAAAGGGGCTGCCCTGACTCCTCGACTCCAGCTCTCCTTCCTGCCAGTGGGGCAGGGCTGGGACAGAGGCGAGAGCACAGCTGGGAGCCCCTGTGGTCTACTTGACCAAAGGCCCTGACACTAAACCACTGCCTGGCACACAGGAGGCCTCTGTGCTCTGGCCCTGGGCGCTGTCACAACCCCACGTCCTGTGCAGGTCAGTGCCGTGTAGAATGTGAAGCACCCAGAAGTCAATGCCTGCCACTGGGAGTCCAACCTGGACCTGGCAGCATCAGCTTTGGACAGGGCCATCCTGTAGCCACATTTCCCCAGACAGAGATTATGTGTCGGCCATGCTAAGAGCCGGGGCTGCAGTGTGGAAGTGGCCAGGGGAGCCAGTTCTGGCGGCCAAGCAGCTTCCCCCTTCCCCTGGGCAGGACACAGCCTGGTTGAAGATGACGGCACTGGGTGAGAAGCAGGTTCCCAGGGATCATGGCCAGACACAGTGCTGTGAGAGACCAGTTGTCTCTGCCCAGCATGTGGGGGCCCAGCCCGGCCCATCCAGCTCGGGGGTGGCCAGCCCTCTTTGACTGCAGGTGGGCCAGTACCATGTGCCCAGCCCTGCCCCCGGTACTGCTGTCCTGGAATATGTTTTCCATTTCTCTGTCTTTCTCCTATCCATCTTTTGAGGCCTTGCACCAGCCTTGTAGCAGCCACTGTATCTGCTGTAGACTCTGGCCCACACTGGTGCCCCTTCCCTGAGCCCTCAGGACCAAGTTGTGGACACCATGGACGCTGACTGTGTTCTGATGTGCACCCTGCCCTTGACTGTCTTGTATTTGTCTTGAACGTCCAGTTCTTTTTCCCCAGACGTTCCTCTTGCACTCTTTCCCTGCCCAGTCCCAGGGACATGTAGGGCATCAGAGGTGGCCGAGACCCAGGGCTGACCTCAACAGCCCAGGGCACAGTCCAGTGCAGGAGGTGACCACATGAGTGAACAGTCACCGCAGGGTGGTGGTGCCTGGGCAGAGATCCCTGGAAGAGCCTCTGTGAAGGGCACTGCCCACCTCTACAGGGCCACGGGGGCCTGTCTCTACAGCATCTTCTGCCTGGTTGGACTGTGGAGAGAGGAGGCTTTTGATGGATCTTTATGTTATGTTATTTCAATCCCAAGCTTTTGGGGGTGACTCTTAACATCTGAAGATTCTGTCAATACACATGTGACCTATCATATTGATCCCGTTGAGTACAGGATCTAAAATAGACGGAACGTTTATTTGCATGCTCCCAATGAGACCATCTG
This sequence comes from Homo sapiens, assembly GCF_000001405.40. Taxonomy (NCBI): domain Eukaryota; kingdom Metazoa; phylum Chordata; class Mammalia; order Primates; family Hominidae; genus Homo; species Homo sapiens. The sequence continues at coordinate 33,499,102 of NC_000019.10, read as the reverse complement.
CCACTTGCCTTGTATGTCTCAGAAGTGGAGCAGGAGGCACCTACTCCTTCATTCTCGTTTTCCTTCCGACCCTCTCCTTGGCAGATGTGTTCCCTGCCCCAGAAACTGTTTCTTAACACTGTTGTCCTTTGAAACCTTGACCCTTCAGGTCTCTTCGATGTGAAACCTGGAGGGGCAGCCTGGGGTGGGCCCTGTCTCAAGGACCCTGGCGGGATGGGCACCTGCCTCCAGGACCCTGTCTCAGGGATCCTGGTGGAACGGGCACCTGACTCCAGGATCCTGTCTCAAGGACTCTGGCGGCATGGGCACCTGCCTCCAGGACCCTGTCTCGAGGACCCTGGTGGGATGGGCACCTGCCTCCAGGACCCTGTCTCAAGGACTGTGGCGGGATGGGCACCTGTCTCCAGGACCCTGTCTCAAGGATCCTGGTGGAATGGGCACCTGCCTCCAGGACTCTGTCTCAAGGACCCTGGCAGGATGGGCACCTGCCTCCAGGACCCTGTCTCAAGGACCGTGGTGGGACCGGCACCTGCCTCTGCCCTGGACTCAGCTGCTGAGTCCGAGCCACCTCTGGACCACAGCCTCCCCAGCCACTGTCTGACATTTTTGTCTTTATAACTGGGGGAAAATTCAGCTCCGTGTCTACTGTGATTTCTGGGGGTGAGGAAGGAGAACTGGTCTCTAAGCAAAGTAAGAGACAGGCCACCTTGAGTGTTAGGGCAGGGAAGTTGTTAATGGTTGCACAGAATGACAGCACAGAGACCGGCTCATTCTTCGTCTTCGTATACAAAGCAGATTGTCGAGGCTTCAGTAGAGTTCAAAGGCTAGAATCTCTTTAGGGTTCGGGAGCACCCCACCGCACCCCGTCAACGCCACTGCCATTGCAGATTGGTGTTGATGTTACTGTTACTGCTGCTGTTTTTACTGGGAACAAGGCTCACGTTGACAGCAGAGCAAGCGCTTCATGCTGGGGCGGCCCACGTGGGCTCCAGTAACACTAGAGCTCTCTTGGAGCCCCTTGGCCCTCCCGCTGCGGGAGGGACACAGCGGGGCAGGGACTGTGCTGGGCCGTAGCCCCCACCCCGTTCATAGATATGAGGCTGAGGCTCAGAGAGAAAGGCCTCGTCCACAGTCCCACAGCTGGAGGGGAGTGGTACTGGGATGTGACGCCAGGGGCCTCCCCTCCAGGCCTCCCTTTCCCCTCAGAAAGGAGGGCTGCTGTAGGACACTCCTGTGGAGGCGACATGGACTCCCTGTGCCTTTGATTTTCTGTGGCTCTGAAGGGAGCCTGCCAAAAAGTGTGACTTGCTGGACTGAACCCCCTGAGCTGGGAGGTATCCCAGGTTGCTTGAGGTACCCAGGGCCTGTTGCATCATGGGAGGTTACAGGAAGCCCTTTATGCAGGGAAGGGGTCCCCAGGCTGGTTCTGCAGTGCTCAGCCCCATCTCACTTGGGGTGGCCTTAGCTGTCAGTGACAAATCACAGCCAACGCTTGTCTCCTCTGAAAAAAGGCAGGAAGGCCTCCAGTGCCATGGCTGGTCACGTGATAGCATGTATGCCATGCAGGTGTCTGATGGGGCACAGCTGGCTCCGAGGTTCCCTCCTCCCCACAGAGGATCCTGAGTTTATTGAGAAGGCAGTTCCCCTGAGAAGGAGGCATTCAGCAGAACCTTGAGTGGGGCCCCGAGGCTCTGCCGTGAAGGCCCTGTGCAAAGGCTGGCGGGATCACCGGCTGAGAGCTGGCAGGTGAAGCGTGCGTTCCATGCACTTGCTTCCCTTTATGGCGCCAGGCATATGTGAGAAGGTCCGAGGGTCACCAAGTCTGCTACAGGCAGGACAGATGTAAGAGGACAACCGCAGCAGCACAGGGACAGGCATCGGAAGCGATGGGGTCAGCAGGGGCCACTGTGCTGTGGGACCACGAGCCCATGGCTCCAGGAACCTGATTGTTCAGGAGTAGCCACACATCCAGACTGTTGGTGATGTTTCCTGATGTTTACATTTGAGAAACAAATTTGAAATTGTAAAAGCAGTGCAGGCCACCAGCGTGCAATACTGTTGGAGGAGAATGCCACGAAAGAAGGTTTATTTTCAAAAGCTTCAGTGATTGCAGGGCAGAGCCAGCTCTCTGGAGCCTTGCAGGCTTTCCCAGCGCTGGCAAAGGCATATCCAGCTTTTTTGTCCAGCTTATCACCCTGCGAAAAGCGGCCCTCGGGCCTGGTCTGGGCCCTGGTTAGGAAAGTGCAGGAGGTGTCCGTGGGAAGCCTCTGATTGTCCCCAGGGGAGGATGTACACCCACAGGGCTCTGATGAATTCTGCCCGTGACCATCCAGCTCCATCTGCCAGAGAGGCCGGGGGCTGCCGGAGAAATCGATGCTGGCTCTGGCATGAAGCAAGGCAGGGTCATTTAACAGCGCAGGGTGTGAGAGGTCCCCAGTGGCCACCACTCCGTGGAAACGAGGCCCTGAGTTGACAGAGCCGTGCTGTCTTGTGTGCTGGGGATACATCGGGAGCCAGCAACGCACAGCGCGTCGTGTTCCCTTAATATTTGAGGCACGGAGTCAGGGTGTGCTGATGAGAGCGTAGCACTAATGGGTCTCCATGGGGAAGGGCGGGTGGAGCTGCCAGGTCGGGAGAGGTTTTTGCAGCCGCAGAAGTAACCAGGGCCCACTCAAGCAGTTGTGATCAATAAAAGATGTTGCCCTGCCAGGACTAGGAGATGCACAGCCTGCTCTCAGAGTCAGGCCTGGATTGTCTGAGCACCGGGCTGCAAGGAGACGGCTGCTCTCCCCTCCTCCATTATTCCTAACCAGCATGTCCTGAGAGTCGTCGCCCGGAGAAAAACCATCAGCCCACACATTTGTTATCCTGCTCCTCCCTCCCAAGACGATAGCAGATACAATCCCCAAGTGCCTCCTGGCTTTCTGATTCAGCTGCTGTAATTGACGGGCTCCTTCTGTGCAGCTGAATGCAGAACATTCACATCAACGTAACAACACACCTAGGGCCGGCATGTGTACCCCTGTTCCTTTTAATAAGTCTCCCCTTCCTTCAGGAGGGGCTGAGGGTGTGTAGGGACACAGCTGAACCTTTTGGGTGTTTTTTTTTGTTTTTTGTTTTTGATACTGAGTTGCATTCTTGCCCCCCAGGCTGGGGTGCAGTGGCGCAGTCACGACTCACTGAAACCTCTGCCTCCCAGGTTCAAGCGGTTCTCCTACCTCAGCCTCCCGAGTAGCTGGGATTACAGTCACCAAGCCCGGCTAATTTTTTTGTATTTTTAATAGAGACGGGGTTTCATCATGTTGGCCAGGCTGGTCTTGAACTCCTGACCTCAAGTGATCCACCCGCCTCAGCCTTCCCAAAGTGCTGGGATTACAGGCATGAGCCACCACACCCAGCTGAGCCTTTTGTTTTTTTGCAACACTGAGGCCAAAGGACACAGCCATTCTCCAAGCAGTCACTCAGTAACATGAGGGAGGATCCCGGGAGATTGTTGATACATGTCTGGAGGATCATTGGGCCAGGAGCATGGTAAACCTTGACAAAGTCTGTGGCTTTTGACCCAACAGTTTTAAAGGCATTTAATTTTTTTTTTTTTTTTTGAGACAGAGTCTCGCTCTGTCACCCAACAGGCTGGAGTGCAATGGCATGATCTCGGCTCACTGCAGCTGCCGCCTCCTGGGTTCAAGCGATTCTTCTGCCTCAGCCTCCTGAGTAGCTGGGACTACAGGCACGTGCCACCACACCCGGCTAATTTTTAGTAGAGATGGGGGTTTCACCATTTGGCCAGGCTGGTCTCGAACTCCTGACCTCGCGATCCACCTGCCTCAGCTTCCAAAAGTGCTGCGATTACAAGCATGATCCACTGTGGCTGGCTGGCATTTAATTTTAAGGAAATACTTGTATGCGAGGATGTTCATCACAGCGTTATTTATAATTGCTAATTATTAGATGTAATTTTTTTTTTGAGACGGAGTCTTGCTCTGTTGCCCAGGCTGGAGTGCAGTGGCGCAGTCTTGGCTCACTGCAAGCTCCGCCTCCTGGGTTCATGCCATTCTCCTGCCTCAGCCTCCTGAGTAGCTGGGACTACAGGCACCCGCCACCACATCCAGCTAATTTTTTTTGTATTTTTAATAGAGATGGGGTTTCACTGTTTTAGCCAGGATGGTCTCGATCTCCTGACCTCGTGATCTGCCTGCCCTGTCCTCCCAAAGTGTATTAGATGTAATTTAAGTGTCCGTAGAGGAATGAGTAGTGTCCATTAAGAGAGTATTCTACAGCCATAGGTTCAAATCTGGGCTGCGCTGTTATTTTTTAACCAGACTCAGGCAAGTTCTCTAATCTGTAAGCCATTCTCATTTGCGAAACCTGCATGTTTGCCGCACTGTCTCCCCGTGTGGTTAAATGAGATGCTGTGTGTAAGATGACTGGCACAGGCCGTCTTCAGCGACCTACTGGACGTTTACTGTCCCCAGCGGTAGTGACTGCTAAAAATTGCATGTTTGAAGAACATATAATGACAGGAAATAAGTGAAGCATGTAATTTCATATGATCCAAATGTCATTACAGATCTCTGTTTTTATGAGCAAAGCTAAAATGTCTCTGGAGATAGGATTGTACGTGCATTTTATCTTTTTATAGTTTTCAATACGTTCCAGGTTTTCTTGGGAGGCATCTCAGTATTAAAAAAGGTATATGTATACATATGTCAAAACTTATCAAAATGTCTATGTTAAATACAGGCAGCATAGAGTATGTCAGTGATCACTCAATCAAGCTGTTAAAACAACAACAAGTTCTCCTCACTCTCCCCCTGCGTTTCGGGTGTAAAGAGTTAGGATAGGGGTGTGGGGAGAGGCGAGGGCTGTGGAGATGAGACTGTTCTCTGCCCAGGGGGTGCTCAGAAACAAGAGGGTCTGCAGTAGCCAAGATGCAGGCCAGACTGAGGAGGAGGGGCTGGCAGAGGAAGAAATTGCTCCCAGCAGGCTGGTTGGCACATGGCACTTTGCTGGGGGAATGGTGACTGTCAGTGGGGCAGTAGAGGAGGGAGTGAACGAACCTGCCCAGGGGGCTGGGGCTTTCATCCTGAGTGCACATTGATGAGGCACTAAGATGGGAAGAAGGCACTCAGGGAGAGATAAGAGCTGGAGCAGAGGCGTGGAGAGAGGAGCTGGCCCGGCATGCAGATGCAAGGGCTTGGGCCGGGAAGTAACTGGCTTGCAGTGGCAGGAGGTCCAAGTGGGTCATGGTGGAGGGACAGAGAGTGGGCTGTGGGGTGGGGGCCAGAGGGTGGGATTGGGGAAGGCCAACTCCCTTGGGTCTAGGGGTTGAATGGGGAGCAGGGAGGGAGTCTTCTGCCCTAGGAACCAGAGGCTGGTAGGCCTGGAGCCTAAAGGGTTCCCGGGGGACGGGTCTTTGAGCAGGGACTTTGCAGATGGGCAGAGGGGCTGGCCTTGGAGGGTGGGTAGGGCTGGCTGCTTGGAGCCAGGGATCTGTGTGGTGCCTGGAAGCAGGGCGGTGCGGTGGGAAGCGAGCCAGGTGTAGGTTTATCCTCTCTGCCCCTCGATGGCTGTGTGGCTTTCAGAAGTCCTTCAACCAGGGGAAGCTGGGTTTCTTCACCTGCAGGGTGAGGGCAGCGCCCACGTCGCCTGTTCTAATGATCTGCTTGATAAATGTGCACTGTCATTATGAAGGAATGGTGGCATGTCATCTTCATTAGGCTTAGTGGTGCCTCTAAAGTGGGTTTTTCTTTCCGACCTTCTAGATTGCCAGCGTCCTGACGTCACAGAAGCCCTCTGTCCTCCTCACTTTGGTAAGTGGCTGGTGTCCAGGGGTGGGGCAGTGCTTGGCTCTGGGGAGGGTTTTTATGGGGGCCACCTCTCCTGCAGAGGTCGGGCCCATAGGGGAGGATTAAAAAACGGAGAGGGGTTGGGTCCAGGGGCTCACGCCTGTTATCCAAGTGCCTTGAGAGGCAAGGTGGGAGGATCGCTTGGAGCCAGGAGTTCCAGGCCAGCCTGGGCAACATGGCAAGACCCTGTCTTTACAACAAATTAAAAAGTTAGCCAGGCCTGGTGGCATGTGCTTGTGGTCCCAGCTACTTGGGAGGCTGAGGTGGGAGGCGTGCTTGAGCCCAGGAGTTTGAGGCTGCAGTGAGGTATGATCGCGCCACTGTGCTCCAGTCTGGGCCACAGACAGGACCCTGTCTCAAAAAAAGAAAAAAATAAACCAAGAGGAATGGTCATCAGTGATAAGTAGCGATACCTGCTCAGTCTGAATAGCTGTTTATGGGACCCCATCCTTGAGTCTCCCTGGGACCTGCTGTGTCCTGTCGTGAGGATGTGGGCCTGGCGCCACACCCACTCCTAAGGTTAAACCTGGCTAGAAGATGTATTTGTGTCAGGCTGAGCTCCTGGAATTTGTGGATGTAGAAAGTCAGTTTAATGGGTACCAAAATATAGCTAGGTAGAACAAATCAGATCTGGTATTTGATAGCACAACAGGGTGACTACAGTCAACAATAATTTATTGTACATTTAAAAATAACCAGAAGAGTGCAATTGGATTGTAACAGAAAGGATAAATGCTTGAGGTGATGGATAGCTCATGTATCCTGATGTGATTATTCCACATTGCATACCTGTATCAGAATATTTCAGGTACCCCATAAATGTATACACCTAATATCTACCCATGAAAACTAAAAATAAAAAATTTAAAAAGGAAAAAAGAAAGTTTATTCCCACCCTCTGTCTCCCCTGTTAAAGGGGTCTGAAAACCACACCACCGGGCGTCTGCCCTCAAGGTAGCAGGGGTGTGGGGCGCAGTGACTGACCGAGGGCCTGGGCTAGGGTGGGGGGTGCGAGGTGGGCTCTGGGTACGCCGGCAGGGTTTTGGGGGCACTTGAGCTGTGGTGTGCCCCCAAAGAATTCTCTGGAATTTCTCAGAGAAGTGTGCTTTCTTACACTTCTTTGAGCTTGGGAGTTTCATATAAGAGGCATGTCCACAAGCCTTCCCCCCAAAGTGACCCTTCCCTCTTGTCTTTTTTTTTTTTTTTTTTTGAAATGGAATATAAAAAGTAAAGTAGAGGTTTCTCTTCAAAGACTTTCCTCCCCGTCTAATTAGAAATAAACAGTAACTTCTCTTAGAAGCAAAATTTATTCAAAGACCTGTGCTAACATTCTTAAATATCTGCTAGCTGTAATAAAGAAATCAATATACTTTATGTTTTTAGCTCCCACAATTTAACCTAAATATTTGCCCTGATGTGCTTATACTGGTCCAAGCAAACATAAGGTCATAGCCTGTTCCTCTTCCTTATTTAAAAGTGTTTTTACCTTTCTCAGCATTCCACAAGTTACTTCCTCCTTCCTTTCTCCCCCTCTACCTTTGCCTCTTTTAAAAAGTTCTAAGTTGCTAGCCAATCGGGACAAATACAGAATGTGGGGTCCCGTTCCAGGCAGTGGAAACCGGACACAGCAGTAGGGTGGACACGCCAGGTTATAAACGACCCTGTCTCCTTTGTTTGGTGAACTCTCGTGGCAAAACTGCTGGAGAGTGTACCCTTTCTGCAGGAAGTGAAAATGGCCTTACTAAATAAATTAAATTTATGTTCAAGTGCTATTTCTTTATGGCACTGAAGAACAAACATTTCAAACATGGAGTTTTGCTCTTGTTGCCCGGCTAGAGTGCAGTGGAGCGATCTTGGCTCACCGCAGCCTCCACCTCCCGGGTTCAAGCAATTCTCCTGCCTCAGCCTCCTGAGTAGCTGGGATTACAGGCATGCACCACCACACCCAGCTAATATTGTGTTTTTTGTTAGAGACGGGGTTTCGCCATGTTGATCAGTCTCAAACTCCCAACCTCAGGTGATCTGCCCACCTCGGCCTCCCAAAGTGCTGGGATTACAGGCGTGAGCCACCGTGCCCAGCCTTTCTCTTTTCTTAATTGATTTTTACCAAAATAGTTATTTCCTTTAGCACTTGGCCCCTTTTTTTTGCTTTACTGTCTTGATGGCTATAAGGGAAACTTATGTGAGATGATTATGGTCATAGATGATCCAATGTGTTCAATTTAGATATACAATTAGACATCAAGCTGAAGTTCTGGGTAAAGAAATGGTGATTTAAAATGCCTTGCCCAGGCTGGGCATAGTGGCTCATGCCTGTAATCCCAGCACTTTGGAAGGCCGAGGTACGCGGATCACTTGAGGTCAAGAGTTCGAGACAAG